>NC_000004.12:103921381-104546381 GCF_000001405.40 Homo sapiens
GTCAGCATTTGTTACTGCCTGACTTTTGGATAAAAGCTGTTTTGACTGGAGTGAGATGATATCTCATTGTAGATTCGATTTGTATTTCTCTGATGATCAATAATGTTGAACAGCTTTTTTTTTAAAAAAAAAAAAGAAAAGAAAATTGAGCTTGTTTCAACGAATGTAACTTTTATTATGAAAAACTTTCAAACAGATACAAATGAAGAGAGTGGTAAAATCACCAGCTCACCTCTCCCAGGTACCAATGACCTAGATTAAATAGCTATCCACATTTGCCTTTCAGATTTCATCTACCCATCCTCTTTTTTTTTTTTTTTTTTTTTTGCTGGAATATTTAAAACCACATCCCAGGTATCACTTTATCTCATCTGAAAACTCTTCAGTATAAAACTCTAGGCCAGCTGCCATGGCTCACGCCTGTAATCTCACAACTTTGGGAGACCAATGTGGGTGGATCACTTGAGGTCAGGAGTTCAAGACCAGCCTGGCCAACATGGCGAAGCCCCATCTCTACAAAAAATTAGCTGGGTGTGGTGGTGGGCGCCTGTAATCCCAGTTACTCAAGAGGCTGAGGCAGGAGAATCGCTTGAACCTGGGAGGCGGAGGTTGTGGTGAGCCGAGACCACGCCACTGCACTCCAGCTTGGGCGAAAAAGCAAGACTTTGTCTCGAAACAAACAAACAAACAAACAAACAAACAAACAACTCTGAGAGATAGGATTTAAAAGGAACCATAATACCGTTATCACTTTCAGTAAGTTTTATCTAGCATTCAGTTAATGTTCAATTTTCTTCATTTGCTTCGAAAATGTCTTTTTACTTTTGGTCCATTTGAATCAAGATCAAAACAAAGTTATCAATTGATTGGTATGTCTTTAAAGTCTTCTTGAAACTATACCATAAATATAACTTTTAAAATGTATATTACTTACTTAACATTATATTCTGCCTATTTTTAAAAATAGCTCTGTTGAGATATAATTCACATACTGTTGCAGGCTGAAAAATGATCCTTCTTTTCCCCAAGATATCAGATCCAAATCCCTGAGACAAGTACAAAAAGGCAAGAAATCTAATCAGTAAAAGAGGAAGCTTGAAGATGTTTACCAAATGTCTTATCTAGATTGAATCAAAGTCTTTTGCAACCATTGCTTAAAAATACTTTCTTCTTATTGTATATCACATTTATTGCAAGTAGACAATATGTTATTTTGAAATTCCATCTTTTCTGAGCCAAAAGAGTTATAAATTGAGAACCTTTACTTAATGGTCTGTCAAAATATAGATTATTTAGTGTCTGATCTTCATGATTATAATTAAAGTTTTTATGACAATAAATAGTATTTTTGTTCTGCAATTTAAAAACTATGCTTGAATGTACTAATATAGCTTTAAAGATTTTTAAATTAATTTTAACTTAGGAAAGTCATTTAAATACCTCCACCTTTGTTTTAGTATCCTTTCTTTGGACCACTCTGATGAACTTTAGAGCCCCTTGATCATTGGTCTTTTTTAAATGCATAAGTCTCAGATGTCTCTGTTGCAATAACAACAAAATGGAAAATTATGCTTGAAGACAGTTATTGGCAAACTACTACACGACTTTATGGTTTAAAACTGATAAATGGACACATGAGAACATTGAATAAGAATACCTATAACTAAAAAGAAACGTGGATTATAAGGCCCTGGAGATGTTACTAAAATGAAAATCTTTTAAATTCTTAACTAAGTTGCTATGGTAGCTTTTTTTCATCATAGTGTATTTGGTTTAACCATTTTAACATCTCTATTCAGCAGTTTTAATCCATATTTTAGTTAAATACGTAAACACAAATTTCTGAAAAATGTGTATAGTTTTTTATTTTCCTGTCAAGGGTACATAAAAATTTTTATAAATATGACTTTATAAAATGTAGGTAAGATATACTTATAACTAGCTGTTAGGAACTAGTATAGTAGAAAAGATGGAGGAATATAACTTTTAAACTAAAACTGTGATTAATTGAAAATCTAGCAGGAAAAACCAGTCTTGATTATGCTATCACATAATTATACTTCTCAATTTGCCCATGAATTTGAACTCTAAATGATGTAGTGCAAAATGAAAACTGAAAATAAAAATTCTCAAATTATTTAGAACAGTATTTTTTGTCTTCATTCTCTGCATTGCTTATACGGTTTTGTTTCCAAATACAATCTGAAGCTAGAAGTTAGCCTGTTGAAATTCCATGTGATAATGAATCATTCTCAATTGGTAGCAAAGAACTAATTTTGGAATGTTTGTGTTTAGCACATGCATTAAAGACAAAAATAATAATGAGTGATAACCAAAAATGAGAACCAAGAAATTACTTTTTCCTTTTCTGCTTACCTTGCTTTATTTCCCTACATCCTATAAATTTTATACATATTTTAATTGTTTGCCACTAAAATACAACTTCCCTGAAGACTGGGTATCGGCTTTGTTCCCTTTTTTATTCCAAGTGACAAAACAGTGCCTAGAATATGATTTAAAAAATCTCACATATCTGCAATACTAGGTATCAAGTTGTGGGTTTAAAATAATATTTCCTCCCTAAACAATTAAATCATTTCTTATAAATGTGGATTCACAACTTTGTCCAGCATTTTAAAACTGATATTTCTAAATTCTGTATAAACTTGGCTTGAGAAAAATGAAAATGTCCAGCACTTTAAAATTGATATTTCTAAATTCTGTATAAACTTGGCTTGAGGGAAAGATGAAAGAGTTAAGTATTGGGAGACAACCTGTTTAGTGTTTCTTAAACCAAGCTCCAGTAGCTTCCTTTATCCCCTTATATTTGTTTACTTCCACCTCAAAATCTATCCTATTTTATACCTGCCAACATTGAAGCTAGGTTGCCTCTTTGGTTCTGGCTGACACACCTTCTCCTTCCTACATTTTTTTTTCTCTCTCTCTTCTGTATTCCCACATGTCTCTTAATCTGTTTGCTCCATTCACAGGTTTCTGATCTCATTTCTATTTCATGGCTCTTCCATCAGTGGCAAACTCCATTGGCTCCAAACAGACATGGCTCTTCCATCAATGGCAAACTCCAGGTCATATACTCACTACCTATTACTTGTTTGTTTTAACCCATCCTTTAACTTGGGAACCAAAAAAACATAACAGTGTTCACTTTGGAATCACATACACAAAAACTGAAGCGACACAGTGAGATTAGAATATCCCCTGTGCAAGAATGACAAATTTGTAACACATTTTCTATTTTTCAAATAAGCATATAAAAAGATGGTAAACACCATACATCATTAAAGAATTGCAGATTAAAGCAATGAGATATCACTGCAAACTCATTAGAATAACTAACATCCAAAACACTAACAACACTAAATGTTGGCAAACATGTGGAACAGTAGAAGCTCTCATTCATTGCTGGTGTGCATGTAAATGGTACAACACCTTTGTAAGACATTTTGACAATTTCTTATAACTCTAAACATACTCTTACCATATGATCCAGCAATGGTACCCGTTGGTATTTGCCCAACTGGATTGAAAATTAAGTCCACAAAAAAATCTGCACACATATGTTTACAGAAGATTTATTCATAATTGTCAAAATTTGGATGAAAGCAAGATGCTCTTTAATAGGTGAATGGATACATAAACTCTGGTATATCTGATAATGGAACATATTCAATACTAAAAAGAAATGAGCAACCAAGCCATAAAAAGATGTAAACAAAACTTAAATGCAGATTACTATGTGAAAGAAGCCAATCTGGAAAAGCTACATACTGCATAATTACATCTATATGACATTCTAAAAAAGACAGAAGTATGGAGACTAAAAAGATCAGTGGTTGCCTGGGGAGGGAGCCGGGAGGAATGAATAGGTGGAGCCCAGTGGACTTTTAAGGCTGTGAAACTCTTCTGTCTGATACTATAATGGTAAATACCTGTCATTATGTATTTCTCAAAACCCATGAAATATATAACAAGAGTGCATCCTAATGTAAACTGTGGAGTTTGAGTGGTAATGATGTGTCAGTGTTGGTTCAATGCTTGTAACTAATGTAGCACCCTGGTGTGAGATATTGATGGTGGGGGAAGCTGTATGTGGCAAGGAGAGAATATAGGAGAACTCTCTGTACTTTCCATTCAGTTTTGCTGTGAAGATAAAACTGTAAAAAATCTATTTTTTAAAAGAAAGGACAGAGAAGGTACTTTTCTTTATCGACATTTTGAACCAGACACAATTTGATGACGGGACTTTAAATCATTGCTTTGTTTAAAAGAATCCTCTCTTCTTCTAACTTAAATCTATGATTAAATTAGTTGAACTACTTTTTTTTATACTTTAAGTTCTAGGGTACATGTGCACAATGTGCAGATTTGTTACATGCATATACATGTGCCGTGTTGGTGTGCAAACTATGTTTTTTAAAGGAACAATTTGTGTATTAATTATAATCAGACAGACAATGTGGAATGAACAAATGTGCGATTTCAAATCAACCTGTGCATTATATGGAAGATTTTTTTTTTAACTGTCACACATAAACTATGCTAAAGTTTTAGGATACCACAATCTCTGCACTTAAAATGAGAAAGTCATTATAAGTTAGGAATATTAAAATGTTACAAATAATATCTAAACTACAAAAAAATCATTGAAAATTTTTATCACACATTAACCATGATCTATGCCAAAAATGGCAAGTGACAGACAAAATTCAGTTTACGTATTTATTAATTTATTTATTTATAATTTACACTGGATGTAGCATTTTTAACTGGATTTGAAATTCTTTACAATGGAAATATTCTGAAGCTCATCAATGATCTTTTCACTTCCTATTTTCTCCCTCCTTCCATCCTGCCTCACACATTAACAAATCACCTGGTACTTGAAAGCACTTGAATGACAACTATCCCCTGATCTAATCTTCCTTATAACAACTGCGTTCTGAACTATTGAAAACTTAATGCTCTAGCAAATCATTGGTAACCAAAACCAACTAAAAATAAAAGCAATTAAAACTTTTGTAAGCGACATCAGCAAAAGTGATGGAGTAGGAAACTCCAAAAATCTTGTTACTCCACAAAATGAGTAAAGAAACTGGGAAAAACTTTCAGAATTGACTGTACCAGAACTCTTCAGATTCATAGAAATTTCCAACAACGAGGTGAATGCTTAGTCAAGGTGGAGAAAATAATCTGAATAAGAGAGTTTTATAATATGTTATCTTACTGTGATCCAAAACTACTCCTGAGTTCAGAAGTAGTTTTGCAGACAACAGCCCATTTCTACTATACTTTTCTAATGCCAAATAAAGCAAAACAGACTATATTCTTAAAGAATTGTAATTGTTTCTCTTGATCTGTCTGGGAACTCTTCAAAGGACTTGTATTTATCCCACTTGGAACTCTACTAGTGATGAAGCGGCTAGTGAGAGAGTATTTGTCAAATATATTTAAAAGAAAGTGTATTAGCTACTGCTGCTTGTGGAAAGGAATAAAAGTTGAAAAAAAAAAATAGACAAACCAAAAGCTTGGAATGAAAGAATTGAGAATGAGATGATTTGAGGTAAAAAATATATATATATTTTCTATATATTTTTTATATATAATATTTTATATATACGTGTGTGTATATATACACACATATATTATTTATATATATACACATATATACATATATTTATATATATATATATGCATATATAAAAATGATCTTCCATATATCCCAAGAATCTAAAAGGCCATGACACGCCAAGGGCTGGGTGCATGCTCAAAAAAAACTTAAAAAGCCTTAAGATCTCTCCTCCGTTAAACCTTTAGATTCTGCACACGCAAGAAGAGAAGGCTAAAACAAAATTATAGACTGCTTGTCTGAGAGTTGAAAGCTTGCTTCAACTTACCCACAGAACCGATATACAATGACTGGAAGATTTTGTGTGGTTTTGAACATTTTAGATAACCTCTGTTGAATCACTTGCTGATCACTAAGCTAATGGAACACAGATTTTAGTGGCCGCATACAACAAATAATACAAACTATACAAACTAAGTTCAAAAAAGTCACCAATGGCCAGGCATGGTGGCTTACGCGTGTAATCCCATTATTTTGGGAGGCCGAGGCAGGCAGATCACTTGAGGTCAGGATTTCTAGACCAACCTAGCCAACATGATGAAACCCCGTCTCTACTGAAAATACAAAAATTAGCCCGGTGTGGTAACATGTGCCTGTAATCTCAGCTACTCAGGAGGCTTAGGCAAGAGAATTGCTTGACCTGGGAGGCTGAGGTTGCAGTGAGCTGAGATTGTGCCACTGCACTCCAACCCTCCAGCCTGGGGAATAGAGCAAGACTCCATCTCAAAAAAAAGAAAAAAAGTCACCAACTAACAAGAACACAAGCAGCAGCAACCACAAACCCTGAAGAGGGAGAAGAATCTGATTTCCAAAGCTGCCAAATTATAATATTTAAAAGGTCCAGTTATGAAGACAAAATACGAGGTATAGAAATAAAAAAATTTATTGCCCACACATAGGATAAAAAGAGTTTAAATGAACTACATTAAATATGTTCAATAAGCTCAAGGAACATGTACAAAGAACTAAATAAAACCATTAGAATGATGTTTAACCAGGTAGAATGCTAATTTGGCTTGGTCCCCAGCCAAATCTCATTTTGAATTGTACTCCCCATAATCCTCATGTATTTTGGAGGGACCCAGTAGGAGGGAATTGAATCATGGGGGTGGTTTCCCCCTACTGTTCTCGCGGTAGTGAGTTCTCATGAGATCTGATGGTTTTATGTGTACCCCTGCAGGTACTTTTCTCTCCTGCCACCACGTGAAGAAGGATGTGTTTGTTTCTCCTTCTGCCATGACTGTAAGTTTCCTGAGGACCCTCCAGTCATGCAGTACTAGTCAAGTAAACCTCTTTCGTTTATAAATTACGCAGTCTCAGGCAGTTCTCTATAGCAGTGTGAGAATGGACTAATACATAGAGGATAATACAGATTTTGTAAGTAGAAATTATAGAAAGAAACCTAATAAATGTAGAACCAAATGGAAATTGTAATTAAACGTAAAATAACTAAAATGAAGAATTTAATCAAGGGATTCAACAACATATTTGAGGAAGTGAAAGTATGAATCAGTGAGTGTGGAATAAGTTAATTGTGACTATCTGACTGTGGAACAGAAACAAACAAAAATAGAAAAATAAACAGAAACTAAGAGATCCGTGGGACATCCCATCATGTGTACCAACATGCACATAATTGAAGTAGCACAGGAGGAGAGACAGAGAAAAAATAAAGCAGAAAGAATATTTGAAGAAATAATGCCTGAAAACTTTCCTTGTGAAGACATGAATCTGAGAAGCTAAATACATCTTTAGTAGAATAAACACAAAATGATCTACACCAAGACATATTATAGTCAAACTGTTGAAAGTCAAAAACAAAGAGGAAATCCAGGAAGAATAAAGAGAAGCAACTCCCCAAGTATAAGTAATCTGGGATAAAATTCACAGCTCGTATCTCATCAAAAGCAATGAACACCAGAAGGCTGTGGGATGATATACCTATGAGGTTGACTCTCAGAACAGACCAATAAGGAGTTGCAACATTGAATCAATAATAAAAAGCCTACCAACCAGAAATAGCCCAGGACCAGATGGATTCACAAATTCTACCAGATGTATAAGGAAGAGCTGATATCATTCCTACTGAAACTATTACAAAAAAATTGAGGAGGAGGGATTCATTCCTAATTCATTTTATGAGTCCAGGATCATCCAGAATCAAAAACCTGGCAGAGACACAACAAAATACAAAAACTTTAGGACAATATCCTTGATTAACATGCAAAAATTCTCAACAAAATACCAGCAAATTAAATCCAATAGCACATCAAAAAGCTAATCCACTACAACCAAGTATGTTGTATCCCTCGGATGCAAGGTTGGTTCAGCACACATGCAAATCAGTAAATGTTATTTACCACATAAACAGAACTAAAAACAAAAGCCACAAGATCATTTCAATAGATTCAGAAAAGGCTTTCAACAAAACTAAACATCGCTTCATATTAAAAACCCTCAACAATCTAGGTATTAAAGAAATATATCTCAAAATAGTAAGAGCCATCTATGAAAAACTCACACCCAACATCATACTGAATGGACAATAGAATAAATTTGGAAGGGCTCTCTCCTTCAACTTTTTGTTAAGAGTTTGAGAAGAATTGGTATTAATACTTTTATAAAAAAAAGTTTGCTAGAATATACCTATGAAGTCATCTGGATCTGAGCTTTTCATTGTTAGAATTGTTTTAACTGACGTAATCTTCGTACTAGTTATTAGTTGGTCTATCTAGATTTTCTATTTCTTTCTTTTTTTTTTTTGTTTGAGTTGGAGTCTTGCTCTGTCACCCAGTCTGGAGTGCAGTGGCGTGACTCGGCTCACCGCAACCTTCCCCTCCCTGCCTCAGCCTCCCAAGTAGCTGGGATTACAAGCACGCCACCACACCCGGCTAATTATTTAGGTATTTTTAGTAGAGATGGGGTTTCATTAGGTTGGCCATACTGGTCTCGAACTCCTGACCTCAGGTGATCCGCCCGCCTCAGCCTCCCAAAATGCTGGGATTACAGGCGTGAGCCACCGCACCCAGACATTGGGTTTTCTATTTCACCATGATTCAGTCTTTTCAGTTTTATATGTTTCTAGGAATTTATCCATTTTTTCTAGGTTATCCAATTTCTTAGTGTATAATTGCTCATAGTAGTCTCTTGTAATGCTTTGTATTTTGAAATATCATAATGTCACTTTTATCACTTCTTATTTGAGTCTTCTTACCTTTTCATTAGTTTAGCTAAAGATTCTTTATTTTTGTTTATCTTTTTAAGAAACCACTTTTAGTTTGGTTGATCTTTTCCATCATTATTCTGTCTTTATTTAATTTATTTCTACTCTTATCTCTGTTATTTTTCTCCTTCTGCTAACCTTGGACTTACTTTATTCTTCTTTAACTAGTCCCTTGAGGTATAAAGTTAGAATGTTTATTTGAGATTTGCCTTTTTTTCTTCTTGTAGGCATTTATACCATAAACTTCCCTCTTAGAAATGCTTCCCATAAGCAGTATCCCGTAAGTTTTGGTATGATGTTTTCATTTTCATTTATCTCAAGATACATTTCAATTGCTCCTTTGATATCTACTCGAGACCTATTGATCACTCTCCAGTATTGGGTGGGATGTGGTGGCTCTTATTCTGGGGGAGGCCTCAGCAGTGTAGTGTCCATGCAGCTCTATTAACTGAGGTCAGCATCAATAAAGATTCCACGGGTCCTCAAGAGCCACGGCCATGATTGTCCATAGCAGTGATGAAGGTTTTTGAGCTTTTTAGTGGTCAAGGCTGCTCTGGACATCCTGATACCTTTTTTTTTTTTTCCTCACAGAAGACAATGCGGCACCTGTTCTGGCTCATGGGCGTCCTCATTGTGGTGGTGGCACTGTTGTCTAATATACAAAATGCTACTGGAGTTCTTTACATAGCAGGTCTCTGGGGCCTGCGATGGCACTCACCACATGACTAATACAGATAGGATCTTCCCTTCTTTGCTCCCAGCCATCTCCAGACTTCCCTGCTAAGCCAGTCTCCCTAGTGATCCCTTCTATGCAGCTATTCTGTCTCTCATTTTCTTCCCCACTATGTTGTTGTAGGTCCTGATTGAACTTTGAGCTTAGTTAATAGTTTTCTTCCAGTATTTTTATATTTTACTAATTTTTATCTAATTATTATATCAATTATTGAGAAAGAGATGTTGAAAACTCTGAATATTATTTTTGCATTAATTGATTTCTCCTGTCATTGCTTCATATCAGTCTTTGCTTCATGCACTTTGAAACTCTGTTACTAGTACATCAAAGTATAATATTGTTATGCTTTCTTGATGGATTGATGCCTTTATCCTTGTAAAATGATCCACTGTCTCTCAGATAATATTTTTTTTCCTAAAATTTACTTTGCCTGATGTCTGTATAGCCACTGAAGACTTCTTTTGATTAGTCTTAGCATGCTGCTTCCCTGCTGAATGAATTCTAGCTAGTGTGGGATCCAGGTTCTCACCTGTGGTCTTTTGACAGTGCTTTACTACAAAGGAAACCGTTGAGATACCAAGTAGAGATCCTTTCTATTTCTGTTCTGTGATGCATTGAGGTAATTTTCAGGGAACAAAAAGAATATGTATGCTTTCAGAAAGACAAACCAAACACTGTCTAAACATTAGGACAATATATTTGAATCTGAGTCCTATGTTTTCTGCTAAGAAAAATGAAATAACTTTGAATTAGACATGCAATTTTCATCAGATGCCAAAAAGTGCATATATCCATCTTAAATGCCAAGAAAGTTATTGCTCACAGTCTGCTTCTTTCTTCTTCACTTGGGCTAAACGGATTGTTATTCACATTAAAATTGAACCATTGTTTTCCCTAATTTCAACTCCTGAGTATCAATATTTAAAACAAAGTGTTGCTTTTCATTTGTCAGCCATTCATTGAAATCTGCTTATTTATTTTCATTTTTATGAGAATTATGTCTCAAACAGAAAACCACTGATTTTTAAAATAACTTAAAATACATTCAAAGTTGAAAGTTTTACTCATCTATAAAAAGCTTAATAATATCCTCAGATTTGGCTTCATTATGGGGACATTAAAATAAGCCTCTTGTCTTTGAAAAAAATGCAGAAAGAGTCATCCAGGGACATATGAGTAAAGGGTACTTCAGCCACCGGCAGTCTAGAATGGGGCCCCTCTGCCTGTCTGGAAGCTCATTCCAGTCTGGAAACCCAAAAATCTTCTGTGATCACCTACTAAGGGAACCTGAAATTACCAGGTCTTTCTGTGTGGCTTATATGTTAGTCTAGATTCCAAGCAGTCAGAGTTTCATATATTCCAAACTCTCCGACCTGTAGGAATGTGGCCCAATGTACTTGACTTGCTGTTATATCATCTTGCTGTTCCTTCTGTAAACTAGTAAGTATGGCTGGACTGAGCCATGTCCCCAATCTGATGTTTGTCATAAGAAAGGCTAGAGAGCTCAGTTTGGTTTCAAATGCACCCCAGACTATTGGAGTCATCACCACTATGGCCACTGCTCATATCCATGGCCAGATATACTTACAGAGCTTTTACTCTCTTTCTGTCATCAGAAGCAGAGGACTATTTCATGTGACTTTTTGACTTCTAGGTGGAGAGCAACATGTTTGCTCAGCACAACTACTTCTTTTGGAATCAAAACGTTGTGTACATAAAATATTTGATATGTGTGACTTATCCCATTTTATCGCTAGTTAAGATTATTTTTAAAACCTCTATATACTGTTTCCATGTATCATTAAAACTCTTTGAGGAGTCAATATTGTCAATTTTTGTACTCTCAGATCCTAGCAATGAGTTTATTATATAATTCATTAATATAACAGATTAATTGATCTTGTGAGCATAAAAATATACAGATAGGACTTTAATAATAAACTTAATAACATCTACCCAATAGTTCAGGAGTCACCAAGGGCTTTAAATTAGATCATTTAAAACTGTGTGCCCAATCAGGTTACTTAAAAATTGCTGCCTATAGAAAACCTGAGAGGAGGTATTACCAACTCTAGCATCAAGAAAACAAGTTCTGCCACTTACACCATATGCCACTTGCATGTTGATCTCAAATATACCACAGCCTAGATCTTCATGTTTCATAAGGGTAAATGATTAAGAATATCCTCAGCCTCAATTTCAGCTCTAAATTGGAAATAATTGCAGCATCTATGTCATAGGTTTAAAATTAGAATTAACCTACACTTACAGTGCTAGCCATATGGGAAATATTCATAAATATTAGCTAATGAGAAATGGACAAATAAAATTTAAAAGCAAATATTAAACAGATATTATCATTAACCGTCTCCAGGAATAAATTCTAATTTAAAAGTGCATTTAAAAAAAGATCAGCCCCGGGCGCGGTGGCTCACGCCTGTAATCGCAGCACTTTGGGAGGCGGAGGCGGGGATCACGAGGTCAGGAGATCGAGACCATCATGGCTAACACGCTGAAACCCCGTCTCTACTAAAAATACAAAAAATTAGCCGGGTGTGGTGGCGGGCGACTGTAGTCCCAGCTACTGGGGAGGCTGAGGCAGGAGAATGGTGTGAACCTGGGAGGCGGAGCTTGCAGTGAGCCAAGATCGCGCCACTGCACTCCAGCCTGGGCGACAGAGCGAGACTCCGTCTCAAAATAAAATAAAATAAAATATAAAAATAAAAAAGATCAGCTGTTACATTATTTCCAGTTCGGCTTGTATTATTAAAATCATATGTAAGCACACCAATTTCCCAGCAATAAATAAAGTATAAACTTAGGAAATAATAGGCTGAATGTGAGAGAAATAGACAATATAGTAAGACTGGGGCAGGATTTGTAGAACAACACAGGAGGTCCTAAGTGGTTAGTGGTCAGTAACAGGCACACTGTCATTTAAGCTCTTAAGAAGAGAGACTATATCCCATTTATATTTCTATCATCTCTATCTCTATCATCTCTATATCTATCTCTATCATCTCTCTATTGATCTATCTGAAAACCTCTAAGTATAGAGCTAATAGTGATGACTTGAGGCATTATTTCTTGATTAAACATAAGTGAATGCCAGGTCAAGGAGTATCAAGTCAGAGAATGCAGCCGATTTAGAGAAAAGAAGGCTTCTAAGGCTACCTAAACAAAATAATGATCTCATAGGGATTTCATGGGAAGCAGATCTTTGGATCACTAAAAGTTATAGGCATCAAACAAAACCACAAAGGCAAATGGAAAATTAAGTAAGATCAGAGGTGAAGTTGTTATTTACTGATAGGATAATTTTATGTGAACTGTTGGTCAAGTATCTATTTTGTCTATAAGGCATTAGTTATAACTTTTAATTATTAGTCAAACACTGCCCTCTAGTGGCAGACCTTCAGTTTAGCATTGCAAATAGTGTGAACATTTGATAACACTAGATCTCACTTCGCACACCACAATTTGTTTTAATTTTTTCTTAGGTAGAAACTCTATGTAGACATAATATATATGTATTTCCTTATGTGTATGCATGTATGTCTAACTATTCTTCATATTTCATTTTACTTCTATGATATCTGGAGAAAATATTGAAAATGAAGAATGATACATAGCAGAAACCATAATTAAGAACTTTGACTAATTATCAATTATTTCAATATCAAATATATTTTTTATTCTAAAATACTTAATTTGCCGTATTAAGGAGATTTATATAATTTAATTATTCTACTTTCCAATATAAATGTAAAGACAAAAATAAATATACTTCTTTTCTCTTTTGTTCACCAGCCAGAGGCTAAGGAGGTTAGTGGAGATAGGCAGGGAGTACCAGGAGAGGTTGGTCATTGGGTGCAAAGTTACAGTTAAACAGAAATAATAAGTTTTGGTGTTTTATAACACAACAGGGTGACTACAGCAAATAATAATGTAGTGTATATTTTAAGACAGCTAGAAGAGATTTTGAATATTGTCACCACAAAGCATTGGTAAATCTTTAAAGTGATGGGTATGATAATTACCCCAGTTTGATCATTGTACTATTTATACATGCATTGAAAGTTCACAATTTACTCCATAAATACATACAATTGTGTGTCAATTATAAATTTTGAAACTAAGTTAACTAAAGAAATCTCACCATTTGACATCCAGGGAAGAAAAATGAGTCCCAATTTTTCTGCGACTTCAGCTACAGTGAGGAAAAAGGCAGAACATGTTCCTTTTCCCTTTGCAAAGATGTGAGATCTTTGTGCGGTTCAAAAGTGAGCTTGAGCCTATTTAAGAGTCTAGGTTTCCTGGTGGTGGAACCAGCTCTTAAGAAAACATAGAGCTTGCTCCACCTGTGATGGAGACTCCCACTAGCAGGTAGCCTTGGGCAGGAGTGTTTTTCTAGTTCTACCATTAAACAACCTCCAGGCATATACAAAACTGTCATCACAAACAGTGTGATGATCCAGTCTTACTCAACATTAATATTTTCTTTACTATTAGAGGCTTGAAATATGTAAGTTACCCCAAATATAGTTATATTATAACACACAATAGATCAAGTTTTAAGAAAATTCTAAAGAGAGAATGAGAAGAAAGAGGAAGAGAAAGAGTGAAAGAGAGAGAGAAAGTGTGCACACACTAACAAGCAAAGACACATACAACACATTACAGAAAAACAACTGTTCCAAAACCTCAAATAAATTTGGTATTATTGTATTTAAAAATTTTATGCTAATGAGTAAAGAGATCAATTAAACTGAAATACACTTAAAAAGCAAAAATATTGGGGTTGGTTTATTCTTTTTTTCTGGTACCTTTAGGTACAAAGTTAAATTACTAATTTGAGATCTTTCTAACTTTCTGATGAAGACATTTAGAGATACAAACTTTCCTCTTAACACTGTTTTAGCTGCATACAAGAGATTTCAGTAAGTTTTGTCCTTATTTTCATTAATTTTGATAAATTTTTTGATTTCTGCCTTAATTTTGATGTTTATCCAGAAGTGACTCTGGAACAAGTTGTTTAATTTCTCTGTATTTGTGTACTTTTGAGAGATCTTCTTGATACTTATTTCTATTTTTATTGTGTTGTGGTCTGAGAGTGTGCTTGGTATTACTTCAACTTAAACGATACAACAAACAAAAACCAAATAATCTCACTAAAAAAATGGGCAAAGGACATGGACAGACACTTTTCAAAAGAAGACATACATATGAAACAACAGAAACAACAAACACATGAAAAATGCTCATCATCAATAATCATCAGAGAAATGCAAATCAGAACCACAATGAGATGTCACCACATACCAGTCAGAATGGCTCTTACTGAAAAGTCAGGAGAGGGTGGAGCAAGATGGCGAATAGAAGCTCCACCAATCATCCTCCACACAAAGACACCAAGTTAACAACTATCTACACAGGAAAACACCTTTTCAAGAACCAAAAATCAGGTGAGCACTTATAGTACCTGGTTTTATCTTTATACCATTGAAAAAGGTACTGAAGATATTTTCTTAAAAAGTCCTGAATCTCTGACATCACCTCTCCCTCAACCCTGGCAGCAGCAGCATGGTGCAGAGAGGTGCTGGGGTGCCGGTGAGAGGTGACACCATGCTGGCAGCCCTCGCAGCCCTCGCTGGCTCCCGGCACCTCCTCGGCCTCAGTGCCCACTCTGGCAGCACTTGAGGACCCCTTCAGCCTGCCACTGCACTGTGGGAGCCCCTCTCTGGGCTGGCCGAGGCCGGGGCTGGCTCCCTCTGCTTGTGGGGAAGTGTGGAGGGAGATGCGCAGGCAGGAACTGGCTCTGCGCAGGGCGCTGGTGGGCCACCACCAGTTCCGGGTAGGCGTGGACTCCACAGGCCCCCCACTGGGAGCGGCTGGCCGGCAGCGCCAGCCCAGAGCACTGAGGAGCTTAGCACCCAGGCCAGCAGCTGCGGAGGGTGCACCAGGTCCCCCAGCAGTGCCAGCCCGCCGGGGTTGTGCTCGAATTCTCGCTGGGCCTCAGCTGCCTCCCGGCGGGGCAGGGCTCGGGACCTGCAGCCTGCCATGCCTGAGTCTCACACTGCCCCCCACCCCGCCCCCCACGGGTGTGCTCCTGTGCGGCCTGAGCCTCCCCGATGAGCGTCGCTCCCTGCTCCACGGCACCTGGTCCCATTGACCACCCAAGGGCTGAGGAGTGCAGGTGCATGGCGCGGGACTGGCGGGCAGCTCTGCCTGTGGCCCGGGTGCAGGATCCACTAGGTGAAGCCAGCTGGGCTCCTGAGTCTAGTGGGGACTTGGAGAACCTTTATGTCCAGCTAAGGGATTGTAAATACACCAATCAGCACTCTGTGTCTAGCTCAAGGTTTGTAAATGCACCAATCAGCACCCTGTGTCTAGCTCAAGGTTTGTAAATGCACCAATCAGTGCTCTGTGTCTAGCTAATCTAGTGGAGACTTGGAGAATGTTTATGTCTAGCTAAGGGATTGTAAATACACCAATCAGCACTCTGTGTCTAGCTAAAGGTTTGTTAACACACCAATCAGCACCCTGTGTCTAGCTCAAGGTTTGTGAATGCACCAATCAGTGCTCTGTGTCTAGCTAATCTAGTGGGGACTTGGAGAACCTTTATGTCTAGCTAAGGGATTGCAAATACACCAATCAGCACTCTGTGTCTAGCTCAAGATTTGTAAATGCACCAATCAGTGCTCTGTGTCTAGCTAATCTAGTGGGGACTTGGAGAACTTTTGTGTCTAGCTCAGGGATTGTAAACGCACCAGTCAGCACCCTGTCAAAATGGACCAATCAGCTCTCTGTAAAACAGATGTCAGCTCTCTGTAAAATGAACCAATCAGCAGGATGTGGGTGGGGCCAGATAAGGGAATAAAAGCAGGCTGCCTGAGCCAGCAGTGACAACCAGGTCGGGTCCCCTTCCACACAATGGAAGCTTTGTTCTTTTGCTCTTTGCAGTAAATCTTGCTGCTGCTCATTCTTTGGGTCTGCACTGCCTTTATGAGCTGTAACACTCACTGGAAGCTCTGCAGCTTCACTCCTGAGGCCAGCGAGACCATGAACCCACCAGGAGGAATGAACAACTCCAGATGGGAGGAATGAACAACTCCAGATGGGAAGAACAAACAACTCCAGATGCACTGCCTTAACAGCTGTAACACTCACCGTGAAGGTCTGCAGCTTCATTCCTGAAGCCAGCGAGACCACAAATCCACCAGAAGAAAGAAACTCTGAACACGTCCAAACATCAAAAGGAACAAACTCCGGACATACCATGTTTAAGAACTGTAACACTCACCGCAAGAGTCCACGGCTTCTTTCTTGAAGTCAGTGAGACCAAGAACCCACCAATTTCGGACACACTGGGGGAATGAGAAGACAGCAGTTGTGAGGCAATGAACTCAGTGCTGCCCTGTAATATCAGAAAGAAAAACCAGACCACACTCGACTGATGCTTACTCATGAAGGGAAGATTTAAAACAACCCTAGCCAGAGGGAAATCACCAATTCCAGTGGTCCTAACTTGAGCACCTGCAAACTCTGTCACCAAGGGCTACAGCACCGTGTGTTTCCAAGTAAACTTGAAAGGCAGTTTAGACCATAAGGATTGCTACTCTTTGATGTGTCCTAGTGCTGAGTTAGGCCCAGAGACAGTTGTCTGTGTGAGGGGTGGGGAGCACGTCATATACTGAGACACCAGCTGGACAGCTAAGGGAGTGCTGGCACCACCCCTCTCTGAAGCCCAGGCTGCTCTCCTAAAGAGATCTCTTCCTTTTGCTTGAGGAGGGGAGAGGAGAAGAGAGGAGAGGAGGGGAGGGGAGGGCAGGGGAGGGGAGGAGAGGGAAGAGTTGGGAGGACTGTGTCTTGCATCACGGATACCATCCGAGCCAGAGCAAAATAGGGCATCTTTCAGAGACATGAGGTCCCCATTCCAGGTCCTAGCTCCCATATGACATTTCTAGACACACCCTGGGCCAGAAGGAAACTAATTGCCTTGAAGGAAAGGACCCCATCCTGCCAGCATTCATCATCTGCTAACTCAACAGCCCTTGGGCCCTGAATAACCAGCAGTGATACCCGGGTATTATATTGAGGACCTCGGGTGAGACTGTGAGACTTGGTGGCTTTAATTTACCAGGTGTGGTAAATACAGAGCAAAACTCTTTCTGCTTGAGAAAAGCAGAGAGAGAGAAAAGTAAAGTAAAGGGGATTTTGTCTTACAGCTTAGATATGAGCACACCCACAGAGGGGTAGAGCACCAGGTGGGGACTTAGGGTTCCCAATTTTAGGATTTGACACTTGGATGGCATTTCTGTTGCTGCCCTTGGCTAGAGGGGAGCCCGCTCCCCTGAAAGAGGAGTCTCAGGTCAGGCAGCATTCAACACAAGCCTAGTTAAAAGCCCTTAACCCTTAAGGGAACATTAGTGGTTGTTGGGCAGCACTCATGGTGTGGCATGGCAGTGGCTATGGGGTGAGGCTTCTCTGCCTTTGGAAAGAGGAAGGAAGAGTAGGAAGAACTGCATCATGTGGTTTGAGTGCCAGCTCAGCCATAATACAGTCGAATACCAGGTAGACTTCTAAGGTTTTTGACTCTAGACCCTCACTTCCAGATGGCACTTCTGGACCCACCCAGGGCTTGAGAGACCTTGCTGACCTAAAGGGAAAGAAATGGTCCTGACTAGCTTTGCCACCTTCTGATTGTAGAGCCCCAGGGCCTTGAGCAAACATAAACAGTAGCCAAGGTGTTGTTAACAGCAGGCTTTGGGTGAGACCCACTGCTGTGCTGGCTTCAGGTCTGATTCAGTGCAGTCATAGTGGTGGTGGCCACAGGGATGCTTGTGTCATTCCACCCCCGGCTTTAGGTGGCTCAGAATGGAGAAGAGAGAGATAGAGCCTGTGTTTGTGAGAAAGTAAGAGAAGGAAGCAAGAGTCTCTGCCTGGTAATCCAGAGAATTCTCCCGGATCTTGTCCAAGACCATCAACATGGTACCTCTATGAGTCTGCAAGAACCACAGTGTTACTGGGCTTGGGGTGCCCTCAAAAGCAGATACAGCCTACAACACAACACCCAAATCATTCCAAATATCTAAAAAGCCTCCCCCAAAAGGATGGCTACAAATAAGCCCAGACAGTGAATGCTACAATAAATATCTAACCTTTCAATGTTTGGGCACTGAAGAATATCTGCCAGCATCAACATCATCCAGGTAAACAGGACGTCATCATATGAACTAACTAAGACATGGGGGACAAATCCTGGAGAAACAAGGTTATGTGACCTTTCAGAAAGAGGAAGAATTCAAAATAGCTGTATTGAGGAAACTCAAAGAAATTCAAGATAACACAGAAAAGGAATTTACAATTCTATCAGATACATTTAACAAAGAGATTGAAATAATTAAAAAGAATCAAGCAGAAATTCTGCAGCTGAAAAATGCAATTGGCATACTGAATAATGCATGAGTCCTTTAATAGTAGAATAGACCAAGCAGAAGAAAGAATGAATGGGCTTGAAGACAAGGTATTTGAAAATACAGTCAGAGAAGATAAAGAAAAAAGAAGAAGAAAAAAGCATTCCTACAGTATCTCAAAAATAGCCTCAAGATGACAAATTTAAGAGTTATTGGCCTTAAAGAGGAGGTAGAGAAAGAGATAGGGGTAGCAAGCTCATTCAAAGGGATAATAACAGAGAACTTCCCAAACCTAGAGAAAGGTATGAATATGCAAGCACAAGAAGGTTATAGAACACCAAGCAGATTTAACTCAAATAGACTACCTCAAGGCATTTAATAATCAAATTCCCAAATGTTAAGAATAAAGAAATGATTCTAAAAGCAGCAAGAGAAAAGAAACAAATAACACAAAATTGAGGTCTAATAAGTTTGGCAGTAGACTTCTCAGTGGAAATTTTACATGTGAGGAGAGAGTGGCATGACATACTTAAAGTGCTGAAGCATAAAAACTTTTACCCTAGAATAGTATATCCAGTAAAAATATACTTCAAACAAGAAGGATAAGTAAAGACTTTCTGAGGCAAACAAAAGCTAAGGGACTTCATCAATACCAGACCTGTCCTACAAGAAATACTAAAAGGGTACCTCAATTAGAAAGAAAATGACATTAATAAGCAATAAATAAGCAACTTAAGGTACAAAACTCACTGGTAATAGTAAGCACACAGAAAAACATAGAATAATATAACACTGTGTGGAAGGAAAATACCTTGGGTTCCCAAAATAACTAAAGAAAACCCAAGCTGGAAACTGCTTAGGCCAAACTGTCAGGCCTCTGAGTCCAAGCTAAGCCATCTCATCCCCTGTGACCTGCACGTATACATTCAGATGGCCTGAAGTAACTGAAGAATCACAAAAGAAGTGATATTTAAATGGTCTGTTCCTGCCTTAACTGATGACATTCTACCACAAAAGAAGTGAAAATGGCTGGTCCTTGCCTTAACTGATGACATTACCTTGTGAAATTCCTTCTCCTGGCTCATCCTGGCTCAAAAAGCTTTCCCACTGAGCACCTTGTGACTCCTAGTCCTGCCCACCAGAGAAAAACCCCCTTTGACTCTAATTTTCCTTTACCTACCCAAATCCTGTAAAATGGCCCCACCCCTATCTCCCTTTGCTGACTCTCTTTTCAGACTCAGTCCGCCTGCCCCCAAGTGAAATAAACAGCCTTGTTGCTCACACAAGCCTGTTTGGTGGTCTCTTCCCAAGGACACTAGTGAAATTTTGGTGCCATGACTCGGATCGGGGGACCTCACTTGGGAGATTAATCCCCTGTCCTCCTGCTCTTTGCTCTGTGAGAAAGATCCACCTATGACCTCAGGTCCTCAGACCGACCAGCCCAAGGAACATCACACCAATTTTAAATCAGGTAAGCGGCCTCTTTTTACACTCTCCTCCAACCTCTCTCACTATCCCTCAACCTCTTTCTCCTTTCAATCTTGGCGCCACACTTCAATCTCTCCCTTCTCTTAATTTCAGTTCCTTTCCTGTTCTCATAGAGACAGGAGATGCATTTTATCTGTGGACCCAAAACTCCAGCGCCGGTCAGGGACTTGGGATGACAGTCTTCCCTTGGTATTTAATCACACAGGGATGCCTGCCTGATTATTCACCCACATTTCAGAGGTGTCTGACCACACAGGGATGCCTGCCTTGGTCCTTCACCCTTAGTGGCAAGTATCACTTTTCTGGGGGACAAGAACCCCCCGACCCCTTCTCTCCATGTCTCTACCCCTTCTCCACTTTTCTGGAAGGTAAGAACCCCCCGACCACTTCTCTCCATGTCTCTATCCCTTCTCTGCTTTTCTAGGGGGCAAGAACCCCCCCACCCCTTCTCTTCATGTCTCTACTGTCTCTTTTCTCTGGGCTTGCCTCCTTCACTATAGGCAAGCTTCCGCCCTCCATTCCCCCTTCTTCTCCCTTAGCCTGTGTTCTTAAAAACCTAAAACCTCTTCAACTCACACCTGACCTAAAACCTAAATGCCTTATTTTCTTCTGCAATGGCACTTGCCCCCATACAAACTCGACAGTGGTTCCAAATAGCCAGAAAATGGCACTTTCAATTTTTCCACCCTACAAGATCTAAATAATTCTTGTTGTAAAATGGGCAAATGGTCTGAGGTGCCTGACGTCCAGGCATTCTTTTACACATCAGTCCCTCCCTAGTCTCTGTTCCCAATGCAACTCATCCCACATCTTCCCTCTTTCCCTCCCGCCTGTCCCCTCAGTCCCAACCCCAAGTGTCACTGAGTCTAATCTTCCTTTTCTACAGACCCATCTAACCTCTCCCCTCCTAGCCAGGCTGAGCTAGGTCCAAATTCTTCCTCAGCCTCCACTCCTCCACCCTATAATCTTTTTATCACCTCCCCTCCTCACACCCAGTCTGGCTTACACTTTCATTCCATGTGTAGCCCTTCCCCACCTGCCCAGCAATTTCCTCTTAAAAAGGTGGCTGGAGCTAAAGGCATAGTCAAGGTTAATGCTCCTTTTTCTTTATCCCAAATCAGATAGCGTTTAGGCTCTTTTTCATCAAATATAAAAACCCAGCCCAGTTCATGGCTTGTTTGGCAGCAACCCTGAGATGCTTTACAGCCCTAGACCCTAAAAGGTCAAAAGGCCAACTTATTCTTAATATGCATTTTATTACCCAATCCACTCCCAACATTAAATAAAACTCCAAAAAATAAATTCCGGCCCTCAAACCCCACAACAGGACTTAATTAACCTCACCTTCAAGGTGTATAATAATAGAATAGAGACAGCCAAGTAGCAACATATTTCTGAGTTGCAATTCCTTGCCTCCACTGTGAGACAAACCCCAGCCACATCTCCAGCACAGAAGAACTTCCAAACGCCTAAACCACAGTGGCCAGGCGTTCTTCCAGGCCCGCCTCCCCCAGGAGCTTGCTACAAGTGCCAGAAATCTGTCCACCAGGCCAAGGAATGCCCAAAGCCTGGGATTCCTCCTAAGCCATGTCCCATCTGTACGGGACCCCACTGGAAATTGGACTGTCCAACTTACCCAGAAGCCACTCCCAGAGGCCCTGGAACTCTGGCCCAAGGCTCTCTGACTGACTCCTTCCCAGATCTTCTCGGCTTAGCAGCTGAAGACTGATACCGCCCGATCACCTCGGAAGCCTGCAGGACCATCACAGACGCTCTAGGTAACTCTCTCGGTGGAAGGTAAGTCTGTCCCCTTCTTAATCAATATGGAGGCTACCCACTCCACATTACCTTCTTTTCAACGGCCTGTTTCCCTTGCCTCCATAACTGTTGTAAGTACTGACAGCCAGGCTCCTAAACCTCTAAAAACTCCCCAACTCTGGTGCCAACTTAGACAATACTCTTTTAAGAACTGCTTTTCATTATCCCCACCTGCCCAGTTCCCTTATTAGGCTGAGACACTTTAACTAAATTATCTACTTCCCTGACTATTCCTAGGCTACAGCCATACCTCATTGCTGCCTTTTCCCCCAGTTCAAAGCCTCCTTCACATCCTCCCCTTGTATCTCCTCACCTTAGCCCACAAGTATAAGACACCTCTACTCCCTCCTTAGCAACTGATCATGCACCCCTTACCATCCCATTAAAACCTAATCACCCTTACCCTGCTCAATGCCAATATCCCATCCCACAGCACGCTTTAAAAGGATTAAAGCCTGTTATCATTGGCCTGTTACAGCATGGCCTTTTAAAGCCTATAAACTCTCCTTACAATTCCCCCATTTTACCTGTCCTAAAACCAGACAAGGCTTACAGGTTAGTTCAAGATCTGCACCTTATCAACCAAATTATTTTGCCTATCGACCCCGTGGTGCCAAACCCATATACTCTCCTATTCTTAATACCTCCCTCCACAACCCATTATTCTGTTCTGGATCTCAAACATTCTTTCTTTACTATTCCTTTGCACCCTTCATCCCAGCCTCTCTTCACTTTCAGTTGGACTGACCCTGACACCCATCAGGCTCAGCAAATTACCTGGGCTGTATTGCCACAAGGCTTCACAGACAGCCCCCATTACTTCAGTCAAGCCCAAATTTCTTCCTCATCTGTTACCTATCTCAGTGTAATCCTCATAAAAACACACATGCTCTCCCTGCCGATCATGTCCGACTGATCTCTCAAACCCCAACACCTTCTACAAAACAACAACTCCTTTCCTTCCTAGGCATGGTTGGATACTTTTGACTTTAGATACATGGTTTTGCCATCCTAACAAAACCATTATATAAACTCACAAAAGGAAACCTAACTGACCCCATAGATCCTACATCCTTTTCCCACTCGTTTTCCGTTCCTTGAAGACAGCTTTAGAGACTGCCCCCACCCTAGCTCTCCCAGACTCATCCCAACCCTTTTCATTACCCACAGCTGAAGTGCAGGGCTGTGCAGTAGGAATTCTTACACAAGAACCAGGACCGTGCCCTGTAGCCTTTTTATCCAAACAACTTGACCTTACTGTTTTGCCTAGCCTTCAAGTCTGCATGCAGCGGCCGCCACCACCCTAATGCTTTCAGAGGCCCTTAAAATCACAAACTATGCTCAACTCACTCTCTACAGTTCTCATAACTTCCAAAATCTATTTTCTTCCTCACACCTGACACATATACCTTCTGCTTCCCAGCTCCTTCAGCTGTACTCACTCTTTGTTGAGTCTCCCACAATTACCTTTGTTCCTGGCCTGGACTTCAATCTGGCCTCCCACATTATTCCTGATACCACACCTGACCCCCATGACTGTATCTCTCTGATCTACCTGATATTCACCCCATTTCCCCATATTTCCTTCTTTCCTGTTCCTCACCCTGATCACACTGGTTTATTGATGTCAGTTCCACAAGGCCTAATTGCCACACACCAGAAAAGGCAGGCTATGCTATAGTACAAGCCACTAGCCCACCTCTTAGAACCTCTCATTTCCTTTCCATCATGGAAATCTATCTTCAAGGAAATAACTTAGTGTTCCATCTGCTGTTCTACTACTTCTCAGGGATTATTCAGGCCCCCTCCCTTCCCTACACATCAAACTCGGGGATTTGCCCCTGCCCAGGACTGGCAAATTGGCTTTACTCAACATGCCTGAGTCAGGAAACTAAAATACCTCTTGGTCTGGGTAGACACTTTCACTGGATAGGTAGAGGCCTTTCCCACAGGGTCTAAGAAGGCCACCATGGTCATTTCTTCCCTTCTGTCAGACATAATTCCTCGGTTTGGCCTTCCCACCTCTATACAGTCCTGTAGCGGACCAGCCTTTATTAGTCAAATCATCCAAGCAATTTCTCAGGCTCTTAGTATTCAGTGAACTAATGGTCTTTTAAAAACACACCTCACCAAGCTCAGCCACCAACTTACAAAGGACTGGACAATATTTTTACCACTTGCCTTTCTCAGAATTCAGGCCTGTCCTTGGAATGCTACAAGGTACAGCCCATATAAGCTCCTGAATAGATGCTCCTTTTTATTAGGCCCCAGTCTCATTCCAGACACCAGACCAACTTGGACTGTGCCCCAGAAAACTTGTCATCCCTACTATCTTCTGTCTAGTCATACTCCTATTCACTGTTCTCAACTACTCATAAATGCCCTGCTCTTGTTTACACTGCTGGTTTACGCTGTTTCTCCAAGACATCACAGCTGATATCTCCTGGTGCTATTCCCAAACCGCCACTCTTAACTCTTAAAGTAAATAAATAATCTTTGCTGGCAAGGCTATGCTGAACCTCCTTAGGCACTCTCTAATTAGGTGTCCTGGGTCCTCCCAATTCTTAGTCCTTTAATACTTGTTTTTCTCCTTCTCTTATTCCATTTAGTTTTTCAATTCATACAAAACCATATCCAGTCCATCACCAATAATTCTACATGACAAATGTTTCTTCTAACAATCCCACAATATCACCCCTTACCACAGAATCTTCCTTCAGCTTAATCTCTCCCACTCTAGGTTCCCACACCGCCCCTAATCCCGCTCGAAGCAGCCCCGAGAAGCATCGCCCATTATCTCTCCATGCCACCCCCCAAAAAATTTTTCTCACTGCCCCAACACTTCAATACTATTTTATGTTATTTTTCTTATTAATATAAGAAGGCCGTAATGTCAGGCCTCTGAGCCCAAGCTAAGCCATCGCATCCCCCTGCATGTATACATCCAGATGGCCTGAAGTAACTGAAGAATCACAAAAGAAGTGATATTTAAATGGTCTGTTCCTGCCTTAACTGAGGACATTCCACCACAAAAGAAGTGAAAATGGCCAGTCCTTGCCTTAACTGATGACATTACCTTGTGAAATTCCTTCTCCTG
Source organism: Homo sapiens (assembly GCF_000001405.40). Classification (NCBI taxonomy): domain Eukaryota; kingdom Metazoa; phylum Chordata; class Mammalia; order Primates; family Hominidae; genus Homo; species Homo sapiens. The sequence goes on from NC_000004.12 coordinate 103,946,804, forward strand.
GCTCAAAAAGCTCCCCCACTGAGCACCTTGTAACCCCCACTCCTGCCCTCCAGAGAACAACCACCCTTTGACTGTAATTTTCCTTTACCTACCCAAATCCTGTAAAACAGCCCCACCCCTATCTCCCTTGGCTGACTCTTTTCGGACTCAGCCTGCCTGCCCCCAGGTGAAATAAACAGCCTTGTTGCTCACACAAGCCTGTTTGGTGGTCTCTTCACAGGGACGCAAGTAAAACAAACCTGCCTCCCATTCTATTCAAAGTCACCCCTCTGCTCACTGAGATAGAGGCATATATGATTGTCTCCTTTGGAAATGCTCATCAGAAACTCAAAAGAATGTAACCCTTTGTATATCACCTGTCTGTGACCTGGAAGCTCCCTCCCCACTTGCAGTCTTCCTGACTTTGCTTCAAGTTGTCCCACCTTTCCAGACCAAACCAATGTACTTCTTACATACACTGATTGATGTCTCATGTCTCCTTAAAATATATAAAACCAAGCTGTGCCCTGACCACCTTGGACACATGTTGGTAGGACTTCCTGAGGCTGTGTCACAGGTGAGTCCTCAACCTTGGCAAAATAAGCTTTCTAAATTAACGGAGACCTGTCTCAGATTTTCTGCATTCACATTTTGGTAACCACGGGGGGATTCTGAGTGGAGGTGCCCCTGACCTTTAACACGTCTCCTATTGGCATTTTGTACTAGCATGAAATAATTTTATGGCTCAAACCAACAGGACAATTTGCTGATGTCTGAAAGCACCCCCTCCAGAAATCCCTGATCTTCCAAAATTTGGTCGAGATGTAAAGTTTATTTTTCTATACAACTCATCCTGTTTTTGAGTTTTACTTGCTTCCAACAGGAAGGCAAGTTTTCCTGCTTCCATGAGGATAGAAGGCAGGTAACTCCCTTAGGAGTCTGAGCTCACTTCCAACAGGGAAGATCAGTTTTTGGTTTTTTTGTTTTGTTTTGTTTGTTTGTTTTCCTGCTTCTAGGATGGTAGAGAGTAGTCTACAGCCTGAGACCCACTAGGTAAAGAAACTGGTTTGGGATTCTTGTTTTGCAAATTCCTTTCAGGTGACTAAAGTTAGCATTTAACAATCAACTGGTGTTAATTTCTGCTTACACTTAGAGTGCGCAGAAATATTTGTGTGATCATTGTTAGTTTAGCAGCATTTTGTCTTAGCTGAAATATGGTAATAAAATTTTTAAAAAATTTTTAAAGGAGCTAAATAGTTAAAAGTCAGCTAAATTAGAAGGCTAACATTCAAGATATGTGTGTATATGTGTGCATGTGTGCTTGTATTTGAAAGGCCTTCATGTTTTTGTTTTTGTTTTTCCTCTCCTAAGACCTTGTCTTTTTTTGAGCAAAAGTTTTTTTTTTTCTATTTCTTCTCAGTTGACTGAATTCCGTTTTCAATTGATTTTTTTTTTTCTAAAATAGTTATTGCAACAGAGACTACTCTTGGGGTTTTAAGGAGTAGTGTAGTTTAATTTGACTCAAAGAAAAATAAAAGTGTCTCCCTCTAGCACCACCAGACCTTTTCTTTCTGTATTTTATGATGTAAATTTTGCTATTTGATTTTCACCTGAGTTTCTTCCTTTAATGTGCAAATTTAAGGCTATTTAGCTGACAATTGCCTAGGGTTGTGAAACAGTTTATCGAGAATCTGAAAGTCAAAGTGGAAAAAAAGTAGGAGAGGGTCTTTATAAATCTATGATATGTACTGTAATTGCTCAATGGGTTTACTTTACCCGCTACCTAAACAGAACCCATTTATCAAGACAGGGGAATTGCAATGGAGAAAATGTAATTTATGCACAGCAGGCTATGCAGGAGACTGGAGTTTTATTTTTACTCAAATTGGTCTCTCCTAGCATTCCAAAATCAGTTTTTAAAGATAATTTGGTAGGTAGGGGCTTGGGAAGTGGGGAGTGCTGATTGGTCAGGAGATGGAATCACAGCGGGGCAAAGTGAGGTTTTCTTGCTGTCTTCTCTTCCTGGGTGCAATGGCAGAACTGGTTGGGCCAGATTACTGGCCTGGGTGGTGTCAGCTGATCCATCAAGTACAGGATATGCAACATATTCCAAGCACTGATCTTAGGCTTTACAGAAGTGATGTTACCACCAGGAGAAATTTTGGGAGGTTTGGACTTTTGTTGCCAGAGGCTGCATGACCCCTAAACTGTAATTTCTAATTTTGTAGCTAATTTGTTGATCCTGCAAAGGCAGACTGGTACCCAGGCAAGAAGGGGGTCTTTTCAGGAAAGGGCTGTAATCAATTTTGTTTCAGAGTCAAAACCATAAACTGAATTCCCTTCCAAAGTTAGTTCAGCCTATACTCAGGAATGAAAAAGGACAGCTTAAAGGTTATGAGGAAGATGGTGCCAGTTAGGTCAAATCATTTTTTCACTGTCTTAGTTATAATTTTGCAATGGTGTTTTCATAACTTTAAATCATGACTATCACAGTTTTGATAAATAATCTAGGTAAACAAAATTAAATAATTAAGTAAATGTAATGGGATAAGTACTTGTATACAAACTGATCATAATTTAGAATATAAAGTTATATTAAATTAAATAATAGATATTCCCTTATTTGGGTATTTGGGTATTTTCTAATAAATGTATTTTTTAGAAAAACATTCTTGCTAAAAATAAGTGTTTTTTTTTTTTTTTTTTTTTTTTTTTTTTTTTTTTTTTTTTTTTGAGACGGAGTCTTGCTCGTGATGTCACCCAGCCTGGAGTGCAGTGGTGCAATCTAAGCTCACTGCAAGCTCCACCTCCCAGGTTCACGCCATTCTCCTGCCTCAGCCTCCTGAGTAGCTGGGGCTACAGGCACCTGCCACCACGCCTGGCTAATTTTTTGTATTTTTTAGTAGAGACGGGGTTTCACCATGTTAGCCAGGATGGTCTCGATCTCCTGACCTCGTGATCCACCCGCCGTGGCCTCCCATAGTGCTGGGATTACAGGCATGAGCCACCGCATCCAGCCATATAAGTGACTTTATTTAAAAAAGAAGGTGAAGAAATTTTGTCTAATTCAAAGCTTATTTAAAGGTTATATATAAAACAAGGTAAAGGGAACCAGGAAATTTAAAAAAAGATGCAAAGAAAGTTATAAAAATAAAGAGGATTATTTTTTGAGGTAAAAAACTTTAAAGAGAAATAACGTTATATGAGAAAGAATCTTGTATGTAAGTTTAGTCCTAAAATAAAATAACTGGTTGTTTAAAAAGGAAGGATATTCAGAACAAATCAGAAAGTCTTACCCTGACATGAACAGTCAATGGAAGTCACAGTAAGAGGATTCATGTATTTAAAAAACCCAAAAATTTTTATATAATCAAGTTGTCATATTATTATTTTTAGTTTGCTTAGGAAAAAGAAACTTGAGATTTTTTAAAAAATTAAGGTTATTACATCCATGTATCTTCCTATATATGCTTCTAAAATCCTTGTTACATTGAGTTACAGGGCTTTTAAATCCTGGGTCTAAAAAGGATACCAAATCCTGCTAAATCTTAAACACTGACAGCAATTAAAGCCTCATCTTCAGGCCCAGTAGAAGATGCCAATCAAAATAAACTGCATTCCTGAGACACACGGCAAGAAATTAAAGCTATTCAGTTCCTCAAAGTCCAGAGACTATCATGGAAGAGGTGGGCATTTTAGATTTTAAGGGCCAAATTTGAAAGATAAAGTAAGTTCAGTTTCTCTATAATTACTAATGTCAAAGGCACACTAATCCAAAACCAGTATATGGACCCCTGTGTCAGATTACCAAGGTTTTCTTGAGACATTAGCCAACTCCTTAATAGAGGTTATAAAGGTTTTAAAAGTCTTATGGAAGTTATATTTTATAATCAAGATTAAATTTTATAAATTGTATACCAAATTTTGAAAAAAATGTAATTGGCTTCATGTTGTTTTTATTAGGGCTACTCATTTAGAAAATTAAGTCTCCTCTCTCAAATAATACAGGTTTTCACTTTTTTTGAAATCCTTGAATTATCACTTTGGTTAAATAAATGACTTTAAAATAACCTGTAATCCTATTTTGTAATATCAAGTGTTTTAAAACTTTTATATTTGACAAACTTTCCTGCCAAGACCAGCTCGGTTGGGGAGACCCTAACCCAGTGGCATTAGAGGAATTAAAGACACACACAGAAATATAGAGGTGTGAAGTGGGAAATCAGGGGTCTCACAGCCTTCAGAGCTGAGAGCCCTGAACAGAGATTTACCCACATATTTATTAACAGCAAACCAGTCATTAGCATTGTTTCTATAGATATTAAATTAACTAAAAGTATCCCTTATGGGAAATGAAGGGATGGGCAGAATTAAAGGAAAAGGTTGGGCTAGTTAACTGCAGCAGGAGTATGTCCTTAAGGCACAGATCACTCATGCTATTGTTTGTGGCTTAAGAATGTCTTTAAGCAGTTTTCCACCCTGGGTGGGCCAGGTGTTCCTTGCCCTCATTCCCATAAACCCACAAACTTCCGGTGTGGCTGTTAGGGCCATTATGAACATGTTACAGTGCTGCAGAGATTTTGTTTATGCCCAGTTTTGGGGCCAGTTTATGGCCAGATTTTGGAGGCCTGCTCCCAACACTTTCCAAAATCATATTATAAATTATGTCTATTTCTAACCTAAGTAATCCTTTAAGACATTGGGTTCCTTAAAGCCCAAAAATGACATACCTTGGCTTATTTGGTATAAAAATTATACAGGAAGCATTGTCAATTATGAAATGATGTTTGGTTTTCTTTGCACTGTATTTGTATAAATATGTTATTGGTATGTGTTCCAAAATTATGGGAAACTCCTGTAATTTTGATATAACTTAGAGTACATTATCAGTAACAATAATCATTTTCATGTTAAAATTATTGTGTGCCACAGAGGTAACAAATATTCTTGTCAGTTGTGTCTTTTAACTATGGCTTCCTTAAAACTTCTTTTATTCATCAATAGACAATTGTCTTATTTTGTCTTGTTTTTAACCCTCTTTAAAAGGTTTACAATCAGATATAAAACTCTAACAAGTGCACTTAAATGCAGATTTTCTGATAACTTTGAAAATTGTGACATTGAAATAAAGGGAAAAATTTCAGAACTGTAATGGAGAGCTGAAATGTTCATGACTATCAAACAGAACAGGAGTTAACTGAATTAATTGAACCAACAGAAAACCTAAGTTATCTTTTTTACCTTTTGCTTAAAATGTTGTTGATATTTTGTTTTGTTTTTCAGAGTTAAGAAAACTTTTCTTTTAAGCTATTTACAGCTCTTAACAATTGAGTAAAGTATGCTCCTTTGAACAAAATTTGGAGCAAAATTTTGAACAAAAATCTCTGCCTCATTTCTCCAGAATTTCAAAACTATTTGTGAGTATTCTTAATTTAGAGCAATACAGTTTTTTGCATAAGTGCAATAAGAATCTGTTTTCTTTTCCAATAAGACACAATTGGAGACTGTTTATTTGACCAAGGCTTTGACTGGAATGTTGTGCTTTCCTTTAAGGAATCAAACTTGACTTTTAAGCAATCAAACTTTACTTACAGAGCCAATAAAACCCTTGGAAAAACTGACCTCCTATTTTGTGTACACAGTCCCTGTACAGGTTTTCTGACCTGTGGTAAGTAAAGAATGCCACTTTCTGACAGGCACAGTAGCCCCAGGTTTATCTTAGAACCTCAAGAGGAGAGGAAATTCACCCAGCTCATAGGTATTTGATGGCACAAATCCATGGCTGGGTTCGGCTTTAAAAAAGTTTTATCCTCCCATGGAGCAAAGTTCCATTAAAGCCAATTTAAAACCCATGTAAAAATAATTACTCTTGCTGAACTGTATACAAATAATTAGGCCAAGTATATTAAAGCAAACTAGTCCTAGCATGATTTGAATTTAGTAAAAAGGGGAAAATGGGGAGAGAAAAAAATTATGTTTCAAAACTACTGTAAACCTGTTGTTAGATTATAGTCTTGCCTAATGTTTTTTCAATTTTTATTATTTTCTACAGTTTGGAACAAATTCTAAGTTTTCTTGGCTACAAATCTTCAAAATCATGTTTTCAATTACCTTTTCTTCTTTTTTTCCCATTTTTTCTAATTTGGAGGCACTGAAAACCAAGCTGTGCTTTCTTAAATCCCTGCAAACTGAAGCCAGACAACTTAAACGCCAGGAGAAAATAACAGCAACCTATGTACATACATAAGCCACTTTCATACCTGTGGACTAATGTACGGACTTCAGAGTAATGTGGTCTATATTGATATTTTCAGGATTGTTCTTTCGTTTGTTGTTGTTTTTTCTTTCTTCCTCCCCCACCCCCATTTTATCTTCACAGGACATGAGACTTCACAACCTGGTAAAAATGAGCTTTTGGGACCTACCCATGTAGAAATAAATCATCCTAGTCATGAGAAATCAGATGAAATCTGAGACCAGAGATTCATTTTCCCATAAAATGTTCTTCCAAAAGATTTTTAAAAAGAAAGGGGGAGAAATGTGAAAGAAAAACATCTTGGGCCCCCAAAATCACTAAGGAAAACTCAAGCTAGAAACTGCTTAGGGCAAACCTGCCTCTTATTCTATTCAAAGTCACCCCTCTGCTCACTGAGATAGATGCATATCTCATTGCCTTCTTTGGAAATGCTCATCAGAAACTCAAAGGAATGTAACTCTTTGTGTATTACCTATCTGCGACTTGAAAGCTCCCTCTCTGCCTCCAGTCTTCCTGCCTGTGCTTCAATTTGTCCTACCTTTTGAGACTGAACCAATGTACTTCTTACATATATTGATTGATGCCTCATGTTTCCCTAAAATGTATAAAACCAAGCTGTGCCCTGACCACCTTAGGCACATGTCATCAGGATTTCCTGAGGCTGTATCATGGGTGTGTCCTCAACGTTGGTAAAATAAACTTTCTAAATTAACTGAGACCTGTCTCAGTTTTTCTCCATTCACAACTGTAACTGAAGTGTGTAAATTATTCTTATCCTAATTAGAAAAACAATGAACTAATAAAAATAATAACTACAAGAAATTTTTAAGACATAGTCAATATAATAAGATAGAAATTTTAAAAAAGATAAAAAGCATGGGGATGAAGTTATGGTATAGAATTTTTGTTAGTTTTCTTTTGGATTATTTGTTTATGCAAATAGTGTTAAGCTGTTATCAGGTTAAAATAATAGGTTATTTGACAGTATTTGCAAGCCTTATAGTAACTCCAAGCCCAAAAAACATAAAATGGATACACAAAAATAAGAAGAAAGAAATTAATCATATCACCTGAGAATATAAACATGAAGATTATAGGAAGACAGGAATGAAGGAAATAAGGAAAAGAAGACCACAAAGCAACCAGAAAACAACAAAATGACAGGAGTAAAGTCCTTACCTATTAATAATAACATTGAATGTAAGTGGAGTAAACTCTCCAATCAAAAGACACAGAGTTGCTAAATAGATTTTAAAAAATTAGGCCAGGCTTTGGCAAGACAGGTGGGTCACCTGAGGCCAGGAGTTTGAGACCAGCCTGGCAAATATGGTGAAACACTGTCTCCCTAAAAAATAAATAAATAAATAAATAAATAAAATATAAAAAGAAAGAAAGAAAAAAGAAAAGAAAAAGAAATCATGATCCAATGTTCTGGTGTCTATGAGAAACACACTTCACCTACAAATACACACACAGACTGAAAATAATGGGATGGAAAAAACATATCATGTCAATGGAGACCATAAAAAAAGCAGGAGTAGCTATGCTTAGACAAAGTAGACTTCAAAACAAAAGGTATAAGAAGGGACAAAGATGGTCACCATGTAATGATAAAGGGATCAATTCAGCAAGAGGATATAACAATTTTAAATGTATATTCACCCAACACTGGAGCACCCAGATATATAAAGCAAATATTATTAGAGCTAAAAAGAGAGACAGGTCCCAATACAATAATAGCTGGAGGCTTCAGCACCCCACCTTCAGCATTGTATAGTGCTTCCAGATAGAAAGTCAAAAAAGTGACATCAAACTTAATCTGCACTATAGACCAAATGGATCTAGTCTATATTACAGAAAATTTCATTAAAGAGTTACAGAATACATATTGTTTTCCTCAGCATATGGATTATTCTCAAGGATAGACCATATGTTATGTCACAAAACAAGTCTTCATTCCAAAAAACTGAAATAATATCAGCATCTTTTCTGATCACAATGGAATAATAGAAATTACTAAGAAGAGGAATTTTGGAAACTATACAAATACAGGAAATTAAACAAACAATATGCTCCTGAATGACTAGTTGGTCAATTAAGAATTGAGAAGGAAATTGAAAAATTTCTTGAAACAAATGATAATGGAAACACACTATACCAAAACCTATACAATATAGCAAAAGCAATACTCATAGGGAAGTTTATAGCCATAAGTGCCTACGTCAAAAAAGAGAAAAAAACTTCAAATAAACAATCTAATGGTGCATCTTAATTAGAAAAGCAAGAGCAAACAAACCCCAAATTAGTAGAAAAAAAGAAATAATAAAAATCAGAGAAGAAATAAATGAAATTGAAATGAAAAAAGCAATACAGAAGATCAATGAAACAAAAAGTTGGTTTTTTGAAAAGTTAAACAAAATTTAACAAAAGTTAAACAAAACTTTAGCCAGACTAAGAAAAAGAGATAGAATCCAAATAAATAAAATCAGAAATTGAAAAGGAGACATTACAACTAATATTGCAGAAATTTGAAGGATCATCCATGGAAACTATGAGCATATATGCCAATAAGCTGGAAAAGCTGAAAGAAATGGACAAATTCTTACATATATACAAACTACCAAGATTGAATCAAGAAGAAATCTAAAACTTAAGTAGACCAACAAGTAATGAGATTGACGTCTCCCAGTAAAGAAGAGCCCAGGACCCAATAGCTTTACTGATGAATTCTACCAAACTTTTAAAGAAATAATACTATCCTATTCAAACTATTCCAAAATATACAGCAGGAGGGAATACTTCCAAACTCATTCTATGAGGCCAGTATTACCCTGATACCAAAACCAGAAAAAGACATATCAAAAAAAAAAAAACCAAAAAAAAAAAACAACACAGGCCAATGTCTCTGATGAGTATTGATGCAAAAATCCTCAACCAAATATTAGCAAACTGAATTCAACAATATATTAAAAGATCATTCATCATGATCAAGTGGGATTTATCTCTGGGATTCAAGAATGATTCTACATATGCAAATCAATCATGTGATACATCATATCAACAGAATGAGGAATAAAACCATATGATCATTTCAATTGATGCTGAAAAAGCATTTGATAAAATTTGACATCCCTTCATGATAAACCCTCAAAACTGGGTATAAAAGGAACACACAAAAATCAGTAATGTTTCTATATGCCAACAGTGAATAATGCAAAAAAGAAAAAAGTAATCTTTTTTACAATAGCAACACATACAACAAAATACATATAATTAACCACATAAGTGAAAAATCTCTATAATGAAAAGCATAAAACACTGATGAAAGAAATTGAAGAGAACACCAATGAATGGAAAATAAATGTTTTGTGTTCATGGCTTGGGATAATCAATATTGTTAAAATGTCAATACTACTCAAGCAATCTACAGATTAAAGGCAATCCCTATCAAAGTAGCAATGATATTCTTCAAATAAATAGGAAAAAAATCATAAAATGCACATTGAACCACAAAAGACCCAGAATAGCCAAAGCTATCCTAAGCAAAAAGAACAAAACTGGAGGAATTATATTACCTGACTTCAAATTATACTACAGAGTTATAGTAAACAAAACAACATGGTATTGTCATAAAAACAGACACAGAGACCAACAGAGCAGAATATGGAACCCAGAAACAAATCTACACAACTACACTGAACTCATTTTTGACAAAGATGCCAAGACTGGAAAAAAGACAGTCTCTTCATTAACTGGTGCTGAGAAAACTGGATATCCATATGAAAAAGAATGAATCTAGACCCCTATGTCTCACTATATATAAAAACTAAATATCCTGGCTAACACGGTCAAACCCCATCTCTACTAAAAAAAATACAAAAAATGAGCCAGGTGTGGTGGCGGGCACTTTTAGTCCCAGCTACTTGGAAGGCCGAGGCAACAGAATGGTGTGAACCTGGGAGACGGAGCTTGCAGTGAGCCGAGATCATGCCCCTGCACTCCAGCCTGGGCGACAGAGTGAGACTCCGTCTCAAAAAAAAAAAAAAAAAAAAAAAAAATTAAATAAAGGATTAAAAACTTAAATCTATGACCTCAAACCATAAAACTCTCTACAAGAAAATCCTGGGGGAAAATCTCCAGGACATTGGTCTGAGCAAAAATTTCTTCAGCCATAGCCCACAAACACAGGCAATCAAAATGGGATCATGGACAAATGGGATCACATCAAGTTAAAAAGCTTATGCACAGCAAAGATGTAATCAACAAAGTGAAGAGACAACCCACAGAAAGAGAGACAATATTTGCAAACTACCCTTCTGTGTTAGTCCATTTTCATACTGCTAGGAAAAAATACCCAAGACTAGGTAATTTACAAAGTTAAAGAGTTTTAATGGACTCACAATTCCATATGGATGGAGAGGCCTCACAATCATGGCAGAAACTGAAGGAGGAGCAAAGGCATGTCTTATATGGTGGTATGCAAGACAGCACGTGCAAGGGAACTGCCCTCTATAAAACCTTAGATCTTATGAGACTTATTCACTATCACAAGAACCCACCCCCATAATTCAATTACCTGCCACTGGGTCCCTCATACGACATGTGGTGATTATGGGAGCTACAATTCAAGATGAGACTTGGGTGGGGACACAGCCAAATCATATCACTCTTTAAGAATGGATTAATAATGAGAATGTATAAGTAGCACAAACTATAGGAAAAAAATCTAATAATCCAATCAAAAGACAGGCAAAAATTTGGATAGATATTTCTCAAAAGAAGACATATAAATGGTAAACAGGCATATGAAAATGTGCTCAACATTATTATCATCAGAGAGATGCAAATCAAAACTACAATGAGATATCATCTCACCCCAGTTAAAATGGCTTTTATTCAAAAGACAGGAAATAATGAATGATGGTGAGAATGTGGAGAAAAAGGGAACCCTTGTACACTGTTGGTGGGAATGTAAATTAGAACAGCTACTATGGAGAAGAGTTTGGAGGTTCCTCAAAAAACTAAAAATTGAGCTACCATATCATTCAGCAATCTCACTGCTAGGTGTATACCCATAAGAAAGGAAATCAGTATATTAAAGAGATATCTGCATTCCTATGTTTGTTGCAGCGCTGTTTACACTAGCTATGTTTTGGAAGCAACCCAAGTGCCCATCAGCAGATTAATGGATAAAGAAAATGTGGTACATATACACCATGAAGTACTATTCAGCCATTAAAAGGAATGAGAGCCAGTCATTTGCAACAACATGGCTGGAACTGGAGGTCATTATGTTAAGTGAAATAAGCCAGGCACAAAAAGACAAACATCAGTGAGATGATTGTCAAACATCTCACTGATTGACAAAACAATAAGTGAGAAGACAAAGTGTTCTCACTTATTTGTGGGAGCTAAAAATCAAAACAATTGAATTCATGGTTGTACGGAGTAGAAGGATGGTTACCAGAGGCTGGGAAGGGTACTGAGGTATTGGGGGTGGGGGACGGAGGTGGGGATGGTTAATGTGTACTAAAAATAGAATAAATAAGACCTACTATTTGATAGCACAATAGGGTGACTATAGTCAATAATAACTTAAAGGTATATTTTAAAATCAAATAATGTAATTGAATAGTTTGTAACTCAAATGATAAATGTTTGACAAGAGGGCTAACCCATTCTTTATCATATGCTTATTTCACATTAAACTATGGATACAGTAAAAAAGATCAGTGGTTGTCAATAGTTACATCAGAGAGAGTGGTGAATAGGCAAGCACGGAGGGTTTTTAGGGCACTGAAACTATTCAGTACCATATTGTAGTGTTGGGTGTTGGAGACATGCCATTATGTATCTTTTAAAACCCATAGAAAATACAAGTGTGAACCCTATGTAAAATATGGGCTTTGGGTGATTATGATATGTCGATATAGGTTCATTGATTTTAACAAATGTACCACTGTGGTGGGGGATGTTGATAATGGAGGAGGCTATGTGTGTGCGTGGGAAGGGGTATACGGGAAATCTCTCTACCTTCCTCTTAATTTTGCTGTGAACCTAAAACTGCTCTAAAAATAAAGCATATTTTTGGAAAGGAAAAAAATTTAAAAATCAAAAAACAGATGCTGGTGAGGCTATGGAGAAACAGGAATGCTTACACACGGTCGGTGGGATGTTAATTAGTTCAGCCACTGTAGAAAGCAGTTTGGAGATTTCTCAAAGAACTTAAAACAGAGCTTCCATTTGAGCCAGTAATCCCATTACTGGGTACGTACATAAAGGAAACTAGATCATTATGCCAAAAAGACACATGCACGTGTATGTTCATTGCCGCACTGTTCATAATAGCAAAGACATGGAATCAACATAGATGCCCATCAATGGTGGATTGGATTAAAAAAATGTGGTACATATACACCATGGAATACTACAAAGCCATGAAAATGAATGAAATCATGCTCTTTGCAGCAACCTAAATGGAGTTAGAGGCCATAATCCTAAGCAAATTAATGCAGGAAGAGAAAAACAAATACTGCATGTTCTTACTTACAAGAGGGAACTATTCATTGCACACACATGGGCATAAACATGGGAACAACAGACACTACAGATACTAGGGGTGAGGAAGGAGGGGGATGTGGGTTGAAAAACTACCTGTTGGGCACTATGTTCACGATCTATGAGCAATATACTCATGTAATATCTAAAATAAAAACTGAAAAAAAAAAACAATCAGGGTGAAGTAGATGGCGAGTTGGTGGAGGTGATATGTTCTCAAATTCTTTCCTAGTATTTTCCAAAAGTAAGAATAAATACACTGAAATGCTTGTGGAAAGATTCAGTCTTATTATATTTTTATAATATATTCTCCAATGGATGTGGCAGATTCAGCCAATTGGACCCTAAAATCATCAAACATTAACATCACATTATTTACTTGTCTTTGGCTAGTTTCTGGCTTATCAAATGATCTAATAATTTGGCTTTCACAGTTTTTCTTAAATAAGAAACTTAAAAACTTAAAATGTGTTAGCAATTTTAAAAATAGCTAACACATTTGATGATTGTATTTCTTTAAAAATTAACAAATTAGCCAGGCACGGTAGCTAATGCCTGTAATCCCAGCACTTTGGGAGGCCAAGGCCTGTGGATCACGAGGTCAGGAGATCTAGACCATCGTGGCTAACACGATGAAACCCCGTCTCTACTAAAAATACAAAAAATTAGTTGTGTCTGGTGGCGGGCGCCTGTAGTCCCAGCTACTCGGGAGACTGAAGCAGGAGAATGGTGTGAACCTGGGAGGCGAAGTTGCAGTGAACTAGAATTGCACCACTGCACTCCAGCCTGGGCGACAGAGTGAGACTCCGTCTCAAAAAAAAAAAAAATAATAATAATAATAATAATAACACATTGAGATTCTGATTAATATATCAATATGTTTTAGGTCTAACTAGACTCATTCAGCATTCCTGAGGCTGATCAAGCCAAAATATCTGTCCTCCAAAATTAAAAGCACAGATAGAGCAAGTAAAAGTTATTTACCTAAAGTCACCCAATGAAACTGGTTGATTGGCAGTTAGCAATCTCTTTCGTGCTGATAGCAGTTTTCATGGGGCACCATTATCACCTCCCCTCCCTTGCAAAATTGTTATAATAACTAAAATCTTCATGTCTACATTTTATGTTTTATTTCTATTCTGTACAATTTAGAACAAAATAAGCTAAGTGCATTCAGAGGTTTAAATATTTGCATGTAACAATATGATAAATCTGAAAACTAAATAAAATATGTCCCCAAAGAAGTTATCATTTAACTTATAAGAAATACAGTTTTCCTCATGCCTCTCCTTTTTTGTGTAATTAACTGGGGAATGTGCTATACAAAATAAGGACAACTTTGTTGCATATAGTTGCATATAACCTTTAAGAGAAAGTTACTGGTAGAAGGCAAGGTACTATCAGCAAATGATATATCAGAGTCAGTAAAATTTTTTCAATATGGATCTTAATGCTTCAAAATACTTTATAAAACTTGGTAAAATAGTGTCTTGTAAGTCATTAAGTCTATAAATGTGTCAATTGTGTGATCAAGGAAAATCTGAATTCCTGAAATTCTCATAATGTGACACAATTGAAGTCTTCAGTTTGAGACATTGATATTCATAAACATGTAGAAAACACCAGATGTTTCAATAATGAGTCTCTTAGTTTACCATATTGGATTGAGCCTAATATATCACTTGTTTTATAAAATTCAGCATGTTATATATAAAGATGATAAAAAATATGATGTAGCACTCACAGAAAATGCATACTTTACTTGCAGACCTTTTAGAGTCAAAATTTTAATCTTTTCAAGTTAAAAGGATTATGTATGCAGTTGATTGTTTTAAATAATAAGCTTTTTTTGAGGGGGCAGTTTTAGGTTTATAGCAAAATTGAGTGGAAAGTACAGAGAATTCCTATATATACCCTGTCCCTACCCACCCACAACCTCTCTCACTGTGACCTCACAGTGGTACATCATTTGTTACAATCTATGAACCTACATTGACACATCATAATCTTCCCAAGTCCGTAGTTTACATTAAGGAAGACTCCTGATGTTGTACACTCTATGGATTCTACAAATGTATAATGGTAGGTATTCACCATTGTAGTATTATACACAATAGAGTCACTGCCTTAAAAAGCCCTTGGATCCTGCTTATTCAACACTTTCTCCCATTTAACTTCTTGTAACCATTCTTCGTTTTTTTCATAGTTTTGCTTCAGAATGTTATGTAGTTGAAATGCTGTATGTAGCTTTCTCAAATTTGCTTCTTTCACTTAGTAATATGTATTTAAGTTTCCTCTCTATGACTTCTTTAATGGCTTGATAGCACCTTTTTTTGTTTTGTTTTGTTTTTAGTGCTAACATTCCATTGTCCGAATGTACCAGTTTATTTTTCCATTTACCTACTGAAGGACATTTTGGTTGCTTCCAGGTTTGGGCAGTTATGCAAAAAGTTGTTTTACATATTGTGTGTGGATTTTTTTTTGTGTGGATATAAGTTTTAAACTCATTTGGGTAAATCTTAAGGAGCATGATTCCTGGATCATATGGTAAGAGCATGTTTAGTTTTGTAAGAAACTGCCAAACTGTCTTAAAAGGTAACTGTACCATTTTGCATTTCCACCAGCAATGAATGAGAGTTCCTGTGCTCTGCATCCTCAACAGCATTTTGTGTTGGCAGTGTTCTAGATTTTGGTAATACTAATAGACGTCTCTTACTATTGTTTAAGTGCTCTCTCATTATTGTTTTAATTTGAAATTTCCTAATGATGTATGATGATGACCATCTTTTCATATGCTTATTTGCCACCTATATTTCTTCTTTAGTGAGATGTGTGTTCAGGACTTTTGCTTATTTTTATTCAGATTGTTTATTTTCCTATTGTAGAGTTTTGAGTTCTTTGTTTACATAACAGTTCTTTATCAGTTGTATTTTTTTTGCAAATATTTTGTTCCAATCCACGGCTTGTTTTCTCATTCGCTTGACAGTGTCTCTCCCAGAACAAAAGGTTTTAATTTTAACAAAACCAAGCTTATTAATTGTTTCTTTCATGATTTGTACCTTTGATATTTTATCTAAGAAGTCATCACCATATCTGAGGTCATCTAAGTTTTGTCCTATTATCTTCTAGGAATTTTATAATTTTGTATACCACATTTAGGTCTAGGATTCATTTTGAGATTTTTGTGAGTGGTGTCATGTCTGTGGCTATATCTATATTTTTGAATGTGAATTTCCAGTTTTTCCAGCACTATTTATTGAATACTATCTTCTCTTCATTGTATTGCCTTTGCTCCTTTGTCAAGATCAGTTTACTATATTTATGTGGGTCAATTTCTAAGTTCTGTATTCTGTTCCATCGATCAATTGGTTATATATATACATATATAACCAGCACCGCAGTGTCTTGATTAATTCAGCTTTATAATAAGTCATGAAGTTGGATAGTGTCAGTCCTTTGTCTTTCCTTCTCCAGTATTTAGTTGTATATTCTGGGTCTTTTGCCTTTTCATATAAACTTTAGAATCAGTTTCTAATACACACAAGAAAACTTTCTGAGACTTTACTGGAATTGTACTGAATCTATATATCAATTTGGAAAGAACTAACATCTTAGCAATACTGAATCTTCCTATTCCTGAACATGAACTATGACTCTATTTATTTATTTTTTCTTTGCTACCTTTCAACCAAATGTTGTAGTTTTCCTTATGTATACCTTGCACACATTTTGTTAGACTTACACCTAAATATTTTATATATGGGGCACAAATATAAATGGAAATGTGTTTTTAGTTTTAAATTCCACTTGATAATTGTTGTTGTTTACACAAAAATATTGACTTTTGCATATTAACCTTGTATGCTGTACCATTGCTAAGATTGCTTATTAGTTCCAGCAGTTTTTTGTTGTTGTTGCTTGGTCAGTTCTTTCAGATTTTCTATATAGATTATCATGTCATCTACAAACAAGACAGTTTTATTTCTTCCTTCCCAATCTGTATCACTTTTTTTGTCTTATTGCATTACCTAGACCATCTAATACAATGTTGAAAAGCAGTGGCAAGAGAACGTTCTTGCCTTGTTTCTGATCTTAGCAGGAAAGTTTTGAGTTTCTCACTATTTAAGTATAATGTTAGCTGTAGGTTTTTTGTTTGTTTGTTTTTGTAGATATTCTTTATCAAGTTGAGGGAATTTCCCTTTATGTCTAGTTTTTAAAGAGCTTTTAACATGAGTAGGTGTTGGATTTCAGTCAAATACTTTTTCTGCATTTATTTATATGATCTTGTGATATTTTCATTAGGTTTGTAGATGTGATAAATTACACTGACTGAATTTCAAATGCTGGACCAACCTTGCATACATGAGATAAATTCCACTTAGCCATGGTGTATAGATTTTTTATACATTACTAGATTTTATATGATATATTTTGTGGCGATTTCTGCACCCATGATTATACAATATATTGGTCTGTAGTTTTCTTGTAATGTCTTTGTCTGGCTTTGGTATCAGGGTGATGCTGGCCTCATGGTATGAATTAGGAAGTATTTCCTCTGCTTCTATTTTGTGAAAGACAACTGCTACGTATATATACATATATATTTTGTGCTTTCTGCTTTGAAAGATTAATTTTTAAAATAATTTCAACTTTTATTTTTGATTCAGATGGTACATATGCAAGTTTGTTACATGAGTATATTGCATGATGTGAGGTTTGGGGTATAATCAATACCGTCACCAAGGTAGTGAGCATAGTACCCAACAGTTACTTTCTAAACTCTTGCATTCCCTTTCTCATCTAGTAGTCCCTAGTATTGATTGTTGCCATTTTTATGCCCGTGAATACCCAATGTTTAGTTTTCACTTACAAGTGAGAACATGTGGTATTTGGTTTTCTACTCCTGTGTTAATTCACTTAGGTTAATAGCCTGCAGCTACATCCGTTTTGCTGCAAAAGACATAATTTCATTCTTTTGGCTGTGTAGTATTCATGGTGTATATATATCAAATTTTCTTTATTCAATTCAGTATTGATGGGCACCTAGGTTAATTCCATGTCTTTGCTATTGTGAATAGTGCTGTGATGAACATACAAGTGCATGTATCTTTTTGGAAGAATTATTTATTTTCTTTTAGATATATAATTATTGATTCAACTCATTTAATGGATATAGGTTAATTCAGTTTGTTTATTTCTTCTTGTGTGAAACTTGGCACACTGGCTTTCAAGGAATTGGTCCATTTTATACATTATCAAATTCATGAGCATATAGTTGTTCATTATATTCCTTTATAATCTTTTAAATGTCAGTGGGATCTGTAGGAATATCCCTCTTTTCTTTTTAATATGAGTAATTTGTGTCTTTTTGTTTTTTCTTGGCTAGACTGGTTAGAGGCTTATTAATTCTATTGATCATTTTGAAGAATGAGCTTTGGTTTTGGTTTTCCTCAACTAATTTCTTGTTTTTAGTTTCACTGATTTCTGCTATATTTGTTTTTGTTATTTTTTTTTCTGCTTTGTATTTAAATTGTTCTTTTTTTTTTTTTTAGTTTCTTAAGGTGAAAGCTTAGGCTATTGATTTTAGATCTTTCTTCTATCCTAATATATGCATTCAATGCTATGATTTCCTTCTAAGTACTTCTTTTGATGCATCCCACAGGGTTTGATAAGTTGTATTTTTATATTAAGTTAAAATATTTTTAACAGTTGCTTGAGATTTCCTCTTGATCTCTGTGTTATTTAGAGTCATGTTGCTTAATATCAAATATTTTGGGATTTTCTAGTTATCTTTCTGTAATTCATTTCTAGTTTGATTCTATTATGTTTTGAAAGCATACACTGTTTAATTTTTATTCTTTTAAATGACCCAGATTTTTGTTTATCTTGGTGAATGTTCTATATGAGCTTGAGATGAATGTGCAATCTGCTGTTGTTTGATGAGGTAGCCCATAGATGCCAATTATATCCAATTGATCGGTGGTGATGCTAAAGTCAATGATGTCCTTACTGATTTTCTGTCAGCTAGATTAGTCCATTTTAATATAGGTGTGTTAAAGTCTCCAACTATAATAAGGGGTTCATCTATTTGGCCTTGCAATACTATCAGGTTTTGCCTCATGTATTTTGATGCTCTATTGTTAGGTACATACACGTTAAGGATTGTTATGTCTCCTTGGAGAATTGTCACATTTATCAACATTTAATGTCTTCACCTATTCCTCAAAACTTTCCTCACTCTGAAGCCTGCTCTGTCTGAAATTAGTATAAATACTCCTGCTGTCTTTTGATTAATGTTAGTATCATAGATCTTTCTCTGTATCTTTACTTTTAATGTATGTGTTTTTGTATTTAAAATCGGTTTGTTGTAACAACATACAGTTTTGTCTCTTTTTTAAATAAACTCTGGCACTTTCCTTTAATTAGCTCATTTAGACAATTAATATTTAAAGTGATGTATTAATATAGTTAGATGAATATCCACTATATTTGTTACTGTTTTCTAATTGTTGCTCTTGTTCTTTGTTTCTATTTTTGTCTCTGCACATTTTCTGCTTATTGTGGTCTCAATTGAGCATTTTATATTATTCAATTTTTGCTCATTTTCAAGCATATCAGTTTTTCTTCTCTTTTTAATTTTGCTACTGGTTGTCCCAGAGTTTGCAATATACATTTACAACAAATCCAAGTGCACTGTCACCTAACACTATGCTGCTTAAGGGGTGGCACAAGTACATCATAAAAATAAAGTATTCCTAATTAATTCCTCCAAATTCTTCTATTGTTGCTGTTATTCAGTATACATAAGCATTATATATGTATATATAATCAAATATATTATTGCTATTACTATTTTGAACAAACTGTTATCTGTTAGGTCAATTAAGAATAAGAAATAGAAATTTTTGTTTTACCTTCGTTTACTTCTTCTCTAAGCTGTTGGGTTGTTTATGTAGATCTGAATTTCTGAGCTGTATCATTTTCCTTCTCTCTGAAGAACTTTTTTTTAACATTTCCTGCAAGGCAACAAATTTCAGCAATTTCTGTTTAAGAAAGTCTTAGTTTTGCCTTCACTACTTCTTTTTTTCTTTTGGACAAGGTCTCATTCTGTCACTCAGGCTGGAGTGCAGTGGCATGATAATGGCTCACTGCAGCCTTGACCACCCAGGCTACAGTGATCCTCTCACCTCGGCCTCCTGAGTAGCCAGGACTGCATGTGCACACCACCGTGCCTGGGTGATTTTTTGTAGAGATGGGGTTTCACCATGTTGTCCAGGCTGGTCTCAACCTCCTGGGCTCAAGCAATCTACCTGCCTTGACCTCCCAAAGTGCTAGAATTACAGGCGTGAGCCATCATGCCTGGCCCTCTCTTTCACTTAAAAAAATTTTGTAGGGTACATAATTCTAGGTTGGTTTATTTTTTTCTTTACAAACTTTAAATATTTCACTCTAGTCTCTTCTTTCTGGCATGGTTTCTGTGGAGAAGTTGGATGTAATTCTTATTTCTGCTTCTATGTAGATAATGTGTGGTTTTTTTTTTCCATTTGGCTTTCTTCAACACTTTTTCTTATCTTTGACTTTCTGAAATTTGAATACAATATGCCTAGATTCAGAGTTTGTGTGTGTGTGTGTGTGTGTGTGTGTATGTGTGATTTATACTGCTTGTTTTTCTCTGAACTTCCTGGATATGTGGATTGGTGTCTGAAATTAATTTGGAGAAAATCCTCACTCATTATTACTTCAGATATTTCTATTTCTGTCTTTCTTCCTCTGTTATTATCACTAAACGTGCTACATCCTTTGTAGTTGTCTCATGGTTCTTGACCATTCTGTTACCTTTTTTTTTGTTCTTCTTTCTCTCCCTCTCTGTTTTTTCTTTCATATTTGGAAGTTTCTACTATCATATTGTCAAGCTTTCAGACTCTTTCTTCAGCTGCATCCAGTCTACTCAATGAGCAGATCAAACATATTCTTTATTTCTGTTACAGTGTTTTTGATCTCTAGTATCTGTTTGTAATTATTTCTTAGAATTTTTATCTCTCTGCTTACATTATTCATTGTTCTGACATGTGGTCTAATTTTCCCATTAAAATCATTAACATATTAATAATAGTTTATTTTTATTTTCTGATCTGATAATTCCAACATTCCTGTCACTTTTAACTGGCTCTGATACTTGTTCAGTCTCTTCAAACTCGTTTTTTTTTCTTTTGTTATGCTTTATAATTTTATGTTGCAAGATAGACACGATGTACTGGGTAAAAGGAACTCCAGTAAATAGGCCTTTAATGATTTGAAGGCCAGGTGTAGGGGAGGGGAAACATTATATAGTTGCATAATTTGGCCTCGGTCTTTTGGTATGCATGTACCTCCAGGTTGTGAATATTACCCTGTTTCGCGATCTCAACTCTGATTCCACTCCTGGCCATTAGGTGGGATCAAATGGCCAAAAGGGGCTAGAGTTGGGCATTTTTCTTCCCCCAGGTAAGTTAGTCTCTGATAAAACCTCAATACTTTGGGCCCTGGTAAAATAGTTTCTAATAAGGGTAGACCTTGTTAAGTAGAACAGAATGTTCTGACACATTCCAAAATTTTTTCCCCTTTTTTTTTTGGTGCTGAAGGCATGAGAGGATTTTTCTTTGATATTTATTGTGAGGACCTGGTAGAGCTCCTAGAGGTAAAACTCACAAAGTGTGAGGGCCTCTATATGACTGGGTTTCTGTAGAGTTTTTGACTATCAGAGTTGTCCACAGTAAGAATTCATCAATTACCAGTCACGTTTTTCTCCCTTGAGACTGGCTCCTGCATGGAGCGATGCTCTATGGTTTCTGCTTTGGTAAACTGGAATCCTCTTAACTCAACTTATCAGAAGTATTTACATGTCTGTCTTTTACATTTGGGAAGCAATATTTTGTCCTGTGACCTCATTTCTCTGCCAGATCTAGGAAGAGCTGTTGATTTTTCAGTTTTTTCAGCTTTTTACTTGTTGCTAAGAAAGAATGGTGACTTCCAAGCTCTTTAAATGCTGAACTAGAAACCCAAAGGCTTAATTTGTAAATATATACAACATAGGAAACCTTACACTTTTCCTTCTGAATTCTAATTATATTTTTGTTATATACAATTGTATTTACATGTAAATAATGGTTTTAATTCACTTGTCTCTTTATATGGATCACAATTAAGAAAATCTGTGGTTACTATGGTTTAATTACTATCTATAATGTAAATTTATTATTTTTGAAATATTCTAGAACTTCTGGTGGAATTTTGTAGAGAAATGAAAGACTTTTCAAAAATAATGTGTCAGAAAAGGTGATAATAAACCTCAAAAACTGAAAATAAAAAAGGTGGAGGTGATACTGGGAATGGAGGTGTCGAACATAGAGAAACTATTTGGTCACAGACTAAGAATAGTGCAGAGATTCCAGAGGAAAAAAAAAATAATGAGTGTTGTTCTGAGATGTTTTTATTACTGTAAATAGAAAATATGAAAGAAAATTGATAAGAGAAGAAGAGAGAAAATATTAAGATTACAAAAATAATCAGTGTGACTTTTTCTCCCTTCCTTCCTTCCTTCCTTTCTTTTCTTTCTTTCTTTCTCTTTCTTTCCTTCCTTCCTTCCTTCCTTCCTTCCTTCCTTCCTTTTATTTTTGAGACAGAGTCTCACTCTGTCACCCAGGCTGGAGTGCAATGGTGCGAACTTGGCTCATTGCAACCTCCACCTCTTGAGTTCAAGTGATTATCCTTCCTTAGCCTCCCAGGTAGCTGGGACTACAGGTGCCCACCACCGTGCCCAGCTTTTTTTATTATTATTATTATTAGTAGAGACAGGATTTTGCCATGTTGGCTAGGCTGGTCTTGAACTCCTGACCTCTGGTGATCCACCTCCCTCAGCCACCCAAAGTGCTGGGATTACAGGCGTGAGCCACTGCACCCAGCCAGTGTGGCTTTTTCATTGTGTGAAGAGTTTTAAAATACAAGGACAGACTCTAACTTCAAGATCCAAGATTTGATTAAGTCTTTGGGCAGTATTTAAAAATGCCAAGGTCTCCCATTCTGAATAGGACATCTCCCAGGGTGCCCATAGAACTGCTGGTTTCATCCCATATGTTCATTGATCCATCTAGGCAGGGCGGTATGTTCTTACATCTCTCTAGCTCCGATGCTCTTCATTCTACAGTTAATATGTTTTTTGTTTGTTAGTAATTAAGAAGTGTTTTTGTACATATGTTGCAGGAAGGGCTTCATTTTTATTTTAGTACACATTTATTTCTTCTCTGAACAGGGTTTTGTTGGTGGTGTAAGACTATCCTAAGTGATAGCCTTCTAAGTAACAGTAGGAGTTGACATTCAACTGCTTTTAACTATCCAGGATACTTTTTATACTAGACCTTGGAATCTACAGTCTAAAGTAATATACCCCCAAAAATGTAATTTGATATTTTATACTCTTTATGTACCATATCAGAAAAAGTATGTTGGAGTTTGTTAGTTTGTTATGGGCATCACTTCACTTCATAATAGAATGCCTAGTCTCTCTGAACTCTTGTTGAAAAATCATATTCATGTGTCTTAAAAATTTATATTTTTATGTTCTCTCAAATGTGTTTCTTATATAGCATACTCTAAGAATGAAATTGTCACCACAGATAAATCCTCATTAGCAAGAAATTTGTCTGTTCCAGTATACTCCCACTTTGACCAAGTCATTTGCCTGTCAAATTTAATTTTTCTGCCTTAAGAATGAATGTCCTGTGCAAAATATTGGATGCAGGATAAAGTTATCCAAGTCAGTGACTTCAGCTTCACACACACACACATAAAAATATATACATATGTGTGTGTATATATATAGTTAGTTTTGAAGTTATTTATGTTTATGTAAACTTTAAGATTGGATTGTTTGCTATTGCTCTGTGTGAAACACATATCTTTCAGTAAACTACATTTTTAACTTTTCCAAAAAACATATTCTAAGTTCTAGAGTTGCACACCAAATGTGGATGCATAAGAATTGAGTGAAGATTTTTTTAAAAAAGACAAATAGCAAATGCTAATAGGAAGTAAATGAGTAGTAAGTATTGCAAAAGCCTGTTTACAAGTACCAGGAGGAAAGAAATGAACTTGCTATGATGACTACAGGGAGGAAAATAACTTGGGATAGTATTATAGAAACAAAATGGGGTGAATTATATCCAAACTTATACAATCAACTTGTTAATATTGATGAGTATACTTGTTATGACAGAGACAGATAAAATATAAGACAAAGCGAGGCAGGAGAATAGGGTCTAAAGGCAGGGAACCTAAGGCCAATTCACACTGACTTCTTAGAACTAAATCAAAAGGAAAACCCCAACTTTCCATGCCCAAGTAACAAAAGAACAGAGGTTGCTCCCTTTGCAACTGCCCCCTCCCCCTTTTCTGTGTTGCAGATGAAAAATGAAAGTACCTTTTATTGGTCCCCTCCTGCAACCAGGACTGATGGTAGGCCAAGTCTTCATGTGTAACTTTGTAACTTCAATTCAGCTTCTGATTGGGTTGTGGGAGACAATCAGACTTGTTATGGGCCACTACTTCATTTACATAAGGTGTAAATGAAGTAACCAATGGGAAACCTCTAGAGGGTATTTAACCCTTAGAATTCTGTAACCAGTGCTCTTGAGCCGCTTGCTCAAGCCCACTCCCATTCTGTGAAGTGCACTTTCATTTCAATACATCCGTGCTTTACTTGCTTCATTTGTTCATTGCTTTGTGCACTGTGCCTATTCTTTGTTTAAAATGCCAAGAACCTGGACAACTTGTAGTCAAGACCATGCGCCAGTAACATATTTTGGTGAGCCAGCAAGGAGGTAAGCCCCAAGTTTGGGATTTATTTTTCTTCTCTCTCTCTGTTTTTTTCCTTTTCTTCTTTGCTGTATATAGAGGAGCCCTGTTCTCCCTCTGTCTCTCTCTCTTTTTCCCTTTCCAACTCGGGACCCTTGGCAGATAGCACCTAAGCATGGAGGCAGCTGCAGGTATCTGGCAGAGGCTGCTCTACGGTGAAACTGAAAGATTTCCGTGTGTTAGCACCTGACCACCACTGCCTGGTTTGGGTGAGAGACTTGAGTCCTGGTAATTGAGGATGACTTTCCTGGGCCACTCTCTGGTGTTACCTGAAGGCCAAGGAGTGAATGGGGATGGTTGCCCTGCCCATAAGGGGAAGGACTCTTTTTTGTATTTTCCGGTTGTAGTCCCTGATCTCTACGTGTAATGAAATTAGTAGCAGCAGCTCGTCCAGGGTAAACTTACACATGTTTCAGGTGATTTGCAAAATTTTCCGTAGAGTTAACCTGTAAGGGCAAAATATAATGTCCCTTAGGTGTTTTGACCTCCCTTCTCCTAATCAATCTATTTGACTGACTGAGGACCTTTGGAACCCGTAAACTTTAGAATACTTCTATATTTTGGACCTCCACTAAGGGGACCCCATAGCTTGATGGGCATTGCTTACACATCCACTTGCTTACCTTGAACCCCATAGAAATTCTCAACCACAATCTTCAATTTACCCCTGGGCCCTTCCTTAGAACACCCCACCAATCTTGGTACTGTTAACATTGCAATGTTTGGGAATCCCCTTAGTCCCATGAGGAATACAGGAAGATATGGCCTATCTAAATTGGTGGTATGCTAAAAGTTGGGGATTACACACCCAGGAACAAAAGGAAAGCTCATAGTAGGCCATTGCCTCTGGAGGAAAAGCATACAAAGTGGCACCAGTGCCCACCTAAGGTCAGAGGCATCCGATACTCTAAGATTGGACCCTAAAGGGGGATGCCCTAGGGGATCCAACTCCAGACCTTAACCTCTCTAAATAGGATGTACTAGGCAGAGATTCTGAGGTCCAGTACTAAGCCCTGGACTTTTCTCTTTCTTTCAGATGATAATGGGAAACACTCCATCTATTCCACCCGACTTCCCACTTGGCTACATCCTCAACCATTAGACTCAATTTGACCCTGATAATCCAATTTGACCCTGATATTTCAAGGAGGAAATGCTTGATATTCTTTTGCAATACTGTTTGGCCTCACTATTGTTTGGAATCTGAAGTTTGCTGCTAAATGGGGAAGTGGAATGGAGTTGCATGTATCCAGGCTTTTGTGCTGCTGTTCTAAGCTGGGTTTGACCTGGTTAACATGTGATGCTCTCCTTTGGTATTGTATGGCCCCAGTGTTCTTCAGAATTTAAAAATCAAACTGCCATGGAAACTGCTTTACCTAAAATTTTGGTTCACAGCTTTCATTGGGTTACTTATTGGGGCCAACACAATGTAACCATGTAAAACCAGTGAGATTGTATTGCTACCTCATGGCTAGAGTTCCAAGGTGAAAGCTATTGGATTCTTATTTGTGTGTGTATACATTTCTAGGTGTGTTTATGTGTATGTACATTTATTATGTTATATGCTGTGTCTACCAAATTGATTTATAAATAAAGGAGCACTCATAAATTAAGTAAATAAGTCCCAGCAATTTTCAAGTTCATGTGACATAAGTAAATCTTTATTAAACAAGCTGGCTTTAAAATTATTGGTGAAATAAAAATAGAAATGTCTTTATAATTGTCAGCATACATTTTTGTCTGGGTTTTATATTTGTCTTTGCTAGATGTTTTGAGGTGTCAGTGTTTGGCATAGAAGGTTATAAAGCTATTAACCCAGCCAAAACAAAATGGTCTTGATTTGTGTATCTTCTTTGACAAATGAGACTAATTTAATGTTGTTAGCTGAATCTTCTGAGTTATTGGCAAAAATGCTTATGTATTTAACTTTGAGGCTGTTGTTTGGATGAGTGTATGATGTTCACTGGCTATTAAAAAACAGTTAACAAAGAAATAACTAACTTTAAATGATGGTGTCTAATATCTCAGTTTTCAAAAGTTCTAAGTTTAGAAAGTTAAAGGGTTTAAGTGAGATAGGAAAAACCTAAACATTTGAACACATTGTGGAAGGTTTATGAAAAATTAATTGTAAAAGGGATTTTGTGTGTGAACACATTGGCTAAAGTTAAAGGGGAAGACCGGCAATTAGACTTCACCCATATGCCAGCTTGTAAAGGATACAAGTTTTTGCTAGTATCAATTGACACCTTTACTGGCTGCGTTGAACTTTACCCTACCAGAACACAGAAGGCTAATGAAGTTATATAGGTTCTTTTAAAGGAAATAATCCCCTGGTTTGGGTTACCCCAAAGCCTCCAAAGTGATAATGATCAAACTTTTGTCTCCCAAATAATTCAAGGGGTTGCTAAGGCTTTTGGAATCAAATATTATTTGCACTTAGTATGAAGATCTCAATCCTCTGGGAAAGTAGAAAGTGTTAATCAAACTATAAAAAGGGCACTGGTTGAGCTATGTCAGGAAACATCAGAAACTTGGCTTAGCTTACTGCCCATAGTCCTCTTAAGGATCTGTAATTTCCCTGGAGCAAAAATTAATATAAGCCCATACAAAATGTTATATGGAAGGACATTTTTATCTAATGATCTAATTACTGATCCAGAAACAGCCAGTTTAGTAAAATACCTAGTTGACCTGGGACAATTTCAGCAGGCTATACAAAAGTTTGGAACGCAAAGCCTCCAGAAACCAGGAACTAACTAGCAACCTAAAATCAGGCAAAGGGAAAAGTACACGGAAGGAGGGATCACCTGCTCAACAGTTACAATCCAAATGGAAGGAACCATTTTCATTGGTACCGGCCGTGCCTTCTGCAGTCAAATTACTAGGATTAGATAGTTGGGTACATCTTTCCAGGGTCAAGCCTCTGATACCTGAAGCCCTGGACCTGGAACCTGAAGCTCCCATCAGCCACCACACCTGTGAACCTGACTTGAAGTACCTATTCAAAAAGAGAGCCAAAAGATAAATGCCTGTCAACTTTCCTTGGGGTCTTTGTTACATAGTTACTGTAAGCTAGATAATAGTAGCCATTTTTTATTTTTACAATTTAATTGCCTTCTTCCAAACAGATGGAATCACTTCCTTTGTACTAATTAAGCAAAATGTTTTACTTCATTTTTGTAACAAGCATTCCTGACAGCCTAAGTATCCACCCCTTGAAGTTCCCACTCTATAGAACAAAATAACAAATAAGTAAATTTTTTCGTTCCATAAGGCCACCCACAGACTGTGTATACCGGGACCACGCATACTGGGAATCAGGTTAATTTTACAACAGACTTTCACTTTACCCCTCAGGCAATTAATGGATTCTGAATATTTATTAAGAACTTTAAATTTAATGCAAAGATTGTTAAATACCACCAGCTCAGCTCTGGCAAAGAACTGTTGGCTTTGTTTATCTCCATCATCATCCAAATACATTGCCATCCCAATTCCAACCTGATTTTCGTCCCTTGAAAAAAAAATGACCTACAATGACAGGATGAACAGCAAACCTTCTCCAGTCCTACCAGAGCACCTTTCTGGGGTTGCATCCCCAAAGAAACCCATTTCGGGCCCAATATCAACATTTACAGAGCTAAAATTCCAGGTGCTACTTTGTATTAAGGGAAGCTAAAATTCTGTTTATGTCCTGGGAAGCTTGAAAAGTCATCAATGTATCTCTACACCTTAGAGATGTAAGCTATGCAGTTACCCAAACTGCGTCATTTAGAAAACCTATACATTTTTCATGGAAACCATCCCTAGATAAGGGCACTGTAAGGAAGACACAGTCTAAGTACTGTCAAGGTAGGCCCACTAGCTGTGTTCACATTTTCCCTTGGCCACCTGATATGGTTTGACTCTGTGTCCACACCCAAAACCCATCTTGAATTGTACTCCCATAATTCCCACATATTGTGGGAGGGACCCAGTGGGAGATAATTTGAATCATGGGGGCAGTTACCCCCATACTGTTCTCATGGTAGTGAATAAATTTCATGAGATCTGATGGGTTTATCAGGGGTTTCCACTATTGCATCTTCTCATTTTACCCTTGCCTCTGCCATGTAAGAAGTTCCTTTCACCTCCTGCCATGATTCTGAGGCCACCCCAGCCATGTGGAACTGTAAGTCCATTACACCTCTTTTTCTTCCCAGTCTCAGGTATGTCTTTATCAGCAACATGAAAGTAGACTAATGCAGTAAATTGGTATCAGAAGAGTGGGGTGTTGCTGAAAAGATATCCAAAAATGTGGAAGTGACTTTGGAACTAGGTAAAAGGCAGAGGTTGAAACAGTTTGGAGGACTCAGAACAAGACAGGAAAATGTGGGAAAGTTTGGAACCTCCTAGAGATTTGCTGAAGGGCTTTGAAAAAATGCTGGCAGTGATATGAACAGTAAGGTCCAGGCTGAGGTCATCCCAGATGGAGATGAGGAACTTGTTGGGAACTGGAGCAAAGGTGACTCTTGTTACGTTTTAGCAAAGAGACTGGCAGGATTTTGCCCCTGCCCTAGAGATTTGTGGAACTTTGAAGTTGAGAGAGATGAATTAGGGTGACTGGCAGAAGAAATTTCTAAGCAGCAAAGTGTTCAATAAGTGACTTGAATGCTGTTAAAAGCATTCCATTTTAAAAGGGAAACAGAGCATAAAAGTTCAGAAAATTTGCAGCCTGATGGTGCAGAAGAAAAGAAAAACTCATTTTTTTGAGGAGAAATTCAGGGTGGCTGCAGAAATTTGCATAAGTAACAAGGAGCTGAATGTTAATCCCCAAGACAATGGAGAAAATGTCTCCAGGGCATGTCATAGGTCTTCCAGGCAGCCCCTCTCATCACAGACCCAGAAGCCTAGGAGGAAAAAGTGGTTTCCTGGGCCAGGCCCAGAGTCCCCATGCTATGTGCAGCCTAGGAACTTGGTGCCCAGTGTCCCAGCTGCTCCAGCCATTGCTAAAAGGCACCAAGATACAGCTTTGGCCTATGGTTTCAGACGGTGCAAGCCCCAAACCTTGGCAGCTTCCACTTGATGTTGAGCCTGCAGGTACAGGGAAGTCAAGAATTGAAGTTTGGGAACCTCTACCTAGATTTTTAGAAGACGTGTGGAAACACCTGGATGCCCAGGCAAAAGTTTGCTGCAGGGGCGAGGCTCTCATGGAGAACCTCCGCTAGGGCAATGCAGAAGGGAAATGTGGGGTTGGAACCCCCACACAGAGTCCCTACTGGGGCATCACCTAGTGTAGGTGTGAGAAGAGGTCCACCGTCCTCCAGACCCCAGAATGATAGATGCACCAATAGCTTGCACTGTGCACCTGGAAAAGCTGCAGACACTCAATGTAAGCCTGTGAAAGCAGCCAGGAGGGGGTTATACCCTGCAAAGCCACAGGAGTGGAACTGCCCAAGACCATGGGAACCTACCTCTTGCATCAGTGTGACCTGGACGTGAGACACGGAGTCAAAGGAGATCATTTGACTCCCCTGCTGCATTTCAGACTTGCATGGGCCCTCTAACCCCTTTGTTTTGGCCAATTTCTCCCATTTGGAATAGCTGTATTACCCAATACCTGTACCTCCATTGTATCTAGGAAATAACTAGCTTGATTTTGATCTTACAGGCTCATAGGTGGAAGGGACTTGTCTTGTCTCAGATGATACTTTTGACTGTGGGCTTTTGGGTTAATGCTGAAATGAATTAAGACTTTGGGGGATTGTTGGGAAAGCATGATTGGTTTTGAAATGTGAGGACATGAGATTTGGAGGGGCCAGGGGTGGAAGGGTGGAATGATATGATTTGGCTCAGTATACCCATCCAAATTCCATCTTGAACTCCCATAATTCCCACATATTGTGGGAGGGACCTGGTGGGAGATAATTTGAATCATGGAGGTGGTTTCCCCCATATTCTTCTCGAGGTACTGAATAAGTCTCACAAGATCAGATGGTTTTATCAGGGGTTTCCACTTTTGCATCTTCCTCATTTTCTTTTGTCTCTGCCATGTAAGAAGTGCCTTTCACCTCCTGCCATGATTCTGAGGCCTCCCCAACCATGTGGAGTATGTGGAATTTTAAGTCCAATTAAACCTCTTTTTCTTCCCAGTCTCGGTTATGTTTTTATCAACAGCATGAAAATGGACTAATACACCACCTTAGCAGGGAACTTAACCACTCAGAAAAGTGCAAACAACATTCTAACCCACATGTTCACCATAGAGAAATTTTTTGGCTTGAAAAATAAGTAACATTTTTTCTCTGTGTAACTAGTTCCTGTGTAGTTTTGCAGTCAATTGGACTGGAACCTGTACATGTGTTTATTTAGCCCCCGAAATCAATATAGCTGCCAATAACCAATCTCTCATTATACCTTTAACTTCAACCACCAGACACAAATGAGCCATCCAACTCATACCGCTTTTGGTAGGGCTAGGAATAACAGCAGGAGTAGGAATGGGAGTTAGTGGACTTGCAACTTCCCTATCCTATTATCAGTGCATGTCCAAGGATTTTTATGGAAAGCTAGGATGACATTGTCCAAAGTATTGTTACTTAAAAAAATCAAAGAGACTCCTTGGCAGCCGTCACTTTGACAAATAGAAGGGGACTGGATCTCCTAACTGCTGAAAAAGTTGGCTTATGTCTTTTTCTAGAGGAATAATGCTGTTTTTGTGTCAACTAATCAGGATGAGCAAGAGATGCCACCCAAAAAGTAGCCGATTGGGTCTCTAAGATATGACAACAGCTGTCCAAGTCATGGGGCTCATGGTCAAAAATGCTAACTTGGGGTTCGTGGCTCCTTCCGTTGGCCAGCCCATCATTAATTATTACACTTGCCTTGGTTTTGGACCATGTTTGTTAACTCTTTTAACCAAATTCATTTCCTCTCATCTAGAGACAATCAAACTTCAGATAATCATGCAACAAGGTTTCCAGCCAGTTCCAGGTGTAGACACCACTCCCAGCCATCAAGAAACTACTGTCAAGGCAAGGGTTCTGTGATCCTCAATAGGTATGGACCGTGCCACAAGTCAGCATAAAGTAGTTACAGAAGAAAGACTGTTGGTCCCTCTGCCTCCCATAAAGATTTATGGGAATCACATCTCTCTGGGGGAAATGAGGCAGGAGAATAGGTTGTGGAGGCAGGGAACCTAAGGCCAATTCACACTGACTTCCTAGAACTAAATAAAAAAAAAAAACCCAATTTTCCATGCCCAAGTAACAAAAGAACAGAAGCTGCTCCCTTTGCAACTAACCCCGCTGACCCCCCATTTCTGCATTGCAGATAAAAAAAGAAAGTACCTCTAATTGGTCCCCTCCCACAACCAATCAGACTGGTGGCAGGCCAAGTCTTCATGTATAACTTTGTAATTTCAATTCAGCCTTTGATTTATTGCCTCCCACAGCCAATCAGACTGGTTGCAAGCTACTACTTCATTTACATATGGTATAAGCCACATAACTAATGGGAAACCTCCAGTGGGTATTTAAACCCCAGAAAATTCTGTAACCAGTGCTCTTGAGCCATTTGCTCAAGCCCGCTTCCACTTTGTGGAGTGCACTTTTGTTTCAATCCATCTGTGCTGTCCTTGCTTCATTCTTTAATGCTTTATTTGTGCATTTTGTCCAGTTTTTTATTCAAAACACCAAAAACCTGGACAACTCGTAGCCAAAACCCTCCACGGTAACAAAGGTACCATTATGTATCAAAAACGTTAGTACAAATCAGAAATCTACATAGCCCAAACTATCAATAATCACATTTCTAAGTGAACAGTTAATATAGATTTTATAGCTATATATGCTCTAGTCATGACAGTTACATTTATTCATTTCAGATGATAGATTTGCAGCTCAGTATTCAAAGAGTTTATCAGCACTATTTTTTTATTTATTTACCATCTTAGGGCATAAAATATAAAATAGATAAGGGTGAAATAACAGGCACTTGTTGAAAAGTGACAATTGTTCTATTTCCAGAGTTTAAGAAAACACGTAAACATTAAAAAATATGTCTGAAAAATATGCAAAATATATTACTATAGAGTAAATACAGGTTGGAAAATTAGCTTCATATTCTTAATACTCACTAAAAATATTGTCCTTTTGTTTTGACTCAGAGAAATTTAATTATTGAATATTTCCTGAGGAAGGGGTGTTTATTCTCTGAATATGTTTCACTGAATATGTTTCACTGAAATATACTAAAACTGCTTTACTTTTCTAAACAGGTGTGTATTAATAAATGTGTCTGTGGGTGCATACTACTTTTTATATGTAGCCCATGATTCACTTTTATGTAAATCTTAGAGAGCTAAGAAATCTACAGAGCTTTTTCTGAGACTAGATTTGCGTAAATATTCCCCTTGCCAATGATTATAGTGCTCAAACTATCTGGATTTTATGGATTAGTTCAAATAAATTGTGATCCTATTTTAGTAAAAAAAGTTTAAAGTGTATGACTAGGTGAGGTTTAAACATGTACACTTACACACACAAATTTTTTATGTATTTACTTGATGGGATCATAGATCATTACAACCTTGTATAGAGAGTTAATTGGTTTATAAAGTCTCAGATCTCAGATCCCTAGAAATACAAGTAGTCTGTCAAGGAGACTTAAAATGATCATCCACAAAAAAAATGACGGGTTATTTTTTCAACATGACAGTTGTTACACACCAACACAATGTAGATGACTATATTCTTGGCCACTTTGTAAATTATACCAAGATGAATTGTTTGTTAGTTGTATAATCATTCATTAAACTAACAGCTTTTAAATCCTACCTATGAGATAAGCCCTCTTTTAGGTGATGTTATTACAAAGGTAAAGACATAGTTCTCACTGTAGGATGTTCTCCACCTCCTAGAGATGTATGTATAAATACACTTGCAATTCTTTTTGGTGAGTGCTATAATAGAGGGATCTGAAGGATACAATACTGCACAAGGTAGAATGTGCTTAATTTTGCTTGAGGGGTGAGAGAATGTGAAAATCTGTCACAGAAAAGGGATGCTTCATCTAAATATGTAAAGAAAACATTGAACACTTATTAGAGACTAAAAGGATGGAGATGTTGGGGAGGACTTTCATGACAAAATGAGCAACATTTCCATGTATATGGAGTTCCATTGTGGCATGAAAGATATGAGAAACCCAAATATACTTTGGATTACTTTTATGTGATTTGCCAAATTTGGAGAAAGAGTGTAAGATTTGAGATACATATGGGGACTAGATTACCAAGAATCTTATATACTTAGTTTAAAGAGTTTAGGTGATATCCATTAGATGTTGGATGTGAACACAATGTTTTAGTTATGTAAATGTTAGGAGATTCAAGGGTTTTACCACAAGCACGATGCCATACCTACACTTTAGAAAAGTTATTCCAGCCACAATTTGCAAGATTTAATAGAAGGGATGAAATGTAGGCAAGAAGATAAGTTAGGATACCATTATAATAAGTCAAGTAATCTGAACAGGGCACTAATAGTGGAAGTCAATATGAGAGTCAAGTCTAGACATATTTAGGTGGTAGCACCTATAGATCTTGGTGTTCAGTTCAAGCCCTGGCTTCTTGATTATTTTTACCCTCTCATTTTTCTCAGTTTAACTTTTAGACTGAGAAGGTGGTGGGACACTAACTAGTAGGGAGAAGCAGAGAAAAAGGCATTTGAAGGGCATATGGATATTTTAAGATTGAATTTATATTTCAATGTCACAACATATTTCACTGTCCAATTTGCAGGTTAACATACTGTTTAGTATTTGAGGTGAATACAATGTGGACAAAAAATCAGAAGAAATTGGCATGTTTTACACATTGTTCCAGAAGCAGGAGGACCATAGAAATTCTGAGTTGTATTTTCAATTTTTTAATATCTCTCTCACTATACCTTTTTTCTATTACTTCCACATACAATCATTTAACTTAGTCCTTTTGATTTCACCTTCCAAACATTTCTCAAATTTACCCTCCCATGTCTACTATAATGTTAACACCCTTGTTCAGATTCTTAAAATAGCTAGGTTTAACTTTTATAATTATCTGATTATAGTAGTTTATCCTCATTAAGATTTTCTGCTCCAATCTATTGTTCATAATAACTTGACCACGTGATTTGTTTAAAATGAAAATAACAATAGTAGTCACAGCTTAAAAATCTTCTGTGTTACACAATACCCTTCAAAGGTCTAGAACCAACAAAAATACCAGCTGCATTTTAAGTCTCAGCCTTATACTTTACACTGGTTGTACAAATGCTTGGCCTTCTCTTATACCTTTCTGCTTCACATTTTCATGCCTTTGTATCTGCTTTTTATTCTGTTTTAAAAACATTTCACACCCTGACTGACAAATTCTGCCCATCCTTAAAGAATTGGCTTAGACAATATCTCCCACAAAAAGTACTTCCTCATGTTTCCACTATCCAAAGGCTATGTACCACGGCTTATAAAAACACCTTGTACATACTTCTGTCATGCTGCTCAATTACCTCCCTCCCTCACCAGAGTTTACTTCTTATTCCATGGGGTTACGTATTATATATATTTTATCACCCTAGGACCAATAAATGTTTGCTGACTGATTTTTTATAGGCAGTAATATTTATGAGACAGGCTGGTCAGTGCAGAACTAGAGAATCTGACAAACGAGACCGAAAATTATAAGTCAGAAATGTACGAGACTGCTACCAAAAACATGATAAAGTGAAGATGAAAATAATTGTCCTATATACCTCATAAAATGTAGAATTAGAAAATAGATGCATTTCGTGAGTGCATAAAATACACATAATATTTCATACTGAATAGCATTAACTGTTAACTCTCCTGGGCATGGAAGTTGTCTGACTTCCTATCTCGATCCTGAAGCTTTCTTCAGCTGACATTATACTTAGCCAGAGAGAAAACTAATGGTAAGGCCAGGCCATAAGAAGCTCAAATTCTCCTGGAGGAATCTACACCATTTTTCAGCCCCTTTGGCACTGCCCAAGGCACTAGCTTCATGGGCTTTAGCACCAGTGGAATGACATAATTTTAACTGGGTTAAAATACACATCCAAATTCACATAATTTGTATTTTGTTTGTTTATATATCCATAAGGGCATATTTAGTTAATAATAACCATGTCAGCATTTTATACTACTCTATTGAGCAGCAAAGCCACAAAGGCCATGATAATTGGGCTAATAACACAGTAAGTCAAAGGGAAAAATGAAAATAAAGTATCTTAAAATAGAAAAGGGCAAATCACAAGTTAAGTTTTATATTTTATCAAATTAAAATTCTAGTTTATACTAGAAATATTGTTTTTTAATCTAGATTCTCAATTTTCTCAAAAAATAGTTTTAAAGTTTTGTTAGTAAAGTTACAAAAAAGGTCAGTTGATTAAAATTTTTAACAATTTTTATAATTTTAGTCCTAATATTATATTATCCAAAAGTATAGTTATTAATTATCTTGCAAAATACTATTGGTGTCATGAGATTATATCTTGACAAGGATAATTAGCCCTATCACTGAAAGTTCACTGCATTGAAACATAAATGAAAATATAGGCAAAATGAGTTAGCATTATGTTTCTGAGTGTAATTGTACATAATCTTTCACTAGCTGTCGTATCTCTGATAATTTACATGGAGAAAAATGGTCAAACATTTAAAAATGTTTATTGTTGTTGATTATATTTATTTTTATAATGATAAAATATAGAAACAATTGAAATGCTCATTAGGAATGATCATTTTGGTTAATTCACATAATGAAATACTACTGGTCACTAAAGCAGATAAATCAAACCTATATCTATTGTGCTAAAATATGTCTATAACTCATATTGTTAGATGTGTTGATGTTCTCCCCAAATCCCCTTTATCTATGGTGCACCTTCCCCACTATGGTCACTTGAAAACATGATCGTGGTACTTGCAAGCTAATCCAGAATTTCCTCTCATCTCCTGACCTATTTCAACTTTCCAATGACATGGAGCCTAAAGTAGCAAATAATAAAGACTGATATATTTGGATCTTCAGGTTTACATGTATCTCTAGATCTCCAGGTGGAATAAGAATAATTCTGAGCCCTGTATCTTCCTATTTTTTTTTGGTAGTCATTCTATATAAGATTGTACAAAGTTTCACATTATAGTATCTGATGAGGGTGGTGAAATCCAAATTATCTAGTCATTTATTTGCATGAGGTAATTCATTATAGGACTAGAATTTGCTGAGGAGAAACCTGCATTTAGTACCTGGAATTCATGAGAATGAAAACCAAAACCAAAAACAAACATGTGCAACCATGGCATTTATCCCCAGTTCAATTGTAATTACTAGCACTAAGCTTTGCAGACAAAAGAGTGATGACAGTTTAAATGATTGGAGATGGAGAGGGAAGAGGGGAAGGAACATAGCCCAGACTTTGAGTGATGAGTTTTGCTTCAGAGTGTAGGTGATGGTGTGGTACAAAGTAAAGAAGAAATAATTCTCCCGATTTCTGTAAACTGATGAATGCCATTTCATTTGGTCATTTGGTATCTCACACACCTGCAACTTTGGGGAACATCAGAAAACAAAACCTAAGCAGAGAATTCACACTCTCATTTCTGACATTGGGAAGTGCATGAGATGAGTGATGGTGAAATCACATGGAGATCACTAAATTTCCCAAAATCTTTTAAGGGAGATCTAGAGGTCTGCCGGAACACAAAAGAAAGAATGAATCAGAGGGATCCAATATGTTCCAGTTAATGAGACTTCTACTTGCACCATAGATACAAGGCCTGGGGAAAGTCAGTTAAAGGTTGTCTATCTGCCTTTACTTTATGGACAATTAAAGGGCTTTTGTTAAATCCCCAGGACTTAGCACCATACCTACCACGCAATATGTGTGCTGCAAATTTTCACTGAATTGACTTGTGAGCATTGGTGCATTAGAGGCCAAGATTATTGTAGCTCAGAATCTTTATGTTTGGATCTCTGTAATGGTGGGAGATACATGGATAATGAGAGGTAGGCAAAATAAATAAGCCACTTTTTTTCTCCGTGATTATTCATTGCCCTTTTCATCCTCTCTATTCCTTTTATTTTCTCCTGTGAGTTTGAAAGGGATGCTATAGCAAAGGCCCATGATTCTAACATACAAGATGACCTTGCAGTAAGTTTGAGAGAGACATTAAGATATTTGTCCTGAATTCTTATTTAAAAAATTCTTTTCTAAAAAATTCTTTTCCTTGAAATAAGCATGTAGAATTATTCAGATTGTTGTTTAAATCATATCTCTGCCCCTTACTAGTTTAAAGCTTATTGTTTAATGGTGGGGTTTGAAGAATTTCTCACTTCCCTTTCCAAGTTTAAAACCAATTGGGAGTAAATGATGTAGCTGATGTTGAAGAACATTGTTTCACAGATTGGTGATGATTTGACTCCTAATATTGCATCCTTGAAATAGGTGTATTTATCTAGTTGCTCACTATCATTGGCCTCCCATGGGATGCTGCCTTGTAAAATTTAAGGCAAGGAGAAGCAGAGGAAAAGTGTGTGCTGTCTTCAGTGAGGACCCTGGCAAGAATGGTTTATTTATCTGCCTTTATCTATCTGACAAGAAAGATTCCAATACTTTTTCAAAATTATGCCATCTTGAGAAGTTATTTTTCTCCCTTGAGAGAATTTGAAAGTGAGTGGGTAAGTCAAGAGTTTTTAAGGAAATTTCCTCCTCATGGAAAACAGAAGAGTAGGGGATAACCATCTGTCTCTAATGCTTTGGCAATATTTTGGTTCTTCAGTTTAATAACGATGTCATAAGTCATTGTTTGTGTTCTAAGTTATGTTCCATGATCTGCTCTCTGCGAACTGGAGACCCAAGAAAGATGGTGTAATTCAGTCTGATTCAGAAGACCTGAGAATAAGGGAAGCCAATGATAGAAATACCAGCGTGAGGGAAAAAAATGAGATGAGATGTCTAGGCTTAAGCGGTAAAACAGAGAAAAAAGGGGGTAAATTCCCCCTTCCTCTGCCTTTTGTTCTTTTCAGATCCTCAGCAAATTGGATGATGCCTTTCCTCATTAGAGAAGGCAATCTACTTTCTTTAGTCCACTGATTCAAATCCTAATATCATCCAGAAAAACAGTCACCAACTCTCTCAGAATTAATGTTTAATCTTGGCACCCCATGACCCATGAGATTGATCCATCAAATTCACCATCACAGTAAAAAAAAAAAACAGAGAGATAACTTCATAAGTCTTAACAGAGTCCAGCCTCAATTTTAAAATCTAAATCCAGTATCTCCTTCAGATATCATATACCATATCACATACCATATCATCAGATATGGATGAGATTCAATGTATAATTCATTCCAAGGCAAATGACTCTCCAGATATGAACCTGTTACATCAAACATATTCTATGGTTCTAAAATACAATGAAGGAACAAACATAGGATAGATATTCCTATTCCAAAAAGAAGAAATAGGAAAGAAGAAGGAAGTTAGAGATCCTGAGCAAATCCAAACCCTTAAGGTTTGAGAATAATCTGCGTGGACTTGATGCTCTGCCTTCCATGCCCACTGGGACAGAGGTCCTTCTTTCAGGACCAAGTGAGGCAATGGTCCCACCTGTGAAGTGTTGTCTGGCACCTGTCTTTGGGAAGCCCAACCCCTATGGCTTTGCTGGGTGCAGCTTATGCCACGGTTTTCATGGAGTCACATGCTGGTGGCTCTTCTGGTCTGAGTTTTCAGAGTCACCCCTGTCCCTATGGCCCTGTTGGGCATTGCTTTAGTGGAGACTTTTTGTGGTGGCCCTCCCCTTGTGGTGATTCCCAGTCTGGGCCCCACAGCTCCCCAGTGCATCCTTTGAAATGTAGTGGAGGCAACCATGTTCCCACAGTTTTGCTGAATGCGGTGCACGCCACATGAGGTCCTGCCAGAGCTGCACTTGGGGCAGCCAAGCAGAATGGTGCCAGAGTGCAGGAAATGGATCCTATAATGCAAAGCAGTTCTGGGCAGCAGTGTCTCTTTTGAAATCATTCTACCCTGTAGGCTCTAGCATTCTGGGACTCTGATAGGAGGGATAGTCCTGATGATCTCCAAAATGTTTTCAGGTCATTCTTCCATTGTCTTGGACATTAGATCCTGGTTTCTATTTAGATGCTGACAAGTCTTCCCATATCTGGATGAATAACATCTGGCTTCCATTGAGATGGTCAATCCATACGAAACTCATTATCATAATGTCACTTGGCCTCACCCCTATTGTCTCCCAAAAAGGCTTTCTTATTTTTTTCCAGTAGGTAAAGATTGAGCATTTTCTCAGTTTTTAAGTTCTGCTTCTCTTCTGATTAACAATTTCATCTTTAATTCATTTCTCTCTTCTTGCATTTTACTATAAGCAGTCAAGAGGAACAGAACTTCATTTTCAGTGAAGTAAATCTTTCATTCTGCGAAGGAACACAGAATATGATACATTGATTGTCTGGGAATCTTCTTCGTACTCCTCAGGGCTTTGAACCTTATAGGACTATAGGGCTATAGGACTCTATGGGGGTAAGAAACTTGTTCTTCTGAATGTCTGCCTACAAATTCCATTTTAAATGAAAATCTTCCATTTGTTGGGAGAACACTCAATGTAATGCACCATTCAGGTAGGAAACTTCTTCTTACTACTCAGGACTGTTTACCTTTAATGGTGTATGGGATCCTATGAAGGTAAGAAATTTCTTTTGCCAGCTTCTTCTCAATGTTTGCATAAAAACCTATTTTTTTCTGCTAAAATCTTTCATTCTGTGAGAGAACTAAGAATATGATAAACCATTCACCTAGAAAGCTTTTTCTTACTACTCAGGGCTGTTTATCTTGAATGACCAATAGGAGCATATCTATTTGCTTAGACAATTCCTCAACCATATATCCAATTTTATGACTCACAAGTTCTAGCTTCTACAAAACACTAGGACATGAATGAAATTCAGCCAAGTTCTTTGCTATTTTATAATAAAGATGCCATTTCATCCATTGTATAATAATGTACTGATTTCCACCTGAGACCTCATCAGAATGGCCTTTTCTATCCAAGTTTCTATCTATAGTCTGTTATGACCACTTTAGTATTCTCTGAAAAGGATAAGACTTTCTCTACATCCTCCTGTTTTCTTCTGTGACTTCAACAGAATTTCCTTTAATGTGCTTTTAACATCAGTGTAGGCTTCTTCCTAGTAAAATTCTCCAGTTTATATCCATTACTGCCCAGTTTCAAAGTATGTAAGACATTCCTATAACTCAATGGCAAAAACAAAACTAGACAAATAACTGATTAAAAATGGGCAAAGAATTGGAACAGACATTTCTCCAACAAAACTGACAAATGGCCAAGATGTGTATAAAAATATATTCAACAACACTAAGCATCAGGGAAATGAAAATCAAAACTAAAGCCACAATTAGATGTCACCTCCCATCTGTTAGGATGACTATTAAAAACAAAAAAAGATAAGTGTTTGTGAGAATTTGGAAAAATTGAAACCCTGGTACACTGTTTGTGGGAATGTAAAATGGTAAATCCAATATGGAAATTCAATAAAAAGTTACAAGTAAAACTACAATACAATCTAGAAATCTCATTTCTGGGTATTTATCAAAAAATTTGAAATCAATATTTCAAAAAAATTTGCACTTTTACATTTGCTGCAGCATATTCACAGTATCCAAGATATGGAAATGCCCTAATTGTCCATGGATGAATTAATGGATAAGGAAAATAGTTGCTACTATAATAGGTCCATTGCCCAATGTGCACCTCAAGTTGATACGCCTAGACACTGGATTGCAGCAAAGAAAGAGGTTTAATTACAACCAAAATGAGAAAATTGGAGGAAACCTCAAATCTGTCTCCCTGAAGAGTTTGGGATAAGGGCAGTTAAGAGTTTTGGAGTAGACCAAAGTGTGGAGATTGTTCATCGGCACGAGAGTGCAGAGCGAAGTCTTGGAACAAAGAGATCAAGAAACTTTATTCTCATACTGATTTTCTTCCTCTGCAGAAGTCTTCAAACTGTTTTATGTCAGCTGTTTTGCTGGAACTGAGGTTCTGAAAAACATCTAAAGCAATTTTCAAATAAAAGCCTTATGATTCTACAGTCAGAGATCCTATCTTAAAAAAAAACCCTTATGATCCTAAGGTCAGAAATCCTATCTATAGAAAATTGGAGATATAAATGGTCAATATCTAGTGTCATGTGACTAGAACAAAGAGCATTAAAGTACAGCCTGAATAATGTTTAATTATAATTATATTTGCATCCATAACTTGTTAAACCTATGAAAATTGGTTTGTAGTGGTTGTCAGGGCCTGGAGAGTGGAGAAAATAAAAGTTGCTATTTAATGAATATAAAATATTAGTTATGCAAAATGAGTAAGTTCTGGAGATCTAATGTATAATATAATGCTTATAGATAACAATACTATATTATACACCTAAGATTAAGATTTTGTTAATAATGGAGATATTATGTTAATTGTTCTTACCATTACTTAGAAAAACTCAAATAGATTTCAATTTTGTAGTTAATGAAATTATCTTTCAAAAATCAGGAGACTATAAAGTGCTCAAAAATAAAAGTTGAAGATTTTTTGGCAGCAGTGATGAAATCTGAGAAATGAATAAGGGCATTCATCAAGCTAAAGAGCAACATTATCATTTGGAATACTGATGTGCAAGAAAAATAGAATAAAAAATATTATATGTCTTAGTAAACATAAGAGATTATATTTTCTCCTCAATTTCTTTATAATAATATGGAATACATTGTGTGTTTATGTCTTTATTTTTAATCTTTATGGATATATAGTATGTGTATAACTTTATGGGGTACATGAGATGTTTTGATATAGCCAAACAAAGTATAATAATCACATCATGGTAAATGAGGTATTGATTTCCTCAAGTATTTATCTTTTCTTTATGTTACAAACATTTTAACTATAATTTTTTAGTTATTTTAAAATGTAAAATAAATTATTGGTGACTGGAATCACACTGTTGTGCTATCAAATGCTAGACCTTATTCATTCTACCTAATTATATTTTTGTACTCAGTAACCATCCCCACTTCCCTCACTACTCTTCCAAGTTTCTGGTAACCATCAGTCTACTCTCTGTCTCCATGAATTCAATTGTTTTAATTTTTAGCTCTCACAAATGAGTGAGAAGATGCAAAGTTTGTCTTTGTCTGCCTGGCTTTTTTCACATAGCATTATATCCCCCAGTTTCATCCATGTTGTGGAAAATGACAGAATCTCATTCTTTTTAATGCATGAATAGTACTCTAGTTCTTATATGTACCAAATGTTTTTTATCCATTCTTCTGAGAATGGACATGTAGGTTGCTTGCAAATCTTGGCTATTGTGAGTAGTAGTGCAATATACATGGAAGTGCAGATATGTATTTGATTTA
Source organism: Homo sapiens (assembly GCF_000001405.40). Classification (NCBI taxonomy): domain Eukaryota; kingdom Metazoa; phylum Chordata; class Mammalia; order Primates; family Hominidae; genus Homo; species Homo sapiens. The sequence continues at coordinate 103,989,971 of NC_000004.12, forward strand.
CTGATTTTTTTTTGTGTGGCATATACCTAGCAGTGGGATTGCTGGATCATATTTTAGCTTATTTTTAGATTTTTAAGAAACTCCGTAATGTTCTCCATAGTGGTTGTCCTTATCTATGTTCCTACCAACAGTGTACAAGGGATCCCTTTTCTCTGCACATTCACAGGCGTTTGTTATTGCTTGTCTTTGGACAAAAGTTGTTTTAAGTGGGGTGAGATGATACCTCATTGCACTTTGGGTTTGCATTTCTCTGATAATCAGTGATGTTGAGGACCATTTCATATGCCTGTTTGCCATTTGTATGTCTTCTTATAATAAATGTCTATTCAGATCTTTTTCCCATTTTTAAATTGGATTATTAGAAATTTTCCTGTTGAGTTGTTTGAGATCTTTATGTATTCTGGTTATTAACATCTTGTCAGATGGGTAGTTTGCAAATATTTTTTTTCTGTTCCATGGGTTGTCTCGTCACTTTATTGATGGGTTCCTTTGCTGGGCAGAAGCTTTTTTAATCCCGTTTGTCCATTTATGCTTTAGTTGTCTGTGCTTTTGGGTTTTGCTCAAGAAATCTTTGCTAGGTCCAATGTCCCAGAGAGTTTTTCTAATGTTTTTCTGCAGTAGTTTCATGGTTTATGTATTATATTTATGTCCCTAACCCATTTTGATTTTATTTTTTAGATGGAGTGAGACAGAGGTCTAGTTTCACTCTTTTGCATATGGATATCCAGTTTTCCCAGCACCATTTATTGAAGAGACTGTCTTATCCCCAGTGCATATTGCTGGAAAATTTGTCATAAATGAGTTCACTGTAGGTGTGTGGATTTGTTTCTTGGCTCTCTATTCTGTTCCTCTCATTTGTTGTCTGCTTTTATGCCAGTATCATGCTGTTTTGGTTACAATAGCTCTGTAGTATAATATGAAGTTAGGTAATGTGATTCCACCAATTTTGGTTTTTGCTCAGGATGGCTTTGGCTATTCTGGATCTTTTGTAATTCCATACAAATTTTTGAATGATTTTTTCTATATCCCCGAAGAATGTCATTAGCATTTTGATAGGGAGAGATTACATTGAATCTGTCGATTGTTTTGGGTAGTATGGATATTTAACAATATTAATTCTTTCAGTAAAGTAACATGGAATATCTTTCAACTTTGTGTACTCTTCAATTTCTTACAATGTTTTATAGTTTTCATTTTAGAGATCTTTCACTGTTTTGATTAAATTTATTCCTAGGTATTTTATTTCATTTGTAGCTATTGTAGATGGGATTGTTTTCTTGATAACTTTTTCAGATAGTTTGCTATTGGCATACAGAAATGCTACTGAGTTTTATATATATATTTTGTATTCTGCAACTTTACTGAATTTGTTTATCAGTTCTAATAGTTTTTTTTGGTGGAGTTATATTTGGTGTTTCCAAATGTAAGATCATTATCATTTGCAGACAAAAATGATTTGACTTACTCCTTTCTAATTTGAATGCCATTTTTTTTCTCTTTTTTGATTGCTCTGGCCAGGACTTCCAATTCTATGTTGAAAACAGAGGTAAACGTGAGCCCTCTTCCCTTACTCCAGATCTCAGATGACAGGCTTTCACTTTTTCTCCATTCAGTATAGTAGCTGTGGGTCAGTTATATGTGGCTTTTATTGTGTTAAGGTATATTCCTTCTATATCCAGTTCCAGTTTTTTGAGAATTTTTATCATAAAGGGATGTTGAATTTTGTCACATGCTTTTTTGCCATCAATGGAAATGATCAGATAGTTTTTGTTCATCATTTCATTGAAATTACTTATCACATTGATTGATTTGCATAGGTTGAACCATCCTTGCATTCCTGAGATAAGTCCTTCTTGGTCATGATGAATGATCTACTTAATGTGTTGTTGAATTTAGTTTGCTAGTATTTTGTTGAGGATTTTTGCATCAATATTCATCAGGGATATTGGCCTGTAGTTTCCTTTTTTATTTTTTTATGTGTTCATGTGGTTTTGGTAGCAAGGTAATACTGGCCCCTGGCCTCATTGAATGAGTTTGGAAGTATTCTCTCCTCTAAATTTTTGGAATAGTTTGGGTAGGATTGATAATAGTTCTTTAAATGTTTGGTAAAATTTAGCAGTGAAGCCAGTGGATCCTGGGCTTTTCTTTGCCAGGAGACTTTTTATTATGAATTCAATCTCATTCCTTGTTATTGGCCTGCTCAGACATTGGATTTCTTTATCATTCAAACTTGATAGGTTGTATGTGTCTAAGAATTTGTTCATTTCTTCTAGGATTTCCAATTTATTGGCAGACAGTTACTCATGGGAGTCTCTAATGATCTTTTGAATTTCTGTGGTATCAGTTGTAATTTCTCTTTTTACATCTCTGAGTTCATTTATTTGGGTCTTCTCTGTTTTTCTCTTAGTCTGGCTAGAGGCTTGTTGATTTCATTAATCTTTTAAAAAACCAACTTTTCCTTTTGTTGATCTTTTGTATTGTTTTTTCATTACAATTTTATTTATTTCTGCTCTGATTTTTATTACTTCTTTTCTTCCACAAATTTTGGGTTTGGTTTGCTCTTGTTTTTCTAGTTCTTTACGATGCATCATTAGGTTGTTCATTTTAAGTTTTTTTACTTTTTTGATGTAGCCAAATATTTCTATAAACTTTCCTCTTAATACTGCTTTTGCTATCTTTCATAGGATTTGGTATATTGTTTTCCTTTTTTATTTGTTTCAATAAATTTTTCAATTTTCTTATTAATTTCTTCATTGACCCACTTGTTATTCAGGAGCATATTCTTTAATTTCTATGTGTTTGTACAGTTTCCAAAGTTCCTCTTGTTATTGATTTCTAGGGGACTTATGTCTTATATAATTGTAAATTATGAAAAAATGATAGTGCAAATGATAGAAGTTTCTTATACTGTTTGTTGAAGAATTATGATATTTTTGCCAATGTGGTGTATTAATTCTTATTATGCTGTGATATGTTAAGGATGCATATTGTAATCCTTAGAACAACCAGAAAAATGTACACAAAAGTGTATATATATATATTTAAATAGATAATTAAAATACCAGATCGATAAATCCTTTATTTAATTAATCCAACATAAGGTCAAAGAGATACAAAAAGAAAATAGACAAAACAAACAGAAAACAAATAGAAAAATGCTATGCTTAGCATATAACCATATAATTTACTAAATACTCAACATAAAAGGCAGAGATTAACATACTGGGTAAAATATCAAGATCCATATATAGATATATGCATTTGTATATGGGTCTTGATTTATGAATGCATATATCTATATATCTTCTGTATCTATCTATATCTGTATCTAACCACTATCAAGAGAGAGACAGAGAGAGAGAATTCCTTAGAGAATGTCCTGAAGACTTTCTTCAGTCAAACTGTGTAGTAATTAATTTTAGAACCCAGAATTTGGACAGAAAATTTTCTGGAGATGAAGAAAGTTTCACAAATATTAAAAAAACAATTTAAATGGAAGACAAAATAATATTAAATATTAATGCACCAAACATAAGAGCTTCAAAATACATGATATGATTATGAAAGAAAGGGAAACAGAGACAACTCAACACCACCCTTGTAGCAGATGAGAAGACAACAGGAAAAGATAAAACCACTATCACCAAATTTGACTTAATTTTTATTAATAAATTTCTATACCAAACAACTGAAGAATATACAACTTTTCTTTCATTTTTCAAGGTTTTGGATAACTTTAGATGATAATTAACTTAATGCTCAGATCACACATGTATATATATGTATATTTATACAGACATACATATTCATATATCTGTATATATAACTTTTATCGATATCTCTATTAATATCAAGAGAGAGACACAGAGACAGAGAATTCCCTGGAAAATATCTTAAAAACTTTCTTTGGGCAACTGTTTATTGTGGTAGTTAGTTTTGGAACCTAGTCATAGCTTTTCTTTTCTTCTTAATCAAATAAGAAAAACAAATAAATACAAGTAAATTACATCATTCTCAAATCCTTATTTCAATATGAAACCATGGAAAAGGATGGTAATATTAAAAAAAAAAGCAACTTAATGTCTTGAGCTACCACTGAAGTAATACAAATGTAGTATATATTTTCAGTATTTATTTGATATTATAGAACATCATCAATTATACATTTATCATGAAGTATGCTAGAAGGCTCTATAATGAATGTTACACTAGAATCCTTTGTTTTTATTTATTTGAAGACATATCCAATTGCTTGCTCTAGTTAGTTTGCTATCTTTTGCAGGAGGTGAGTGCCCTCTTCTGGTTCTCTAATAAAACTGATAATAATGGTATCCCCAACGGATTGATTTACCTGTTATTTTCTAACAAATTTTCCTTTGCAGTCAGAAATATTTAATAAAATTATGTCCATTTTGCTGTTTTATCCTTTACCACCAGAATGTGGCAGATAGCCATTACTTCTAAGCAATTTCCACATCTTGTTCTTAGTCTTGATAATCTTTCTCTAAGCCACAGTGTGAAAGTTTGTCTCTTTAATGTTTTTATTGCTTAAAATAGGAAAATATATTTCAAGTATTATATTCTGAGCTAGAATGTAAAATTTTCTAACTATTGTGAAAGAAAAAAGGAAGGATGACGAAGGAGGGAAGATTGCAAAACCTAACAACTTAAGGCGGTTTTAATTATTTGTATGATATATTGGGAAGATATTTACAATATGACTTTTCCCCATATTACACACACACCTATCAGATGCTTGAAAAAAAATAATTGTTTTTCATTATGATTTGTTCATTTATTTTACCCTGTCAGACCATAGTTTCTATTCTTCAGTGTGCTCCCCTCAGTTGGCACTTAATAAAAAACAACCAAACTTACACACACACACAAGCAAAAAGCAAAGAAACAAAAAAATAGCCTGTGAAATAATAATTCTTAAGAAAATAAGGAGGTCTTTCACTTCTCTCATCGTTTTTAGAATAACCATTATTTTTTGCAGTCGATCAACAGTCATGAATAATAGCCAGTTTTTTTGTTGTTTTTTTTTTTGAGACGGAGTCTCCCTTTGTCGCTTGTCGCCCAGGCTGGAGTTCAGGGGCGCGATCTCCGCTCACTGCAAGCTCCGCCTCCCGAGTTCACGCCATTCTCCTGCCTCAGCCTCCCGAGTAGCTGGGACTATAGGAGCCCGCTGCCACGCCCAGCTAATTTTTTTGTATTTTTAGTAGTGACGGGGTTTCACCGTGTTAGCCAGGATAGTCTCGATCTCCTAACCTCGTGATCCGCCCACCTCGGCCTCCCAAAGTGCTGGGATTACAGGCGTGAGCCACTGCGCCCGGCCAATCACGGCTAGTTTTGACGTGATGAGAATATCCTGTCAAAACATTGCCAAGTAGAAGTCAAGAATGACAACTTTAGCAAAATATCTTTTGAACACATGCATTTAACATGGGAGGCACACTTTGTTTTAATGTTTAACTGACAGGATAAGCCAGAATTTCCATGACCTGTTGTTAGAAGCTAGAATTTAGATTATTTAATCAGTGTTACCTTTGTCTGCATAAATAAAATTACCTTTATAATTCAGAATAGAAAATATTGTCAGATTAAGGTGGGGTAGGGTTTCTTGCCCAGGAAAATTGTTACCTATAGCAATCAAAGACATTAGATAGTTATTCATTTCCACTTTTCCCTTTGCTCATATAAATGAAATATTAGTACTAATAGAACTCTTTTTGCAGACAAGAAGGGAGAGAGAATAATTTGGAATAGAAGTTTAGGCACAATGAGATAAAATTCCATTTTTACTGAAAAATAAGAAATTACAACTTCTACATTTTTCCCCACCAATATTCTTAGATGCTTGGGCAGATCTAATCTTGATGAGACCATTAAATATCGATGGAGTCACTCAGATTAAATAATTGAGATAATTATCTTGATAACTCAGACTTAAAAGGAGGGTTTTAAAGAAAACAAAACAGAACTGGGATGACCTAGCCTTAGTTCCAGTACAAACTTAGATCATATATGTGCATTTTCCTTCATTATATTTAGCAGAAAAATATTGCTAAAAGTCACTCCATATGAGATGAGAATTTAATTGGCTCTGTGTTTAATTTAATCAATCATTTAAGACTTAAAAATAGTCCTGAATTGCTGAACCTTTAATGAAAACTTGGCCATGGAAGTTAAAAATAAAAGCAGCAATAGATGGCACTAGAAGATCAAGTCTCAGACGAAAATCCATTAGTCCTATTTCCTCCTCTAATCCCTATAAAACATTTGACAGGAGTATAGCCAGGGAGTTGGAGGACAGGCATAGAGAGACAATCCCTGTTAAAGGGACAGATACTAATTCCTTTGTCTACTTGTCCTGAAAGGCATCCCAGAATGTGTTGGGGGAAAAGAAAACGGCCAATTTACTACAAAGATCCTGCTCAAGGCACAACATTAACTGTCCCATTTAGTTTGAATAAAGAATAGATAAAGGGAGTTCTACCCTGACTTTTATCAGGCATTTCTGCTGTTTTATTTGCTGCTACTGATAATTGAGGTCTTGCTGCTTAGAAAAAGCTCGATAAATTTATTTGCCATTAAAATAATCACTACGTTTCCTTTCCCCATTGGCAATAACCCAAATTATTTATGAAATACAGATTTTTCTGTTTCTTTCTAACAAAGCAGACACAAAGACATTAAAGCATTTTAAAATTTAAGCCTTCAATGGCCTGCATTTCATAGCAACAGACTTATTTTATTTATTTTTTATTGTGTAAATCCTTCAAGGCTGAGTGCTGCCTGCACAACACTCTTCTTGTCTCAGCTTGACTGGCCCCACAGCCATGACTCATCTTTTACAGTTGCAGCTTTTGAAGCACATTCCAGACCTGCTTGTTCCCACAGCTCTCCTAATCCTTTCACATGACCATGAAGACAGCCTTTAAATTCAACGGAAGATGTTTCTGACATTTTTTTCAAGCTATAAAAACTATTTCCAGGTCCAGGTTGGGGAATGATACGTGGATGTTTGGAGAAAATCAGGGGTTATCATTTTTCCTCCCTGCTAGCTACTAAGAAGGGTCTTTAAAAAAAAAAAAAAATCTCAGCATTCTGTAGAAATTTATCCAAACAAGTATTGTCTTTGCAGTGCTGTATTCTCAATAGTAAGAAATTATTTTAAAATCAGCAGTTTCTGAAGACAAATTTTTATTAAATCTGCAATCAGAGAAATTTTAAAAAATGTTTAATGGCTCATAGAAACAGTGTAGAAAATTTCAGCTTCATTTCCTCACTAATAGGATTGATTTTCTTCTCTTATTTTATCATTTTCTCTTTCTTTATTGGTAAATAAAATAGAACTGGCCTACCTAAATATAAAATTTATTCATAGGCGTTATTTTAAATAATTTCAACTATTAGGAATCATCATGGGTCTACTACAGAAATCATATATATAAATTGAAAATATATTTCTTTCTTTTCTTCTTCCCTTCCTCCTCCCTCCCTTCCTTCTTCATCCCCCATCCCTTCCCCACCATCCTTTTTTTTTGCTTTTGTCTTCTTTCTCCTTTTCTTCCATTCTTATATACATTCCATAAGCATTTTTGAATTCTTGTTTTGCTATTAAATTTTATACACACATTGTCTTTGTTTTTCTAATTTAGCTAGCAAATTGACTTTAAACAAAGACAAGTTGTATTAGAGTGTGTGTGTGTATATATATATATATATATACACACACATATATATATACACACACATACATGGAGAGAGAGAGAAACTATTTCATGTTTGAGAGAAAGCAGGGAAATGAGAATGTTTTCTTCCTATTTTCCAAATTGGTTAGTTCAAGGCCAAGTATATATGGACAGTATTATGTAAAACATTATCAATGAGATGAATATATTCTCCACTGCACAAAGAATGAAATTAATTATGAACCAATCTATTAAGAAATCGAGTGAAACTAAAAAGTTGATTTAAGCCATTATTCCTATGGCAATTTTAGTAGTCTGGAATTTTATTGGGCATTTCACCATTATCTGAGATTTTCTCCACAGGTGGATGCAGGGACTAGATGTCCTGTTGAGAATTTTTCTAGTTTGATGACTATGAAATTTAATGTACTTACTAGTCTTTTTCCCACACAATTCAAAATTCAAAATTGTGTGGAAAGAATACTAGTAAGAATTGAACTAGTAGCTATTATAAAAGTGAGCTGTCCAAAAGGAGTGTAGAGACCACTCCTTATGGAATGGAGAAAGGTGGGTATGATAATCCCTTTCCTTGTCTGTAATAAAATTCTGACGTTTTCCCTCCTAGGTTACCCCAGGAAAATAACTTTTTTAAATAGCAGTAGCCAGAGGCTTCTTATTATAATTTAGTAAGGCTGAAAGACAACTTCTCCTTGCATTCAATTCTATCATAGCATCCACTAAAAATACCTGCAGCACTAGAAGAAATTTTAGTTGAATTTTAGCCCATGGCTTGAAGGAGTTAGAAAGATTCCTAATAAGATTTATAGGCTTAGGTCCTAAAAATTTTAAAAACACTATAATAAAACTCGATCCCAGGACAGACTTAGTGGTTTATATCCATGATTGTCAAGATTTGTACCCTTTTCTTATAAAAACTTATTTTTGAGGTTGTCCAATGTACCTTACGTTACTCATCCTAAATACATATTATAGGCAAATGTAATTATGGACACTTTCCTGTCACTGAAACAATTTTGTTGTATTTATCAAGAAAAATCTCTCAAACCTCAATTCTAATTCTGCCCCTCTCTACCTATAAAACACACTCTTTAACATATATGACTCAGAAAAAATAAAAAGACAAAATGTTTACCTGGTTCTAGGTACGAATCCTGGAAGTGGAAAGGAAGGGGCATGAATTTCGGAAATGGGGAAGAAGAAGAAACGACAGCAACTAGATGTCATAATTTACAGCAGCAGATGTGAAGCAAGTTTTTGGATTATGGCCAGTGGAAAGAAAGCATGCCAGACAGCTAATGGGAGGCAAGAGTAGTGTGACATGTGGATGGACTGGAGGGCAGGTGATAGATTATGCAGGTCCTCATAAAGCATGTGTAGGAGTTTTATATTTATGTAAAGACTGATGAGAATCTACCAAGGGATTTTAATCATGGGATTGCAATAATTTCACTGAGATTTAAATTATTATTTTTGGATTATAGCATGGTAATTGTAAAGGGACAAAATAATTTCATGGAAGGCAGTTAGGGGTTATTGCAGAAATCCAGGTAAAAGTATCTGTGATTGGACTCAATTAGTGGTTGCAAAGATTGAAACAGTATAGATATTGAAAAAATAAAATCCATGAGACATTGTGGAGTGAAGGAGATCATGACATGGAACATACTGTGATGTGGTATATGTTGAGTGTTGAGCTAAATTTAAAGCATCTAGGTAAAGAAGTTGAATTAGTTACTGGATATCTTGGCTCATACATTAGCAGAGAAGACTGAACTCAGAATAAAAATTTTAAAGACAATGGACAAAGTAATAATAGTGGTAATTTAAGTCATCAGCATTTATGACAATATCGACTGAAATAATTACTTTCAAGGCCATGTGGTAAGAAAAGACAATAAGGATTTTGGTATACAATTTACCAGAAGAGTTTAATGAGGCAAGATCAATGGGTTAACATTTCAACGCAGGGTAAAATGTGAAGCACATGACACCAGAATATGCTTTAATATAGCCATGCTTGCAGTGGATTTATACTGAGTCCTATGGAAGTGAATTGAAAAAGATGTGTCACTCAAGAACTGTAACTTCAAAAGCCTAGGCCAACTTCGGCATTTATTTCACAGGGATGTGCATTATATTTAATAGGAGGCAACTTCTCTGCATGCTATGGAGCCCATAAAATCATCAACTAAATCTCAGAGCATTAAAAGCTGCTCTCAATCCAATATTAAATTTGAATTTTGGTAAGTTAACAACTGTGGCAAATGGAAAATTTCTCAGGAGTTCTCAGATAACTCTAAACATCAAGGTAAGAGTAAATAAGATCCTTGTGCTAGATAAGTATTCACAGGGATATTAGCTAAGACTTTTTCAGCTGCAAGTTGCCAAACTTAAATCGAGCAAGTTAATCAAAACATGGAATGTATTCATGTATGTAACTGTCTGTGGCTCTCTGATACACAAAATGGTTGGACCCTGAGTCTTGAATATTATGAAATTTGAATGTCTCTGATGGTTTTATTCTTCATGTAGAATAAAGGAAGTACCTTTCTCATAATAACTCTTTAACATAAGGTTTAAAAATGCCTGAGATTAACTTGGTTTTGAAAACATATCCATCCTCCACTAATGGCTATGGCTAGTGAATGAGATAAGGCTTGTGCAGGTCTGTCAAGTGCATATTTTTTTTAACCTGGGGAGAGAAGTCAGCTTCATAGTGAAGAAGCATTTTGATACTAGAAGAGGATAGAAAGTTTTCCTGGACAGATAGGAATAAAATAATGTTTATCAAACTGGGACTCTTACTGTAGCCTACAAAAACCCTACATAAACCCACCCCCAAGTGCTCTACATTATTTTCTGCCTCTCTTCTCTTCTATGCCTCTCCAACCTTCTTGCTGTTTTTTGAATATACTAAGCTTATTCCATGTCAAGACCTTCAGACTGCTGTTGCTTTGACCAGAAAGCTCTTTCCCAGATCCTCTCATAGGTGAATTTCTATCATATTTGAAGCCTCACCATCTATGATTGCTATAATAAAAAATGCCACCTAGTTACCTGCTATCCTATTGTTCTCTGTAATTTTTAAGAATAGACTCTTGCCAAGTTGTTGTTTTTTTATTTACTGGTATATTGTCTGTCTTCCTATAAAATGTTTAACTCATGAGAATAAGACCTAATTGGCCAGGCATGGTGGCTCATGCCTGTAATCCCAGCACTTTGGGAGGCCGAGGTTGGTGGATCGTGAGGTCAGGAGATCGAGACCAACCTGGCTAACATGGTGAAACTCTGTCTCTAATAAAAACACAAAAATCAGCCGGGCATGGTGGCGGGCACCTGTAGTTCCAGCTACTCGGGAGGCTGAGGCAGGAGAAAGGTGTGAACCCGGGAGGCAAAGCTTGCAGTGAGCTGAGATGGCACCACTGCACTCCAGCCTGGGTGACAGAGCGAGACTCTGTCTCAAAAAAAAAAAAAGAAAAAAAAAGAATAAGAGCTAACTCATTTAATTCTGTATCTAGCAACTTCACACTGTCTATCACAAGTTGTTTATTGAATTAATGAATCTGAATGATTCATTGAAAATATTTATTTATTTATTTATTTATTTATTTATTTATTTGAGATGGAGTCTCACTCTGTTGCCCAGGCTGGAGTGCAGTGGCACGATCTCGGCTCACTGCAACTTCTGCTTCCCAGGTTTAAGCAATTCTCCTGCCTCAGCCTCCCAAGTAACTGGGATTACAGGCACGTGCCACCATGCCCAGCTAATTTTTGTATTTTTAGTAGAGACAGGGTTTTACCAGGTTGGTCAGGCTGGTCTTGAACTCCTGACCTCGTGATCCGCCTGCCTCGGCCTCCCAAAGTGCTGGGATTACAGGTGTGAGCCACCACACCCAGCCCTCATTTATTTTTAACACCCCTATTCTCACTCCTAAAACTTTAAGACAATTGGCTTAACTTTTTATTGCACTTTACTTTATTGCGCTTTATTGCACTTTACTTGGATTATTATTGTAATCCCAGTTAGCATGCTTAATTCCAAAGCCAATCTACATGGATATCTGCAATGATATTGGCTCTTTATCCTTAATCTGCTCTTGTAGAGCATTCATTGTAAAGCCAAACTACTTCTTCAGCTATTCTCAGAGTAGTTGGAAATTTCAGGAAAATATAAAATAGTGTCTTAATAAATACTTCACATTCTCTTGTTACAAAAACAATTTCTAGTAGTACATTAGGAGGATGACAAAACTAGTATTTTGAAAATAACCTTTTTGCACAGGAAATTCCAAAAGCCAGAATGACTCTTGTCCTCCAAGTGAACACAACACTATCAGGGGAACCAGCCCCCAGTATTTCAACATAGGTTCTTTTCTATTTTACCTAAGTGTTGGCCAGGCTGAGAAATAAAGAGAAAGAGTACAAAAGAGAGAAATTGTACAGCTGGGTCTCCGGGGGTGACATCACATGTCAGCAGTTTCCGTGATGCCCACCTGAGCCACAAAACTGGCAAGTTTTTATTAGGGATTTCAAAAGGGGAGGGGGGTATGAATAGGGAGTGGGTCACAGAGATCACATGCTTCAAATGGCAATAAAAGATGACAAGGGCAGAAGGGCAGAGCAAGGTCACAAGGCCAGGGCAAAATTAGAATTACTAATGAGGTTCCATGTCCCGCTGTGCACACATTGTCACTGATAAACATCTTAACAGGAAACAGGGTTCGAGAGCAGGCAAACGGTCTGACTAGAATTCACCAGGCTGGAATTTCCTAATCCTAGCAAGCTTGAGGGTGCTGCAGGAGACCAGGGCATATTTTATCCCTTATCTTCAACTGCATAAGACAGACACTCCCAGAGCGGCCATTTTAGAGGCCTCCCCATGGGAATGCATTCTTTTCCCAGGGCTGTTCCTTGCTGAGAAAAAGAATTCAGCTATATTTCTCCTATTCGCTTTTGCAAGAAGAGAAATATGACTCTGTTCTGCCCGGTCCCACAGGCAGTCAGACCTTATGGTTATCTCCCTTGTTCCCTGAAAAGCGCTGTTATCCTGTTCTTTTAGGATGCCCAGATTTCATATTGTTCAAACACACGTTTTACAAACAATTTGTACAGACAACGCAATCATCACAGGGTCCTGAGGAGACATACATCCTCAGCTTATGAAGATGATGGGATTAAGAGATTAAAGTAAAGATAGGCATAGGCAATTATAAGAGTATTGATTGGGGAAGTGATAAATGTCCATGAAATCTTCACAATTTATGTTCAGAGATTGCAGTAAAGACAGGCATAAGAAATTATAAAAGTATTAATTTGGGGAACTAATAAATGTCCATGAACTCTTCACAATTTATATTCTTCTGCCGTGGCTTCAGCCGGTCCCCCCGTTCGGGGTCCCTGACTTCCCACTACACAACACCTCTCCAGCAAGAGCACAAAAACTGGACGGAGAATGAGGTTGACGAATTGACAGAAGTAGGCTTCAGAAGGTGGTTAATAACAAATTCCTCTGAGCTAAAGGATCATGTTCTAACCCAAGGCAAAGAAGCTAAGAACCTTAATAAAATGTTACAGGAACTGATAACTAGAATAATCAGTTTAGAGAGGAACATAAATGACCTGAAGCTGAAATGGAGCTGAAAAATATCTAGGAATACAACTTACAAGGGATGTGAAGGACCTCTTCAAGGAGAACTACAAACCACTGCTCAAGGAAATCAGAGGACACAGACAAATGGAAAACAGTCCATGATCACGGATAGGAAGAATCAATATCATGAAAATGACCATACTGCCCAAAGTAATTGATAGATTCAATCCTATTCCCATCAAACCACCACTGACATTCTTCACCTAATTGGAAAAAACTACTTTAAATTTCATATTGAACCAAAAAAGAGACTGTATAGCCAAGACAATCGTAAGCAAAAACAACAAAGCTGGAGGCATTACACTACCTGACTTCAAACTATACAACAAGGCTACAGTAACCAAATCAGCATGGTACTGGTACCAAAACAGATATATAGACTAATGGAACAGAACAGAGGCCTTAGAAATACCACCACACATCTACAACCATCTGATCATTGACAAACCTGACAAAAACAAGCAATGGGGAAAGGATTCCCTATTTAATAAATTGTGCTAGGAAAACTGGCTAGCCATATGCGGAAAACTGAAACTGCACCGTTTCCTTACACGTTATACAAAAATAGCTCAAGATGGATTAAAGACTTAAATGTAAAACCCAAAACCATAAAAACCCTAGAAGAAAACCTAGGCAATACCATCCAGGACATAGGCATGGGCAAAGACTTTACGATGAAAATACCAAAAGCAATTGCAACTAAAGCCAAAATTGACAAATGGGATCTAATTAAACCAAAGAGCTCTGCACAGCAAAAGAAACTAGCATCAGAGTGAACAGGCAACCTACAGAATGAGATAAAAATTTTGCAATCTATCCCTCTGACAATGGTCTAATACCCAGAATCTACACGAAACTTAACCAAATTTACAAGAAAAAAGCAACCCCATCAAAAAGTGGGCAAAGGATACGAATAGAGATTTCTCAAAAGAAGACATTTATGCAGGCAAAAAATATATGAAATAAGCTCATCATTACTGATCATTAGAAAAATGCAAATCAAAACCACAATGAGATACCATCTCATGCCAGTCAGAATTGTCATTATTAAAAAGTCAAGAAACAATAGAGAGTGGTGAGACTGTGGAGAAATAGGAACACTTTTACACTGTTGGTGGGAATGTAAATTAGTTCAACCATTGTGGAAGGCAGTGTTGCAATTCCTCAGGGATCTAGAACAAGAAGTACCATTTGACCCATCAATCTCATTACTGGGTATATACCCAAAGGAATATGAATTATTCTACTATAAAGATACATGCACATGTATGTTTATTGCAGCTCTACTTACAATAGCAAAGACATAGAACTAACCCAAATGGCCAACATTGATAGACTGGGTAAAGAAAATGTGGTACATATACACCATGGAATACTACGTAGCTATAAAAAAGAATGAGATCATGTCCTTTGCAGGGACATGGATGAAGCTGGAAGCCATCATGCTCAGCAAACTAACACAGGAACAGAAAACCAAACACTACATGTTCTCACTCATTAGTAGGAGTTGAACAATGAGGACACATGGACACAGGAAGGGGAACAACACATACCGGGGCCTACTGGGGGTTTGGGGTAAAGGAGAGGGAGAGCATTAGGTCAAATACCTAATGAACACAGATCTTAAAATCTAGACCACGAGTTGAAAGGTGCAGAAAACCACCATGGCACTTGTATACCTGTGTAACAAAGCTGTGCTTTCAGCACATGTATCCCAGACCTTAAAAGTAAGATAAAATAAAATATAATAATTAATTCACAGAAATGAAAGTAGAAAGGTTGTTTCCAGAAGACTGGAGGTGGGTAGGAGAAATGGAGATACGGTGGTCATTGGGTACACATTTTCAGTTATAAGATGACTAATTTCTGGAAAGGTAATGTAAAGCGCTTGAACTATAAGTAATTATATGGTATTGTGTTAAAAAAAAGAAAATGACCTGTTTAGACTTCATAATGAAAATGCCACATAGTTTACTCTACACAACTTGCAAGTAGAGTAAAATCTCAAAGCCATTATCATTCTTGGCACTTATTTATAATATCAGCTTCCAGTCCCTGCTTGCTAATGAAGTGCTGATACCTTTTCTGGAGATATAGTCATTGATCTGGTCACTGATTTCCATTCTGTATCCCTCTTGGTATATTTTATTTCATTCTTCCCCATCCAAATATATGTCTGTCTGTCTACTCTAGCTTTAGGGACTTAACTCTTTAATCACTGCTTTTAATTTATAAACAGCTTTACCATATTTTGTCTCTGTCTATCCAAGTATACATGACATATGACATCCATTATCTTATATGGATGGTGATGGTGGCAGTGATGGCTAATCTTCTGGCCTGGTGATGCACACTATGAACTCTGAAAATGGCAGGAATTTTAAAACCTATTTTCTCAGAGAATATCTTTTCTAATTTGTAGCATAGTTGAAATAGATTACCCCTTTGCATATAAATCCATTAAATTTTCCTCATGAAACAGCATTTTAAATTTTTACAGTTTTATCATTTAATGCCCAACATTGGGTAAATTATAGTTGCATCTCTCATTGTCCCTTTCTACCGTTTTATCAATAGACATCCAGATGTTCTGTTCATAGTGTTAGGTATTATTATTATTGTTGTTGATACAGTTATTTTTTCCTTTTCAAATATCCCTATCAAACTAAGATACATATTTGTAATTTGTAATTTAGTATCCCTCCTCTACAGACTTCTCATAACCAGTTTCATAATAGATAAGCGAAGTCCAATTAATAGAGAAGCATAGTTGCATATAAGGGTGGTGAGGATGGCAGTGACAGGCTATTATTTAAATTCATGTATTCTCGAACTGTCACCCAACACTGCTTATCTGTTTTGCAAATATCAAAAATTATCATTGTTTAATATCATTCAATGATTACCCATATTAAATATAAGTGAATACTTTATGGGCAGTTCTTTTCTGTTTTCTTCTTCTCTTGAAGAAGATATAGGATCCATTCCCTATGACTTTCTTTTTATATCTATGAATTAGCATATTTTGTTAACAATAAATAAACCATGGTATTTCTGCTGCACAACACTGATGTCAGATGTGTATACATTTAAAGCAATTTACTTTTGTGGTACCTACTTCCTCTCCAACTGGAATGGCAGCCAATCTTCAAAAATCAGTTGGGTCATTGAACAGTCAATATGGTTTAATTGTTAAGACAACAGAAATAAGTGACCATGTCTGCCTCAATGAATAAATCAAATCAAAACTATAGCAATTGATTAATATTTGGCATTCAGCAACTGTAGGAAAAGTGAGAAAATCACTTCAAAAATAATTAACCAGAAAAAGGATTGATTGTATATAATGGAAATTCTGGTTATCTGAAAGACCAGGTAATGGTAACTTCCCCATGCTCAGTCCAGTGAATCACACTCTAGTTGGCAATATGGCCCACACGATAAACAATACGTGTTTCTGCCATGTATTAAAGTTTTCCAAAATTAAATTTTTTTTGTCAAGTATATTAAGTTACTAATGTACAAGGTAAAATTAAATTTTTTAGTAGGTAGTTACATCATTTTTATAAAGAATATGGTTATTTAACAATTACTGCAATCAAGAAGATTTCAACAACCTCAAATAACTTCATAGTATCTTTTTTTTACTGATAATATCTTCCCCTATGCTCAGCTTCTATAATAACTGTTCTGCTTTCTGTCTTTATAATTAAGCCTTTTTATAATTTCCTTATAAACAATTTCTTTCTTTAATATAGTTGCTATTCATCTATTTTGTTGCATGTGGCAATAGTTTGTTCCTTTTTAATACTAAATAATAGTCAATGGTATGGCTGTATGTACCACATAGCTTGTTTATGGATTTTGGGGAATATTTTTTTCATATAGGTATCCAGCTTTTCCGGTTTCACTTGGTGAAAAGACTTTTTTTTCTCTCTTTTTTTTCTTTTTGCCTAAAATCCCTTTTATTTAATATTCTAAGAACCACTGCTGAAATTCAGTTGACCGTATACGTGAAGATCAATTTCTTTTCACTCTATTCTGTTATTTATATTCATCTAAATATCTTTTTTAGCCAGTTCCACAATGTCACATAGCAAGAAAAGAGTCCTAAAATTCATATGGGACCCAAAAAGAGCCCAAATAGCCAAAGCAAGACTAAGCAAAAAGAACAAATCTGGAGGCATTACACTACACAATTTCAAATTATACTATAAGACCATAGTCACCAAAACAGCATGGTACTGGTATAAAAATAGGCACATTGACCAATGGAACAGAATAGAGAACTCAGAAATAAAGCCAAATAATTTCAGTCAACCACTCTTCAACAAAGCAAACAAAAACATAAAGTGGGGAAAGACACTGTATTCCACAAATGGTGCTGGGATAACTGGCAAGCCACATGTAGAAGAATGAAACCAGATCCTCATCTCTCACCTTATACAAAAATCAATTCAAGATGGATCAAAATCTTAAATCTAGGACCCGAAACCATAAAAGTTCTAGAAGATAACATCAGAAAACCCTTCTAGACATTGCCTTAGGCAAAGACTTCATGACCAAGAACCCAAAAGCAAATGCAAGAAAAACAAAGGTATATAAATAGGAATTAATTAAACTAAAAAGCTTCTGCACAGCAAAAGAAATTTTCGGCAGGGTAAACAGATCACCCACATAATGGGAGAAAATCTTCACAATCTATATATAGAATTAAAGGATTATGAGCATCATCATCACTGCTCATCGTCACTGGCCATCAGAGAAATGCAAATCAAAACCACAGTGAGATACCATCTCACTCCAGTTAGAATGGCAATCATTAAAAAGTCAGGAAACAACAGGTGCTAGAGAGGATGTGGAGAAATAGGAACACTTTTACACTGTTGGTGGGACTGTAAACTAGTTCAACCATTGTGGAAGTCAGTGTGGCAATTCCTCAAGGATCTAGAACTAGAAATACCATTTGACCCAGCCATCCCATTACTGGGTATATACCCAAAGGACTATAAATCATGCTGCTATAAAGACACATTCACACGTATGTTTATTGCGGCATTATTCACAATAGCAAAGACTTGGAACCAACCCAAATGTCCAACAACGATAGACTAGATTAAGAAAATGTGGCACATATACACCATGGAATACTATGCAGCCATAAAAAATGATGAGTTCGTGTCCTTTGTAGGGACATGGATGAAATTGGAAACCATCATTCTCAGTAAACTATCGCAAGAACAAAAAACCAAACACCGCATATTCTCACTCATAGGTGGGAATTGAACAATGAGATCACATGGACACAGGAAGGGGAACATCACACTCTGGGGACTATTGTGGGGTGCGGGGAGCGGGGAGGGATAGCATTGGGAGATATACCTAATGCTAGATGACGAGTTAGTGGGTGCAGCACACCAGCATGGCACATGTATACATATGTAACTAACCTGCACAATGTGCACATGTACCCTAAAACTTAAAGTATAATAAAAAAATAAAATTAAAAAAAAAAGAATTCAAGGATGAATATCCATAATCTACAAGGAACTCAAACAAATCAGCAAGAAAAGGCAAACAGTCCCAGCAAAAAGTGGGCTAATAACATGAATAGACAATTCTCAAAGGAAGATATACAGATGTCCAAAAACCATGTGAAAAAAAGCTCAACATCACTAATGATCAGGGGAATGCAAATCAAAACCACAATGTGATACCACCTTACTCCTAAAAGAATTGCCATAAGCAAAAAATAAAAAAAAAAATGTTGGCATGGATGTGGTGAAAAGGGAACATATTTACACTGCTTTTGAGAATGTAATCTAGTACAACCACTTTGGAAAACAATGTGGCAATTTCTTTTTTATTTATTTATTTATTTATTTTTTATTTTATTATTATTATACTTTAAGTTTTAGGGTACATGTGCACAATGTGCAGGTTAGTTACATATGTATACATGTGCCATGTTGGTGTGCTGCACCCATTAACTCGTCATTTAGCATTAGGCATATCTCCAAATGCTATCCCTCCCCCCTCCCCCAACCCCACAACAGTCCCCGGAGTGTGATGTTCCCCTTCCTGTGTCCATGTGTTCTCATTGTTCAATTCCCACCTATGAGTGAGAACATGAGCTGTTTGGTTTTTTGTCCTTGGGATAGTTTGCTGAGAATGATGGTTTCCAGTTTCATCCATGTCCCTACAAAGGACATGAACTCATTATTTTTTATGGCTGCATAGTATTCCATGGTGTATATGTGCCACATTTTCTTAATCTAGTCTATCGTTGTTGGACATTTGGGTTGGTTCCAAGTCTTTGCTATTGTGAATAGTGCCGCAATAAACATACGTGTGCATGTGTCTTTATAGCAGCATGATTTATAATCCTTTGGGTATATACCCAGTAATGGGATGGCTGGGTCAAATAGTATTTCTAGTTCTAGATCCCTGAGGAATCCAGTGTGGCAATTTCTTAAATAACTAAAAGCAGATATACTTTTGATCCAGCAATCCCACTACTGGGTATCTACTCAGAGGAAAAGAAGTCATTATATGGAAAAGAAGCCATTATACAGAAAAGAAACTTGTTTATAAACATGTTTATAGCTGCACAATTAATTGTAAAAACATGGAACCAGCCCAAATGCCCATAAATCAACTAGTGGATAAAGAAAATGTGTTTTGTATGTGTGTATACACACACACACACACACCAGGGAATACACACATATACACCCAGGGAATACTACTCAGCCATAAAAAGGAACACAATCATGACATTGTTAGCAACTTGGATAGAATTGGAGACCATTATTCTAAGTGAAATAACTCTGGAATGGAAAACCAAACATCACATGTTCTCACTTGAAGTGGGAGCTAAGCTATGAGGATTCAAAGGCAGGAGAATGATACAATAGACTTTGGGGGAAAGGGTGGAAGAAGTATGAGAGATAAAAGACTGCATATTGGGTGATGTACACTGCTTGGGTGATGGGTGCACCACAGTCTCAGAAATCATCACTAAAGGACTTATTCATGTAAACAGATACCACCTATTCCTCCAAAACTTATTGAAATAAAAATAAACAGAATAGTAGCAAAATTGAATCATGTTTTAAGGCTTTTATCTTGTCTTGTTTCCTCTTTCTTACAAGTATCCCCACAGAACAGAATGAAAAGAAATGTATAAATCTAGCCAACAAATACAAAAATCCTAATTTAGTAAGGATTAATAATTTTGTTAAAGTGAGAACCAGGTGATAAAATTAATTTTAAAGGCAAAAATCACAATTACATTTGCACCAATCTAATATTGCAACATAATTTAAACAGTGGAAATTCCTGCTAAACCGCTTATATCCACATCAGGCATTTGCTGTGTATATATTGTGAATAAATTAAAATAAAATTATAAGGTTAACTATATAGAGTTTAATGTTAATATATTCAAAATATATAATTCTGTAATTTATGTGTGCATACATTCCTTTTGCTAGTAGGTGTTTTAGAGAGTTCAGGCCAGATTCTTTTCACTGGGCCACTGCCCTCATCCCATAGGTACTTTGAATATGCTTCAAAGGGATTATGTCTCCAGAGAAATGCCACTGGGCTGAATATGCTTAGGAGACTACAACATCTCTCCACCCATAACAACAACGACTGACACACGTGGGGCACAGGTAGCAGAAAAGCCCAGCTCCTTTCTCTCAAAGCAGGGTATCATTGCTGAGCAAATCACAATGTGTACTTCAGGGCTCTCTCTCCCTGAAATGGATCAGGAACAAGTCTAAACTTTATGTGGGACCACATCATTGCTCAGCCCCTTCCCTTTCCCCATCCCGTGTAATTCTTCATGGGTTTTTCCTCCAGAGTCCTTCTGTAAGCTATAATGCACCTGAGTCTCTGTCTTAGGCTCTGCCTTTAAAGAACCTGTTTGAGGACTCTTTTGGATAATGTGCTACTATTATGTGCTTTTATGTTGAGAGTTTTGCTGAAAACCAAAACTTCCAAAGCCAGTGCTTCCGTCACCGTACTTTTGCAGTCCAAGTGGACTGAAAGCAGGCAAATTTCATCAGGCTTGGTATCAGGTATATACTGACTGCTGTGTAATGGTCCCATCTAAGAAAGAATGTAAGAAAAAAAAATCTAGGGTAGTTTATGAATAGTCATCAAAATCACATCTAAGTGTAAATTTTCACGCTCTCCTATACCAAGTATTTCTTTGCTAATAAAATGAAAATTTGGCCCTTCAATCTGAATGGCCATTTTTTAAAAAGAATCTATATACATTATGAGTAAATGACACATGGTTTTGCCAAACTCTTAACTAGCACTACCTATCTAAAATTGCTACATGCATACAAAATGGGCACTATTTGACTACAAATATCCTTTCAAGCAGATCTGATAAAATATTTTAACTATGGATATTTAGAAGCTTAGTCTTAGCCTAAGTAGTCATCATTTTTCCCTGATGATCCTTAGAATAAATCTATATACAAAAGTAATTTTTCAATTTCAGATTCAAATGTGCTAAATGTTATGACAAAAATTTTAATTTTTATTGTTATTCTGAGAAGTCTGTTTACTTTCACAAATTTCAGACATTCTTTGTTGCATCTCTTTCTCTCGTTGCACAACCTGGTATTTCTGTGCATAGCTCTTACTGCACTGAAAATACTTATCTGATTCTGTTTGCAGAAATAAATGGTGGCTTAGTCTTTTGTACTCCCTTATTAAGCTGTGCCCAGTATTTGCTTCTCAAAACCGTACCCTAGCAGACCACCTGACTGTGGCATCCTTGTTTCTTAATGGACTCTACCTTAGAAACACAGTTACCATATCAGTAGCTTTACTGATCCTTTCTAGTCTTGTTGACCATTTCATTTAGATTAACCGATAGCCTTGAGGCCAATGTTAACCACCCTAACCATGACAAATCATCTGTCTCACTTGTCCCTTAGGTTTAAATATTCCCTCTGTGCATAATAGGAAGCACTATTTATTCTGTTATCACAGAGTTTTGAAGGGGAGACTATGTGCTTGGCAGCCAAAAACATCTTTCCCCATAGTCTTTTTATAATCTCTGCTTTCCCACAACTGTACAAAAAGAAGAGAAAAAGTAAATTTGAGCATCATTCAAACTGATGAACTGCTAGAAAATTTAGCTTACATTTAAGTACATATTTAAAAGAAATTTTCAATTACTATAGGATCTGCTATGTGCTAGACACTAGGATAGGCACAGAAATATAAGAATATACATCACGATATTACTATCTTTAAGAGTTTAAATAGGAACATCCATATTAATAATATTTATAAAATAATGAGTCATGTTTAGTACAGGTAGGAAGAGCTATATAAAGAGGATGTCCCAATACTGACAAGGAATTTGGAGATAGCTTCACTAAGGAAGTAGTATAAATTGAGCCTTGAAAAACAAGAATTTTTTTATCAAATAGATAAAATAATGAGGATAAAATAATCAAATTAATGATTCACATGGTCAAAGGCACAGAAGAATAGTAGAACATAGCTTGGTTAAATATTAGGAGTCTGCAATGCATGGGCATATAGTAAGAAATCAGGAAGGTAATTTGGCAAGATGAAACTGGAAAGGTAGATTTATTTGTAATTATTCTTAATGAATCAATAATAGCTTTGGACTTATTTTTAGGATTTAATGTTAGGCAACTTTTGTTCAAATGGGCAAAGTCAGAAAACAGCAAAATATCTATGAGTCACATTTTTAAGATTCAAACTGAACAAAGCTTTGAGTCCTATAGGAGAGTGACTACATGTACTGTGTGTGTGTGTGTGTGTGTGTGTGTGTGTATCCTTGCAAGCTATGTTATTTATTTTACTGAATACGAGAATACCAGTAAGATAATTAGAATTCTATTTTAGTCACTAAAAGGTTAATATGTGGGAACATTTGTGACTTAGCAGTACCAAACAGCTTTCTAGTGCTTAATATTTTACCTTTGTATAGTGCTTTAAAACACAACGCGTATCCTCGTGCATTAGTTCACCCCTTTCTCAAAGCCACTCCAAGAAATAGGTATTACAATCATCTTTATCTAACAGAAAAAGTCAGACTCAGAGAAGTGAAGTGCCTTATCCAAAATAATACAATGTTTTAATAGCAGAATACATGTGTGTCAACAACAACACAGAGCATTGAGAAATCCATGAGACATAGCCCATTGCATTCAGCCAACCTGCCTCCTGTCCCCATAGTTAAAATAATCTTTATCTTCAAGGCCCATAAAAGTCACATCTTAACCATGGGCACTTTTCAATTATTAACGCAGAGCAGCACCATCCTCACTCATACCCTAGTGTGCTACACTGCACTACCCTGGAGAGATATGAGCACCACCATCTTGAGATGAAGCCCTAGTTATGTTGAAGTGCAGTTCTGCTCCTCCCTTGAGGCAATTCCTCCTCCAATGCCCAGCATCCAATGCCCAACACCACTGCCTTAATCACTGGGAAAGATGTTCTTGCTTTGGAATAAGGTGTGTGTGTGTGTGTGTGTGTGTGTGTGTGTGTGTGTGTGGTGTTTTAAGACTCTTTTTGATTCCAAGGTATATGTTTTCTGTGAAGCCCTTCTTTCCTTATTCCTGTGCCTTGGACAAGCTAGGAGAATAGGTGGGCTGCATGTAGTCTGCAAGGATGGTTGTCTGAATCCTTATAGGCAATGTAAGGATATTGAAAGTCCTGCATTTCTGTTTTAGGAAGATAACTCTGGTGGTTGTTATCTTTTCTGCCTCAGAATCTCGCTCACTAAAAATAAAAATCTCAAAGGTTTAATTTCTTGATTTCGGGCATGGTCCAGTACATATTTGAAGGTGGCACCTCTTAGAAAATATTTCTCCTTTAAATATGTAAATGTAACCTGAGAGACAAATTCTCCTGGGGGATCCTATCTCCCTTCTTTCTCTTCTTTTGGTCTGCATGTTGTGGTGGCTTCAGAAGCCCATTGCAATCAAACAATAAAGATTTGAAGTAAGTTTAGTGCCATTTAGATGAAAGAATAAAAGAGATGTATTAACTTATATGGTTGAAACATAAGTTGTTTGTGAATGAAATCTATAGAGAAAAATGGGAATAGGGAGTAGACCGTAAAGAATTACATGAAGAAAGATGTTGACAGAAACGAAATAAAACTGTTTCAGAATTGATATTAACTGGGTGATTCGGGTATTAATTAGGCAATTTGGATATTAATTAGATAATTTGTTACTTTCGCAGAGTTTTACGAACTAGAAATGAACCTGCAAGGGTGGTGGTATGTGTGTGCAAGTAAAATCCTGGGAATGGTGCCAAATTGAAGTTCTTGGAAAATTGAAGTCCTTAATTTTCCTGGATAACAGGTTCAGTAGTATTAGCAGAAGCTTCAGCAGTAACATCAATGCATTATATTTAGGATGACCCGATGCAAACATCCTCAAGGCTGGAATGCTTGTTCTGTCCTTCATATTGAAGGGAGAGTCATTTGTTATTGCTTCAAGGAAAGCCTACTTAAAAAAAAAATCCCTGCTAACGGAGATTTATCATTTCCATGGATTACTACAATTTGAGAAGATCACTGGAATTAGAGTCAGTCAAATGTATAAGGGCCAAGAATCCTCAGAAGTGCATTTTAGCACCATTTATTCAATTTGGTTGACATTGGCTGACAAAATGATGAGCTAGTATTTTCCAGAACAGAGATTCAAGAATTATTGTTTTTCTCTCTAGAAACCAAATTGAAAAAAAGTAGAATCTAGTATAAACTATGAAACTATATAGCTCAGTTTACTCCACTATTTTTTTTTTTTTTTTTTTTTTTGAGATGGAGTCTTTCTCTGTAACCCAGGCTGGAGTGCAGTGGCGCGATATCGGCTCACTGCAAGCTCCACCTCCTGGGTTCACACCATTTTCTGCCTCAGCCTCCGGAGTAGCTGGGACTACAGGCGCCCGCCACCACGCCTGGCTAATTTTTTTGTATTTTTAGTGGAGACGAGGTTTACACCATGTTAGCCAGGATGGTCTCGATCTCCTGACGTCGTGATCCGCTCGTCTCGGCCTCCCAAAGTGCTGGGATTACAGGCGTGAGCCACCGCGCCTGGCCTACTCCACTCTTCAAAAAATTAAGATTTAGCATGTTAATTAAACAACTGACTATCTAAAATATTAGTTCTGTGAGAGTAAGAAAGGTGTCGTGTATATTGCTCTGTCCCTAATGTTTACAACCTTCTTTATACATAGCAGACTATCAATCAATATTGGTGAATAAATAAATGATGCATGCCATAGAGTTATAACTACCTACTGTTGTAGCCCCTTACCACTATTAAAAGTGTTTAAAGTTATGAAGTTAAATCACTGCGATTGAAAATATTAAACGTGAAAGATTACCAATTAATGTGGACAAGGAAAAATAATGCTTCCCTTTTCTAATCAACTCCCTCAGTCCCTTAAGTACCATTGAGGTGGCTTTAGTTGAGTTTGGATGTGTAAAGGTTGCCTGTTTGCCACTTGCCAGCAGATGGCCTAATTCTTCCATCATTCACTAAGTATTGGAACTATTCTTTATAAAGAAAAGCAGTTGGTGAGAAATAACTTTCCTCTTGATTTTTTTTTTATTTTTAGCAGAGACAACATTTTAGTATATTTCCCATTATTTTTCATTGGATTAAATAATTGATTAGATATGCTAATTTTAACATAGCCTATTCAATAAGGAATCAATTCCTAATCAATAAGGAAAGAGTACACTTTTTTTTTAATATATGCCAAATCATCTAGGACGATCTATAGAGGTGACATACTAATATCATTGCCTTGGGGATAAATTGATTCATCAGCATCTATGAGTAAATGAGACTCTTTATGTTCCTCTAGACAGTCCTTACAAGTCATTTAAAATATTGTTCACATATAGATGACTTTATAAATTTTTCTGAAATTCAGTGAAAAGAACTGTGATGTTCACTCATTTTACCTGTAACAAATTTGCTCATGTTTCTGAGGTTATTTACAAATTTATAACTTAACTGTAAGGGAAAAGCATTTTTTCATTTGTAATACATACCAAATTCATTATTTATGAGTAAATATGAAAGAGATAATATGTAAAAAATAAGAGAAAGAGCAAGAGGTGGAGGGAGGAATTATTAATTAATTTAATTAAGTATACTCTTTTTGATATTCTACTTTATTAACTCTACTAATGTAAAAATATATCATTCCATTATTTACTTTCTTTTGAATCTTGTCTACCTCTTTAGGGGCATTAAATATTCAATTGTTGTGTGCTATTTAAATGTCAGCACTATAAGAATGGGGCTACATCTGTCTCATTTATTACTGTTTACATATTGACCACCTGCAACAGTGCCTGGCATATGGAAATAATTCATTTAATATTTATGGACTGCATCAATTTTATTTTGAGCACCTTTTCTAAGGTAAACCATTAGGAAAGAACAATGAAATGTGGCATAATGATAGGGCATCTTAATCTTAGGCTGTTCAGAAATTAAAATAATCTAGCCAGTTATTTATCGAAAACTTGCTCCATCATACCTGTTTGTATCTTGAAACACATAGCTCCCTCTTTTTGATGTATTACTTGTTGCAAAAGTTACCCAGTAAATAAAGATTCTTCTTGAGGGAAATCAGTGATCTGTCCCCCATCCTAAGATGTCATCACAAAAAATTGAAATGAAAATAGAAAGAAATTCCAGAAATAGCATCAACAATGCTATGCTTGTGCACTCTGAAAATTAGGAACTGGGTTCATGGTGCTTGGTTTATTTATTATAATTAATAAGTATTTTAAGTCCTTTTAGGAATACTAACTATTACATCCTAAAATGTTTTTCAAAAGAAAATGGAAAGGCTATAAAAAGGCATTTTAACCATTTTTATCCCTGATACTCCATTTCCTTTCATTTGTGGCTTACCCAGGATTTTGAAAGAAGAAAAGTAGGCTCTTCTGTTCCCATCATGGCAACTGTCTGATTAGCCTTTTAAATGCATTTGATATTGTACAGATATTGCTTCAGTATTTAGAGAAGAAAGACACTTTTGTCTCCCAGTGGAACTGTGATTGCTTTCTTCTTTGACAGTTTACAATATTGTTTTGTCTTTTGTTAAGCAAATCATTGGAAAATTATTTTTTGTGAAACATGAATGTGGTATTTAAGATTTATGATTGTGTCAGTTTTAATCCATATTTTAAAAATAAAACCCTCAGGAAAAGAGTATACCCTCACTAAATACATACCACAACTGATTTACTGACATAAATATATATTTGTAGTTAAAAATAATAATGTTTAAACATAAATTTAAAAACCTAGATCTTTCAATAGAGAGTTCAAAATCCTAGAAAATTCACAATAGCCTAAATATGGCATCAACCTAAATATCCATCAGTGGATATATCAATAATAAAAATGTGGTATATGTACCCAATGGAATACTATTTAGCAATAAAAAGGAATGACATCCTGTCATTCACAACAACACGGATGAGCCTGGAGGACATTTATGAGTGAAATATGCCAGGCATAGAAAGATAAATACCACAGGTTCTCCCTCATATGTGGAGGCTAAAAAAAATTGAGCTCATAGAAATGGAGAGTAAAGTTCTGGTTATTAGAGGCTGCGAAGGGTGGGAAAGAGGAGAGGCTAAAGAGGGGTTGGTTAGCTAATACAAAGTTAGGGTTAGATGGATGGAGTAAGTTATATTGTTCTGCAGCACTGTAGGATGGATATGGTTCACACTAATTTAGTATGGACTTTCAAAAAGCTAGAAGGGAGGATTTTGAATGTTCACAACAAAAAGAAATCATAAATATTCACGGTGGTAGATATGCTAATTAGCCAGATTTGATCATTACACTTTGTATACATGGACGGAAATGTCACTCTGTACCCCTTAAATATGTACAATTATTACTTGTCAACTACAAATAAAAGGAAATAAATAAATAAGCAGGGGATGGGAGACAATCTCAGAAGATTCTGGAAGGATGTTTGGTGCTGTAAAGTTGATTTTTAAGGATAACATGAAAGTTATAACTCAACTTCAGAGTTCTATCTCCCTTATCCAATACTTTCAGTGTGTAAAAAATAAAAGATGTCTGCACAAGCTTATTTACTTTAAAAATGTTTTTAGGAAGTTTCTCAAATGTGCCCAAGAGACTTTGGATATTAGTATCGGTAAACAGAAAAATGTTAACACTTTTATATTCTTAATGCATAGATGATTGTTGCTTTCAAGATTTTGCTTATATTTTGGGTAATTAACAAATTTATGCTACATTCCTTACTATCAACAAAGGAATTTATTTATATTCTTCACAATGTATCATTATTTTATCTAAATTTTCTGATTTTAAAAATAATTCAAAAAAGCATGCAGTAAGCAACACCTGGAATTTGAACTCTGCTAAGTAACAATAAAATCATGATTCGAATCATTTCTTTTTTTATATAAAAAGGATATTTAGATTGTAAATTTCATGTTGTGCCCTTTTCTTATTGATTGGTTGGTTGATTCAGGGACAGAGATATTATTAGAGGTAAGCATTATTTGAGACAAAATGATGAACAAAAACAGATTAAAATCTCTGCCCTTAACAATTTACATTGTAGTGGCAAATAACAACATATGTAATTAAATAGATATTACGTTACAAAATGGTAAGCAAGAAAGGGAAAAAAGAAATATATCCTGGCTGTATTGTTTACCAGCTAGGTGACTTTAGTCAAGAAACTTTCTCTAATGCCCAATTTTCTGCGTTTAAAATGGGCCTAATGCTTACTACAAATGGATGTCATAAAAAGTAAATGAGATAGTAAATATCAACCGCTTGACTAAGTGCTTGGTATATAGTTACATCTCAATTAAAATCATAATAAGTCATTTTAATTAGCAGTATCTAAAAACTTTCATTTAATTGGGGAGCAACAATATGAATTTTCAAACAGTGATTGATAGAGATGGATAGATAGGGAGTGTTAAAGGAGAAAAAGAAGTAAGGAATAATGTTATTTAGATGGATTCATGGATGTTATGGGTTTTAAACTGGATTTTACACAATTTTGGGGGGATGACTTGTTTTTTAAAAAATCATGGGTGAAGGGGAATTATATACATGAAAGGGTGGTGTGAGCACAGGTTTTCTTAAAAAAAATATGAAATACATACCATGGGAAAGAACAGTTAGGTGACATTCAGTACTAGGCCCTAGACCGATTCTTGATATTTTTTGCTGATAGAAAAAGGCACTTTCACTAAACAAGTGTTTTACCCCAAAAGATGTTAAAACAGAAATTGGTAACAGAGATATGCTAATTAGAAAAAAAAAACCTGAAAGACAAAGGCTGTGATAAAGCAAACATCTCTCTGTACACCGGAAGAGGAATCAATGTTAGGGTTACCAGAGAAGGCTGAATTCGCAAATCCCAGTAGACCTGGGATATCTCTACTCCAGTTAACTAGGACACGGACGGAAACTCTTCTCGAATTCCTGAGAGCAGTTCAACAAGGGCAATATTAGCCTTCAGTAGAGGAAGGTGACTACTGTATTCAGAAAGTCACAAAAACAGGGAGTCTACTTAAACAGTAAATAAAAACATTGTGTAATAAAGCTCAGTTTTAAGAAGAGTAGCACAGAGAATGCAAGGTAAAGAATGGAGGAGCAGAATGAGAATGAGGCAAAGGTGGGAATTCAGAAATAAGGCTAGTTTATTTTTCATAATTGGAGACTTGATTTACTTCAGAGTTTATGAGGATCATTTTTATTTCATTTATTTATTTAAGACAGAGTCTTGCTCTGTTGCCCAGGCTGGAGTGTAGTGGTGTGATCTCAGCTCACTGCAACCTCTGCCTCCAAGGTTCAAGCGATTATCCTGCCTCAGCCTCCTGAGTAGCTGGTATTACAGGCACCCGCCACCACACCTGGCTAATTTTTTGTATTTTTTTAGTAGAGACAGGGTTTCACCATGTTGGCCAGGCTGGTCTCAAACTCCTGACCTTGGGTGATACACCTGCCTCGGCCTCCCAAAGTGCTGGGATTACAAGCAAGAGCCACTGCACCCGGCTGTTTCTGAGAATTATTTAAGGGGGATTTGATCTGTTTTTCTAGAATATTTCTGAGGAGATAAGCCATTAGGTTGAGAGCCAGTGGTTCTCGCTGTGAAAAGGAAGGAAGAAGAGGCAGAGAAAATATTGGAATAACAAAAAGCTTTTGGACAGCAGAAAGAAAATGCAGTGAAAGGGTACATTCTCAGGCTAATTGAATATGTGAGGGTAACTAATTCAAAGAATAGACTTCCTAAATGAATAAGCTGGCCTACTAATTTTACAATCTCTACTTTATTCTCTACAAATTATAAAAGAGGACAACAGGCAAACCATAAGCCATTTTTGTCATCGCTCTTCCATATTCACAAATGTCTGCTTTTCATCTTTAGAGGACATCCATTGAGTGGCATCAGAGATCCATGGAATAAAAAACAAATTTTGTCTTAAAATATTAGAATATAATACTTCTATTATATTCTAAAATGTCAATAGTTTTTTTTAGTCTAGGAAGAGGATATAAAATTTAAGTGTTTTAGACAATACATTTTTTAGGATATTTCGTGGCATTAATTACCTACAATCTATGATAAATGAATACGAGAAATACTGTTAGATACCTGTGGCCAAAGCCACTATCTTATCCCTTGTCAAAGATATATACATTCATCTTTGATAATTAATTAAGGAATAAAGCAGTTTTAGTGTTTATGTAATTTGAAATTTTCTTAATGTAGGGATTTTTAAATACACCATAAATAGACATAGTTTGAATCAACCATTAGGTATTTGTTGAAAACTACTTTGGCTAGCATTAGGGGGAAACACAAAAAACAAAAAGCACAATAAGGTTAGGTTTTTGCCCTTGGGAATCTTAAAGCCTCTTGAGGAAAAAGACATATCACAGATACATGTGTGTGATATGAAAAACAATATACAATGTAATGTTATAGGGGTCCAAAAAAGTGAATGACTAACTTCACAGAAAAGAAGTATTCTTTAAACACAAAAATTTATAAACACACATATATAAATGTGTATATCTTAATTTCTATTTTGTTGCCTTTTGCTTCTGGAACTTCACCTCACTATTCTAAATTAAGAGCAACAGACATGAAGTGTCAGGCATCAGAGGATACAGGGAGTGACAAGAAGAGAAAGCCCTGAACCATACCCATACATAGACACAAGCTCACACACATGCACACAAACATAATAAAGAATACCCACTAAATATAAATGGTTAATAGATACCAGAATACTTAAATATGTGTGCACTTCAAAGCACTCTTACATTACATTATTGCAAAAAATAAAAAACATACATGCACACACACAATCATACATACAACACATGGAGAAATTGAATATATAAACAGACAATGGCCAAATCATATATAAAAGTGGAACTTTGAGTAGTTGGGCACTGTGAGCACGGCTGTCCCAGCTACTCTGGAGGTGGGCACCTGCTGTCCCAGCTACTCTGGAGGCTGAGACAGGAGCACTAAGTGAGCCCTGGAGTTTGAGTGAGGCTTGGGCAACATAGCAAGACCCCGTCTCTAAAAAAATAAAAATGAAATTGAGACCAATAACCTGCAGCAAACTGCTTAGGAAACTAACCTTTTATTCACAATAAACAAACCAGGAAACCAACCTGTTATAGGTCAGACTTGCAGGAATCTTGATTGTTCTCTCTGGTGACAATCCAAAAAGCTAAACAATAACTTCTGTAACAATCAGCTCAAATTGTCCAAGGCTTGATTAATAACTGACAGCTTCCCTAATTTTTGTCCCCAACTTCAACTTGGGGCCAGTCAGAGAAAGCCAAATATGTACTCCTAACCAATTACATAGGAGTCTCTGGATCTAGTTATCCTGTCTACAGTTTCCCCAGATCAACAGCCTCCAATCAGGATATACCCAAAGACTTTTTTCTTTTCCACTATAAAGCTTTCCCACTCCTCTGTCTGCCTTTGAGTGCCTGCCAAAATGAGAGTGACAGTGGCAGACTCCCTTGCTATAGCAAGTAAAGAATAAATAGCCTTTCCTTTTCTCATTTCGTTGGTTTTCATTTCTTCCCACAACACATTCACACACACATGCAAACTATGCAATATATGGTGTAAGTGCTCAGACACTCAAATTAAACTAGTATATATTCATTTGATGTTTATGCTTATTACGTTTGCAAATACTCTGTATAATTTAGAAGAAATACACATAAATTTATACAGAATTTATTTCATTAAATTACATATAAATTTCATGTTAATTACATATATGTATTATGCTACAAAAAGCAACATATGGGGTGTTAGTCTATCAAAAGTAATATTACATTCTTTGCCCAAAATATTTAGTTAGCATTTCTCAAGATACCAAACACACATACACACATACACATACACGCAGACACAAATTCTTGAAAGTTTTTCTCTTCCTTATTAAACCTCAGCCATTTGCCCTAGTCTTTCGCATTCACTAGGCCTCAACAAAGGCACTAAGTGCTTTCCAGAACATAGATTTAAATGAGGTCCCTGCCTAGAGGGCTTACAACCTAATTAGACAGAGACAGTTGACCAACATATGCCCACAGACTACAGTTGGCCACTTATTTATTCTCTAATTAACATAAAGCAGCAGGACAACAACTCTGCCTGTGCTCATTGAGCAGAGAACGTCTGTGTATGCTGTGGAACTCTGTGGGAAATGAGACTGCTGCTTTCTGTGGGGGTTTTCAGCACACATTCTCTCATTTCTTGCTTGTCTTCATAATTAATATTCCCGTGCATATCTTGCTGAGACTATATATGGCCAAGCAAACAGACCCTCATGGCACAGCACAACCGTTTACCTCAGCTGTCTTGATGATCAATACAGGCCACTAGATGGTTGATTTGATTGTTACATAGGAAACTCTATTGATATGACAGGCCACAGTAAACCAAAATAGTTTTACTATGCTTTAATTTAGCAGTTTCAGCCACACAAGAAAAGTTTTCACCTCATAGTGCTAGATTGTGAAGGTCTGGCGGCTTGTTTTTGCCTTTCCACTATCCTTCCTAAATACTACTGCAAGCTCTTTCCTGTTGGAAATTTTTCTCCATCTAGGCGTTTTCAAATCATTCTCAGAAGCATTTGAAGTGACATAAAACACAAACAGTGCCACACTACCTTAAAAAAATTAAGTATGTGAGTATATTATGATGTGAGGAATATAAGTACAGGAACAGATAAGGTTTGAGAAAAAGTTGGTACCTGAAATGCATGTGGAGAGCTTACAAGTATTTACTAGACAAAGTCCCACCATGAGAATGGTGAATGATTTTACTACTTGTTAACTGTTGACTCAGAGAGAAGAATGCAAACAAGAAAATAATATATATATTTCTAACTCCAGGAATAGAGCCAATGTGAAAAGGGATAAAGTGAATTTGTTTTTTAGTTCTAGATATTAAGTATTGCAAATTACTACCATCTAGTGCCTCCTTTAAAATTCTATGTAATGCTCTTGACCTGTGTAGTAACACTAGTTTATATCTTCTAGGAATAAGAGCCATGAGTTTTTCATCCTGTGGTTTTTAATTTGCTATTAGAAAGAGTGGTATGCTTCTTTTTTCCTTTTTGATATTGTTTCTCCCACTATTCTATATTATTTCTTAAAAAATAGTATAGGCATTGAAGAACATGATTTCTTATATTATTCTTTCTTTGTTAAATTTTAATATATTGAAACTCACACACAATTGCCATTGGACAATTACTCCACATCATTGCATTATTTTAAGTGTTTCTCAAATGAACTTGAAAATAATACAGTAGATAATTGAACAGTAAGCTCCTACAGCAGAAATTTTAGACTTATATACAAATATATTTTTCTATAAATTATAAATTTGTGGACTTACTGCTTAGTTGCTGAACTAAAGAAATATAGGCAGTCTCATTCAAAGTGTAGTTTAAGGAAGCTTTCAGAGCCAATGATATAAAGAAGGGCCTGCCTTCACAAGACAAGTGAACAGAAGGCCTGTGTCAAAATATAAAAATCTTTCTAACTCTCTATACAGTATAGCTTTTATTATAATTCCTTCTAAATACAGACCCAGAAACATTAGCATTATTGTTTTTACATGATAAGTTGAAGTGATATTATCAGACTAGCCACATTTCAGAATCTAGGTATTTTAGTAAATGTCTTTGATCTCAAACACTTTGCACTTTAGAAATAAATGGTCATTTTAGTCTGTTTGAATCAGATTGTTGGTTTCAATTTTTTCTTTCTCTATGCACCTGTGAACATGCTCACTACAGTGAAAATAAAATCCAAATTGAGACACATATCCAAAGTTAATGGAGTTTCACTTATTTCTTTACATCTGGAAATTGAAGCCATTTAGTTTTTGTTTGCTTTTATTCTTTTTCCCCTCTCTTCTCTCCCATCTTCCATTTCCATCATGGAAATTCCATGCAGCAAAACATGAAATTCCATCTGAGTTGATCTAACCTCAGGGCCTCCTCCAAGCTTGCTGGAGAATCAGTGCTCTGTCACCTCTGAGAATAGAATTTATTTTGGATTCTTGTATTACCTGCCTCTGGTAGTTGGACACTTGTTTGCTAACTGACTGACTTATTTTAACTTAAATATGATATAATTGTCCTTTATTGCAGGTTTGACTTTAGTACTTTTCAAATCATGACTAAATTGATATAGGTCAAGATATAGTGCACCATTCCCACTGAGTGAAGTACTTAACTCAAAATTTCGTGTAAAACTTATGAATCAAAGCTAGGAAATGCAGTTTAAAAAGAAATGGTAACAACTCGATTCTTAATATTCAGGTTCTAAAATTTTGTCATTTATCCAAAAACATGTCCTTAAGAAATAGTTATTTGCACATAATTGTAACTATCAGCAAATCAGCACAATAAAAATATAGTAGTTTTGTCAGCATCTGTAAGATTTAGTTGTTTGGACAGTACTTAATAAATAGAACTAGTATTTCTGGGTGCCTGCCAGTTGACCATCTGTCTAGGTTGTCCATGGAGAATCAGAACAACTGAACATTTTGGCACATCCAATTACATGGAGCAACTACCAAATCTGTCATAGGTTACAACAAAAGAGAATATTACCAAAAGATTGCATTAATTGATTTAATGTTGAGAATTTGGGGAACCTGGAGATACTCATGGGAACATCTCTGTGAGTCAGTAAGTTGAATAAAATGTAAATGAATTAAATAAAGGTCATCTTTCCTAAAGGTGTTTTTCTAGGCATTTTGAGACATACATGATAACATAATCC
Organism: Homo sapiens; assembly: GCF_000001405.40. Classification (NCBI taxonomy): domain Eukaryota; kingdom Metazoa; phylum Chordata; class Mammalia; order Primates; family Hominidae; genus Homo; species Homo sapiens. The sequence goes on from NC_000004.12 coordinate 104,025,733, forward strand.
TTGCCCTCTATTGCATGTAAAATAACACATGAAATAAGATTTTCATTGCAAATATCTCTAAATGATATTGGTATTTTTGTTGTTAGAATGTTGAAATGGGAAAACTACTTCCACTTGGGGGTTAGGTTAGCACATGTGTTAAGTCCCAAATATGGGCATGCTTTTAAGAAAATGAAATTAGGGTTAAAGAAATACCAGGCAGAGAGAAAGGTTGACAAGGAACAATGAGGTGAGCTAAGGAATTAGAGAAAGCCATAATTGATTAACGAATCAGACTAGGGCCAAATCAAATTGAGTCATTAGTATCACCTTTAGAAATCTAGACTTAGGCCACAGAGAGCCAGTAAGGAATTTTAAGCAATGGAGACATAATATTTTGGTAGATTATAATGCACGAGAGAAAGTAGAGTTAGAAGAATCATAGAATAATACAACTTCAAAGAAATAGTACTTTCACTAGGGCAAATGGAGAGAGAAAGAGACAAGGTTAAGACAGAAGTGAAATAATTCGTTTGGATTTAGGTAAAGGGAAAATGATAAAAGATCAAGATGATTCTAATGTTTCTTAAAAGAAAGACACTGAACACTACTTCTACCTTCTTTTTAGTGATACGTCAAGATTCACCTACAAACATAGGTGTGTCAAAAATCTATGTAAACATGGCAGTTGCATAGCAAAGACATATCTATTTTCTTTCAAAACATTACTAAAATAACAATAAGACAATCAAATTGTGCCAGGCTACTATGACAAAGACTGGCTCAAGTGAAGCAGTAGCTTGGAAGAGAGGAAAGCAGTGATACAGACCCACCCAAGAGGCAGAAGTTAGAGTATTTGTGCTTACATGGAAGCTTATCAATGAGAAGTGTCCAATTTGCTTCACAGATCCATTGGAGGTCTAAGGCTTAAGGAACTTAAGTGGAAGGGATATGAGGATATAATTAAATGTTTATGTAGCTAACATTATGGTTTGACCAAATAGTTCCCTCTCTTTTTTATCTGGGCACAGGTAGGATTGTACTTCCTGAAACTGCCTGTGGGTGGGAGGGACCAGAAGATTCATCCTGGCTAATTAGATGTGGGATGAAATAACTTATTTAGGTCACTTCAAGTCAGAGGAAACAGTAGCCAATGTGAGACCCTCCAGAGACCTCTCTTCTCTACAGAATGGTTCCTAGCCAAATTTAAGATGATTGATGTTCCATCTTCATGAGTCCTTGAATGAGATGGAGAGAAATAAAACTCAGTATGTAATAGGCATATGGTATATTAAGAAATTATTTTTTTTCTTAAAGTTGAATATTTTGGGTTCTTTTTTACTATAGCAAAACTTATTCTAGTTTGACTGATACAATCTAGGTGTAGAACAAATAAGTGTCCCTCACTTTGCACAACTAGGAAATGACCCTCAACCTCAGGTTTATCTCTGGAGAAACTGAACTTAAAAGGTTCTCGCTTTGGAGGTATCAAATCTGAAGAGAGTAATAAGTTAAAAGACTGAAATGAAGGTCTTTTATATGAAATATACTACACTGAATCAAGGTGCCTTCTGCCACTACCCAGCAATAGAAAAACTGAGACATACAAATGTGTATTTGCCAGTGAAGGATATGAAGAATTCTCTGCAGTAACTGACCAGCCTGAAAGAATGGCCTATGGATACTGATACTAAAAAATGCTTTAACAAAAAGACCTACTCACAGCTTTATCATGTTATAGCAGGGCGTTTCCTGCTCCCTCCACAAACACCAACATTTGGTCAAATCAATAATAAAGAAAGAAATAACTTAAATTAGCAAGAAAAATAAAAAGGTTATAAAATATCCAAATGCATGGCAGGTATAAGGCATGGAAGGTATAAGGTTAGATTTTTTTTTTTTTTTTTGAGACAGAGTCTCACTCTGTCTCCAGGCTGGAGTACAGTGGTGTGATCTCGCCTCACTGCAACCTCTGCTTCCCAGGTTCAAGCAATTCTCCTGCCGCAGCCTCCCAAGTAGCTGGGACTACAGGCACATGCCACCACACCTAGCTAATTTTTGTATTTTTAGTAGAGATGGGGTTTCGCCACATTGGCCAGGATGAACTCGATCTCTTGACCTCATGATCTGCCCACCTCGGCCTCCCAAAGTGCTGGAATTACAGGCATGAGTGACCACGCCCAGCCAGATACTGTTTTATGAAAGTTTTTTTTTTTAGTATAGTTATATGTGTCCTTGTGTATATGTGATATGTATGTAAGAATAAGATTAAAAAATGTACTTATTATTGAGGCTTCTAGGTTTATCAAATACAAATCCAGGATGCTGAGGTAAATCTGACGGAGAATATATGTTTTAGAAATTAAAAAGATGATATCTAAAATTAAAAAAAAACAGTAGAAAAGTTCCAAGATTTAATTGAACAAACAACTCTGAAAGTAAAATAGAACAAAATGAGAGTAGAAAAAAATCCAAAATATACAGGAAATTAAAAGTCAATCCAGAGTAGGAAGTGTCACATATTTTCTAAGATCTGAAAGATAGAAAATTATCAAAGAAATAACAAAACAACACTCCAGAACTAAAACCATGAAACTTCAGATAGCGCCCCAAATTATAGAAGATAAGTTACCAATGTTAAATTATATTACTGTGAATTTTGTGAACATCAGAGATGTTCACAAAATCAGAGATAAAATAAAGGACCTCCAAATAATAGGAAGACTTGTGTGAGACAGAAGTTGAAGAATCTAAAAGAAATAAAAATTCTTAACTTAGCTAGAAAATAGTAGAGCAATGCCTACATATTCAGCAATCTAAATATTTTAAAATCTAGAATTTCTATACCCAAACTCTTTATCATTTGTGAGTTTGGTCAAAGAAATTAAAAAAGATATGAAGGTGTTAAAACATACTCACCTATGATACAAGAACACACTAAAACTTAGGAACCTAGGAAATAGACACCTAAGCTATGAAAGTGGTGACAAGAAATACCAGGTTGATGGCTTTGAGGCAGCAGACAATCTAGATTTAATCTAGATTGAAACAGGAATAAAAAAGGTTGCAGAAAAAGAGATGTTTAGTGGGGCAAATAAAACTGATCCATGCAAAAGAATAGTGTTCTCATTAAAAATCTGACATGTATAAGGCCATTGTTTCCGACAGACCAGATGACAAAGCCTGCAGAACTGACAAAACTGTCAAGGCATTTGAAAATATGAAGTATGTTCAACAGGTATTTGAAAAGTCTGCTGGCGTAGGAGGAAAATATCAATTGGATCATGAATGAATAAAAGGATGAAACATAAGCATTTAGTAGCTCCCTGGGAAAAAAATTTCTCAAATGAAACATAACATAAAACACTACTTGATTTAATGGTGAACAACATTTACATAGTCATAACAATATAAAATCTGGATATTGAGTTAATTAAACATTGTTCCACAACAGTATAGAAGGAAAGTGAGGGGAGGATCAATGTAAATGAACTAAATTCTTCTCTATCTTAACAGGAAGTCAACTGATATTATTATGGTAAATCAATAAATAGCAGTACAAATGTGCTGTTCTAAAAAGGGATAGACATACTAGAGTGAAAAACTAAAAGAACTGAAAGTGTTGGCCTCTGAAATGCAGAAATAGGGATAGAGATGATTGGTATTAAAATTGTCAATATCCTCTAATGTATTTAAACTACATACCATGTAATAATTGATGAGTTTGTCAAGGTATTTGTTTTTAACATAGCTTTTTTCCTAAATGCATTCAAATGCATTTTAGCAGGTGAATTTCCATAATTCTGCTATTCTGTGTAGATTATAGTCTTGGATAACAGGCAAATAGATATATAAATAATATATGAAGCCTTATTTTCTGCAAAATTTTAGTATTATATCTGCATTATTCAGTACTATATGGATATTATAATACCATTGTACTATATATGTGTGTATATGATTTATTGTATCTTTAGTTACTTATCTTCTGCATCTATAGAATGGTTGACTTCAGAATAAGTTAGAACATCCTTTTATCCTATGTAATGGGTAAGATATGGTTAAAATAATTCAAATAATGTCTTAGTCTGAATTTTGTATTATATTAATTTTAAGCTTCCTGATTAATTTTGCTATTCTATTCATATGTCAAATGAGTAGTGTTAATCATCTCTAATGATCTGTGTCTAGCCTCAACATACAATATCATATCCTGCAGTTGTAAGTCTTTGAACAATATATCCATGTAACAAACTGCCCTTGTACTCTTTAAATTTATGCAGATTAAAAAATATCAAGTAAATACAAGTAGAACATCAAAGTTGATCATTTACATTATTTACATTACATTGGACAAATCATTTACATAAAATCAAACAAATGATATTTTATTTGCAAATTTAGTTATATAAGAATGTCCTTGCTATAAGGTTTGTGTTAAGATCTTTCATATTGAATATATCCATTTAAATAGATTGTTATATTACTACTGCTCACACACACATATTATCTCTATTGACCTCAATAACATCTTTGGCATCTCTTCAATTGTCACAAAGCTTATCATGTTCACTTGCTGGCAATTTAGAGATTTCTAGCCTTTCCTTTGCATTAAATCTATAGCATTGACTTTTACTGACAAGTAAACTATATGTGACAGAATTTATTCTTTTATGTGTGCTATCTAAAATCTTATTCATACTAAACTTTATTTGCCCTTCACAAGTCATGGTTTGTGTATATATTAAAAGCCATAGTAGTGTACAAACCATCAGAATGTCCTGTGAAAATAGTTACATATATCTCTGAAATCTGTTCCTTTTACTCCATCCTACAACCACCATCCAGCCATCATCCCTCATTTGGACTACTGCAATAGTTCTATCAGCACTTAGAAACAGCTTTCACACATCCTGTTTCCTGTGGTTAGAAACTCATTTTTTGGTGTTTTAGCAATGGCAACAAAAGCCAAAATTGACAAATGGGATCTAACTAAACTAAAGAACTTCTGCACAGCAAAAGAAACTACCATCAGAGTGAACAGGCAACCTACAACATGGGAGAAAATTTTCACAACCTACTCATCTGACAAAGGGCTAATATCCAGAATCTACAATGAACTCAAACAAATTTACAAGAAAAAAACAATCAACCCCATGAAAAAGTGGGCAAAGGATATGAACAGACACTTCTCAAAAGAAGACATTTATGCAGCCAAAAGACACATGAAAAAATGCTCATCATCACTGGCCATCAGAGAAATGCAAATCAAAACCACAATGAGATACCATCTCACACCAGTTAGAATGGCGATCATTAAAAAGTCAGGAAACAACAGGTGCTGGAGAGGATGTGGAGAAATAGGAACACTTTTACACTGTTGGTGGGACTGTAAACTAGTTCAACCATTGTGGAAGTCAGTGTGGCGATTCCTCAGGGATCTAGAACTAGAAATACCATTTGACCCAGCCATCCCATTACTGGGAATATATCCAAAGGACTATAAATCATGCTGCTATAAGGACACATGCACACGTATGTTTATTGTGGCACTATTCAGGATAGCAAAGACTTGGAACCAACCCAAATGTCCAACAATGATAGACTGGATTAAGAAAATGTGGCACATATACACCATGAAATACTATGCAGCCATAAAAAATGATGAGTTCATGTCCTTTGTAGGGACATGGATGAAACTGGAAATCATCATTCTCAGTAAACTATCTCAAGGACAAAAAACCAAACACCGCATATTCTCACTCATAGGTGGGAAATGAACAATGAGAACACATGGACACAGGAAGGGGAATATCACACTCTGGGGACAGTTGTGGGGTGGGGGGAGGGGGGAGGGGGGAGGGATAGCATTAGGAGATATACCTAATGCTAAATGCCGAGTTACTGGGTGCAGCACACCGGCATGGCACATGTATACATATGTAACTAACCTGCACATTGTGAACATGTACCATAAAACTTAAAGTATAATAATAATAAAAAAAATAAAATAAATAAATAAATAAAAATAAAAAGAAACTCATTTTTTTTTCTGCCTTGTCAAGTTAAACTCACTGCTGTCATCTCAACAAAAGGATCATTTCCTGTCTCCTTGAACTGGTGAAATGCCTCTACTATATATTCTTGTAGTTACTGTTCACCTTTTTTGCAATATACTTGTTCCTAAAATATTTTGTTATAATTTGATTAACAGTCTTTAAAGTATGTATGTAGGGATTAGTGTTTACTCACCACATAAAGTTAATATGTATTCATTGAATCAATGGATGGTATAGTGAATATGTATGTTGGTTCTTAATCTTCTTATGACAAAGTTAAAATTAAAGTGAGTAGTGTTTTGACTTATTGTTGTAGGCAAATAAGTTTACTTGTTTTTCTAATATCTGGGCAAAATAAGTATATATCACAATCTAATCTGTGGATTTCCTTTATTTTTGTCATCACCCTGAGTATCCCATACTGTGTGACATTCATTAAAACCATTCTTTGTGTTTAAGTGATAAGCATCCTGAAAACATAACTTGAATAGATCAATTTGAATTTCGAAGAGCATCAAGCTGTGATCCTGAAAATCTTTCAAAGCCTTAGCCTTTTCTAGATTTGAGCATGCTGCCATCAATGAGAAGGTGGGGTTTATTTATACAATGGGCAAAAAAAGAATAGCTGGTTGAATGATTGCCATTCATCAAAGAGTGATTAAACCACTCCAGTATCTCCTGTGGGGATGAAGAAATGAATCTAATAGTTCTCTTCTTCTCAATAAACTTAAAAATTTTACAGAAGAAACAAGAATGATTCATAAAGTTATAATATGGAGTAGCAAGTGATACAGGTGCTCTAGTATTTGAGTACATAATATTGCCAGTTTTACTCAGTCTTTTCAAAAATATTCTTTTAGCAAAAATCACATTCCTGGTTTTGAATGTTCAGGGGCTCCTCCAGACTAGGAATCAGATCTAATTTAGGACTCCTATAAATTCTGTCCCATCTTTTACATTCTGGAATATTGTCAGCCTTCTCCATGTCTTTACATTTCTCTATCTTTAAAATAAAATTGATTGTTTTCATGGAATGGAGTCTGCCCACTGCTTTACATAATAAGTGCATGATATATTGTTTTAATTGAGTTTGCTGATCTGAATTTTATGGAATGCTCTCTCTTCCCTTCATAATTCTTTTTTGTATGTTTTCAGGGTAAATGCTGGAGGGGCTCCAATTTGGAAGTGTTACATTATCAAGTTAAATCATAAGAGCAATTTATAAAAGAGATAGCTTGGAATTAAACTACAAAAGCTGCTTAAGGTAAAATATGCGAGGGAACTCTCTTGTTGCCATTGTGAGACCCTGGAGAACAGATGGAACCAACTCTCAAGCTTCTGCTCGGGTACCTGCTGTTTAATTATACCCTAATTAATTAAAAGAAAGACTCCTACGTGGTTTCAGTAGTAGTGAGCGGGAGGGCAGTCAGAAAGAGATGCTTGAATTCAAACGACTTCCAAATTAAGACTAATAAGCTCAGGAAAGTAGTTACTACTTACTTATTGTTGTCATTTTCCAAAAGCAGCTATCACAACAAGCGATTGACCTTCTGACACCCCACAAATTGCAAAGTATATCTTCTTTTCAATGACCAAGTTCCAACAATATTTTATTAGAGTTCTAAGCAACACTACTAAATATCTAGAAAACATATGAGCACTTTCAAGACCATAGTAACACATATAAAATTAAATCTCAATGTGTGTTCCTTTAGTGGTCATTTCTTTTAAAAAATGCTTACACTCTTTACTTTGAGAAATTTGTTCCAAAAATACTATTTCCAGGTTGAGATTTTATCAAGTTAATTTCTCACCTGAGAAAACTTTCAATAAAAATAGCTAAATAATGTATACACATGGACATACAGAGTGTGAAATAACAGCTATTGGATATTCAGGGAGGTGGGAGTGTGGGAGGGGGTGAGCGATGAGAAATTACTTTATGGGTACATTATTTGGGTGATGGTTACGCAAAAAGCCCAGACATCATCACTAGGCAATATATCCATGTAACAAACCGCCCTTGTACTCTTTAAATTTATGCAGATTAAAGAAATCAGGTAAATACAAGTAGAACAGATGAATGGAATGGTAGTGTAGCAGCACTGTACTAATTATGCATTCACTAACAATTCATGGCCTTGCCATCCACATTGTGTGTATACGAGTGTGTGTTTGCATATATGTACACACTTATTCTCTGGCTCTCTGAATTTTGCTTAATGTTATTGTCATCAGAGAGTTACAAACAGTTTTTTGTTTTTTTTAGCTGTATGGCAAAAGACAGAAAGGCACATTTTGTAGAAACCAATCAACAGGTTAAAAACATGTTCATAATATGCATTGGGTAGGTCTGTGTAGACATTTATGCAACTGTTTGAAATGATTTCAAAGAGCATGGCAGTCTATGAGCCCAGGAGACATTCGCTAAAATGAAACTTGTGTCCATCAACTGTACTTTACATGGACAGTTTATTGGGAAACTTTAAATAACATTTTCATTTATTTTATTGTTTTCTTATTTATTAAGGAGACTTCACAGAGCAGTAAAAAATCGAATCTCACACATCTTTCAATGTAGCCGTAGGGCCTAAGTCAATTTAGTAAGCCGGATAAAAACACATACACCAGAACTGGTTCAATAGTAGATATGCATGCAATAGATTTTAGTTTCCTTTATTACTCATAGGTTTCTATTTGGGGGTTGTAAAAGATAAATATTATAGAGAATGGAGTATGGTTGTCACTTGAAAAAGATTGAGATTATTCATTCATACTAACGTGAGTTACTGAGAGTGTTGATTTAAATAGATGGAGTTTCAAGAGTTCTTCCTCTTCTGCTCCATGAAATAACATAAAAAGAATTTAAGTTTTATGTTAATGTAGACTTGAAACATTCAATAAAAACCTCTTATTGTAAAAAATATTAATCAGGAGTTACTTCTACTGCATATGGATGTATTACACATAGAGTATTACTCAGAATCCCAGAATAGTGGCTCACAAATCAATCAATTATATCCATGTTTGGACATAATCTTGGCTGACCACTATCTGATGCATTATATGATACACAGAGCTATAGAAAGAAGAAATTACAAAGCCAATTACTTGACTATTAACGTTTCAATGAATTCTTAACTCCCTAAAAGGCTGATATTATTTTATGCTTTATTCCTCATTAGTGAAAATGAGAAATAGTGTATGTTGGAAAATCATGAATGACAGAAAATTTTATATAATTAAATGCTGATTTACCTGTAAAAAGTGACATGGGTGTGCTCAGATAATTAATCATGAAATTATTTGTCTCATAGAATATTGTCAATGATTTTGGATTGTCTCTTTTGGTCACACTAATGGAATTCCAAATAGGAGATATATCGTGACCTAGAAGGAGTTCAGATTGACAACTGTTAGAATAAATACATTGTTGATAGAAGAAAAATAAATAAGCAGAAAAAAAATTGGGCAACTTTGCTCTATTCCCCTCTTTCAGGCAAAATCCAATATGATATAGATTTTTGAGGACATATGTGATTAATAATTTTAACATAAAGATATTTATATATTTTAATTAGATGTTTCCCTTTTCTTGAGAGCTCTGAGAATTTAACATCCTAATGAGATTTGTAGGTATGTGCCCAGTCTCAGACACTGAAGGAGATTAGTTTGCCTGATTTCCAATGACAGCTTTTCACCAACTGAAACTGCCAATCATGCTTTTCTGAGGCTATGCTGCTGTGTGCACAACCTCTGATGGCTTCATAGTATGAAGATTCCAGTGGAAATGTGGTCAGGATCTTTGTGTGGTTTTCTCCATACCCATTCACTGGTTTGTCAGTTTGGTTGATAGTTCATTTCTCTTTGAAAAAAAAGATCAATTTCTAGAGGAAGTCAGATAATTGATTTGAAGAATTTACAAGAAGGCTTTTTAAGTTATAGTTTTTGCAGCTCAAGACTACTGTATTCTTGTGCACCAGTAAACCCGATTTTTCTCATAAATTTGTATAGGTAATAATTTCTAAGTACTTTTTCCAAAATCAGGGATTATCCCCTATCTTAGAGATAATATTCTAAGAACTCTAGTTATAGGAGGGAGGTGGGGGAAAGAGAAAAGAGAGAGAGAGAGAGAGAGAGAGAGAGAAACAACTCACAGAACTACAGAGAAACAGATGAAGAAATTATCTTCAAGCTTCCTTAAATCCTGCTCTAAATGACGTTTCTCTTATATCTGATATTAACTAAAGTCAAAGTATCTTAAATACCTTTCATTATCAGCTCAGCATGGGTTGCTCCACTGTGGTTTGAGGTATTATATGATTTCTGAGCATAAACTGAGCACTTCTTTACTCTGGAGTCAGCCTCTAATGAATTTTTCCATTCATTTTTCTTTAGAAGACCAACAAGATCTTTGCTGTTAGATCATAAGGGAGGCAATATTGGAGGCTAGTTGTCAATGGCTTTATTTCCCATTTTTATGTTGAAAATGCATCCTCATAATATATTCAAGTATTTCAGATTAAATCAAATGTCTTGTTTGTAGTAATGAGACATGTTAAAATATATTCTCACAGAAACCATGCAAATTTACATGGGAGCAGGCGGCTTTAGGGGGAAATGTTTTGCAGATTAAGAAATTTTTTATTATATTCTAATGTGGGTGTGGTGGAGAGTGTACTCACTTGGCACTCTTTTTTTTTTTTTTGAAGGCAGAAATAAAGATGTTCTTTGAAACCAACGAGAACAAAGACACAACATACCAGAATCTCTGGGACACATTCAAAGCAGTGTGTAGAGGGAAATTTATAGCACTAAATGCCCACAAGAGAAAGCAGGAAAGATCCAAAATTGACACCCTAACATCACAATTAAAAGAACTAGAAAAGCAAGAGCAAACACATTCAAAACCTAGCAGAAGGCAAGAAATAACTAAAATCAGAGCAGAACTGAAGGAAATAGAGACACAAAAAACCCTTCAAAAAATTAATGAATCCAGGAGCTGCTTTTTTGAAAGGATCAACAAAATTGATAGACCGCTAGCAAGACTAATAAAGAAGAAAAGAGAGAAGAATCAAATAGATGCAATAAAAAATGATAAAGGGGATATCACCACCGATCCCACAGAAATACAAACTACCATCAGAGAATACTACAAACACCTCTACACAAATAAACTAGAAAATCTAGAAGAAATGGATAAATTCCTCAACACATACACCCTCCCAATACTAAACCAGGAAGAAGTTGAATCTCTGAATAGACAAATAACAGGCTCTGAAATTGTGGCAATAATCAATAGCTTACCAACCAAAAAGAGTCCAGGACCAGATGGATTCACAGCCGAATTCTACCAGTGGTACAAGGAGAAACTGGTACCATTCCTTCTGAAACTATTCCAATCAATAGAAAAAGAGGGAATCCTCCCTAACTCATTTTATGAGGCCAGCATCATCCTGATACCAAAGCCGGGCAGAGACACAACCAAAAAAGAGAATTTTAGACCAATATCCTTGATGAACATTGATGCAAAAATCCTCAATAAAATACTGGCAAACTGAATCCAGCAGCACATCAAAAAGCTTATCCACCATGATCAAGTGGGCTTCATCCCTGGGATGCGAGGCTGGTTCAATATATGCAAATCAATAAATGTAATCCAGCATATAAACATAACCAAAGACAAAAACCACATGATTATCTCCATAGATGCAGAAAAGGCCTTTGACAAAATTTGGCACTCTTGTTCTTTCAAATAAATCTTTTTTCCTACCCTGCTGACTCTTTGAATCATATCACCAGTTGACTTCAACTAATGGGGATCACTAGCAAGAGATTGGAAGGTAGGAAGAGAAGGAGATTTGGAGATTTCTTACCCACTTTTTTTTTTTTTTTGACTTTGGAGGCTCACTTCTGGCAGTATCTGCATTCGTTCATGACTACAGATCTTGCCAGCCAGCCACTCTCCCAGGTTCCAGCCCTTACTGGGTTTCAGGAACACGATTTTCTCCTATTGCCCATTCAGAACTAGAAGAAGCATTTCTCTACTGTTGCTGATCTCTGCTTGCTACAGTAGCTCTTGTTGACTTCTTGAATCCTGCCAAAACCTCTGTAAATTGCCCTTTGTGAATGTCTCTTAATTTGAATCACCTGATTTGAATTCGTTTTCTGTTAGGGCCCTGACTAATGATAATAACAATAATATTAACACTAATAGGCAGGTTTTATAGAATGTGTACAACATGTTAGACATTGTGCTAAATGTTTTTATATGTGCTATTTAATTGAAACTTTGAAAATTCTTAGGTGATAGACATTATTATCTTTATTTTATAGAGATTAAGTTGAGGTTTAGAAAGGGCATCATTGCCCAAGTTCTCTCCAGCTAATTAGGGAGCATCAGGACTCAACCTAAAATGTCTGACTCTGAAGCTTGTACTTTTAACCCCTCTGCAATGCTGCTTAATATGTGAGACTTTCAAGATTGTGCTCTGGTTTACTACTGGCAAATCTAAATCTCTGAAGGGTGTTCTGTAACCAGATAAATAAGAAAAAAGTAGTATTTTGTTTAATTCCACAAATATTTACTAAATCGTTACTATATGTTCAGCATTATTCTAGGGCTTAAAAATGTGAAGATAAAAATGCTCTGCTTCCAGATACATTTATAGTTTGATAGGAGCATTAGACACCATAAACACATACATTCAATAATGTTTTACAAGTAAAGTATAAATATTTACAAGCTACAGAGTAAGAATATTGGAGCAGAATGGTGTGTCCCTGTTAACTCTTCAGGATTTCATATTCAGTTAGTCAAATGATGTGTATTCACTATGGAATTCCAGCACACTGAGCTTAACCATACTTACTCCATGCATTCACAGTGTTTCACATTCTCTTGTTGGAGGAAACAGTCATGTGATTACCTTTGTCAATCAAATGCTCATTTGTCTGTCTCTTATCAAATTCTTTATTTATAGACTGGCATTCTTTGTGGATTCAAATATTAGAATTTATAGACTTATAAAATTCAACTTGGCCAACATCCCAATTATACTTAGAGAGAATAAAAAATAGAATAACAGATAATAGTCTATTTTTTTTTCTTCTGGATTCATTTTCCTCTGTGCTGATGTTAAAGTACTAAGAGTTTAGTAGATTACAAGTATCAAATTTTGTCTAATATAAAATTCATAGATTATAAGTTGCACCAGTATTTACATATCCCTAAGAAAGAAATGGTGTTGACATTAATGTTTAACACAGTGCTTTCTTATTACTTAAAACTTGCATTTTTGTATTTATTGAAATAGTAATTTTAGGATTAAATATTTTTACAAAAGTAACAGCTGTGGATATATATAAAAGGAAAATGTAAACAAAATAATTTGGTTAAGACATTTATAATTTCTTCCCATTAAGAGATTGGGCTTTGTGAATTTACTTTTTTACTTAGTCATCACTGTCCTTATTTCACCACACAAGTTTTGAAGTTTGAACTTATTTTTCTTATTTCTAAAATAGTGATAATAATAGCATCATCTCCCATGGGGTTGTTGGAAGTGTTAGGTGAAATGAGACATGCAAAGTGGTTAGCATACTGCATGGTACACAATAAACAATACTATTAGTTATTAATTTGTTCTTGTTTTTCTTATCGTATTCTCTTCAAGTCAGCATTTGATAAATGGTGAAAACAAAATAAAAGTGGTGAAGACAAAAATCTTTTAGTAGGCAGGTAGTCATTTTGTCTCACTATTCCTCACCTGCTTGCTCTAGATTATAAACAGTTTTGTCTTGAGAGCTACAACTAAGATGAGGCCAGCTGCTTGATTCTGGTTAAGTCCATAACTTCTCTAAGTCTGAAATTGCTGCTTTGTAAAAAATCATATCCTTGATGAACATTGATGCAAAAATCCTCAATAAAATACTGGCAAACTGAATCCAGCAGCACATCAAAAAGCTTATCCACCATGATCAAGGGGGCTTCATCCCTGGGATGCAAGGCTGATTCAACATACAAAAATCAATAAACGTAATCCAGCATATAAACAGAACCAAAGACAAAAGCCACATGATTATTTCAATAGATGCAGAAAAGGCCTTTGACAAAATTCAACAACGCTTCATGTTAAAAACTCTCAATAAATTAGGTATTGATGGGATGTATCTCAAAATAATAAGTGCTATCTATGACAAACCCACAGCTAATATCATACTGAATGGACAAAAACTGGAAGCATTCCCTTTGAAAACCGGCACAAGACAGGGATGCCCTCTCTCACCACTCCTATTCAACATAGTGTTGGAAGTTCTGGCCAGGGCAATCAGGCAGGAGAAGGAAATAAACGGTATTCAATTAGGAAAAGAGGAAGTCAAATTGTCCCTGTTTGCAGATGACATGATTGTATATCTAGAAAACTCCATCGTCTCAGCCCCAAATCTCCTTAAGCTGATAAGCAACTTCAGCAAAGTCTCAGGATACAAAATCAATGTACAAAAATCACAAGCATTCTTATACACCAATAACAGACAAACAGAGAGCCAAATCATGAGTGAACTCCCACTCACAACTGCTTCAAAGTGAATAAAATACCTAGGAATCCAACTTACAAGGGATGTGGAGGACCTCTTCAAGGAGAACGACAAACCACTCCTCAATGAAATAAAAGAGGATACAAAGAAATGGAAGAACATTCCGTGCTCATGGGTAGGAAGAATCAATATCGTGAAAATGGCCATACTGCCCAAGGTAATTTATAGATTCAATGCCATCCTCATCAAGCTACCAATGACTTTCTTCACAGAATTGGAAAAAACTACTTTAAATTTCATATGGAACCAAAAAAGGGCCCACATTGCCAAGTCAATCCTAAGCCAAAAGAACAAAGCTGGAGGCATCACACTAGCTGACTTCAAACTATACTACAAGGCTACAGTAACCAAAACAGCATGGTACTGGTACCAAAACAGAGATATAGACCAATGGAACAGAACAGAGCCCTCAGAAATAATGCCGCATATCTACAAATATCTGATCTTTGACAAACCTGACAAAAACAAGCAATGGGGAAAGGATACCCTATTTAATAAATGGTGCTGGGAAAACTAGCTAGCCATATGTAGAAAGCTAAAACTGGATCCCTTCCTTACACCTTTTACAAAAATTAATTCAAGATGGATTAAAGACTTACATGTTAGACCTAAAACCATAAAAACCCTAGAAGAAAACCTAGGCAATACCATTCAGGACATAGGCATGGGGAAGGACTTCATGTCGAAAACACCAAAAGCAATGGCAACAAAAGCCAAAATTGACAAATGGGATCTAGTTAAACTAAAGAGCTTCTGCACAGCAAAAGAAACTACCATCAGAGTGAACAGGCAACCTACAGAATGGGAGAAAATTTTCGCAACCTACTCATCTGACAAAGGGCTAATATCCAGAATCTACAATGAACTCAAACAAATTTACAAGAAAAAAACAAACAACCCCATCAAAAAGTGGGCAAAGGATATGAACAGACACTTCTCAAAAGAAGACATTTATGCAGCCAAAAAACACATGAAAAAATGCTCATCATCACTGGCCATCAGAGAAATGCAAATCAAAACCACAATGAGATACCATCTCACACCAGTTAGAATGGCGATCATCAAAAAGTCAGGAAACAGCAGGTGCTGGAGAGGATGTGGAGAAATAGGAACACTTTTTCACTGTTGGTAGGACTGTAGACTAGTTCAAGCATTGTGGAAGTCAGTGTGGCAATTCCTCAGGGATCTAGAACTAGAAATACCATTTGACCCAGCCGTCCCATTACTGGGTATATACACAAAGGATTATAAATCATGCTGTTATAAAGACACATGCACACGTATGTTTATTGCGGCACTATTCACAATAGCAAAGACTTGGAACCAACCCAAATGTCCAACAATGATAGACTGGATTAAGAAAATGTGGCACATATACACCATGGAATACTATGCAGCCATAAAAAATGATGAGTTCATGTCCTTTGTATGGACATGGATGACGCTGGGAACCATCATTCTCAGCAAGCTATGGCAAGGACAGAAAACCAAACACCACATGTTCTTACTCATCGGTGGGAATTGAACAATGAGAACACATGGACACAGGAAGAGGAACATCACACACCGGGGCCTGTTTTGGGGTGGGGAGAGTGG
The DNA here is from genome assembly GCF_000001405.40 of Homo sapiens. Taxonomy (NCBI): domain Eukaryota; kingdom Metazoa; phylum Chordata; class Mammalia; order Primates; family Hominidae; genus Homo; species Homo sapiens. The sequence goes on from NC_000004.12 coordinate 104,041,965, forward strand.
AGAGGGATAGCATTAGGGGATATACCTAATGCTAAATACCGACTTACTGGGTGCAGCACACCAACATGGCACATGTATACATATGTAACAAACTTGCACGTTGTGCACATGTACCCTAAAACTTAAAGTAGAATAATAATAAAATTTAAAAAAAATCAGGATAATAAACATTATCCCAAATAATTATCTATTATAAATATGAATTTCATAAATATTGGTTGAATGTGTCTTAAGTCTCTTTTGAAAGAGAAGAACACAGAAATATTCATTTCCCAGAAAAACCATACATTGTTTCCTGGAGCCTCAAAATAAAGACTCGTTAAGGAAAATAATAGGATTTTAATGTCTTTTTTCCCCTGCACTCTCTAGTTAGATGCCAATCGTTAGCATGTCAAAAGTCATTTTCCTTGTGTAACCTCTGTGATCAAGGGGCAGTGCCTGTGGTAAAAAGCACATTCTAAGATGCAAATCACAATGTTCTAAGCAATGGCAAACAATATTCAGATAAGCTTTTGCATTGCTTCTTCCAGTTCAGAGGATCTGAGGGTTGCTGTTGTGCCTCCTGATGCAGTCAGTTACCTGAAAGTGTGAAGTTCATATTTTGCCCTGGTGCCCCTCACCAACGATGATGAGTAATGCACTAATCGTTCCCCAAATCTTACATGTTCAAAGTTCACTTGAGTATAGGAGGGTGGCATGTATGAGCTCTGAATTGATTTTTCTCATGTTTAGGCTAGGAAAATGATTTTTCAGCAAAATTGACTCCACTTTACAATTTTCCCTTCCATAATTTACAGTGCTTTTATTTTTTCCCTTAAAAATAAGTAATTTCATTTTCTCCTTCTTTGATTGCTTTAAAAAATAGTGACCTGTTACTTAAAAATTAGTGCAAATTTGGAAAAGCCATCTCTTCCCTTTTTATATTCATCCACCCACATTTCTTCCATTTTTCATTACCTTTAGGCAGACAATTAAACAAATACATAAATAAAAATCCTCTACCCTGATAACAGTTATTTGACAAATATTTTACCAGGAATATTTTCATTCATAGGTAAATACATAAAGAGACAAACGATGTGTAATATGCATTTTAGTTTCATCTCCTTATTTTCTAAATTTAGAGCACATTATTTATTTTAGGCCACAAAAGTCTAGTATTTTCTGTTGTGACTACTTTATCCTCTTGCCTTGGGATGGTTATTTAAAAATAGCTATTTCTTATTATGAATGGGTATCTACGGAAATAACTAAGGGCTTTAAAAGGATTACTGATAGAAATGAAGTGAATGCATGTGTAAATATCACATAGCAGCACCTAAACATTTTCCTGACTATCATCTGAGTGAAATAAAATTTCAAGGAAATCTCAGGTGATTTTAGAGATGCTGTCAGAATTTTTTTGGTCTTTTATTCACTATACAGCAATATAAAATTCTCTCCATTGAACTTTTTTACTTTTGAAGTGTGAACATCAGTATATTTCCATGGAGGATAAAAAGGACTTTAAAAATTTCAGTTGGGCCTTGCTTTAGAGGTTGCATTCTCTATAAACTCACAAGGCAGGAATATAATACTTATTTATATTAACTGACAGGGAGTTTCTGATTTAACAAATATAATGTATTATTCTTTTAATATCAGCACTTGCTGTACATAAGCATTGTTTAAAAGTAATTTATATTTCTATAAAAGTACCAGGATGGAGACATAATGTGGCAGATAAATCTGAAACTAAAATTTTAGGGGTAAGTGATGTTCTAAAATCAATCAGAAATATTCATAAGGTTTCATGCATAAAATAAGTCAACTTTAGCTACTGTAATTTAATTTACAAAAATAATTTGCAGTCATGTTTAGTCAGTTAATCTACTTGTTATAAAAATATGCCACTAACTGAATTATGCAAATAACTCATTCATATAACTCCTGGATGAAATCATTTACCAGGTATATCCAACTTACTCTACTATAATAAGATTACCACACTTTTTCTGTTGTGGTTTTTAACATTTTTTATTTGATAGAATCCTCCTACTTTGATTTTCTGCACTGATCTGTTTTTGTTCTCTATAATATCCTTCATTTTATATTTATCTGACTTCTAATTTTAGCTCATAGTTTCTTTAAACTGGTAGTGATATCCAGAGGCTTTAGTAGATTTAAGATAAACTTGGGGGATAAATATGTTCTAAAGGTGGTTATGAGTATTTCCTACTACCTGAATTTATAAGATACATATCTCTATGTATCAAACTTAGAAATTGTTTTAGTTTTATCTTCCATTGTAAATGTCCTTATCAGTATTTCACTCTAATGATTTGTAACTTCAGACATTTTTAAAACAATCATTTCATTCGGGTCTACAAATGATTAGTTTCTAAACTAAAGTTTTCCTTGTATTTTTTTTAGGAAGAATTCTTTTTGTGTAGCTACTTTTGGCTCTAAAATGAGGGTGTCCAAGCAAGCTGTCATCTCTACACCCCACAGAAAACCAAAACAAATATACAGCACTGAGATTTTACTAGCAACAACCTAGAACTCAAACGTGAGAATGGGGCTAGGGCCACAGAGAAGTGAAAAAATAAATAAATAAATAAATAAATAAATAAATAAATAAATAAAAAGAAAAACACCGATAAGTTAGGAGAATCTGGCTTCACAGCCACAATTTTATGCGACAAGCTTGTGGAAAATTTTTCCCAGCTCATGGTTTCTATGCTGGAAAAAGTGAGTTTGAGGGGTTCAACCAGCTTTCCTCTCATCTTAGGTTCCCTGGCAGACTTGTCTCATATATACTTTGATGGCCTCTTTCTTTCAGAACATCAGTAAACCATTCAATTAAGATATACTTCCCTTGGACATGATGAGAAGGAAAGAGCATCTTCTCTAGACACATTAATAATATACATGTGTGCCAGAGGCAAGGAGACGAACGACACATAAATTGTGGTCTGCCGCTACAGTGAAATTTCTGTAGTCCAAGTGTCTGGGGCACGTTGAGATATGACTTCCAAATATAGTTGGTGTATCTGGAAATGGGTTGATACTTACAGAATTTATTGATTTCTCATGCTCTGCAGCACCCTATAGAGAGAGCATAATGCAACAGTGAAAAGGCCTTTAGAAGACTGAGTTACTGGGCCAGCTGCCTGCATCACTTGGTGGGGCTGGAATGATGTTCCCTAGGGTGCAGTCTATGTTGTAAATCAGTGAACTAATATTTGGCTTTCTTTCTCCCATAGCAGATACTCATAACTCAGGAAAAAGGGGCTAAAATTGAGGGCTATTCGCTCACTCTTATCCCTAGTAAATGAATATCAGTGAAACTTGCACTTTCTATCCTCATGTCTTTGGGTTCTGCTGCTTGATAAGTCTAGTTCCCTCCCAAGGGATGACTACTTCCACCAGGGAGCACGACAATTGTTTCATTAAACTTGAAGTTGAGATTGCCATTTGGCCACTTTAAGATTCTCATTATAGTAAATCCACTGACAAAGAAAAGCGTTACTGTACTCTCTTGGAAAATTGACCCTGACTCTTAAGGAGAAATTAAGTTGCTACTATGGGATCAGGAGACACATGTCTGGAATGAAGTAGATACCCTGGATGTTCTCATGTTCTCTATACAGCAAATGGATAAATACAACTCAATAAAAGCAGGACTGCTAAAGACTAGACCTTTCAAAAATGAAGGCTTGTGTCAACCTCCTAGGCAGGAAACCATGACCTACTAAGGAGCTGGCTGAGAATAAAGAAAATATGGAAGTGTCAAATTATACACATCAGCTATGCCTTAGTACCTATGAGTATTTATTTCTTCCTCATTTTAATGTGAATATGTGTGTGTGACTCACCATTTTCTTTTTTAAAATTCTGTACTCCTGCAATAAGTATAGCATAAAGCATGTTGACAGTACTTAACCTTATTCAACATTTAAAGTGTCCCTCAGATAGACGTGGACATTCAAAAGTGTTAAAGAGCCCAGCCAACATCACAAGAGCTGCCTACCTGATGCACTGCTGGCCAGAGATGTAAGAATAAGCTCAGCAGAAATCAAAAGAGCCACCTGATACATAGACTTCTGAGTGCTAAAAACTGGTTGTTCTTTTAAGCCACTCAGTGTTGAAGTGGTCTGTTCATCCCAATAGCTAACTGATAAGAAATCCAGCAATGGACAGTGTTAAGGAGGAGTGTATACAGAGGAGGGTGATTGACCGGGCAAGAGGTCCAGAAATCAAGCTGTATAGAATAGATTGAAAGGATAAGTACATTTGTCATAGAAAGAAGGAATTTTAGGAAGGATATAGTGGCTCTCTCAACATAATTGATGAGCTGTCAGTAAAAGGGGGCTATATTTACCCAGCATAAACTCAGAAGGCAAAATGGTAAACACTAGCAGATATTAGATGGCAGGAGATATTGAAACAGAACTATATAAATTGCAGAACTAGCTCAAATTTATATATCAAGGATTGTGCTTTACAATGCAGTCAGTTTTCTGTCACTGGAAATGTTCACACATAGAAAGGATGACCTTTTGACAGGGCTGTTTTGAAAGGAAGTTTCTAGTTTGGTTTAGAATTTTGACTAGGTGACATATAAGATGGCTTCTAACCTCAAAATCTTATGTTTGATGAGAATTTATTTTAGCTTTTTAAATTAAATATACCTTTCATAATTATCAGTATTCAAAAAATTTATATTACTTAAATGTCAAGTATATAATTGTTTGGTCTTTTATTTATTTAATTTGAATTGATGACATTGCCCACATTCTGAGTAAAATAGTCTGAAAAGCTATCCACTGCCTTACCAGCAATATAGCTCTTTGAGAAAGTGTGTTGCATTCCAAAAATTTTACTTTAAAAGAAACTTTTGAAATAACTGGTTTAGAAACCTATGGCAATTACAATTCATGAAGAGATAAGGATAACAAGAGAAATTTATTATTTTTCTTTTATTGAAAAAGTATCTACTGATTTTCTCTTTGTTAGGTACTGTTCTAAGTACCAAAGATGTTTCAGTAAACAAGTGAAAGCCTATCTTCCAAAGAGGAGGAAAACAATCAACAAATATTAATGCCATGTAATGTAAGAGGGTGATGGTGCTAAAAAGAAAAATAAAGCAGGGTAAAGGGAGATAGATTTATCTCCTAGGTGTGTAATCAGAGAAATGCTCTGGGGGAAATTCTCTGTGTTTATGTTAAATGCCATATAAACAACAGGAGAGATGGATTACTAGACAGATGAAAAATCTCTTGGGAAAGAAGCTTTACTAGGCATATTCAAAGAAATGCAAGAAAGACAATGTGGTGTAATTAAATAAGGAAAATGAAAGAATTAGAAAACATTATAATAGGCAGTGGCTAGATCACACAAAGATTATAGTTCATGGTAAGGACTTCATATTTTATTTACAGTATGCCATAAAGCTATTGGAAAGTTGAGACTAGGTGCTTGGCATGGTGTGTATTATATTTCACAATACCTACTGTTTTGTCTTTGGGGACAATAAGCTATGGCTGAAATCGAGTGAGGGAGTGGAGCTCATTGGCCTTGGCCCTATTGCTCTCATGTACATTTCTCTCCTTTCCCAAGTTCTATTGTCTATCATTAGAGGAAGATGAACCTTTAGTACTGCATTTCGCAGCCTCTCTTATGAAATAACTGGATGAAATACTGGCAGAAAACTGACAGGTGGATGGAAGAGAGAAGACAGGCCATATTTTATCTTATTTATTTCTGTCTTTTCATTGATTCTGAGCCTGAGAGACTTACTGTGGTTCTGCTTTCACTGGACATCAGCAACAAGTATAGTTTTGGGATCTGGTTGGTTCCTGTCTTTAAACTTCTAGTTTATGGGGAATTGTCTAGAGTGATTTCTGTTGGTCTAGTTGGACCCTGACCAAAACAAGAGGCAAAAGCAGAAGCAGGGATATTGTCACGGGTCCATGGCAGTAATCTAAACAACAGAAGAGGGTAATTGAGCAAGTTATCATAACAGCAATGGGCAAGGTAAAAAGCGATACCACTTGCGGTCTCCCGGATGAAGAACCAACAGGGCATGTTAAAGGATTGGATGAGTGTTGTGATAGAAGAAAAGAAATAAAACATCTTTAAGGTTTAGTTTGAAAAATTAGATTAAAGGCAATACCATTGGTAGAAGATATAGGAACGATCAAAGAAAGGCAGATTCATTCACAGGGAAGGAATATGAATCAAGAGTACTGTTTGGTAGAATTTGACATTGACATGACTATTTTATATCTATGTAGAGGGTCAAGTAAAAAGTTAAATATACAAATGCAGAGTTTAGGGGAGCACTTCAATTAGAGACATATTGGATGGGTGGGTAGGATTATTGGTGTAGTAAAGTCATAGAATTTGGAGAGATTACTTGGGAACTGATTATAGAGAAGAAGCAATATCTGAAGACTAAGCCCTAATGCACTCCAATATTTAAAAATTGGAGAGAGAGAGAGAGAGAAAGAGAGAGAAGAAACTATCACAGAAACTAAAAAGGCAAAACCATGAAGTAAGAGGGAAAAGAGAAGAGTAGTTTTTAGAAGTGAAGAAAGCTTTTCAAGATGAGATATCCAATGCATTTTATGTGTCATTTATAATATCATGTCATTTCATCCTCCCTTCCTTCTTTCCTTCCTTTCTTTCCTCTCTTCTGTCTTGCTGCCTTCCTTCCCTTCCTGACTCTCTCCTCTCTCTCTCTTCCTTCCTTATTGCTTTCCTTGTTTTATTCAGTCATTTAACCAATATTTATTGAAAGCCTGATAGGGGCACTATACTACTTAATTCTAGTCTCGGATATAGAAGGCCTTCAATAAAATCTCTCTCTCTCTGTTTTTTTTTTTTTTTTTTTTTTCTTGAGTTGGAGTTTCGCTCTTATTGCCCAGGCTGGAGTCCAATGGCATGAGCTTGGCTCACCACAACCTCCGCCTCCCGAGTTCAAGGACTTCTCCTGCCTCAGCCTCCCCAGTAGCTGAGATTACAGGCATGTGCCACCACACCCGGCTAATTTTGTATTTTTAGTAGAGACAGGGTTTCTCCGTGTTGGTCAGGCTAGTCTCAAACTCCTGACCTCAGGTGATCCACTCGCCTTGGCCTCCCAAAGTGCTGGGATTACAGGCATGAGCCACTATGCCCAGCCTAAGATCTCTTAATAGTAGCCCATTGGAAAAGACCCAATTTTTCCAGACTGTTCATTTTATAAAGAATCATAAAGTTCATGTTTAGAAAACAAAGCATGTTAACCTGGAAAACGAATCCATTATTCTACATTTTAGTAAAATAATGAGTTTTACACTTTATTTCAAACTTTATGTACACTTACACATACAAGTAATAAGCATATATGCATAAATATGTTGCATTCAATTTTATCATATTTATTTAAAATAGTTTACAATGAGAATTTTAAAAACATGTTTTCTCATGTAGCGATTTTGACATTTTATTTTTCTGCTTGGAAGTGGCAAATGCTCTACTTTAGAGCCTCTTATTTCTTTGCGCATGTAAATACATTCCAAAGGTTAAATTTAAAAAGTTAGCTCCTTGCAATTGGCTTAGAAGAAAGCTAAACCTATACCTTCCATACATCTCCTTCACAGACTGTTTTGCTTTTCCTTCTTTTAGGACTGAACATGTGGCCTGCATTTTTCTCATTCATAACCAAGATTCACCTCTAAAGTAGAAAAATATCCAGAATATGAGTTGAGTCTAATTCTTCTTAAAATCGAAGACAGTTAAGCTCCAAGGTTAAAATTGGTAAGCTCAGGAAATCCTAAGTGTAAACATCACCTTTCAGTCACCTACAAATCATCTCCTGCTCCTTTTTCTCTGAAATGCAGGATTGCAGCCTCACTGCAAATTTTCTTTCTAAATTAAGCAGCACATTTCAGGTATCTAAGAAGCAGCTGAGTGAGGCAAGGGATTTTTAAACTGGATTCCACTCAAAATTGCTACTGCTCATTACATTTTCACAAGTGGGGGTGAGAATTTCAGAGTTTAATGAAGGTCACGAAAACAAGAAAATGTAGCAGCAAAATAGGACGAGGTTTTAGAGTAAAAATTAGGAGAATTAAAAAATGAAATATGCTATTAAAATTCTACATTTTAAATTTTTATTTTCCTCAGCATAATTATAAACTTCAATTGACAAATGAGATATAAGAAGCAGACTGAGTGCTGTAATATAATTGGATTTAACTACAGAGCGTAATATAGACTTTTCATCTTCAACCTTATTCTAACCTTTAAAAGCTTACATTTGTAATTTTATACTCTGTAGTCACTAGGATTTGGATTTTAATGCAGCAGAAAAGACAAGAATCAAGCCTTAGTATTAACCTACTATTAGTCCATAGGAACAGCCAAACTTCCTGAATAAAATACAAAATGTATATTTAAGTATGTCATTTCATTTTTATTTTTTTCTGTAGACTAAATTATGACATATATTTTAGTCTTTTAATAACAATAAGTTCTACTGTGGCTAAATTTATTTCTAAAGTATGTGTACCTAGATTGTGGGTAGAAAAATTCAATCTGTAGAAGATTTTAGTCACCTCAGACTAAAAAACAAAAACAAAAATCGTGATGGCTATATTTAGCTAGGTTGAAAAAATCAGCCAAAAATAAATCTTCCCCCCAATTCCTTTATTAAATGCTATATCTAACAGAAAACAAGAAGACCTTTTGTAAGGCTTTCCATCTGCTTAATTTACCAAGGTAGTAATGATTTATGTTAAATGACCTCCAATGAAGTTCAATGAGCAAAGAATCAAGATTAAGCTATGATGGAAGGAAAACAAGGAGGGCAGGGGATAGAAAATACAAAGTCTCATAAATACCTGGAAAAATGAGATAAACACATTCATATTGCTATCGTATATTAAGAAATTAACGCATTCTGAGATGACATGGATATGCCCTGTTCAGTATGCTCTGAGGTTTGAAATTCAACCACAATGTGAGAGTTACCTATCTTCTACCCTTGGAACCCAGTGGTTTTTACCCACTGATTATGCCCAAACACTAGAGAAGAAAGTTGGCTGCTTTCAGATGTTTAAGGGGAAAGGGAAACGTACATGTAAGCACTGAGTGTCCTAACTGGCACACTCTAAGATGGCTCCCAGTGATCCCTCCTTCCTTTGATTCACACCTTTGTGTAATCATTTGCCTTGAGGTGGCAGGATTTGGTGACTTACTTCTAGTGAATTGGACACAGCAGAGTTGACTGGATGTCAATTCAATGAACATGTCCTGCAATAGATTGTGCTTCCGTGTTGGGTTTTTTCTCTTCAAATTCACTTTCTGGGGGAAGCCAACTACCATGATGCAAGTAGCCCTATGAAGAAGGCCTGATGGCAAAGAGCTGAAACCCCCAGGCATCAGCTAGTGAGTACTTGAGACCTGCGAACAACCATCTGAGTGAACTTCAAAGTGGATTCCCCTCCAGTTGAGAATTAAGATGACTTCCAGCCACAGGTAACACCATGATCAAAGCCTTGTAAGAAACTCAAAGCAGAAAACACTCATCTAAGCCACACCTGGATTCTTGACTCACAGAATTTGTAGCTGCTGGTTTTCAGGTAATTTTTTCACAGCAATACATAATAACTTTAGTATCTTTTCAGATTCTCCATATAGAATTTCCCATCCTACTCTTATTTGATAAAATGTGGTATCTACCTCCATTAACCCACGATTATGTAAGATAATTATTTTATAATAAAGATACTGAAATATTGCCTACTTGAAACAGTAACTCATTCATTTCTTAGGCACTATTTTTTTTAACTTTCTGTTAAAGAACTCTGTGAAAACAAGTATTTGTTTCTGATTTTTGGGTCCCATTTTCTTCCTTTAAATCTACCGAATCCAGCAATCCAGGGAAGTCATTGAATTCAACTGTCAAGTAAGACGTATTTGTGTTTTCTTAAGTTGAAGTCTGATTGCTTTATTAGCAATGGGAGTTTATGATGAACATATTTTTCCATTAAAGTAAGGAAATGTGATACAAAATGTGATGGAGTGATCTCAGGTAAAGATATTAGAGTATTTTTGAATAGAATACGCCTCAGCAAATACAGTTCTTCCTTCTTTATTTTTTAAATCTATGATATTATTTGTTACTTACTTGGGATATTACTATTTATCTCAGAAAGAGATATTCCTTAGATACTTAAGCTGAACGTCTTGGTGACAGAAAACGTTGATTAGTATGATAGAAAATGAGGATTATTTTCTAACTTCAATTGTGTAGATGTAAAATCTTTTTAATGGAAGAGAATAATTATTCATTATGGTGGCAAATTTGCTCAGAGGAGAAAATATTTTATCAGCAGACAAACTGACTCATGGCATAATCCTCTAACTACAAGGTACCCCAGAGGGGAGGGTAGAGGCATATTAAATCAGAACTTGGTATCCAACTATATAATGGCTGGATATCGCCTGTCTATTATTTTTAGTTTCCTTATCCCATGGCTTTTCCTTAATCCTTTTAAATTGAAAATTATTCTTATATTAAAAAATAAAATGTTCCATAATACAGGAAGGAAAATAGATTACTGAATTAGACAATAAATGGTAGTTTTAACTACGAACTAAGTAACTCAGATTTATTGAGCAGCTACAGACAGACACAATGTATTAAGTCATTCAGTCCCACAACATTCAGAGGCTTTGAGAGGTAAAGGGCCTTGTCAATACTATACAGTTTATAAAATATAAGAGCCAGTGTTCAAATCTGGTGGATTTGGCAAAATCTAAATCTAGATTGTTTGGTAAAATCTAAATCCTATATTCTTTCCAGAATACCATATTTCATATTTTGCCTTGTATGTACTTTAAACATTTACTCTAAAAGTCTTTCAACTAATATTATCAGGGTCTTTTTAGTAAAAGAGATATGCTTTTTGCTCTAAAACTGTTTTTGCTAAGGGATAGAAGTGTGGAGTTTGCTAAGCTCTAAAATAAAATAGTAGCATTACCAAATTATCTGAGTTTTTCCAAAATATTTTACCAGATATTTAAAACAGCCGTATAATTAGACTAGAGACTTCTCAGGTCATGAAAGAATTTTTTTCTGGATAACTATAGTCCTTAATTGAATAATATGATAAATGAAAATTGATACGCTTAATTTTACATAGTTGTATTATCATCCCTACATCTTTGCCCTCCAGACACTTGGTCTCCTAAGATAGCCAGCTAATTACCAGGTCTCCTTGTGGTGCCTTATCCAGGCTAGTCTTCCTTGAACATCACCTCTTCCTCTCAACCTTTCCCATGCTCTTCCATGCAGTAGTGTTCTCTGGACAATTTCTGCAACTGCAAAATGATCTGATAAACAAATTTTTGGTTCGATATTACTATGTAACCCTTGATTAATTGAGACATGTATTACTCTCCTGAGAATATTGGCATTTGAGCAGAGAATACTGAGGATACAATGTGCAATCTAAGAATGGCTGTCTAATCAGGCAACTTGTAAGAAGTTTCTTTTTTTTTTTTCTTGCAGAAAGATCTTTTTTGCACCTGTACCACAAATCAAATAATGTAGAATGTTTAAAAGTAAAGATAAAACGATCCTTTTATATTATTTAGTTCAACCATCTTAGTGCACAAAGGGGAAAAAATGTCCAAAGTCCCACACTTAGTGGTCATTCCAGCACTTGAGTTTTGATTACAAATTCAATGTGCTTTTCCCAGTACAAAGCTTCCCTTGTATCTTGTTCCACTTATTTGTAATGCCGATCCACATGTCAATTTCTGCTAATTGCTGGTCCTTCTTTGAGACTGGTTTCCAGAGACTTTTAAAATAGGTCTGGTAGTATATGATTATAATACTTCTAGGAAAATAATTAAGTAACACCATGTAACCCTGACAATCAAGAAAATGCTACTCTAATTGATCACTACCCTCTTTCTACCAACTTTGTTCAATGTATTTTGTCATCAGTCTTCCTACATATAAAAGGGTGGATTAATGGTTCCTTATTATTTTTGGAAGTCTAATAGCCTTGCCCACTTCAGCCTCTGTGTTCCTCTGTCTCTGGCTGCTGGACCTACCTAATCCTCACCTATAGGGAGCTTAATAAAGACCCAGGGACCAGCCTTGACCCCAGGTTATAAGAAGGGAGAAATGTAATTTAAGGATGCTTATGTCAGCAGATAGATGCTGAATTATCCAGTCAATCTTGTTGTGCTTTTGCTGTCAATTTGAACCCCTTTGGCCAAGTTTTCTGCCTTAATCAAAAATCATGAGGTGATGGGTCTTCAACCTACTTGCATACAGGCAAGTGGTCCAGCATTGTGATTTTTTGCAAAATCCTGCCCAATCTTTAAATATGTGGTATAAAGTTATTTCTTGAAGGGAAAGTGACCACATTTCTCTGTGTCAACCTGAAGCAAAAAATGAATATAATAAATTTTCCCTATATCTATTCTTTAGAACTCTTATCCCACAACATGCTCTATGAGAGATATATTTCTTGTTCAAAATATTTGGGGTAATACCTGCCTTTTTCCTTTCCTACCTTTGGAGATTCCTAATATATATTGAACTCTCTAAGAAGTCTTGAAATAATAAAACATGCATAAATGTTTACCCTAATGTGTGTTCTTGTTTTGTTTGATTTATCTGAGAACACAATAATATTTTTATATAACAGTGGTGAATTGTTACTCTTGAGGAAGCAGCATTGCTGGTTTTATCTATGGGAGAATTTTCATAGTTGGTACAGGACATGAGTAGCACATACACTAGATTTGGCCCTTGGCCCTAAACCTCCCTGGGCAACCTTCCAGCACTGAGTATTCTGTCCATAGGTCTTTTTATTTCTCTGACCTCAAGATAGAAAGTCCAGTTTCATTCATATTTTTATATCTGATTTAGAAATTAAAGGGAAAAAACCCACATATTTTATACCTACTTTGTGTCCAATACTATGCTAAAGTCTTGTCATATATAATCGTTTAAAAATAAAATTTTGTTAGTAAAAAGCAAGTAACACAGGGTAAAAAGTTTTTTTTTTTCTATTAAAAATCAGATTTCAAACACTGACTCTACCAGCTGAAAACTAAAACAAGAGTAAGTCACTTTATCTTCTTGAGGTTTTGGTTTTCCAAAACCTCAAGAAGTTTTTTGTCTTAGTTTTTTTTTTTTTTTTTTTGTCTTAAATTTTTATTTTAAATTTATGTGTGTGTGTAAGAGAGATACAAAAACAATGTGGGTGCTGACAGATAGTGGGTATACCAGGCTTCCATTCATGTCAAAACTTGAGTATAAGTACTACTTGTATAAACCAAAATTTTCTAAGCTCTCAAAGAAAGTAACATAGCATTCTCTATACTTATCATTTTATAGTTGGTGTTACATAACTCAATTCACCTACAGAAGAAGTATATGCTTCATTTAAATTAGCTGAGCTTAAAATTTATGAAGAGGTAAGCAGCCTGATGATGTAATTGTGCCTTCTTTACTCCAATTCCACCTCCTGTGGTACAGACAGGTGTTCCATCTAGAGTGTTGCCATTCATGCTTAGTCAGATTCAATTCCTTTTAACCATTTTCTCAATGAAACAAAACTGTAATGACTGTTCATATATCTTAACTAGCAATATTGTTATTCCTCCTATGAATGTTGGTCATATTTTCTTTCCTTCATTTCTCTTTCTTGAATCCTCCTTTTAATCCCATTTAATCTCAGAAGTTATACACATTAATTCTTAGATCTTAATGTCTCTTCTACTTTCTCTTGTGGGCAGCTTGCAGGGTAACATAATAGCCAAGGTTTTTCACACAATGAAGAGTAAGAAATTCTAAAAATAAACTGGATATGTTTGCTAATATCAGATGTCCTGAGGATTCAATAGGAAAAATGGTTGGTGGTTCAATTATTCAATGTTTTTATCACTATAGATTTTATTTATATTGTGTGAGGTAATACAGCTTAACCATTAAGTCAAGTAAGTCTGGATTTGTGTTCCATTTTATTACCGATTGTGTGATATTGAATAACTTAGCAAGTCTCTCTAATCCTTAGTTTTTTCATGCAAAAGATGCACAAGGTTGTCATGAGAACTGAAAACACATTACTACACCCATTTTCTACATTAATTTTCCAAAATATTTATCTAAATTACTGTACATTTTTCTCATTTGAGTACTATCCACCGTTAATATTTCATCAGAATAGTTATTTTTGTTTGTTTATTCATCCTCTATACCCCGGAATCTAGGACAATGCCTAACAAATAGAAGGAACTTAGTAAAGAGCTATAAATGAATGAATAAAATATACAAATGTAGTTTTAATATACAAATTTGGGATATTATCATTAGCATGAAAATAGTTAACAATCCTCCCCAAAACCTTATTATTCCCATTTTAGTAATAAGGAAACTGAGGATCAGAGAGGTCACATGGTAAGAACTGGGAGAATAAGTACTCATTTCATCCCTTGCTTAGTTCAGAATCCAATGCATACCTACATTTTTCAACTTGGTAAATAAACATCTGTAGAGAAGGGTCTTAGTTCAGCTGCCTGAGAGGTAGAGCCTGAGATAAGTAATTTTGTACAAGCACTCCTGGAGTGTTCTCAGTGAAAACCTTTAAGGAAATAAATCAAAGTGAGATGATGCAGGCCAAGGAGCTAAGCAAAAATATGGTTTCACTGAATCTAGACAAGCGTGATCCCATGGGGAGCTCTGGAGTGTGAATGGCACCATAGAATTGTCCTGGCTTGAAGTGGCTTTGGGGCTGGAATATCTTATCCTGAATCAGTCAGTGATTGCTAGGTTTTGCCTTCTCCAGAGAGTGTTTACATTCTCATGCATCTTCTGGTGAGACAAATTCTGTAAGCCAAGGGCAATTTTCCACAGATGGGTGTAATTGTACCTATCATTACTGATACTCATAACCAGTAGGTGATAGGTGCATTGGCTTCATAAAGGGAATCCAGGCAAAGCACCAACAGCCACTGTCAAAAGGGAGCTGGTAAACCTGAGTCAAATAGTGATTTTTCTCCTGGCTACTATACATTCATTTTAGTCCAGCAGCTTACATCCTTACTTCCTTATTATCCTAAGATAAACTTATGTATCAGATTTTCATTTTGAGCAGTGGTGAATTAAATAAAAGAAGTGAAGGGAAATTAAGGAAACATTGTGACAGTAGCCACTTTATCATCAACAGTAATATTTTATTATTGGTCCTACTTTGAACATATGTCATAGTCACCAGTCACTGGACTTAAACCCCTCTCCTATTATTATAAGGTAACTGACATCTAGAATTATCCCATGTTTTGTACTTGTCGGTTCTCCAATTCAAGTCTGCTCTATGAATGTCCACCTGTATCTTTTTGTTTAGAACTTTTACTGAATGCCTACGCTGTGGAACTTACCCAGTTGTGCTTACAGCTTTGAACTATTTCCTCTGTTTGGAATGCTTCTCTCCCTGAGCATGATAATGTATCACCTCTAGTCTCAGAGACATCACCCAATTCTTCAGATCAGCCTGACTTTAAGCCCAAGCTCCCCAGGTCCTGTGGCCAGTAGCTCCCAGTGATGCCAGCATATTTCTTTCCAGAATCCTGATCACAGTGGCTTTCTTATGGAAAAGACACTAATTTACATTTTTCAAATAATCATAAAATATTCTGCAATGGAAAGTATGTAATTATACAGAAAAGGTTAATCCTAAAATTGTAGACCCCTTAGGGACTTTTTACTTGCCCATTGCAACCCTCCTAAATGTCAATAAAATCACAATCTGTAAATTAGAAAGTGAGAAACCACCTCCAGAGACAGCTGAGGTTTGGATGAACCACAAGGAAATGACTTTTGCCTGGAGGCCAAGTAATCTTAGTTAAAGGGCAGGGAACTCTGGTGAGCATTATTTTGACTTGTTGAAAGGGACCATGGGTTTCATAAAAATAAATCTTTTACTTTCTAATATACTGCACTGAAGACACCGGTGTTACTTATATTTGAAAAATTTCGATGTAAACTTGCATTTGGATTTTGTGATAGAGAATAATAACAACAACAACAGCAATGAGACAATAACAATAGCAACAAAATCTAACTGTAGTAATAATAATATGGTGAAGAAGAAGATGGAGGAGGAGAAGGTGAAGGAAAAGAAGAAACTACTGCTGCTGCCATCACCACCAGATAAACTTTTCTTGAAATAGATGACCAAAATAAATAAATAAATAACAGCGACAATAATAAAAATAAATCGGGAGGAGAAGAACGAGAAAGAAGAGAATGAGGAAGAAAAAGAGGAGGAGAGGAAAATAAATAGTACATAGAACAACTTCCTGTCATCTGTTGGAATCTTTTAACCTATGAGTTGCTAGTGCACTCCAATGTAAAAAGAGCCTACTATGTGTTAACTAACGTTCTATATACTGGAGACACACATAGAAAAAATTAATGAGACATTTTTCCTGCTAATATTGGGCTTTGAGTTAATATGGGGAGGTGAAACATGTGAAAAATTACCTGTTACCCCGTTATAGTGTTACATGTGTTATATTTTAGCCCTCCATAGCAGAACAGAGTGAAAGCATGAAGACAAGAATTCTACGTGTTTCAAGGCAGGGAAAGTTTTCATTGAGCTGGTAATTCAAGGTGAATCTTGAATCTCTTTCTTCCTGTCCACTCAGATTTTGATTATGTAAAGTAATTAATGATTGCTATGGTTAGCTTTCTCTGTTGATCCCTTGGAGAAGACATACAAGTAAGTCCTCTCTAGAGTTAAAACAAAAAAGTAAAAGACAAGGAATAACAATGGGTAAATATAAGGGTGGTGGCAGTGTTTCAGGAGGTAAAACAAAGCATAGAGTTTTTGAGAGGAGATGAAGTATCATCTCATAAATTGTATATCAGGGAAGGCACTAGAGTGCTCCCCCTCAGCAAGATGGCAGGGTCTGACAAGAAGAAGATATTCCTAAAGTTGTTAGTTTTGATAATAGAAGTGCAATTAGGACCAAAATACAAAATTGTTAATTATTTTTCTTTTCAAAGTTGTTCAAAAATATATTGCTATCTATAATACATATAGGAAAACAATCCATTATGGCCTAAGAAGAGTATGGACTTTTTAAAAAGCTGAACCAGCGCTTTCATCAGACTGATAAAGTCCTTGTGTTCAGAGTTTACTATGGACTCCACAGTAAAGGAGATACAATTAAAAATTATACAAACACATACTCACACAGATATGCTTATATGAGTTGTCTGTTGACATATGACTTATGCTTAAACTCATAAAGAATATCTTAATTGAGACATTATCATGTGCATAGAACAGCTATATTCTGTGGAGAATATAAAAATAAACTAGAAATAGATTCTACCCCCTAAGAAATATTGGTTCAATAAGAACAACAGGGCATCTAACTAAGGAACAATAATTCACATGTATATAAGTTAAGTGCCGTAAAAATGTAGATTATTCTGCAGTAAGATTCCTGAAGATAAAGATATTACATTTTGGTGAAAGGAGTTATCCACCCTGATGAAGAAATTGACAAACTATTGAAATTTTAAATGGAAGTTCATAGTTTGGATATATGCGTAATGGCATGCAGATAAAAGGCAAAGGGTGAATAGGCAGTGTATTATATTGCTGGCACTACCATAACAAAACTCCGCAGATTGAGTGGCTTACCGAATAGAAGTTTACCTTCTCACAGTTCTGGAGGTTAGAATTTTGAGATCAAGGTGTTGGCTGGATTGGTTCCTTCTGAAGGCCATGAGGTAGAGATCTATTCCAGGCCTCTCTCCTTGGCTTGTAAAAGATTGTCTTCACATTGTTTTCCTTTCGTATATGTCTGTGTCCACATTTTTACTCTTCTAATAGGAACACCAATCATCTTGGATTAGAGCAAACCCAAATGGCCTTGTTTTAACTTAATTATATTTGTCTCCAAATATGTTCACATTGTGGGATACAAGGGGTTAGCATGTCAACATGAGAGTGAGTGGACCACAAGTCAGCACATAACAGACAGTGAGGCAGAGGCAGAGAATTTTAATAGATATATAAAAAGAACTGTAAATTTTAGTTTGACTAGAATTTAGCTACATTAACATAGAAAACAGACTGGACAAAAGACTGAAGACTGAAGCCAGATTGTATAGATCTTGAATGTCAAAATGGAGAGTTTGGATTTTATTTCTCAAGTATTAGGAAACCAGAAATGAATATGAGAAGAGGAGCAACATAATACATTCAAAATTATTGTATGCATACAGTGTGCCAGAAACCATGCCAAATGTTATACCTCAACATCTAATTCTATCATCATATCATTTTAATCTTTGCAGCAATATATTTAACTGTGACTTATTAGTCCTCTTTTACAGAGAAGCAAACTAAGGTTAAAAAAAGTTGTTATAGTTTATGAATATTAGAGCAGAAAATCTAATTTAAGTCTTCAAAATCTGGCATCACATCAAGTGTATTTCTCATTCCAGACATTGTAGACAGCTCTAAAATTTCTATTTGGTTTTTTTTTGTTATATCTTCAATGTCAATGTCTCTACTTCAATTTTTGAACATATGGGATAGAGTTATAATAAGTTTTATGTCTTTGTATAATACTTTTCAGATCTGTGTTAGTTCTAGGACAGTCTCAATTGATTGATTTTTCTTCTTATCATGGCTCTTGTTTTCCTTTTTCTTTGTATGCACAATAATCCTTGACTGAACAGCAGACATTGTCAGTTGTGGCTTGTAAGATACTGGATAAGTTTTATTTTTATAAATATTCTTACCTTTGTTCTAGAATGCAGTCAAATTACTTAGAAACAATTCAATCTTTTTTTGAGTCTTGCTTTTATGCTTTGGTAGGTGAGAGTGGAGCAGAGCTCAGACTGGTTCTATTCTCCACTTCTGAGACAAGATCCTCTGTATCTTGCCTCATCTATTTTAAAATTTTCCAATCAGACCAATGGCAGCGGGCACTATTACCCTCTCTGTGTGTGAGCTGGACACTGTTATGTCTAATAACCTCTGGTGGTTCTTTCCCTAAACTGAGGTAGTGTCCTTAAATGTATGTGCTGATCAGTACTCTGCTGACTAGTCAATGGACCCCTCTACAGATCTCTGGATTTCTTCCTGTTTGCAGTTTTTTTTTTTCTTTCCAGTGTTCCATCCTACAAACTCTAAGCACTTTGCCCTTTTGAAATCTTAAGTCCATCTCCTCAACTCAAGGTGTGCTCTGGACTTCACCTCAGTTCCTCCCCCTTGTGCCATGGTCTGGAAACTCTAAGACATTAAGCTGACACACTTGTATGTCTCAGCTCATTTGTTTCTAATATCTCAGGAATCACCATCCTTCATTTTCTGATGTCCAGTGCATTGAAAACTATTAATTATATATTTGGTATGGGTTTTGGCTGTTTCAGACAGAAAGGTAAATTTAGTTCCTTTCATTAGATCACGATCTGAAATAAATGTCAACCTAGGTATTTTAATTTTAACACATTGTTTTCCACATATATTTAGAATGGAATATAGAAGAGTAAGGTGGGTAGTGAAGTCCTAAAATTTAAACATGTTTGAGACAAATCCCCAGGACAAATATGATGTTATGCAATTAGTGTGACTAAGAGTGGAACTAGTTAGGAAGACAGATTTTGGAACTAGTTAGGAAGACAGACTTTCACGATCTCTTCTTTCAGGAAGTGGAGAATGAAGCAAAGGGCTACCTTGCTATTGTTGCTGGTGAACAGTGAGACTTACCTTGCTAGTATTGATGGTGAACAGTGAGACTTCTTCTAGGACATTGGGAATCCCATTCTGCTCTAGAACTAGCTCTCCAAGGAGGAGCCCTTCTTTCTTTTTCTACCTTTTTCTTCCCTTCCCTATCAGAGCACAGGTTGATCTGATTACTGTGCCATCCTCATCTTCTCCCTCTTCTTTGCAGTGCAAACACCACTCATAATGGGTAGGGCATCCAATATTACTTTAGTGGCTATTTAGTGATACTCCATATCATCATCTTCCTGTTGCTAATGTGCTAAAATGAATTTAAATATCTCTTTAGTATCTACTAGAGGCCCACTTGTGAATACAATACTGTTGAGTGCCATCACAGAAATTTGGTGAGGATTTTCTTAACATAATAGAGGAATGAACTTCACAGACACAGTCCTGAAGAATGACATGTAAATCTTCTTTAAAAAACTGAATTATATTTTTAATATATTAGTTTATTGTGGTCTTTAAATATCATCTCAACTTTTGGTTATATATAATGAATGTATCTGACCTCACTTTGAAGAAAATTACCTTTGTGTATTTTAGTGTTTCTTGTCTGTCTGCCCCTACCCCAACCCAAAATGTGTATTATATTTTTTAGCAGTAATTTTTATGATAAAGTTAGATTCATCTAGGTGAAACTGCATACCTCTCTATTTGATATAATCTAGAAATATTCTAATGGGAACAATTATTTGAATTATAACTAACATGCTGGACTGGATTTTGTTTTACTTTTTAATTGAATGATGTCATATTGAATGAGAACTCCATCTTGCTCAGTCACATAAATATAATTTCTGAGAGCATGTCACATGTAAATCATGTAAACACACAAAGGTACCAATTTGATAGCCCAAATAGATGAAATGTGGGAATAACATCTTATTTTATTTGGGGGAATTTTTGGCATCCCGCTCATCAGATACAGAATTAATTGATTTCTAAAATATACAGTTATTAAAGAGCAGAACTAGTTGAGTTCTAAGATATATGGTTATTAATATATAATTGATAGATATTTATAAAAATATATTTGAATTTATTTTATATATTTCATCTTATACATTTATGTTAATAGGAGAGCTTTGATAGATATCAATGTTTGAGCGATCAAAATAAACATTATTTGACTTTATACAACCTTCTTCCGTCATTGATTTTTTTGTATCCTGCCCTATTAATAGAATTTCTGGAGCCTTTGGAATTTTCCTTTGTTTCATTTCATTTTTTAGAGACGAGTTCTTGCTTTGTTGCCCAGCTGGCCTCAAACTCCTCAGCTCAAGTGATGCTCCCACATCTGCCTCCAGTTTAACTTAGACTACCTCACCATGCCACTGCACCTGGTTTAGGCTACTATTTTATAACAATGTTTCTTTACATAATATGAAAAGTTTTGGCATCTTGCTTTAGTGTATATGTTATACTTGAAACTGGACAAAAAACACAACTCTTATTCACACAAATGACATCAAACGTTAAAAAAATTTTCCTGTTGGATTATATATCTTTATATTTCTGGAGGCCAGGTTAGTTGTGATATGTTGACAAAATAAAAGCTTACAATAAAAGCCTTATTCTTTTGTTACCAATGTTTTTAAATGCTATGACTCAGACAAAGATGTGTGTTATGAAAGTAATCCTGTGTGTACTCTCCTAAATAGAAACTAAAGCAAGTGTACTCTGCTTGCTTATGTGTTCATTCTTCCTTTGCCTGACTTGTCTGTCCTTCTTGAAAATGAATGATTGAATAGAATGGCCTAGACATAGGGTCCATTTCTCTTTGTGCCTTGTTCAATGTGAAGATCCTACAGCCTGAAGCAATATCTCCTTTAGAAAACAGGGACTTATTTAGAGAGTGCATGCATCCTGTGATTGCAAGGGACGATTCCAGGGTTTTGTAAAGGCAAAAATAGTGCTTTCAAATCCACGTAGATGCCATTCAAGGCACAAAGCTAAGTGAGGAAGAAAAAAGAAAGCAGCCAGGACTTTTAGATTCTGGGCTGAAAGATGCTATATAGGATGAAATTTGCATTTTCATTGCCTAGTTAATAGTCTTTCAAACTAATAAAATACACCATATCAAAGAGTAAAAAAGGTAGATGTGATTTCTATTCCTACTAATTAACAGCTGAGACAGAAGAAAGCTGCAAAAATGTGAATAATTCTATAAAGCTAAAATATTAACTTGTGCCTATTTAGGGAATAGGAAATCCATTGTTTTTTCATCATCAAACTTTCTTTCTTCAGTCCATGTTTTCATTTCATATTACCAAATTTTTGAAATGCCATCATTAAACTAGTAAATTTTGCTGTGGCTTTAATGGTTCATTCTATTTCTTTAAGTTAAATGTAAGGTTTCCTAGGCCTTGAATGTATAAAAATATGTTATAATTGAAAAACTGATTTAGTAGAACTGTTTCAAATAGCGACATAGCGTATTTCCTGCAGATTTGAGAAGCAGGTATGGGGTATGATAATCGTAGGCTGTATAACATTCAGCCACAGACTTAGTATACTGGCACTAAAAGCTATTTACATTTATAGGCATTAGGAAAACCATTCCAGGCAAGAAGAAGTTGTTTTATTATAAAACTAGAGGGCAATTAGGCTAGATCTCTAAAGAGAAAAAGAAATTTAAGTTAGAAAGGAGAAATGTTTGGGGAAGCGTAGAAAAGAAAATGTCAAAGAGGAAGGGGAAAAGGATGGAAAGGAAAATAACTCTTCCTAAAGAAATCATCCTTAAGATTAGTAGTTTCTTTAAATATTGATGCTTATAAAAATAAAAGTGCATACTGAATGATTCAAACTGTACTTGAAACTCAGGTACATATTTTAAAATCAGGCAGGAAAAAAAGGTAGAATCTTGAGTGTGGAAAACATTTTTATTAAAAAAAAATAAGGTTTGTCCATGAGGCAGATTTCTTTAAGCTCTCCGAGTTCACTGCATATCCTCAGCAATTTAGTGGGCTATGCTGCAGAATCATCATAAATCAATGAGAGGATGTCTTGAGCCGTGGGGAATTAACTGACTCGCTTATGTATGATGCGATTCACAGCACTTCCATTCGGAAACCTTTTATGAGACCACATGCTTGCTTGGCTCAGACACACCTATGTCTAGGCAGGGATAGCTTTGGCTAGATCATATTTGTTTTCCTGTGTTTTCTTCTGCCTGAGGGAAGGAAAAATTTTTTCCAGGCAAATCCTCTGTCCTCTTTGGGTGGGGACTTCCAAATTAATTCTTAGTTGTCTGGATGAGAACAAGTATTAGAGATTAAAATTAATATTATCAGCTTCAGAAACACACAAGAATTCAAATTTGACAAACGTCAGGGAGTGGAAGAGAAGATCTATTTTTGAAATAATAGACATAATCAGAAATTCTCTGCTGGAATCCACCAGGGGGCAGACCCCTCCTGATATGCTCCCTCCCAGTATTGGCCTCAGAGCCTGCAGCCTGTGAGAAGTGTTCTGAGAGACAACCCCTGTCCCTGTCATGCTTCAATCCAATCTAACTCATTAGAAATCCTGCCTCCAATTCTTTTATTATACAGCATCACATGTACCATGGAAAATCTAAAAGGAAAGTAAATGGGAATCTTAGAAGAATTTTATTATTAAGAAACTTAAATAGTGTTTTTAAAAGCCTCACAAATGCCTAGTTATTTAAAACACAAACAAAGGAAGTAGGCTCTTTTTTGCGGGATGTTTTTTGTTTGTTTTATGTCTCAGAAAGAACTAACATTATTAAGCAAGTGAAGAGCTTCAAAGGCAAGTTACAATCGAAATAAACAAAAACCTGGAAAAGGAGATTTTTACATGAAGGTT
Organism: Homo sapiens; assembly: GCF_000001405.40. NCBI lineage: Eukaryota > Metazoa > Chordata > Mammalia > Primates > Hominidae > Homo > Homo sapiens. The sequence continues at coordinate 104,065,601 of NC_000004.12, forward strand.
AGTTATCATAAAAAGAACAGTGACTGTCTCGCATGCTACTAAATATTTCTCATTTAGCAATAGATAACTTAAAAGCTTGCTGGGATAATGCACGAAAAGAGAAAGAGTAGTGAAAGGAATTATAGACTACACCATTATAAGAAATCAGAAAGTCAAAGCAGAAGCAAAATAAGTAGTTTTATATCTAAATACTTTAACAACACCCCTTATATTTATGCTATAATTTCTTTTATAGTAATAAATCACATTACACTGTTTCATACCAACTATGTTTCTACATCTGATGTAGAATGACAGTGAATAAAACTTGCTCTACCATTGAGAAGCTTATGCATCCTGAAAAGGCCTTTAGAATACACCCTTCATTGTCTGCAATTCCTGTGCTGTCAAAGTTCTTATTTTGTAAATGTACGAATACGTGGTAAAAATTCTTAGCAAGCCGTTGAGAGAGGTGTAAGAGAGGATGGGGCGAAGAAATGCCTGAAAGTTTCTTCAAATTAACAAAATTTTCATCAGTACGGTCTGATATCATTAATGGGTGGCAAACATTTTTGGACAAACATAAAAATTATTTTATCGTATCACTTCTATTTTACAAAGTAATAATTATATTTAGCATATATCTCAGTTATCAGAGCTTTAGCGTGAAATAAACTGTAGACAAATCTGGTTCTAAAATACTACTGACACTTACTAGTCTACTGAGGAAAAAACACAAGAATGACCATGCTCAAACATCCTAAAAACTTTATGAGAAATCACATTCTTCACAGTACTAAAATTAAGTTACATTAGGATGTAGTGTAAGCCACAGTAACAAGGTATCCTAAAGTATATTGACTGAAACAAGATTAATATTAATTTCTTTGTGATGAAACTCTTCTGGTGGTTTGGGATTGGTAAGGTGCCCTAGAGGTGTCAGGGACACAAAACACTTTCATTCCTTTTGTTCTGCCATCTCTAGACTCTTACCTCATCAGCTTGCTTGAAATCAGTTAGTATCTACCTTACAGCCTGTGGGAAGGGTAAAACAAGAAGAAAATACTTTGTATGCTCCTTTTCTTTTGAGGGCAAGCAAGTTTCAGAGGTTGCACACTTCAACTTTTCTCATATACCATTGGCCAGAATTGGTCATGTGACCCTACCCGGCAAGAAAAGAGACTGGAAATGTCATGGTTCGTTGCCATAGCTTCAATTATAATGCCTATTTTTTTAATAGAAGAAAAGGGTAATGAATATTGATAAGGCAATTAGCAATCTCTGCCACAAAAGTGTACAAAGATTGAAAGTATACAAATATTAATCAGACACAGCATCTCTAAGGTTTTCTTTTAATAACTGCATTTTTCTAATTTATTTTATAAATTTATGGTTTTTCAATTTATAATTTGTTTTTAATCAATCATATCAACTTCATTTTTTTAATACTAAGAATTTGAAACTGATTTAGGGACCAAATATTGGGGAATTTATTATAATCAACTATATGTTCAATAATAATAACAGAGAAAAAACTACATCTCATCAAATGTACTCCTAAAACCAGACAGGTTTTAGAGTACTAGTTCTTTGAAAATTTCATTATGCTAAGTGAAATAATCCAGGATCAGAAGGACAAATACCATATGATTAAGTGGAATCTAAAACTATCGAAGTCAGAAACAGAAAGTAGATTTGTGGTTACCAGAGGCTAAGAGGTGGGGAAATGGCAAGATATTGGTATAAAGTTTCAGTTAGGAGGGAAAAGTTTTTTGACATCTATTCCACAGCTTGGTGATCACAGTTAATAATAATGATTGGCAAACTTCAAATGGCTAAAAGATAAATTTTTCTCACCACAAAAATAACAAGTATGTGAGGTCATATGTTAATTCACTTGATTTATTCCTTCCACACTGTATACATATATCATAACATCACCATGTACCCCAATATATATACAATTATAATTTTTCAGTTTATAATAAAAAAATGCTGAAACACTGAACAATACCAATGCTGTATAAACTACTGCAAAGCATAAAAAAAGAAGAAAAGCTCAAATAGATTCCAGGTTTGTTTTACAAAACAAGTTCCTTATACATGTCTTGTTCCTTTTGCATACTCCTATCCTTCTTGTCTTAAACACAGTTGATAGAAAAACTTCAATGATCTGAATGCCATTGATCATGTTAATTTTTTTGTTCATAATTTAAAAATTATTTTCAAAATAAAAAAGGAGAGGGATGCTATATTTTTTCTATCCAAATGTTTTTTTATTGATAAATAATAGTTATACATACTTATAGGGCATATGTAATATTTTGATATACTCATACAATGTATAATGATTAAATCAAGGAAATTCAGATATTTATCACCTGAAACATTTATCATTTATTTGTGCTAGGAACATTTCAAAGTTTCTCTTCTAATTATTTTGAAATATACAATGTATAATAATTAACAGTAGTTGCTCAACAGTGCTATCAAATGCTAGGACGTATTTCTTCTACGTAACTATACCCTCTTATTTACTGAGAAACAACCCCAACCTAGTGATTCAGAATCAAACAACTATTTACAGTCCAAAAATTACCATTTAGGTTTTATACAGTCAAAATTAATTTCCAAGGAGTTAAGATGTTTATCATTTTATCAATGACAAACATAATTAATATTAAAACAAAACACAAGAGAAAATCTATAGTAGAAGTAGACTGTTCCTACTTGCAAGATTTCTAATAAGTTTATATTCTTATACAATGTCCCATTGAAACATCTATGTTTAAACCTGGTTTCTACTCACTACTCTGCTAAGAGCCACAATGTTCAAATAGCCCTGATCTACCTTATCCTGATTAGCAGAACATTCTGTCCACTTTATCAAACACCAACTGACTAGGCCATATCTCTGAAAAAAATACTTCTTTTAGTTATTAGATTTTTTTCAGTCTACCTTCTTTGAGCTTAATTTGGGGATTAGAGTGTTCTGTCTGGTAATCATGAGAATTAATATTCTCTTATAAGTTAGAATAAATCTCCCATTTGTCTTACTTTGACTCAGGGTGTTCTTCTATCTGAAATCATGTTAGTGTTCCTCAGCTAATGTTACTTCTTTTATAGTTTATTGGAGGACTTATAATTTCTTTTTAAAGAAATAAAATGAATGAATTATTAACTCATACAAGCTTAATGCAACATTTTACAAGTAGAAAATCCATTTAAAATTAATGTATATTTATTTTATATTTCTTATAACTTCTTTTTTTATTATACTTTAAGGTCTGGGATACATGTGCTGAATGTGTAGGTTTGTTACACAGGTATACATGTGCCATGGTGGTCTGCTGCACCCATCAACTTGTCATCTACATTAGGTATTTCTCCTAATGCTATCCTTTCCCTTGACCCCCACCCCCTGACAGGCCCCAATGTGTGATATTCCCCTCCCTGTGCCTGTAGGTTCTCTTTGTTCAACTCGCACTTATGAGTGAGAACATGCAGTGTTTGGTTTTCTGTTCCTGTGTTAGTTTGCTGAGAATGATGGTTTCCAGCGTCACCTATGTCCCTGTAAAGCACATGAACTCATCCATTTTTATGGCTGCATAGTATTCCATGGTGTATATGTGCCACATATTCTTTATCCAGTGTATCATTGATGGGCATTTGGGTTGGTTCCAAGTCTTTGCTATTGTGAATAGTGCTACAATAAACATACGTGTGCATGTGTCTTTATAGTAGCATGATTTATAATCCTTTGGGTATACCAAGTAATGGGATTGCTGGGTCAAATGATATTTCTAGTTCTAGATCCTTGAGGACTTGCCACACTGTCTTCCACAATGGTTGAACTAATTTACACTCCCACCAACAGTGTAAAAGCATTACTGTTTCTCCACATCCTATCCAGCATCTGTTGTTTCCTGGCTTTTTAATGATCACCATTCTAACTGGCATGAGATGGTATCTCATTGTGGTTTTGATTTGCATTTTTCTAATGACCAGTGATGAGCTTTTTTTCATATGTTTGTGGGCCACATAAATATCTTCTTTTGAGAAGTGTCTGTTCATATCCTTTGCCCACTTTTTGATGGGGCTGTTTGTTTTCTTGTAAATTTGTTTAAGTTCCTTGTAGATTCTGCATATTAGCCCTTTGTCAGAAACAGATTGCAAAAATTTTCTCCCATTCTGTAGGTTGCCTATTCACTCTGGTGCTAGTTTCTTTTGCTGTGCAGAAGCTCTTTAGTTTAATTAGATCCCATTTGTCTATTTTGGCTTTTGTTGCCATCACTTTTGGTGTTTTAGTCATGAAGTCTTTGCCCATGCCTATGTCCTGAATGGTATTGTCCAGGGTTTCTTTCAGGGTTTTTATGGTTTCAGGTCTTACATTTAAGTCTTTCATCTATCTTGAAATTTTTGTATAAGGTGTCAGGAAGGGGCCCAGTTTCAGTTTTCTGCATATGGCTAGCCAGTTTTCCCAAAACCATTTATTAAATAGGGAATCCTTTCCCCATTTCTTGTTTTTGTCAGGTTTATCAAAGATCAGATGATTGTAGATGTGTGGTGCTGTTTCTGAGGCCTCTGTTTTGTGCCTAGTGCCATGCTGTTTTGGTTACTGTAGCCTTGTAGTATAGTTTGAAGTCACGTAGCGTGATGCCTCCAGCTTTGTCCTTTTTGCTTAGGACTGTCTTTGCTATACAGGCTCTTTTTTGGTTCCATATGAAATTTAAAGTAGTTTTTTTCCAATTCTGTGAAAAAGTTAATCACAGTTTGATGGGAATAGCAGTGAATCTATCAATTACTTTGGGCAGTATGGGCATTTTCATGATATTCATTCTTCCTATTCATGAGCATGGAATGTTTTACCATTTGTTTGTGTCCTCTCTTATTTCCTTGAGCAGTGGTTTGTAGTTCTCCTTGAAGAGGTCCTTCACATCCCTTATAAGTTGTATTCCTAGGTATTTTATTCTCTTTATAGCAATTGTAAATGGGGATTCACTCATGATTTGGCTTTCCGTTTGTCTATTATTTGTGTATAGGAATGCCTGTGATTTTTGCACATCGATTTTGTATCCTGAGACTTTGCTGAAGTTGTTTATCAGCTTAAGGAGTTTTTGGGCTGAGACGATGGGATTTTTCTAAATATACAATCATGTCATCTGCAAAAAGAGACAATTTGACTTCCTCTCTTCCTATTTGAATACTCTTTATTTATTTCTCAGGTAAAACCCTTTCAATGATCTATATCATTATTCTCTTATAACAACAATAACAACATAAGAAAGCAGGCAAAGAAAATATGTATTGTTCTTCCTTCGGAAATAAAGTATTTGAGGAACAACAAATTTAATAACAGGGCCAAGATTACTGAATAATTAAAGGAAGTACTGGTATTAGAAGGTAGGTATTCATGCCGTAAGTACTAAAAATCTAATTCAGTCTTTATCCCTAACATATGCATATTTACTTATTTAAAACTTATCTGAAGGCACAAATTACTTACATTAAGTCAGTATATGCATTTTGTTTAAAAACAAAATAAATGCAAAGAAAAAGATAAAAATAAAAGAAAACAAAACTTTCAAAATTTTTAAAATATATGCCAGTAGGTCATAAACTCTTCCTTCTAGGTAATCTCCTTCAATGTCATTTGCAGTCTTGTCCTCTCTCTCATGTTGAGTTAAGACATCTCAAGTATAAACTACTCATACAGTTTACTGATATCTGAAATACCAGATAAGAAAGTGAAAATCCATTATTATGAAAATATGTTTTTTCCTTTGTTTGCGTGTCTTTTGCACCTCTTCATTTATTCCTTCATTTTAATTATAATAGGATATAGTCATATATTTCTATAGGTATTAAGAGTAACAAATACCTAAGAAACAGCTTGAAAATGTGTTCTTATGGCCCATTTCCTAATGCCTTTTCCTCCAAATCACCTTGCTCTGAAATATCTTGTTGATATTTCTGATTCTCTGAGATCAAAAAAGGGAGTGCTTTTCTTTGCCCAGAAGTCACAGAGTGGGGATTTCATCTAATGATAAGTGAACATCTCAGCACAGCAGAAGGACAACTGAGCATTAGGCAGGTGCTATTGCACTGTGCAGCCTCCTCACTTTCAAGCAAAAGTGCTTACATGAACAACTGTCCAAAGTGCTGGATGAGGCCATTAGCGGCTAGCTTCTGTAGTATGAAATGAATGTATTTCACTGCATTTAAGCCAAGAAAGGTTTGGAGCTTCCGTGATGTAAATTGGGCTCCATTATCACTTAGCAGTTCTTCGGGAATTCCATATCCAGTGAATAGTCTTTTAGTTCGGACTGGATAGAGAGAATTTTATAATCGCCTGTGGCCATTTACAGGAGATAATAAAAGTACTAATGACTACATGTATAGTTTAGGAAAACCCACTTTTTATCCCTGCTGATATTTGTTTAGTTAATTCAGAGTTTTAAATATATTTATGTAATATCTATGCTATAGTAGAAAAGTATTCTCTAGTTGATATTATGTAGAAATCAGTCCTGATGTAATTAAAGCTCTAAGCAATTGTGTATTTTTTTTCAGATCTCTCAATAATCTTTTGTAAACCTGTCAAACTATCACCCTCACACTCTTCAGTGGGTAGTTAGCATGATTCAAAGAGTATTAAATATACTATACAAATGTCTGTCATATTTGGTGTGAAAGGAAATATAACACTTAAGTTTTCTAATTACCTCTATGCATTATATATTACAGAATCATAATGGTAAAGGAAATCCTCCAAAGCCATATTTTTAGATTTTTCTGCATACAAATTCAAGTATAACTAAACAAGAACTTTCTCTTCACTTCACAATGTGTCATTTCCAATACCTCTATATAAGATCCCAAATATTTTATTAAACAATTCTAAATTTTTATGTATACTTACATGTATTCCCCTTGAGAAACTAAAAAAGTCATACAGAAAATTTATCTCAGGTAACTTCCAAGAAATACAATAAACAATATTTTTTTCTTGGAAAGATTCTATCATTGCTTTTCAAAACATGTATACACATCATTACTAGTGGCTTATTGAGTATAATTTCCATGTTTTATCTTTCTTTGCCCTTTAGTTCCCATTTCCTATAATCTCTTAGTGATCTTTATAATACCGTTGTGTTCTAATGAATAAATTTTGATTTTTGTGAGTATATGCAATCTTCAATATTTTCTTGCACATAAGTTATCTGGATTCAATTCTGTAAGGTTTTACCCTCAAGTTTTCTATCTCTTCTATGATACTCCTTTTATACAACAATATATTGCTTCCATTATGCCATACATTTTCCGCAAAGTTTACATACACATTATTTTTATGAGGTGGACATCTAAAATTTAAAGTACAACTCCACATTGGACATGTTGGAACAAAAAAATATGTACTACTCTTTAAAAATAATTCCACATTTCTTCACAGCTACAAATTTCCTCCATGAAGAGATATTTAGATTATTTGTTGCTTTTGTCCATTTTGTTGGAACATATATACACATTTAAAGTCACATAAGACTTCTTGCTATGACTGAGGAGACTGACAAATACTCTCCCTAAAAAGCAATTATACACTGAAGCAAAATTGACCGAAAATACCACTCCATTGCTCTGCAATTTAAGCGAGGCATAGAAAAACTGAAAAAGTCTTTACACTTGAAAAAATGCTAAACTTAAAAAAAGCAGTGTGAGTCTGCATCATTCTGGCTGGTGCTCCTCCTATTCTTCCCCAAGTCAGTGTGATTCTAATGTCAGAACTCAAAAGATGGAGAATCAGCAACCTTTGTATGTGGAGTGTTGGGTAATAGCCACACCCTTCAGTATTACTGGTGGAAATGGCTTCCTGAAGGCAGGCAAACAGGTTAGAACCAGCTGCTTGGCTCTACGAGCCTTAGGTAGTGGATGTGATTAGGACAAACATTTCTGGCCGAGGTTGTGCTTGCATCCAAGAGACACTGACGAAGGCAAAAGATATTCAAACATTCCTGGTTGACACTGACTGCATGTATATGCATAGGAAACTTAAAAGAGAGCATAGAAAAGTTAATTTGGTGCATCTTGGAAAGGACCTGAACATTGAATGTGTTGAATGTGTTTTCCTTCTCCCCCAACACACGCACAGGCATACACACACACACACACACACACACACACACACACACACACTTCTCTGCAGAAGACAGAAATCTGACTGGCCCAAAGTTTTGAGCTCAACCCATGTGTAATCATTGGAGAGACACTAAGTTACACAGATGCAGAAGTATCTCCTAGGAAGCCAAGCTAAAAATAAATAAATAAAAAATAAATAATTTTAACAATCTGAGCAGAGACATAACTGGTCATGCACCACAGTGGAGACTGATCTCACAGGTTACATCCAGGCAACTTACAAAATCAAGAATAAAGAAAGAAACAAACACCTGACAAACATCATCAGGATCAAAATATCAAGATAAAGAGTTGCTACCAAATATTATCAAAAATGTCTAGTTTTTCAATAAAATGTATGAGAGATAAAAGAGACTGGAAGCTGTAATACATTGTCAGAAATAAAAAGCAGTCAATAGATAGAAACCGTCCTTAGGTATCCATCAACCTTGGATTTAGCAGAAAAAATGACTCAGATGTGCTTTTTAAAATATGTTAAAAGAAATAATGAGAATCAGGTTAAAAATGAAAGGAAACTATGATGACAAAGAATCAACAAATAAAATTATCAATGTAATACAGGAGTCACAAAAAATGATCAAATAACAATTCTGGAATTGGAGAGTATAACCACTGAAGTTAAAATGGCACTGTAGCTGCTCAACAGTGTATTCCAGATGACAGAAAAAAGAATCAGTGAAAAAAGTACAGCTAAAGACTTATCAAACGTGATGGAAAATATTAATAAACAAATATAAATAGAACAAATATTAAAATAGGCATACTTAAGCACATTATGATCTATCTGTTAAAGGCCAAATACAAAGAGAAAATATTGAAAGCAACAAGAGAAAAATGACTTATCTAATAGAGTTTAGAAGGCGGTAGAATGGAATATTAAAAGTGCTAAAACAAAACAAAATATAAACCAAATACAAACTGTTCATTAAGAATTCTATATCCAGCAGCGTTATTCTTTCAATATGAGGCAGAATAAAGATATTCCAGGAAAGTAAAAACAAGGAATTTGTTGCTAACATGCCGCTTTACAGTAAATACTGAAGGAAGGTCTTCAGGATGAAAAGAAATGACACCTAAGGGTAAGTAGAATCCATAGGACGAAATAGAGACTGTTAATGGTAACTGTTAACTAATATAAAATATCTTATAAATACGTGTTTATCAGTCTTTTCTTAACTTTAAAATGGACATCATATTATATAAAGCAATACTAATAGCTCTGTATTTTGTTTATATAGATCTAATACTTGACAATAATGGTGCAAATAAGGGGATGGACTTACACTGTAGCAAATTGTTTATAATTTACTAGAATTATGCTAGTATTAATCTGAAGTAGAATGTATAAATTAGAATGTATATTGTAATCCCCAACGTGACTAAGAAAAAAAGTATATATGAAAAAAATCAAAGAATTAAAATAACACACAAAAATATTTAATTAGCACTAAAGAAACTAGTGAGAAAGAAACAGATGAACAAAAGAGATATACAGAAAATAAATAATAAAATGTTAAATAAAAATATAATTACATAGGCATTAAATTAAATATAAATAGCCTAAAACCAGAGATTATAGACTGTATATAAAAGCAAAATTTCAAATACATTTTTTCTATATATGTATATAATTTTATCGAATTATTGAACAAATACTTGTTTTGTGCTTACTATATACATATGTATAACATTTATAATAGTAAGCATAAAACCCACTATATATAACATATATATTATTGTATAATATGTATACCATATATATATATATATATATATATATATATATATATATATATACCATATAAACAAAATGTTTGTATGGTGTAGAGATGTGTGTGTGTGTGTGTGTGTGTGTGTATACACAAACAAAAATCATAATGAAACTGAAGTGCTTATATTAATATCAGGCAAAATATATATTAGATATGTGTATATATATATATCATACAAACAAAAACCATAATGAAACTGGAGTGCTTATATTAATATGAGGCAAAATATATATTAGAACAATACATTTTTCTAAGATAAACAGGTATACTTCATAATAATAAAAGGGTCAGTACCAGAATGTTATAACAATTGTAAATGTGTATATACCTAACAACAGAGTCCAAAAATGCACGGCAAAAAACCTTACAGAATTGAAGCAAGAAATAAACAAGAAAACAATTATAATTTGGTAATGTAGCACTTCACTCTCAATAACTGATAGATCAAATAGACAGAAAAGTAGCAGGGTATATTAGACTTCACATATACAGAACATTCCCAATCTAAGACTGCAGAAAACACATTGTTTCAAATGCACGTAAGCATTCTTGAGGAAAGACTATATGGCCCTTTACAAAAGACCATGAAACATTATTTGTTAAAGTAAAAAATATTGAAATCATATAAACTTTGTTCTCTGACTACAGAAGAATTAAATTAGAAATCAAAAACAGAAATAAATCTGGAAAATTCCCATCCTCAAATACCTGGAACTTAAGCTGTGCATGTCTAAATAACCCTTAAGTAACAGAAGAAACCACAATGGAAAACAGAATGCATTCAAAAGAAATAAAAACAGAAGTAAAACCTATGCAAATTATGAGATGCAACTTAAGTAGTTTTGGAAGAAAATGCATGTATTTAAATATCTATATCACAAAACATCAAAACTATACCTAATCCTGTACTTTTAAAAATTAGAAAAAAAAACTGAAGCTAAATAATTGAATAAAAAGTAATAAAGTTTAGAGAAACAAGCAAGAAATAATAGAAAAAATTATAGCACAAGATACCTTTAGAAAGAACATGAGAAAATAAGAAAACTAGCAATGAACAACCTGAAAATGATGATTTCTTTTGCTGTGCAGAAGCTTTTTAGTTTAATTAAGTCCCATCTATTTATCTTTGTTTTTGTTGCATTTGCTTTTGTGTTCTTGGTCATGAAGCCTTTGCCTAAGCCAATGTCTAGAAGGGTTTTTCCGATGTTATCTTCTAGAGCCTTCATGGTTTTAGGTCTTAGATTTAAGTCTTTGATTCATCTTGAGTTGATTTTTGTATAAGGTGAGAGATGAGGATCCAGTTTCATTCTCTGACATGTGGCTAGCCAATTATCCCAGCATCATTTGTTGAATAGGGTATCCTTTCCCAACTTTATGTTTTTGTTTGCTTTATCAAATATCAGATGGCTGTAAGTATTTGGCTTTAGTTCTGCGTTCTTTATTCTGTTTCATTGGTCTATGTGCCTATTTTTATACCAGTACCAGGTTGTTTTGGTGACTATAGTCTTATAGTACAGTTTGAAGTCAGGTAATGTGATGTCTCCAGATTTGTTCTTTTTGCTTAGTCTTGCTTTGGCTATGTGGGCTCTTTTTTGATTCCATATTAATTTTAGAATTGTTATTTTCTAGAAATAATCAGCAGAGTTAACAGACAACCCACATAGTGGGAGAAAATCTTCACAATCTATACATCCAACAAAGGACTAATATCCAGAATCTACAAATAACTCAAACAAATCAGCAAGACAAATAAATCCCATCAAAAAGTGGGCAAAAGACATGAATAGACAATTCTTAAAAGAGAATATACAAATGACCAACAAACATGAAAAAATGCTCAACATCACTAATGATCAGGAAAATGCAAATCAAAACCACAATGCAACATTGCCTTACTCCTGCAAGAATAGCCATAACCAAAAAATCAAAAAATAATAGATGGTTGGTGAAAAGGGAACAGTTTTACACTGCTGGTAGGAATGTAAAGAAGTACAATCACTATGGAAAACAGTGTGGAGATTCCTTAAAGAACTAAAAGTAGATCTACCACTTGATCCGCAATCCCACTACTAGGTATCTGCCCAGAAGAAAATAAGTCCTTATTTGAAAAAGATACTTGCACACACATATGTCTAGCAGCACAATTTGCAATTGAAAAATATGGAACCAGTCCAAATGCCAATCAATCAATGAGTAGATAAGGAAATGTAATATATATATACACACACAAATATACACATAAATCACATATATACATAAATGGAATTTATGTATAAATATATATACATAATCACATAATCACATTTAGATATGTAAATATATACACATAATACATATATTTAGATATGTAAATATATATACATAATACATACATTTAGATATGTAAATATATATACATAAATCACATTTAGATATGTAAGTATATATACACATATACACACCATTGAATACTACTCAGCCATTAGATATATAAGTGTATATATATATATACACACACACACATATACATATACACACCTTTAAATACTACTCAGCTATTAAAAGGAACAAAATAATGGCATTCACACCAACCTTGATGGAATTAGAGACTATTATTCTAAGTGAAGTAACTCAGGATGAGAAATCAAACATCGTATGTTCTCACTCATATGTGGGAGCTAAGCTTTGAGGACACAAAAGTATAAGAATGATACATTAGACGTTGCGGACTTGCGAGAAAGGGTGGGGGCAGGTGGCGAGGGATAAAAGACTACACACTGAGTACCGTGTACACTGCTTGGGTGATGGGTAGACCAAAATCACCACTAAAGAGCTTATTTATGTAACCACACACTACCTGTTCCCCAACAACCTATTAAAATAAAAAATAAAAAAAGAAAACAAAGAAATTAAACAATTATATTTTAAAACAAATATAAAAATAACACTTAACAAAGTAGTTAAACACTTGTGCACTGACAACTACAAATATTGCTTGGGAAATCAAAGAAGTTTTAATTAAATGGGGAGAGAACATGTGTTCATGTATTAAAAGAGTCAATATTGCCAACAGGTCAATTCCTACAAAATTAATCTATAGATTCATTGTAATTTCTATCAAAAGCTCTGCAGGCACTTTGTAAAATTGGCAGCTGATCCTAAAATGTACATACGAAAATATAAAAAACCTAATATAGTCCAAATAATTTTGGAAAACAAAGACACATTTGGAGGACTTACACTACTCTATTTCAAAATGTACTGTACGGCCGCAATAATCACTGTGGTATTAGTGCAAAGATAAGTACATGAGTTAATAGAATAGACTTGATATTCCAGAATTGAATCCTATTTATTGTCAATTAATTTTTGACAAAGGTGCTAAGACAACTTATTGAAAAGAACAGTGTATTCAAAAAATGCAGCTGAAACAATTGGTTAATTTTTGTCACTATGTATAATTTTATTAAATTATTGAACAAACCCTTATTGAGTGTTTACCATTCTAAATGTTTCAAAAATATTAATGCATTTTTTTCTTCATCGATAATCCCATGAATTCCATGCTATTATTATTCTCCTTTACAAATGAGAAAACTGAGGCACAATAAAGCTAAGTAACTTGTCCAAAGTCACACAGCTAAGTGGCAGAGCTAGGACTTGAACACTGTTCTCTTGACCCTTAGCCTCTGTACAGTAATGCACTGGGTAAATCGGTTCCCTCGCTTGGCATCCGTTCCCTCATCTGTATAAGAACAGAGAGGACTTCAAGACTTCAAATATCTACAATTTGACTGTTTAATATGTACTGAGCACTTTCACATATTTTCTCATCACAACAAAAATAATCTGGAGAGGAAAGCTTAGTCTCATTTTACATTGGAGCAAACTGAGGCTTTGAGAAGTAAGTTACATGCCCAAGTTTATACAGCTACAACATGAAGAAACCAGGAGGATTTGAACCTAGTCTGTCTCACTCCAGTGAACCACTCTACCTTTCTGCCTCCTCTCAAAGATCTCTTTCAATGCTAATTTTGCATAAGTTGATTAATTCAATTATTAAACACATATTCTGCCCTCTCTCTTTACCAGGACCTGGCTGAGTGTTGAAGGGCCATAGAATGAACTAGACAAAATACTTCTATCAAGAATAATATTATCTGCAAACATGTCTCATCTCCCTGTGATTTCATTCATTTAGATCGAATGAAATACAACATATGAGCAGTTCAGTGACAAGGAAAGGTTCAGACCATTGTGATGGAGCTCAAAAGGACTATCTTCCCGGTGGGAAGTTGAGGGAAGGAGTTCCTGAGAAAGCAATACTCCCTACTGGTTATTTAATGCAAAGAAAACAAATGAACTTAGTTCATTTATTACAACACATCATACACCAAAATTAACTCAAAATGAGTCAAAGAACTGAATGTAAGGCCTACAATATATAACTTCTAGCAGAAAACATACAGGAGAACCTTTATTGATCTTGAATTGAACAAAGTGTTTTCAGATACAACAAAAGCATGGTTCATAAAAATAAATTGAAAGAAAACCTGATATATTGGATTTGATTAAAATTTAATACTTTTGAACTTGCATGGGAAAAGATATTCAACCTATTAGTCATTAGGAAAAATTGAAATTCTAATCACAGTAGGATGCTAATTTCCACCCACAAGAATAGCTATTATTAAAAAAAAAAAGACAATGCCTAGTGTTTATGAGAATGTGGAGAAACTGGAACCCTCCTGCATTGCTTTTGAGATTCTAAAATGATACACTTTCTCTGGAAAACTTTTTCCAGTTTCTTAAAAAGTTACACATCTACTTATCATATGGCACAACGATTCTAGGAACCCTTGAAACGACGATTATTTTAAGGATAAGAATATGTGTTCTCGCAAATACAAGCACATAAATGTTCATAGCAACATTATGCAAATAAAACAAAACTGCAAATAATCTCGATGTCCATCACCTGGCAAATGGATAGACAAAATATGAAATATCCTTACAATTAAATATTATTCAGCCATGAAAAGGCACAAACTACTAACACGTTACTACAAATATGAAACCTAAAAAACATTATAAGTGAAAGAGATGGATGAGCCTGGAGGACATTATTTTAAGTGAAATAAGTCAGACATGAAAAGACAAATATCACATGTTCTAACTTATATGTGAGAGCTAAAAAAGTTGATCTCATTGAGGTAGAGAATAGAATGGTTGCCACTAAAGGTTGGGACGAATAGGGGAAAATAAGGGCTGAAGAGAGGTTGGTTAATGTATACAAAAATATGATTAGATGGAAAGAATAAGTTCTAATGTTTGATAGCACAGTAGGGTGAATATAGTTAGCAATAAGTTATTGTATATTTCAAAAAGAGAAAATTTGAAATGTTCCCAAGACAAAGAAATGATACATGTTTGAGGTGATGGGAATCCCTATTATCTTGCTTTGGTCATTACACATGTATGCATGTATCAAAATATTATATGTATGCCATAAATATGTACAACTATCATGTGTCAATAAAAGAGAGAGAAATCAAAAAGAAAAAAAACCCACACAGGATATGATTTATACATATGAAAAGTCCAGAAAAGGCAAATTTATAGAAGCAGAAAGCAAATCATGGCTTCTTGGTTGAGAGGATAGATCCACCACATAATCTAGCAATCCTACTGCTGGGTATATGTCCAAAAGAAAGAAAATCAGTATAACAAAAATACATCTGCCATCCCATATTTACTGCAGCACTATTAACAGTAGCCAGGATATGGAATCAACCTATGTCCATCAGCAGATGAATGGATAAAGAAAATGTGGCATATTTACACAATGGAATATTATTCAGACATAAAAAAGAATAAAGTCCTGTCATTTGTGGCAAGATAGATGGAACTAGAGGTCATTAAGTGACATAAACCAGGCACAGAAAGACAAATATCACATATTCTCATTCATATGTGGAAGCTAAAGAAGTTGATCTCATGGAGATAGAGTTGCCCGGTAGTTATCAAGGGCTTGGAAAAGTAGGGAGAGTGAAAGACATAAGAGAGGTTGGTTAGTAGGTACAAAATATAATTAGAAGAAATAAGATCGAGTGTTTAATAGTATAGTAGGGTAACTATAGTTAGCAATAATTTATATGTGGTTCAAAATAGCTGAAGAAAATGAATTGAAATGTTCCCAACCTAAAGAAGGGATAAATATTTGGCTTGATGTATGTCTCAATTGTCCTGGATCATAACACACTGTATACATGTATCAAAATATCACGTGCCTCCCAAATATGTATAACTATTATGTATCGATAAAAAATAGAGTTAGTTTAACTGGGAATGGACACAAGAGAAAATTTTGGGAGTGTAACAAATATTCTAAGTTTAGATTATGCTGATATTGACTGAAATAATTGAACACTTAAAATGTGTGAATTTAATGTTATGCAAATTTTACCTCAGTACACGTTTTCTAAAAGTCAGTTAAAGAAAACTATGCACGATGGTCACATGAAATGACTACATAGTTTAATATGTATTTTCTGTCTAGTACTGCAATAATCACCTATCTTTATATTTGCTCCTCTTATTTTTATTTTTTAATAATTTTCATCATCTCCAATATTTATGTAAGGATTTTACAATTTACTTTCTTGATAATTATAGTAATTTATAATCTTGTTAATAATAAAATATTGAAAATTAAGGCTGTGGCATTTTTGTTAGAAACAGAAAAATGTAATTATCAAGTAAGATATTTATCTGATACCTTTTATCTTTTAAAAATAAAACTATGAAAAATATAAAATTATTCTATATAAAATATACAGGTGAAATAATTTGATATTTTAATTACAATAATTGGAAACTTAAACTCTCTAGGATTCAGTTGCTGGTTAATATTGTGCATTTTGGATAATGCACATCTAAGGAGAGGGTCAATATTTTGTAGGTGCCTTCATTATTCTGAATATGAACATTTTTTGATATAGTTGAACATATTAATTTATGTTCTTAGGTGTATACATACTCTTATTTCTATATGTTGGGTGACTAGATTTAAAAGGATTTACATAAAATTTAAGTTTGATAGGGTATGTTTTCCATTGATGAGTTCTTTAAGTTTTCAGTTATAGAAATACTGAGAGTAACAAAGCTACATAGCAATTTATTGGCAAAATTGTTGTTGCAGATTTATTGTAATCTATAGAGCAAACCTTACATAATTTTGATAAACAACTTAAAATTTATTTTTTCATAGGTGATGTTCCAATTAATAACATTTTTGTTGATCGATTTTGCTTGTTAATTTTTAAATAATTGTATTAATGTAAACTAATTCTTAAAATTATGTTGATAGAACACTAGAAAATTATTATTTTCTTTCTGTACTCATAATTTGTTTTAAAGTAAATTGGTAATATAAAATATGGAAAATATAAAATTAACTTGTGATTACAGATGATCTATGAGATTTGCAGTTGATACAAGTCTTCTTCAATCCTATTTTCCACAATAGATAATTGTTATCAACATCAAGAAACTGAAAAAAAATGTTGGCACTAATAATGTGTATTTAAAGATTTTTAAACGTTTCAATAATAGACTTCATTTTTAGGTTTATAAGAAAATGGAGCAGAAAGTACAGAGTTTCCATTTGACCCTCTCCTCACTCTATACAGTTTCCTTTATTATTAACATCTTGCATTATTGGGGTACACGTGTTATGAGTGATCAGCCAATATTGATACACTGTTATTAATTTATGCCCCTAGTTTGTCTTAATGTTCTCTCTGTGTCATATAATTCTGTGAGGTTTATTTTTTTATTTATTTTTATTTTTATTTTATTTTATTTTTTCTTCTTGAGATGGAGTTTTGCTCTAGTCTTCCAGGCTGGAGTGCAATGGCGAGATCTCGGCTCATTGCAACCTCCCCCTCCCAAGTGCAAGCAATTCTCCTGCCTCACCGTCTTGAGTAGTTGGGACTACAGGGGCCCACTACCATGCCAGCTAATTTATTTTGTATTTTTGGTAGAGACGGGGTTTTGCCATGGTGGCCAGTCTGCTATCGAACTCCTGACCTCAGGTGATTTGCCCACCTCAGTCTCCCAAAGTGCTGGGATTAGGAGCATGAGCCACACCACGCCTGGCTAATTCTTCTGAGTTTTGATCAGTACATGATGCCATGTATCCACCATTACAGTATCATATAGAATAATTTAATTGCACTAAAAATCTCATATGCCCCCAAAACTCACCCCTTCCCCTCCCCCTGAACCCCTGGCAACCAGTGATATTTTCACTACCTTCATAAATTTTTTTAATATTGTGTCCTTGGAATTATATTGTATGTACCCCTTTCACACTGGCTTCTTTCACTTTGCAATATGCATTTAAGTTTCCTCCCATCCTTTTTATGGCTTAATAGCTCCTTCCTTTTGTAACAATATTTTATTGTTTGGGTGTACCACATTTTGTTTATCCATGTGCCTACTGAAGAACATCTTGATTGTTTTCAAGTGTTGGCAATTATGAATAAAGTGACTATAAACAGTTGTGTGCAGATTTGGGGGATGGGGCAGACATTCTCAATTCATTCAGATAAATATCAATGAGTGTGATTGCTGGATCATATGGTAAGACTGTGTTTGCTTTGTAAGAACAAAGATGGAGGCATCATGTTACCTGGCTTCAAACTATACTACAAGGCTACAGTAACCAAAACAGCATGGTACTGGTACCAAAACAGATATATAGACCAATGGATAAATTTGCAATTTATCCATCTGACAAAGGGCTAATATCCAGAATCTACAAAGAACTTAAATTTACAAGAAAAAACAAACAACCCCATCAAAAAGTGGGCAAAGTACATGAATGCACACTTCTCAAAAGAAGAAGTGCAGGCAACAGACGTATGAAAAAATGCTCATCATCACTGGTCATCAGAGAAATGCAAATCGAAACCACAATGAGATACCATTTCATGCCAGTTAAAATGGCAATCATTAAAAAGTCAGGAAACAACAGATGCTGGAGAGGATGTGCAGAAATACGAACACCTTTACACTGTTGGTGGGAGTGTAAATTAGTTCACGCATTGTGGAAGACAGTGTGGTGATTCCTCAAGGATCTAGAACTAGAAATACCATTTGACCCAGCAATCCTATTACTGGGTATATACCCAAAGGATTATAAATCATGCTGCTATCCAGACACATGCACGCATATGTTTACTGCAGCACTATTCACAATAGCAAAGTCTTGGAACCAACCCAAATATCCATCAATAATAGACTGGATAAAGAAAATGTGGCACAGATATACCATGGAATATTATGCAGCCATAAAAAGGGATGAGTTCATGTCCTTTGCAGGGACATGGATGAAGCTGGAAACCATCATTCTCAGCAAAATACCACAAGGACAGAAAACCAAACACCACATGTTCTCACTCATAAGTGGGAGTTGAACAATGAGAACACATGGACACAGCGAGGGGAACATCACACACTGGGGCCTGTTGCAGGGTGTGCGGCTGGGGGAGGGATAGTGTTAGGAGAAATACCTAATGTAAATGACTAGTTGATGGGTGCAGCAAACCACCATGGCACATGTATACCTATGTAACAAACCTGCACGCTGTGCACATGTACCGAAGAAGAAGAAGAGGAAGAGGAAGAAGAGGAAGAAGAAGAAGAAGGAGAAGGAGAAGGAGAAGGAGAAGAAGAAAGAGAAGAAGAAGGAGAAGAAGAAAGAGAAGAAGAAGAGGAAGAAGAAGAAGAAGAGGAAGAAGAAGAAGAAGAAGAAGAAGAAGAAGAAGAAGAAGAAGAAGAAGAAGAAGAAGAAGAAGAAGAAAGAGAAGAATAAGAAGGAGAAGAAAGAGAAGAAGAAGAAAGAGAAGAAAGAGAAGAAGAAGGAGAAGAAAGAGAAGAAGAAGAGGAAAGAAGAAAGAAGAAGAAGACGAAACAACTTCCAGGCTGTCTTTCAAAGTGGCTGTACCATTCTGGATTCCTAACAGCAACAGGTGAGTGTACTTTTGCTCCACATCTCACTAGCGTTTGGAGTTTTCAGTGGTTTGGATTTATTCATTTTAAAGATGTGCAATGGTATCTTACCATTTTTTTAAAACTTGCATTTCCCTAATGATGGATGATGTTGAGCATCCTTTCAAATGTTACTTGCCATCTCTTTGCCATCTTTGGTGATAATAGTGTGTTTAATAACCAGTTTTGTTTTGTTTTCTTCAAAGGATTTCTTAATCTCCTCAAAAGTTTGATACCTTGAATTTTAGGTTTTAAATTCTTTTACAAAACAGGTTTATCTTAAAATATTGTAAGAATTAGTACTGAGTGAATAAATTTAAAAGCACATATTTTCAAATATACATTGTTTTGTACTCTAGAATAAAATTGCTTTCTTCTACAATAAAACATAGAAATTCATGTTATAAAGACTTTCTGAAACAACATTGCATACTGCCTTAAATTGAGTTTTAGTAATGATATAATCTAGTTGATTTTCCCATTGACTCGAAGACAAACAGTAGTTGGTTACCTCGAGTAACATAAAAATTTTGTTGCCAAAACAGATTTCTGCCACACCATTCACTACTATGTTTAAAATATGTAACAAATAATGATACCAGTAAATTTTAACCATAGTTAATTTTCCAATGTCCAAAAATTCCATAAAAAGCAATCACATAATTTTTGTGATATAATTAGTGGTTCATTGAAAAGTGAAATTAAATTATTTTCATGTAATATTGTCTCTGGAAATTATCAGTGATAATAGTATAATTATGAATGGTAATAATCAATGGTAATAGTAATTTGTTTTGTAAGATAACCTGGAACATAATACTACCATTCTGGTAGAGCAAACTAGTTTAACCATTACTTGAAAATCTATGAAAGTTTGTTTTTGTTCTTGTTTTAAAAATACCTTTATATTAAATCACATACTAATATAAAAACGCAATTTCTTGTTTAAAAATATAATAGTTTATTGTTTATTCAAATATCAATTTTTGATTAACAAGTTATGTTAATTTTTTGTTATAGTAGTGAGATATACATCTATTCTATTTAAAACAAGACAAGACACTTTTTTTCAACTGCAGAAAATTTGTCCTAATAAATATACAAACCACCCATCTTTTAGATTAAGAAAATTAAAGGTAAATCAAAATAATGAAGATATCTCTTAGATATACAATACCCAACTTGCAAATTCTTACTCAGCAGCTGCGTTAATATTTAATTTAATTCCTATATATGTTAATTAAGCATGTATATCTTGTATCTTATATAAAAGAGAAAAGCTTGAGAAGAGTTTTTGTATTACAAAACAATTCTTGATATCACACCTTTCTTTTTCTCTTATATATTGCCATATGTCCATGGGTAAAACCATGGGTAAAACCATTTTCTTGGAAAACTTTTTAATGATTTTTCTTCATTTCTTTCTTTTATTCTTACCTTATTTTATTTTTTCTTTGCTGTAATTACTTGAAAGAAAATGAGGCAAGACCCATTTTTTTATAGATTTAATTCAAGGTTAAAAAAAAACTACTTCAAGTTCTACATATATTATAAGCACAACCCCAAAAGAATTATAAGACGTGTTTCTTTGTAACTTCATTAGTATTTTTTAAATTGTTTTTGGATTCTGTTGGTTTAAGTGTTTGATGTGGATTCAGGAAGACTTCAGCCTGTTTTTTAGTTCTACAACTTTCTCGCTAAGTGAACTTTGTTATTCAGTAATTCAAGCTCTTTGGTTTCATTTATTCCTGTATTTGTAAAAAAATAATAATACTGCCAATTTCACAAAGTGACTTGGGTTTTACACACACCCATTTTCTACAGCAGTGTCTGGTATTCAGCAAGTGCTCAATAAATTAATTTTCTTCTTTTCTTCTTTTTGAGAGTAATTTGTTCTCTCTCGGGCAGAGTTTCAACAGTAAGGAAAAGAGAAAAGTATTCAGCTTTTTACTTGCTGCTCAACAGTTTCAGGTCTGCTCAGGATGTGGATAAAAATATGCAATATATCTTCAGTTTCTTTTTTAATTTAGTTTTTTAGCAAAAATAGGTTTAGATGCTCAAAGACTGCAATGTTTTGAATTGCTCATTATAGAATATAAAGAACTAGTTAAAAACTTTAAAAAAACAGATTCATACATAAAAATAAATTTAAATATATGATTATTGGTAAGAAATAGACATATTTGAAAGAAAGAAATGCCTAGAAATATATATATATATATAGTTATTGTCTTTCAACTACATATGTTTCCCCTCAGTTTTACTAAGTTGTAATTGATAAATAAAAATTGCATACATTCAAGATGTATAGAATAATGTTTTGATATACTTATCCATTGTGAAATTATTACTACAATCAAGCTAATTAACATATCCATTGCCTGACAGTTGGCATTTGTGTATGTGTGGTGAGAACATTTCAGACATACTGTCTTAGGAAATTTCAAGTATACAATACATAATTATTAAGTTAAGTCACCATACTGTACAGTAGATCTCCAGATTTTATTTATCTTGTAACTGAAAATTTGTACCTTCTAACCAAGATTCCACCATTCCCTGCCACTCCCAGCCCCTGGCAACCACTCTCTGTTTCTTTGAGTTTTACTTCTTTAGATTCCACATATAAATGAGATTATACAATATTTATCTTTCTATGTCTGGCTTATTTCACTTAGCAAATGTCCTCCAGGTTCAGTATTTTTAAATCAGATATATTTTCTCCAATGCTAAAGAAAATCTTTATTAAAGAAAGAAAGAAAAAAGGCATGCAGTCAGAAAAACTATTTTTCTGATCAAATATGCTGCAGAAATTTTCATTTTACATATCTAAATTTAGATTTTTTATGAATTTTTATACAAATTCATCTTCTTATAGTTGGGATGTTATTACAAAAGTTTCGATATCTTAAAAATCCCTAATGTTTTAGAGTTTCATATTTATTGACCTGAAACAAATATCTTTATTGATCATTTTGTTAAGATGGATTCCCTGTTACGTCTCCCTGCTCCCCAACAGCACCAACTGTTTCTGTAACAAAACATATACCGAGACTAGTGCTGTATATTGATGTCAGGATCTCTAGAAGCTAAACTTACCAACTACTTGAAGCATATTATATAGTGAGACAGATTTTTCTTTATGATTCCAACCTCCATTTGAATATTTTTTAACCATCCTCCAATCTGAAAGAAAAGGTAGAATTACTTGACCTTGATGATGCTGACTTAGAGAACATTGTGTAAACTATTTTCTTTGTTGCTAGTCTAATACAATCACTCAGCCTAAGAAAAATAGATACTGAGTAAGTACTGCACCTTGGGAAAAGTCATCACTTTGAAATTTTAAGCTGCAAGCAGGAGAGCAAAGGCAGGTTATGCAGTTTCTCTGAATTATCTATTTCCAGGGTTATAGGAAGCAAGTAATGAGGAAAATAACATCACCTTATTTCAAGTCTCCTTTTCTCTGATTTTAATTTAGAAGAAATGGATAACTTTTAAAATAAGGAGAGGTGCAGGAATCCATACTGTAAAAATGTTCATACTGGGTCAACTTTACTGTAAGAGCTGAACTTTCTGAATTTGGTTCTTCTTCTTTCTGAATTTGGTTGTGGACAGCTATCATAACCAGTTGCAGAGTTAATTCAGTTAGGAGAAAAGGTATTTATACTATAAATATTGTGGAATGTTGTTGCAACATGTAAGTGTGCATGTATGTGTGTATATATGTGTGTATGCATATGTGTGTGTGCGTGTGTGTATCACTTATGTAACCAGGGCTGGCTAAATATTATACAGGGCCCAGTTCAAAATCAGGGGGAAAAAAGTACTAAAATATAAGCCTTTTCCTTTAGAGATACTTTATTACTTATGTAATAAGAGCAATAGCAACACATGAGCAATGAAATAAAATTATATATTGTGAAAAATACTATTTTTGTGTCAAAATTTTATGTAGTACAATAAACAAAATAATTTATTAACATGATAACTTCAGTAATCATAAGAGTTTCCTGGTTTGCTTATCTCAAAATGCATTTATTAGGTCATACACACTTATACTTTGAGCAACTTTATTTTTTTATTTTTTGTGAGAGAATATCGCTCTGTTGCCCGGACTGGAGTGCAGTGGCGTGATCCAGGCTCACTGCAGCCTCGACTCCTGGGTGCAAACGATCCTCCCAACTCAGGGTCCCAAGTAACTGGGACTACAGGTGCATGCCACCATGGCTGCTAATTTTTGTATTTTTTGTAGAGACAGGGTTTTGTCATGTTGCCTAGGCTGGTATGGAACTGCTGAGCTCAAACAATCCTCCTGTTTCAGCCTCCCAAAGTGCTCGGATACAGGCGTGAGCCTCCGAGCCTGGCCAAGCAGCTTTATTTTTAATCAATGTAATTGGAAATGCCATCATGAGCTCTTGGTAAATGCCAATCACAAATAATTTTTGACAATTTTTAATTTTGAAAAAGAACTCTGCTGTTGTCACTGTTACTGTAGCTGTTAAGAGTGTTTGCATTCTTCATTAAATTCAAATTTAATAATTTGATATTATTTCAAAATATAAATTTTATCACATCTTGAGCTGACGATTCTCACAGAATAATTTTTCTAAAAAGATTTAACTCTTTCTACAAATTAGTTTCATGCAATTCTGAATTCAATTTATATAATGGCCTTTTAATATTTCCTCTGACATTTCTTATAACTATTGGAGGTTGTACAGGACATCAAAAGTGGCTTTGTGATTTATATATAATTCAAAATGCCTTGGTAGTCATCCTATTGCTGTATGTTTAATTGAAAAAAATTAATTTTGAAATTATTTTCCTCATAAATAATTAGTTCATTTGAAGTTTCATATGAAAATAGTACTCTTTTTCATCTTATATGATGATCTTTAAACTTAATTCTTATTTTGAAGCCTTTCAATATTGCTTTGCAATGTTGCAATTTTCAAAACGAGAGACTGTAAGTGCTTTTTAAAATTCTTTAACCCTTTAATATATGTTTTTGCAATGTCCATATTAAGCTTTTATTTTGTAATAGTTTGTTGAACATTTACTGCCTGAGCATTGGAAGTTACTGTGCTTTTGATGAGATTGGAGTGTTAATATTTGTGCAGAAGCTGCAAGGACAGGGCTTAAGGAAAGATGGGGAAATCAGCACTAGGTTTCAGCACTTCCCTGGGCAGTGCCTCTCTATTTTTGCTTGATGGCTACAGCTGCTGCTTCTTCTGCTACTGCCATCATTGCTAACACCAATCTGGGCCCAGGTCTTGATGTGGCATCCTTAGGGCCTTATCATTACCCAACTGCACTAAGCATACACTTGCATGATGAACAATCAGGGTAATTGCTCAGCACATGCCCTACCATCTGATGAAATGTCACATGCAAGATCTATTGTCCTATTGCAGTTCACTTGCAAAACAAGTTCCAAGACAAAATTATTTTAAAATTTCAAGGTAGCAACAGTAGAACATTAAACCAAGAATGAGACCCTTTTAATAATAGAGCCTTACTCCATCATCAGAAATATCAGAAATAGTTAATACTCAATTCTTTCTCCTGCCCCTTGAGTATGAGCTGGTTTTAGTGACTTACTTCAAAATAATAGAATATGGAAGGGGAGGAATAATAATAAGTTTATAGTGGATAATCCTGGAAAATACTACCTTGACCACAACAGTGATAAGTCATGCTTACAGTATGTATCTTTGCTATAATGTGATTAAAATTACACATTATCTCTGTGGTCTTCTTTCTGCAAACATATAGCTCAATTTAATCACAAAAAATAAGAAAACCCAAATCAGGTATTCTAACAAATACCTAATCAACATTCCTCAATCTATCACTGTCTTGATAAACAGGGAAAGATTCAGAAAATATTGTAGACCAGAGGACACTGGGGAAACATGCAAACTAAGTGCAGTTTGGCACCCTGGACTGGACTCTGGAACAGAAAAAGGTCATTAATGAGAAAAACGTTAAAACCCAAATAAAGTCTGGAGTTTAGATAGCAGTAACTTATCAATGCTAGTTTCTTAGTTTTTTTCAAATGTTCCATGATAATGTAATATATTGACAACAGAGGAAACTGAGCAAAGAATATGCAGGGATTATATACAATCTTTATAACTTTTTAAAAATTAAACTTATTCCGAAATAAAAAGGATATCAAATAGCTTTATGTGCACCAAAGAGGTTTTGTTTATGTGCATTGTATGTATTGAGAATTTTTGGGGGATGGACAAGACAGCCAATTAGAAACAGCTAGTGTGCCTGGTTCTTATGGAGAGGAAAAAAAAGGTGTGAGTAAATACAGCACCTTTAACTGAAACATCCAGGTACTTGTCTTGGGACTAATCAAAGAAACAACTTGACCTATGGAAAATGAAGAAAAATAAGACAGGACAACAGCCCTCCTGGGTGTGACATGGAGCCAGGGGAACCTCCTCCACCCAGGGAAGTGGTAAGTGAATGTGCAAAGCTGGGAACTCATGCTTCTCTCATAGACTTTTGCAATTCTTCGGTCAGGCAATCGCTTTGTGAACCCACTCCACCACGGCCTTCACTCTAACAGAAAGAGCTATGTGGTATCTCTGCAGAGCAGCCACTCAGGCACTTGTGGAATCCCAGGAACCTTAGGTACTCAGGCTTTCTGGCCAAAGTAACTGTAACTCTGGCAAAGTGGTAGGTTAGACCCCTGTACATACCTCTAGGAAAGAGGATAAATCCAGGGGGCTGAGCAGTGACAGCCTGCCTGTCCTACTTTCATGGCACCTTGCAGGATAAGGCTCACTGGCTTGGAATTCCAGCCAGCCACCCACAGTAGTGCTATTTCACCTCCCTGAGATGAAGGGGTAGGTGGGTTCTTGGGAGGTGGGCTAAGCCACCATCTTTACTCTTTGGGCAACTTTGCAGCTGCAGCTTTTAGGTTTTGGAGATTTTAAGCTGACTGGGGGCCGAGGGGATCCCCCAGCACAGCATAGCTGCTCTATCCAAATGTGGCCATGCTGTTTTTTTAAGTGGGTCCCAATCCCATACCGCCTCACTGAGCAGGACCTCACAACCAGGGTCTCAAACCACCTCCTACAGGTGTTTTTGGGCTAGTAAGAGGCTTGTACCTCTCTGGGATAAAGCTCCCAGGTGTTCATCTTTGCTGTTTTGCAGCATTCACTGGTGATACCTCCAAGTACTGGAAAATCTAAGGTGACTAGAAACTGGAGCAGGCCCCCAGAATACTACACCAGCCCTACAAAAACTGGCCAGTCTGTTACATGGGTGCCTGTTCTTATATCTACTCACTGGGCAGGTCCTCCAGGCCTGGGCATCCAGCCACCCCTTGCCAGAGCTGTTGAGCCAGTAGCAACTTGACAACTCCCTGGACAGAGCCTCTAGGGGCAACTGAAAGCCTTTCTGCCATTGCCTCTGCAGTGAAACTCCCCTTGCTGCTCTCAGACTAACAAAGGAACAAAGACCCTAAGTGCCTTATTTGTATGTCCAGCAAGCTTCAGTAAACCAAAAGGGAGGAGGCCAGTCCAGTTTCCATGGGTCCCACCTCCCCCACCCACTGCTCATCACAAAACAGGGAACACCTGGCTTGGGCCCACAACAC
Organism: Homo sapiens; assembly: GCF_000001405.40. Classification (NCBI taxonomy): domain Eukaryota; kingdom Metazoa; phylum Chordata; class Mammalia; order Primates; family Hominidae; genus Homo; species Homo sapiens. The sequence goes on from NC_000004.12 coordinate 104,093,204, forward strand.
AGACCCTCCATCCTGGGCTGATTGCACTGAGCAATTGCTGACCTGCATCTATCTGGGGTGGAGCCCCCAGGAGACTAGCAAATGTCCATTGGCCACAACTACTACTGAGGTCCCTCCCTCTGCTGCCTCCAAGCTGAGGAAGAAACATAAACACTGAAATCACCCCAGAGCTGCAGTGGGCAGCTCAGGAGTGCCAAGCTGTGAGCTACATTCAGCACTCAAGAGAAGAACCCACACTTTCAGAGCATTGAGAGGGAAAGCAACTGCAACTGTGAGGAAACTATAACTGTGAGGAAACAAGGGAACCACATGATGAAGCAAGAGTCTACCAACTGACCAATAAGCCTAAGTGTCACCTGGTATATCAAACCCCAAAGCTTTAACATAAAAAATACCCCACTAACATATCCCCCTCTAAAACCAGAGACAAGAAGACAGCTGCAAATAAAGACCCTGCAGAAAGTCCCAGCACAGTAAAAGCATTCATAAAAGAAGTCTATTGACTGTACTCAGTCTACACGGAAGTAAAAGGAACACCTTCACACAGAGTTGAGAAAGAACCAACACAAGAACTCCAGTAACTCAAATGGCCAGAGTGTTGTATGTCCTCTAAATGACTGTACCAATTCTCCAACAAGTGTTCTTAACCAGGCTGTACTGTCTAGAATGACAAAAATAGAATTTAGAATTCAGGAACAAAGATCACCAAGATTCAGGAGATGGCAAAACCCAATCCAACGAAAATAAGGATCCAATAAAGCTATACAGGAGCTGAAGGATGAAATAGCTTGTATGAAAAAGAACCTAAAGTGTCTGACAATGCTAAATAACACAATATAAGAATTTCACAATGCAATCACAATTATTAACAGCAGAAAAAAAACCAAGCTTAGGAAAGGATCTGAAAAATTGAACACTGGCTGCTGAAATAAGACAGTCAGACAAAAAAAAAATATAATAAAATAAAAAGGAATGGGAATGAAAAAAACCTCTGAGAATGGGATTATGTAAAGAGGCCAAATCTATAAATCACTGGGATTCCTAAAAGGCAGAGGGAGAAAGCAAACAACATGGACAACATATTTCAGGATGTTATAAGAAAACTTCCCCAACCTTGCTAGAGTGGCCAACAGTCAAATTCAGGAAATACAGAAAACTCCTGCAAGATTCTACACAAGAGGACCATCCCCAAGACACGTAATTGTCAGACTTTCTAAGGGCAAAATACAATAAAAAATGCTAAAGGCAGCTAGAGAGAAAGGACAGTTCACCTACAAAGAGGACCCCATAAGGTTAACAGTGAATCTCTCAGCTGAAACCCTACAAGCCAGAAGAGACTGGGAGCTTATATTCAGTATACTTAAAGAAAATAATTTCCAACCAAGAATTTCACATCCAGACAAACTAACCTTCCTAAGTGAAGTAGAAATAAGATCCTTTTCAGATAAGCAAATGTTGAAGAAATTCATTACCTTCAGATCTGCCTTACAAAAGACAATTAAACATACAGAACAGTGTCACTGGAAAGCAATCACACAAACAAGTCAACATAGTAACCAGCTAACAGCACAATGATGGTATCAAATCTATACATATCAATACTAACCTTGAATGTAAAAGGGCAAAATACCCCACTTAAAAGGCACATAGTGGCAAGCTGGATAAAAAAGCAACACCCAATGATATGATGTCTTCAAGACACCCATATCACATGTAATGACACTCATAGGCTCAAAATAAAGGGATGCCAGAAAATCCACTAAGCAAATGGAAAACAGGAAAAAGCAGGGGTTGCAATCCTAATTTCAGACAAAAGAGATTTCAAACCAACAAAAATCAAAAAAGACAAAGAAGGGCATTATGTTCTAGTCTAATGAGTTCAATTCAACAATAAGACCTAGCTATCCTAAATATATATGCAGCCAACACAGGAGCATCCAGATTCATAAAGAAAGTTCTTAGAGACTTGCAAAGAGACATCAACTCTCACACAATAATAGTGGGAGATGTCAACACTCTACTGACACTATTAGACAATCATTGAGGTAGAAAATTAACAAAGAATTTTCAGGACCTGAACTCAACATTGAACCAATGGATCTGACTGAACTTTACAGAACTCTCCACCCCAAAACAACAGAATATACACTTTTCTCATTGCCACATGGTACATACTCTAAAATTGACCACATAATCGACCACAATCCTCAACAAATGTGTAAGAACCGAAATCATACCAAACACACTCTTGGACTACAGCACAATAAAAATGGAAGCCAAGACTGACAATTACTGAAAACCATACAATTACATGGAAACTGAACAATATGCTCCCGAATGACTTTTGGGTAAATAATAAAATTAAGGCAGAATTCAAGAAGTTCTTTGAAAATAATGAGAACAACGATACAACATACTGGAATCTCTGGGACACAGCTAAAGCAGTATGAAGATGAAAATTTATAGCACTAAATGCCCACAGCAAAACATTAGAATATCTCAAATTAACATCCAAACTTCACAAGTGAAAGAATTAAATAATCAAGAACAAATGAACCCCAAAGCTGGCAGAAGACAAGAAATAACAAAAATCAGAGCTGAACTGAATGAGATCAAGACATGAAAATCATTCAAAAGATCAAAGAATCCAGGAGCTTTTTTTTGAAAAAAAAAAATAATAAATTAGGCCACTAGTTAGACTAATAAAGTAGAAAAGAGAGAAGACCCAAAAAACACAATGAGAAATGACAAAGGAATTGTTCCTACTTACCCCACAGAAATAAAAACAAACATCAGAAACTACTATAAGCACTTCTATACTCTCAAACTAGAAAGCCTAGAAGAGATGGATAAATTCCTGTACATATACATCCTCCCAAGACTGAGCCAGGAAGAAATTTATTTCCTGAACAGACCAATAACAAGTTTCAAAATTGAATCAGCAATAAATAACCCACCAACTGAAAAATGCTTGGGACCTGATGGATTCACAGCCAAATTCTATCAGATGTACAAAGTAGAGTGGGTAGCATTCCTACTGCAACTATTCCAGAAAGTAGAGGAGAAGGGATGCCTCCCCAACTCATTCTCTGAGGTTGGAATCATCTTGATACCAAAAACCTGGCAGAGACACATCAAATAAGAAAACTTCAAGCCAATAACTTTGATAAAAATTGAAGCAAAAATTCTCAATAAAATACTTGCAAACCAAATTTAGCAGCACATCAAAAAGCTAATCCACCATGATCAAGTAGGCTTCATCCTGGGATGCAAAGTTGATTCAACATATGCATATCATTTATGCAAATAAATAAATGTTTTATTACACAAACAGAACTAAAGACAAAAATACATGATTATCTTAATAGATGCAGAAAAATCTTTTGATGAAATTCTATACTGTTTCATGTTTAAAATTCTCAATAAAGTAAGTTGAAGGAACATACCTCAGGATAATAAGAGCCATCTACAGCAAACTCACAGCCAACATTATACTGAATGAGCAGGAGCTGGAAGCATTCCCCTTGAAAACTGGCAGAAGATAAGACTGCCCACTCTCACTACTTGTATTCAACATAGTATTGGAAATCCTAGCCAGTGCAATTAGACAAGAGAAAGAAATAAAGGGCATCCAGATAAGAAGAGAGAAAGTCAAATGATTTCTGTTTGCAGATGACATGATTCTATACCTAGAAAAACCCATAGACTCCATCCAAAAGCTACTTCAGCTGATAAACAACTTCAGCAAAGTTGCAGGATACAAAATCAATGTACAAAATTACTACCATTCCTATATGCCAAAAACAGCAAAATCAAGAGCCAAGTCAGAAAGGCAATCCTATTCAAAATTGCCACAAAAAGGATAAAATGCCTAGAAATACCTAGAAAGATCTCTACAATGAGAATAACAAAACACTGCTCAAATAAATCAGAGAAGACACAAACAAATGGAAAAACATCTAATGCTCATGGATAGGAAAAGTCAATATCATTAAAATGACTAGACTGCCCAAAGCAGTTTACAGATTCAATGCCATTATTATCAAACTACCAATTACATTGTTCACAGAACTAGAAAATGTATTTTAAAATTCATCAAACAAAAGAACTCAAATAGTCAAGGCAATCCTAAACAAGAAGAACAAAGCTAGAAGCATTATATTACTCAACTTCAAACTATACTACAAGGCTATAGTAACCAAAACAGCATGGTATGGTACAAAAACAAGCACATAGACCAACAGAGTAGAATAGAAAGCCCCAAAATAAGGTCACACATCTACAACCATCTGATTTTCAAGAAAGTTGACAAAAGCAATGGGGAAAGGACTTTCTATCCACTAAATGGTTTTGGGATAACGAGTTAGCCATGTGCAGAAGATTTAAGCTGAACCTCTTTCTTAGACCATACACAAAAATCAACTCAAGATAGATTACAGAGTTAAATGTAAAATCCCAAACTATAAACACTCCTGAAGACAAACTAGGCAATACAGTCCTGGACATAGCAACAGGCAAAGATTTTATGACAAAGACACTAAAAGCAATAGCAGCAAAAGCAAACATTGATAGGTGGAATCAAATTAAATTTAAGAGTTTCTGCACAGCAGAAGAAACTATCAACAGAGTAAACAGTCAACCTATAAAATAGGAGAAAATTTTTGCAAACTGTACATTTGACAAAGATCTAATATTCAGCATCTATGAGGAACTTAAACAAATTTACTAGAGAAAAACAGCCCCATTAAAAAGTGGGCAAAGGACATGAACAGACACTTTTCAAAAGAAGACATACATGCAGCCAACAACCACATTAAAAAAAGCTCAACATCACCTATCATTAGAAAAATGCAAATCAAAACCACACTGAGATGCCACCTCACACCAGTCAGAATGTCTATATTAAAAAGTAAAAAATAACAAATAACAACCTGGTGAGGTTGAAGAGAAAGGGGAACACTTATACTCTGTTGATGGGAGTGCAAATTAGTTCAACCATTGTGGAAAATGGTATGGCAATTGATATAGTTGGCTGTGTCCATACCTAAATCTTGAATTATAGCTCCTATAATTCCTATGTGTTTTGGGAGGGACCCGGTGGAAAGTAATTGAATCACGGGGGCAAGTCTTTCTCATGGTATTCTTGTAATAGTGAATAAGTCTCACAAGATTTGATGGTTGTTTAAATGGGAGTACCCCTGCACATGCTCTCTCTTGCCTACTGCTATGTAAGGTGTGACTTTGCTCCCTTATTTGTTTTCTGCCATGATTTTGAGGCCTCCTCAGCCATGTGGAACTGTCAGTTAATTAAACCTCTTTTCTTAACAAGTTACATAGTCCCAGGTATGTCTTTATTAGCTTCCTGAGAACAGATTAATACAGTAAATTGGTACTGGTAGAGTGGGGTGCTGCTGTAAAGATACAATGTGGAAGTGACTTTGGAACTGGGTAACAGGCAGAGATTGGAACAGTTTGGAGGGCTCAGTAGAAGTAGAAATATGTGGGAAAGTTTGGAACTTCCTAGAGACTTGAGAATGAATGACTTTGACCAAAATGCTAATAGTGATATGGACAATATAGTCCAGGTTGAGGTGGAGATGAGGAATTGTTAGGAAGTGGAAATAAGATGACTCTTGCAATTTTTTTTTTTTAGCAAAGAGAATGGTGGCATTTTGCCCCTGTCCTAGAGATTTGTGGAAATTTGAACTTGAGAGAGATGATTTAGGGCATCTGGCATAAGACATTTCCAAGCAGCAAAGCATTCAAGAGGTGACTTATGTACCATTAAAAGCAGTCAGTTTTATGTACTCAAAAAGATATGGTTTGGAATTTGAACTTATGTTTCAAAGGAAAGAGGAGCAAAAACGTTATGAAAATATGCAGCCTGACAATGTGATAGAAAAGAAAATCCCATTTTCTGAGGTGAAATTCAAGCCTGCTGCAGAAATTTGCATAAGTAATGAGGAGCCAAATGTTAATCTCCAAGACAATGGAGAAAATGTCTCCAGGGCATATAGGAGACCTTTGTGGTAGCCCCTCCCATCATAGTCCTGGAGGCTTAGGAGGAAAAAATGGTTTTCTGAGCTAAGCCCAGGGACCCCCTGCTGCATGCTGCCTAGGGACTTGGTGCCCTGCTTCTCTTACATAGTGTGGAGCCTGTGATTGCACAGAAGTCAAGAATTAAAGTTTGAGAACCTCTGCTTAGATTTCAGAGGATGTATGGAAATGCCTGGATATCCATGCAAAAGTTTGCTGCAGGGAGGAGCCCTCATGGAGAACCTCAGCTGGGTAGTGAAGAAGGGAAATGTGAAGTGTAAGTCCCCACACAGAGTACACACTGGGGCACTACCTAGTGGAGATATGAAAAGAGGGCCACTATCCTCCTGATCCCAGAATGGTAGATCCACCGACAGCTTGCACTGTGCACCTGGAAAAGCTACAGGCACTCAACACAAGCCTGTGAAAGCAGCCCAGAGAGATGTTGTATCCTGCAAATCCACAGGGCTGGAGATGCCCAAGATGATGGGAACCCAAGTCTTGCATTAGTATGACATGGATGTGAGACATAGAGTCAAAGGAGATCATTTTGGAGCTTTAAGGTTTGAGTGCCCTGCTGGATTTTGGACTTGCATAGGGCCTGTAGCCCTTTCATTTTGGCTAATTTCTCCTATTTGGAATGGGTGTATTTACCCAACGCCTGTACCCCCCAGTGTATCTAGGAGTTAACTAATTTGCTTTTCATTTTACAGACTCATAGGTGAAAGGAGCTTGCCTTGTCTCACATAAGAGTTTGGACGGTGGACTTTTGAGTTAATCCTGAAATGAGTTAAGTCTTTGGGGGACTGGCTGGGTGTGGTGACTCATGCCTGTAATCCCAGCACTTTGGGAGGCTAAGGTGGGCAGATCACTTGAGGTCAGGAGTTCAAGACCAGCCAGGCCAACATGGCAAAACCCCATCTTTCCTAATAATACAAAAATTAGCCTAGTGTGTTGGTGCATGCCTGCAATCTCAGCTATTTTGAAGGCTGAGGCACAAGAATCACTTGAACTTGGGAGGTGGAGATTGCAGTGAACTTAGATCATGCCACTGCACTCCAGCCTCAGCAACAAAGTAAAACTGTCTCAAAAAAAAAAAAAAAAAAGACTTTGAGGGACTGTTGGGAAGTCATAGTTAGTTTTGAAATGTGACGACATGATATTTGGGAGGAGCCAGAGGTGGAATAATATGGTTTAGCTGTGACCCCATACACATCTCAGGTTGTAGCTCTCATAACTCCCACCTCTCTTGGAAGGGACCTGGTGGGAGGTAATTGAATCATGGGGATGGATCTTTCCTGTGCTGTTCTCATGATAGTGAATAAGTCTAATGAGATCTGATGGTTTTATCAAGGGGAGTTACGCTGCACATGCTGTCTCTTGCCTGCCACCATGTGAAACATAACTTTGCTCCGCATTCCCTTCTGCCAAGATTGTGAGGCATTCCCAGCTATGTGGAACTGTGAGTCAATTATAGCTATTTAATTATAATTTACCCAGTCTCAGTTATATCTTTACCAGCAGCAGGAGAACAGACTAATATAGCAATTCCTCAAACATCTAAAAGCAGAACTCCCATTTGACCCAGCAGTCCCATTGCTGGGTATATATGCAAAAGAATAGAAATTATTCTACCATAAAGACACATGCACATGAGTGTTCTTTGCAGCACTGTTTATAATAGCAATAACATGGAATCAACCTGAATGCCCAGTAATGCCAGATTGGATAAAGAAAATGTAGTACATATACACCACAGAATACTATGTAGCCATAGTATATAGAATATTATATATACTATACAATACTAGGTAAAAAAAAGAATAAGACCATGTCTTTTGCAGGAACATGGATGGAGCTGGAGACTCTTATCCTTAGCAAACTAATGCAGGAACAGAAAACCAAATATCACATGTTCTCACTTATAAGTGGGAATTAAATGGTAAGAACTTATGAACACAAAGAAGAAAACAATGGACAGTGGAGTCTAACTGAAGGGGGGAGAATGGAAGGGAGGAGAGAATCAGAAAAGATAACTATTGGGTACTGGGTTGAATACCTAGGTGATGAAATAATTTGTGCAACAAACCCCTGTGACACGAGTTTACCCATGTAACAAACCTGCATATGTACCCCGAACCTAAAATAAAAGTTAAAAGAAAGAAAAACACTGGAGAAATATATAATCATAAGAGGCATTATCTTGTATCTCCTCCTTAATGTGTCCTGTCTCAAGATAATCACCCAATTGATTTGTAAATATTCTCCAGATTTCTTTATGTGGGCTCATTTATATTTTAAAATGTGACATATGTATATCCTTATCAAAATCAGTTCACATTGATGCCTCAATGCTTTTGATTAGATTTAAGTTTTGGTGTGGTTAAGCAATTTTATATGTGTTGATTGCCATTTTTTAAATTACTTATTGGTACATATGTACACAACTCTTTTAGATTAGATTTTCTTTTATATCAGGTATATTAATTATGTCTGTAAATTATAGTGCAAATGTATTGTTTCCAATGCAGAACGCTCCCTCTGGTTTCCTAATATGAACAGACACTGCATGGATGCTCTCCTGGAAATGAGTGGTCTGGCATCCATGCTAGACTTGTCAGCACTGAGCTAAATGGTCTCTTCTGCCTTCAGGGAGGTGACATATACTGGCACTCACTGCTTATTCCTGAGGTCCTGGCCACTGCCCTAGGAGAATTACATCTGTGCACATTGTAGCTTCTTTGCTCTGACCCTAGGGAGTTTTCTCTCCCTGCTCTCACAGCACAGAGTTATAGCCACCTAAATATGGTAACACCTAATATGTATTATATATTTTAAATTAAGAAAGACAAAACTAGCCATTTCAAGATAATGGTATTTATTATTTATCAAAAAAAGGTTTCATAACCAGTATTTGAAAATAGCATTTTTGAGGCTTATTCATTTTGCCAAATTAATACATCAAGATATTAAGAATATTAACTGGCGAGCCAGGTGAGGTGACTCATGCCTGTAATCCCAGCACTTTGGGAGGCTGAGGTGGGCGGATCACGAGGTCAGGAGATCGAGACCATCCTGGTTAACATGGTGAAACCCCGTCTCTACTAAAAATACAAAAAAATTAGCCAGGTGTGGTGGCGGCCGCCTGTAGTCCCAGCTACTCAGAAGGCTGAGGCAGGAGAATGGTGTGAACCCAGGAGGTGGAGCTTGCAGTGAGCCAAGGTTGCGCCACTGCACTCCAATCTGGGCGACAGAGTGAGACTCCGTCTCAAAAAAAAAAAAAAAAAAAGGAATATTAACTGGTCTACTGACACTCTCACCTCAAACAAGATATTCATTATAAATAATTTGATGTATATTCTCTTGATTTTTGAATGTCTTAATAAAATGCACAGAAATTTTAAGAAAAATAAATTTTTTATTAGCTATTTATATTTTAAAACGATGTATATTAATTGATTTAAACATGATACAAATACTATATTTTAACATACATAACATTTGATTAGAAATGATTATAACTTAAATACAAAAAATAGAAGAGTGACATTTGTTTACATATATTTTTTACTAGGATAAACAGAAAAGGTCTCTTTTAGAAATGACATTAAAGCTAAGTTCTGAGAAAAAAGAGAAGTGGTCTTAGCATGTAAAAATAAAAATGCATATTACAGGGGTGCCATAGACATAAATACAGAGAATGGATAATTAAGCTATAAATTATAAAAAAACTAAATATAAATTATTTTTCTAAAAAAGTCTGAAATATTATCTGAATATCAATTTTAAAGCCTATGAATTACTGAAAAAAATTAAAAACACAAAATTACACATAATTCTAGTACTCTTTCAATTTAATAGATTAAAAAAAAGAAAAACACCCAAGTATCTAAAGTGAGACAAGTTACTTACAAATCTACAAAACACAAAAGGCTTCTGTAATACTTTACATATAAAAATTGATTTCATATAAAATCATCTTGAAATAGGATTAAGGAAGGACTGTGAAGACAAAATTCTATACCCAGCCAAATTTTCATTAACAACTATATGAAATTTACAGAAAGGTAGTTGAAAATATGGTAAAGCACAGAATATATAGTCCTTATGCTTTTTAAATAAAATATTAAAAGATATACCTGCAAACAATCAATAAAAATTAAGAACTCATGATAGCAGGGGCATTGTAGAATAAAAATTAGTGTTGAGCGCTAATGCTAGTTAACTACTTTGACATGTCAAAATTATTGCTGTACTTCAGCAATTATTAAAATTACATGCAAAAGCCTGAAGTAATTATGTAAATACATATATCTGTCAGATTTTACTAATATCGTCATAACAATAATTTAGATTTGCTTTTCCAGAGCAAGTTAAGAAAGCCTGAAAATTCAGGAGTAGTGAGTATTAATTCTTCCTTTTCCATAGTAGAGAGTGAGGAAAGCTTAAAGTTACTTTACAAAGTACAACAAAATATCTTTGCACTCCCACTAGTCCAGGAGATTTAAAATTGTTATTCAATACCAAGTGGCATGGTTCCAATAAAAAAAATTGTATAATTTTTCCCAAATATCTCTTCAGACCACAGTGGAATAAAACTAGAAATCAACTCCAAAAGAAACCCCCAAAACTATATAAATACATGGAAATTAAATAATCTGCTCCTGAATGATTTTTGAATAAATGAAATCAAGATGGAAATTAAAGTTATTCACAATGAATAATGCTGACACAAGTTATCCAAACTTCTGAGATACAGCTAAAGCAGTTCTAAGAGGAAAGTTTACAGTGTTAAATGCCTTCATCAAAAAGTCTGAAAGATCACAAATTGAAAACTTAACATCACAAATCAAGGAACTAAAGAAACAAGAAAAAAACCAAACCCAAAGCTAGCAGAAGAAAAGAAATATCAAAGATCAGAGGAGAACTAAATGAAATTGTAATAACAAATACAAAAGATCAATAAAACAAAGAGTTGATTTTTTGCAAATGAATAAAAAATAGACCAATAGCTAAACTGACCAAGAAAAGAAGAGAGATTTGAATAAGCTCAATTAGACATGAAAATGGAAACATTACAAACAATACCACAGAAATATAAAAGATGATTCAAGACTACTATGAATACTTCCATGCACACAAACTAGAAAATCTAAGGGAAATGCATAAATTCCTTGAAAGATACAACCCTCCTATCTAGATGAGGAAGAAATAAAAATTCTGAACAGATCAATAACAAGCAGAGACATTGAACCAGTAATTTAAAAATTGCCAACAAAAAAAAAAAGCCTAAGGCCAGATGAAATCAAAGCCAGATTCCACCACACAAAGAATTGGTATCAATCCTATTAAAACTATTTTAAAAGACTGGGAAAGAGGGAATCCTCCCAAACTTATTTTATGAAGCCAGGGTCACTCTAATAACAAAGCCTGGAAAGAACATAACAACAACAACAACAACAACAAATTACAAGCCAATATCTCTGATGAACATATATGAAAAAATCCTCAACAACAACAACAATGCTAGCAAACTGAAACCAACAGCATATCAACAACAACAAAAATCACCATGATCAAATGGGTTTCATCCCAGGGATGCAAATATGGAAGTCAACAAATGTGATTCACCACATAAACAGACTCAAAAACAAAAACCATATGATTGCTTAAATAAACACAGAAAAAAAATTTGAAAAAAAATTTGATAAAATCCAACATCCCTTTATGATAAAAACCCCCAATAAAATAGGCATAGAAAAAACATACCTCAAAATAATAAAAGCCATTATGCCAAACCAATAGCCAAAATAATATTAGATGGGGAAAAGTTGAAATCATTTTCCCTAAGAACTGGAACACCACAAAGATACCCATTTTCACCACTTCTATTCAACAAAATACTGAAGGTGCTAATAAGAGTGATCAGGCAAGAGAAAAAAATAAACAACATCCAAATTGAAAAAGAGGAAGTCAAACTATCTCTTTGCCAATTATATGATTATATACCTAGAAAACCTAAATACTCCTTCCAAAAGACTCCCAGGTTTGATAAATTAATTCAATAATGTCTCAGGTTACAAAATCAATGTACCAAATCAGTAGCATGAATACACACCAACAATAACCAAGATGAGAATCAAATCAAGAACTCAATCTCTTTTACAATAGCTGCAAAACATTAAAATACCTAGGAATATTCTTAATCAAGGAGGTGATTAAGATTAAGTTCTCTACAAAAAGAACTACAGGACACTACTTAAAGAAAACACAGATGACAGAAACAATTGGAAATATATCTCATGTTCATGGTTTGGAAGAATTAATATTATCAAAATGACCATACTACCAGATGTGGTTTTGCTGTGTCCTCACCCAAATGTCATGTCAAATTGTAATTCCCAATGTTGGGGGAAGAACCTGGTGGAAGGTAACCGGATCATAGGGGCAGATATCACCCTCTCTGTTCTCATGATAGTGAGTGAGTTCTCAAACAATCTGGTTGTTTAAAAGTATGTGGCACTTCCTCCTTCGCTCTCTCTCCTGCTGGCCATGTGAATACATACTTGCTTCCCCTTCACCTTCTGCCATAATTGTGAGTTTCCTGAGGCCTCCTAGCTGTGCTTCGTGTACAGCCTGTGGAACTGTGAATCAATTAGATCTCCTTTCTTTATAAATAACCCAGTCTCAAGTGGTTCTTTATAGCAGTGTGAGAACAGAATAATACAGAAAATTGGTACCAGAGAAGTGGGGCATTGCTATTAAAGATATCTGAAAATGTAAAAGTGACTTTGGAACTAGGTAATGAGTAGAGCTTGGAAGTTTGAAGGTATCAGAAGAAGACAGGAGAATAAGGGAAAGTTTGGAACTTCCTAGAGAATTGTTGAACAGTTGTGACCAAAATGCTGATACTGATATGGACAGAAAAGTCCAGGCTGAGGTGGTCTCAGATGGAGATGAGAACCTTACCTGGAACTAGAGTAAAGGTCATTCTTGCTATGGTATAGCAAAGATACTGGCAGCATTGTGCCCCACGCTAGAGATCTGGGGAAATTTGAGGTTGAAAGAGGTGATTTAGAGTATCTGGTAGAAAAAATTTCTAAGACGCAGAGTTCAAGATGTGGCTTGGCAGCTTTTAAATGCCTAGACTCATTTGCATAAACAAATAAATAACCTGAAAGTAGAACTTATATTTTCTTTTTAAAAAGCAGGGTGTAAAAGTTTGGGAAATTTGCAGCCCAACCGTGTAATAGAAAAGAAAAACCCATTTTCTGGGGAGGAATTCAAGGCTGCAGAAATTTGCATAAGTAAAGAAAAGCCAAATGTTGATAGCCAAGACAATGGGGAAAATGTCTCCAGTGCATTTCAGAGACTGTTATGTCAGCCCCTCCCATCACAAATCTGGAGGCCTAGAAGGGAAAAATGGTTCTGTGGGCCAGGCCCTGGGCCACGCTGCTCTGTGCAGCCTCAGGACATGGTGCTATGTGTCCCAGATGCTCTGGCTCCAATTATGGTTACAAGGGGCCGAGGTAGAGCTTGCACCATTGCTTCAGAGGATGCAAGCCCCAAGCCTTGGTAGCTTTCACATGGTGTTAGGCCTGCAGGTACACAGAAGGCAAGAGTTGAGATTTAGGAGACTCCACCCTATTTCAGAGGATGTATGGAAATGCCTGGATGTCCAGGGAGAAGTATGCTGCCAAGGGGCTGGGGAGCCCACATGGAGAACCTCTACTATGGCAGTGTGGAGGGGAAATGTGGGGCTGGAGTTCCCAAACAGAGTTCCCACTGGGGCACTGCATAGTGGAGCTGTGAGAAGAGGGCCAATGTCCTCCAGACCCTAGAATGCTAGATCCACTGACAACTTGCACTGTGCACCTGGAAAAGCCACAGGCACTCTACACCAGCCCATAAAAGCAGCCAAGGGGGCTGCAGGGCCACAGGGCTGGAGACGACCATTCCTTGAATTAGTTTGCTCTGGAGATGAGACATGGAGGCAAAGAAGATTATTTTGGAGATTTAAGATTTAATGACTGCCCTGCTGGGTTTCAGACTTGCATGGGGCCTGGGGCTCCTTTGTTTTGGCCAATTTCTCTCTTTTGAAATGGGAGCATTTACCCAATGTCTGTACCCCCATTATATCTTAAAAGTAATGAATATATATTTTTTCATTTTACAGGCTCATATGAGACTTTGGTCTTAGATGTTTGAGTTAATGCTGGAATGAGTTAAGGCTTTGAGGGACTTTTGGGAAGGCATAATTGTGTTTTGAAATGTGAGAAAGACATGAGATTTGGGAGTGTCCAGTGGCAGAATGATATTGTTTGGGTCTGTGTCCCCACCCAAATCGTATGTGGAATTGTAATTCCCAGTGTTGGGGGAGGGATCTGGTGGAAGGTGATTAGATAATAAGGGTAGATATCCTCCTTGCTGTTTTCATAATAGTGAGTGAATTCTCAAAGGTCTTGTTGTTTAAAAGTGTGTAGCACTTCCGCCTTTGTTCTCTATTCTGCTGGCCATGTGAAAATTTGATTGCTTCCCCTTCTCCTGCCAAGACTGTAAGCTTTCTGAGGCCTCCTAGCCATGCTTCCTGTACAGCCTGTGAAACTGCGAGTCAGTTCAACTTCTTGTCTTCATAAATTGCCCAGTGTCAGGCTGTCCTTTACAGCAGTGTGGGAATGGATTAATATACTACCCAAGGCAATCTGCAGATTCAATGCAATACCTATCAAAATACCATCATTTTTCACAGAACTAGAAAAAAAAAACAAAATTAATATGGAACCAAAAAAGAGCCCAAATAGCCAAAGCAATCCTAAGCAAAAAGAACAAATCTGTAGGCATCATATTACCCAACTTCAAATTGTACTACAAGGCTATAGTTACCAAAATAGCATAGTACTGGTATAAAAATAGATACATAGACCAGTGAAAAAGAATAGAGAAACCAGAAATAAAGCCAAATACATACAGACTCTTGATCTTCCACAAAGGATATAAAAACATAAATTGGGGAAACTACACCCTATTTAATAAATGTTGCTTGGAAAACTGGATATCCAGATGTAGAAGAATAAAACTGAATCTCTACTTCTCACTATATGAAAAAAATCAATTCAAGACAGATTAAAGACATAAATGTAAGAATGAAAACCATAGAAATCTGAAAGCAAATGTAGGGAAAACTCTTCTGGATTTTGGCCTAGGCAAAGAATTTATGACTAACACTCCAAAAACTAATGCAATATAAGTAAAAATAAATAAATGAGATCTAATTAAACTAAAATGCTTCTGCACAGCAAAAGAAATAATAATTGGAGTACACAGACAACCCAGAGAATGGGAAGAAATATTCTCAAACTAATGTATCTGACAATGGACTAAAATGCAGAATCAGTAAGGAACTCAAGCAAATCAGCAAGAAAAACAAATAATCCCATTAAAATGGGAGCAAATGACATGAATAGACAATTCTCAAAAGAATATATACAAATGGCCAACAAATATGTGAAAAAAAGCTCAACAACACTAATCATCAGGGAAACACAAATTAAAACCACAATGAGATACCACCTATCCCTACCACAATGGCCATTATTAAGAAGTAAAAAAAAATTAAAAAAATAAAAAAATTTTCATGGATGTGATGAAAAGAAAATTCTAGGGTTCTGGGGTAGTGATATAAATTAGTACAAATCTGTATGTTCAACATTATGGAGATTTCTCAAAGAACTAAAAGATCAATCATTTGGTCCAGTAATTCCACTATTGGGTAGCTACACAAAGGAAAACAAATTATTATATCAAAAAAGACCTGCATGCATATGTTTATCACAGTACAATTCTCGATTGTAAATATATGGAACCAATCCAAGTGCCCATCAACTTATAAGTAAATAGAGAAAATATGGTATATATATATACACCTTGGAATACTACTCAGCCATAGAAAAATGAAATAATGGCTTTTGCAGCAACTTGGGTGGAGCTGGGGGCCACCAGAAATGGAAAACCAAATACCATTATGTTCTCACTTGTAAGTGGGAGCTAAGCCATGGGTATGTAAATGCATGCAGAGTGGTATAATGAATATTGGAGATTCTAAAGAGGGAGGGTGGGAGGGAAATAAAGAATAAATAATATATATTGGGTACAATGTACACTTATTGGATGATGGGTGCACTAAAATCTCAGACCTCACCACTATACAATTTATCCATATAACCAAAAACACTTGTACCCCAAAAGCTATTAAAATTTAAAAAAAAGAAAAGAAAGCAAATAAAACATGTCTCACATAACAAAATATACAAAACAAAGACAACATTAAAGAAATATAACAATAAAAAGAATAAAATAGGAATAGAAATAATACTTATAATATCATTTTGTAATTTTAGTAATTAATTCAACCAATATTTATTTAATCATTGTAATGAATCACATATTTTCTGGATTTTTGTTTCTTTCCTTGAAAAATAAAGAAAAAATTCCTCCTGTTTCAGAGCTTTAATTGTAGGAACAAAGTGTAAGGTTAAATACAAATAAATAGTTTGTATGATTTTATTAAAAGAATGCCCTCAATATTGTGATTGAAAATAAAACTATGGATGCAGTTATTGTAAGAAGCATCATTATATTGACTCAAAATATTTCTGCTAACTCTCTGTTAACTCTTTATTTTTCTGGCACTTTTGATCTTCGATTAAATACATCACACTTGTTGTACTGGGTTGAATAGTGCCCTTCCCCCACCTCAAAGTTATGTTACTTAAAACTTGTGAATGTGACCTTATTTGGAAACATTAACATTATTCAGGATAAACATTAACATTATTCAGGATACGTGTTTAGTGGTACATACTTTGGGTAATGCAGGTCCAAGAGTATGAACAATTTTAGCTATCAGAGCTCTTTTATAATCTATTATTCCTATATATGTTAAAAATATCAAACAACACAAGCTTTGTGTTTTAATCACTTACAGGTAAATTTTGGATTATGATATTTAGACAGCAAGATTTCACTTACCTGTGGGACACAGGGCGGGCGTATCAATGAGTTAATTTCTAATTTATAAATTGCTTTGGATGTAAAACGTATCCAAATGCTACATAATGAAAATTACCCTGAAAATACTCATTCTAACAACCCTGAAAATACTTTCTAAACTCCCTGACAATGAATCCTGCTAAAAAGGATGCTTTTCTCTCAAGAATGGCAAAAATAAAATAAAATGGAAGCAAACATAAATAAAATAGCTAGAATTGCTACCACTCATAGTGAGGAGTCTTCTTTTCCAAAATGTGTAGCTAGAATCATAAAGCCCTACAAAATTGTACAGCAATTCTGTCACTGTATTGACAAAAAAGGGAAAAAAGCAAACCAACAATTGCGGTGCATAGCAACAGTAAGAGATGGAAAAAAATCTAGGATAATTGCAAAACGATATCTGGTTCATGATTGCAAGGTCTCTGTTGAAAAGTGCTCCAAGTTATAATAGCTACAAAATTCAGAATAACTCTGAAAACTAGAAAAAAATTTCACAAGTACGGAAATTCTAAGGGCTGAATCCAGCTGAATAGATTCTATAACATCCTATGTTAATGTCACCAGTACCTCCCATTCCTTGCAGCAAATATTATGGGCTCCATTCTTCCCTTAGTGGTCAACAAGCTTTGCTTTCTCTATACCTAACATACGACAGTAATAATTTTCACAAACATTTTGGTCATATTATAGAATTGTAGCAGTCGGGGAAAATGTGGAGTAATCTCAAATCATGAGATTTCAGAACTACATAGATTGGGCAATTGCCTTGATCCATTTCTTGAGAAATGCTAGTAGTAAAAAATAAGTGCAAATTCCATCGTGACAGGGGTGAAGTTAGGGATGGGGATGTGAATATTCAACTGGTGTACGAATGTCCATGTAGAAACTATAGTTTGTAATTTTTTGTGTGTGAGGAAATTACCATATCTTTGGGGGTGTACTTTAAAGACTATGGACTAGCAGCAAGACTCTGTGTGGCTAATGCTCCTGTATTCTTTACGACCTGTGTGATCTACTTTATAAGATGGAAAAGAAAGATATAGAAATAATTGGAGAAAGGGCTACTATTTATAATCTCCAAATAGTGCAAGTTTCCCCCCACCTAATTCCATTTATTTAAAGTAACCTCGAACTGCAAAACACTCTTGCCAAGACGCTTTAGGATTGAAGGAGAAAAACGAAGTTCTTATTGAGAAACATCTAATAATAAAACTGCAAAAATTTATTTTTAAATACTCTTTTATTATAAAGTTTTCTTTTCGTAAAGATAGGTCAGAAAAACAAGCAAGACAAACTTAGCATATGTAGAAAAAATTGAATTTCCTAGAAGCCAATTTTACCATTTTTGTTCTATCAAGTTTACTGCATATTTTAAAATGTAAATTAGGAAAATCCACGAATCTGCTTCTTGGAAAAGGATTAGTCCCAAATAGTTTTATCCTTTGGGGAAAATACACATGGCAGCCGGTTTGATGTGTATTTAGTGAATCTACCAGACACCTTCCGTTCGCTGTAGTATGAAAGGTCTTTAGGGTTCTGGTCGACCTAAATCAGGGCTTTTTTTTTTTTTTTTTTTCTTGAAACAGGGTCTCATTTTCATTGCCTAGGCTGGCTCACTGCAGTCTCGACTTCCTGAGCTCAGGTGATCCGCCTACCTCAGCCTCCCGAGTTGCTGGAACTACAGGCGCATGCCACCGTGCCTGGCTAATTTTTCATATTTTTTTGTGGAGACGGGGTTTTCCTGTGTTGTCCAGGTTGGTCTTGAACTCCTGGGCTCAAGTGATCTACCCTCTGCAGCCTCCCAAAGTGGTGAGATTACAGGTGCCTTGTACTCCTAGCAGGGGCGGATTGGTTGTAATCCAGGAGCCATTGCTCCCTGCAGGGTTTCATTCTTACCAGATCATACACTCAATGGACTTAAAAAAATTCTTAAATATCTTTTGAATAGTCCTCAGATCCATGCCCTCTGTCACATTCAAATCCCCACAGCACCATGTGCCCACACATGAATAATTTACTTTAAAATAATAATTTCCCAATTTTTTTCAGTCTATCCTTAAAAAAAAAAAAACTTTAGAAGCCTTAATGTGGATAGCTTCAGGTCAACGAGTTTCTCAGTGCCACTTCCACATAGTATATATGTCCAATTTTCTAACTTTCAGGATGATTTATTCTTCCTTTTTAAAAATAATCTTAAATTTGACCTCATCATCATGACTTTCTTCTTTCTTGAAAGTTGCCTACCTTTATTATTGCTTGGCCTTCAGTTTATTTCTTTCCAAATTAAATGTAAACATTGTTCTTACCTCTTCAATGAACTGGATTTTTATCTCTTTATTTTAAGGCAAAGCAATTTTAGGCAGTCATTTTACCAAGTAAGAATTATGCTTGTGATGGGTGAGGAAACGTTTGCTTATTAAGCCAATTTTCATAGTCGAGACAAAAACATAGACATTCTAAACATTTACCTCCTTAAAAACATCATATTGATTTTTTAATCATTTCGATGAGCAAGAATGTGTTGGTGTATACTTGTAGCTGAAGTGAATGATCATTCTTTGCTATTCTCTCTGTTCAAACTATCAAGCACACTACAGAAAGCATATTGCCTCATTTCTATACACCACAAGTCTATCATAGGCCTTATGCTTATCATTTACACACACTTACTAGCTGAAATTTCTGTAGCTGCCCTTTTGGGCACCTTCAATGAGGATATTTGGATGCCCAGGAAATGTTATAATATGCTGTTTTCAAAAATCAGTTTTCTCCAGCTGTATTACTCAGGGTCCTTTAGAGGGACAGAACTAATAACATAGATGTATATGTGAAGGGGAGTCTATTAAGGAGTATTGATTCACGTGATCATAAGGTGAAGTCCCACAATAGGCCATCTGCAAGCTGAGGAGCAAGGAAGCCAGTCTGAATCCCAAAACCTCAAAAGTAGGAAAGCCAACGGTGCAGCCTTCAGTCTGTGGCTGAAGGCCCAAGGGCCCCTGGGAAACCACTGGTGTAAGTCCAAGAGTCCAAAAATCTGATGTTTTGGAGAAGGAAGCATCCAGCATGAAAAAAAAGATGAACTCCTGAAGACTCAGCAAGTCTGCTCTTTCTAACTTCTTCTGCCTGCTTTATTCTAACCTTACTGGCAGCTGATTAGATGGTGCCCACCCAGATTGAAGGTGGGTCTGCCTCTCCCAAACCACTGACTCAAATGTTAATCTTCTTTGGCAACACCTTCACAGACACACCCAGAAACATATTTTGCATTGTTCAATGCAATCAAATTGACACATGAATTAGTCCATTCTCATGCTGCTAATAAAGACAGGCCCAAGACTCGGTAATTTATAAGGAAAAGAGGTTTAATGGGCTCACTGTTCCATATGGCTGGGAGACCTCACAATCATGGCAGAAGGCAAAGAAGAAGCAAAGGCACATTTTACATGGCAGCAGGCAAGAGAGCTTTTGCAGGGGAACTCCCATTTATAAAACCATCATATCTTGTGAGAGTTATTCAGTATCATGAGAACAGTATGGGAGAAAATGCCCCCATGATTCAATTGTCTCCACCTGGTCTCGCCCTTGACACATGGGGATTTTTACAATTTAAGGTAAGATTTGGGTAGGGACACAGAGCCAAATAATATAATTACACCCTGGCCACTCCCAAATCTCATATCCTCACATTTCAAAACACAGTCATGCCCTTCCAACAGTCTCCCAAAGTCTTAACTCATTCCTGCATTATTCCAAAAGTCCAAGTCCAAAGTCCTATCTGAGACAAGGCAAGTCCGTTCCACCTATGAACCTGTAAACTCAAAAGCAAGTTCGTTATTTCCTAGATACAATGGGGGTACAAGCATTGGGTAAATAAAGCCATTCCAAATGGGAGAAATTGGCCAAAAATGAAGGGGCTACAGGCCCCAGGCAAGTCCATAATTCAGTGGGGCAGGCAAATCTTAAAGCTTCAAAATGATCTCCTTTGACTCCATGTCTCACCATCCCAGTCATGTTGGTGCAAGAGGTGGGCTCTCATGGTCTTGTACAGCTCTGTCCCTGTGGCTTTGCAGGGTATAGCCCCTCTCCCACCTGTTTTCATGGGCTGACATTGAGTGTCTGCAGCTTTTCCTGGCACATGGTGCAAGCTGTCAGTGGATCTACTATTCTGGGGTATGGAGGATTGTGGTCCTCTTCTCACAGCTCCACTAGGCAGTGCCCCAGTGGGGACTCTGTGTAGGGGGTCACATCCCACATTTCCCTTCCCCACTGCCCTAGCAGAGTTATCCATGAGGGCTTTGCCCCTGCAGCAAACTTTTGCTTGGATATCCATGTGTTTCCATACATCCTCTGAAACCTAGGTGGAGGTTCCCAAACCTCAATTCTTGACTTCTCTATAGCCACAGGGTCAACACCATGTGAAGCTACCAAGACTTAGGGCTTGCTCTCTCTGAGGCTGCAGTCTGAGCTATACCTTGGCCCCTTTAAGCCATGGCTGGAGCAGCTGGGACACAGGGTATCAAGTCCAGAAGCTGCACTCAGCAGAGGCAGCCTAAGCCTGGCCCAGGGAAAACCATTTTTTCCTCCTAGGCCTTGGGGCCTGGTGATGAGAGGGGCAGCTGCTCTGACATGCCTTGGAGACATTTTCCCCATTGTCTTCATGATTAACATTCCACTCCTTGTTACTTATGCAAATTTCTGCAGCAGGCTTGAATTTCTCCTAAGAAAATGGGTTTTTCTTTTCTATTGCATCATCAAGCTGCAAATTTTCTGAACTTTTATGCTCTGCTTCCCTTTGAATACTTTATTGCTTAGAGATTTCTTCCAGCAGATACCCTAAAATCTCTCTCTCAAGTTCAAAGTTCCACAGATATCTAGGTCAGGGGCAAAATGCTTTCAGTCTCTTTTTACAGCAAGACTGACCTTTACTCTAGTTCCCAACAACTTCCTCATCTCCATCTGAGACCAACTCAGCCTGGACCTTATTGTCCATATTACTATCAGCATTTTGGTCAAAGCAATTCAACAAGTCTCCAGGAAGTTCCAAACTTTCCCACATTTTCCTATCTTCTTCTGAGCCCTCCAAACTATTCCAACCTCTGCCTGCTACTGAGTTCCAAAGTCACTTCTACATTTTTGGGTATCTTTACAGAAATGCCTTATTATCTGGTACCAATTCACTGAATTAGTCCATTCTCAATCTGCTAATAAAGACAGACCCAAGACTGGGTAATTTATAAAGGAAAGAGGTTTAATGGACTCATATTTCCACAGGGCTGGGGAGGCCTCACAATCATGGTGGAAGGCAAAGGAGAATCAAAGGCACAACTTACATGATGGCAAGCAAAAGAGCTTGTACAGGAGAACTCCCATTTATAAAACCATCAGATCTCATGAGAGTTATTTACCATCATGAGAACAGTATGGAAAAAACCAACTCTATGCTTCAATTGTCTTCACCTGGCCCCACCCTTGACATGTGAGATTATTACAATTCAGGGTGGGATTTGGGTGGGAATACAGAACTAAACCATATCAACACTCAATATTAACCATCACACTGGTCTTCATGTTTTTCTGCAGAGAATAATAACACTTGCTCTTGTGCCTTCAGTGAATCAGAAAGAATTTTGCCTTGATCATTTTACCTCTCTATTGTATAGAGGAAGATAACTCAATTGGAAATTAGGGAGCATACATTCCAAACTTGACTATACAAACTAATTCTAGAAATTTAAAAAAGTCCCTTACCACATAATTATTTTCAAAAATTGAAAGAAGATGGACTATGTTATCACAAATACACCTTTCTTGCCCATGAATCTATTCTTCATTTTCTCTCTCCCAAAGGGTAGGCAGATTCTCATGATCCTGTATTTAATTCCCATGGTCACAGCTTTTTAAATGTCTCCTTGTCGTGTCTCAATTTGTGAATTTGGATTGTGATAGCTCTAGAACAAATTATTTTTATTACTATTTAGACTCCTACCCAAGTGCCACATTAATTAAAGCCATCTTTAAAAAAAATTGGAATCAGGATTCCAATTGGTCTATAAAGAACGAGTTAATAAACAGTGATGTAAACTGCACATCAACAGAAAGTAACTTTGAACATTTATGCATCTATACCAAAAAAATATAGCATTGGGGATATTGGGACAGATTTGATCTCAGTCTCTGCATTTGGTCCATTCACTTCTGTATGATACTTATTTCCTACATGTTAGAGGTAATTCCACACAAATTAATAAGCTTAAAACTGTCATATCTCATAATCTAATGGGAAATTATGCTTTTTAATAGTTAGTAAAATTAAGGGTTGCCTGTAATTGACTTGTGTTCCCTGTTTGTAGCAGCAGACAGAAAAGCTTTGGTTAAGATGAGAAGTTTTAGATTAATGACTCCAAAACTCTAAGTGACATTACATATAAAAGAAAGGATTCCAAAGCTTCATTTAAAAATGAAAGTGGAATTTCACTTTAATACACAGCAAGACTTTACCAGCTGGCTGCAGTACATATACTTGGCTGCTAGTTGCTTAGTTTATTAGATATTTTATAGTCCGGGAAACTAAAGATTATGGAGCCAGTTCCCACATGCTGCATCAACAGGAATTGGGAGTCAGACAAGCTAGAGATATATGAAGAAGTGAATAAGCCAGTACACTAAGGATAAAATGAATTAATCTGAAGCTATTAAAGAAGCTTTGTCAGGTACTTAGTATGCTCATGTTTTAATTCCTTATGCCTATTCTCCTTGGTTGCAATTCTCTTTCAAAAAATTTATAAAGAAATTTTTTCACTTTGGATTACTTTTCCTATTCCAATAGGTCAAATTCATATTGGCCTTTATCCACTCCCATCCAATCTCCACTTCAATAATTAGGAAGTAGACTACTACAGATTTTGACATTATTTTAATCCCAAACACCATTTGCTACTTCATCAAAATATTAGGTTATACAATATTGATTATAATTTTTAGGTCAGAAATAGTTTAGGGATTTCATATAGTTCAACCTAGTATTAGGGCACTCCCACAATATTGTGTATCTAATAAGCCTGTAAAATGGACAATAATAACATACTCTGTATGGCAATCAAAGAGCTTTTATAGTATCAATAATATGTATTTATAAAGAGATGCTTCTTCTGAGCTGGTAAGTAAGCTATAGGAATTATCTAATATTATCTAATGCATGGTCCATATTCATACCCCAAAGTACTTACAACAACATTTGCACTACTCCAAACTGTACACTAATGGTGACTAATAGAGCCTAGAAACATTCCTACGACCAGTTTGGGTATTCTCTAGGAGTATGTTTCAGGGTAAAACTCTTGTCTCTTCATTACATCTCTTCCTCTGTAAGATTGGGTGATTGGAAAATAGATATTATAAATGAGCATTAATATTTTTAAAATATTTTCTATCACAACTAACATACAATTTCTAGTGAAATATCACCTTGAGTATTTGAGGATGCAGTCACATGAATAATAGAAACAAAGTTAAAATCATTAAATCAATCTCAAAATTTTTAGGTTGGCTAATTTGAGGCCTTAAATCCATCTCAACATTTTTATGTTGGATACTCTGGGGCCTGTTTGTGCCACTGCACAAGAAAAATGGCTTAGTTTGGCATGTGGGATGAGGGGGAGAAAAGCATCCAAGAAGAGAAATTGGATAAAGTTAGATGTTTTGTGATTGTAGCTACTGAACATGTTTTAGACTGGCAGAATATGCTCTACGATATTGGAATACCATCAAAATTCATTTAAATTATGCCAGAGAAATGTTAAATGGTGATGAGAAGGCTGAGATTTAAGCTGATAAATGCAGTAAAGACCTACCCACAATGACAAATTTGATGAGGGGTTCTGACCTAGCAGATCACTCAAGGAATGGAAGTCTTTATGTTATTCACAAGGGTGGGAAAAAGCTATTCCCATCCCCACCTCCAACTCGTGCTGGAATATTTTACAGTCCAATTACATCCAAAGGAAGAACCAATCTGATTTATAACCTGTGGGACACATGGAGAAAATTGTATAAATTTGTATGACTACTAATGGAAATGTTGGCTTTTGTTTTTAGGTGATGAATATTTTATGTCCAAAAATATAATAGTAAATAATTTACCAGAAGTAATTTTTTTCTCTTTTTGTAAACTTCATGAAAAAGGCAGAGAGAGGATACGTGTGAAAGAAGGGAGAAAGGAGAAGAAGGGAAGACAGAAGAATAAAGTCATAAAGTGAGACATGCTAAAAAAAGGATGAAAGTAAGTAAT
The DNA here is from genome assembly GCF_000001405.40 of Homo sapiens. Lineage (NCBI taxonomy): Eukaryota > Metazoa > Chordata > Mammalia > Primates > Hominidae > Homo > Homo sapiens. Next base: position 104,118,576 of record NC_000004.12, read on the forward strand.
GGGAGTAGAAAAAAAGGAGACAGAAGAAACCCTTTGCCTAATTAAAAAAAGAAGGAAAGATAGAAGAGAGTAGGCTATGAAGGTGAAAGACAAGCAAGCAAACTAGCTTTTAGTCGAATATGTAAACATAATGCTATATTATGGAAAATTATCAGGAGGCCAAATGAAAGTAATTATTAAAAAAAACTTTCTGCAATTATATGCACTTTCTAAAAGTAGTATCATAATTTAGATTACTGAACATTCTCATAATGCTTTCTTCTTTTTATTTTATTTCCAATGGAAATAGGTGGCCCAATTTAGATCAGTGAAAATTCGCATAATGCTTTCTTCTTTTTATTTAATTTTATTTCCAGTGAAAATAGGTGGCCCATAGATAGTGGAGCCAACTCCACTACATGGATTTGGAAAGACAAGGCACAAAGTGAATTATGTGATAAAGGCTAGGAAAATCAAAATGTTCTATACAAGTCAATGGAATAGGAGGACTAGCCAACATAGTAAAAGACTGACGTGCAAACTGTGAAAAAGTCCAGGACTTTTTTTTTCTTTCTTACATTGGGGTTGTCTGGTTTTAACTGGTTTGTAGTACTGTGGCAAAGATTTGTTTGCTCAGAATTTCAGTAAGCCTATTACTTGAAGATATATGTGTGAGTGCTTTACGGAGTCAAGGAAAGTGTTTGAAAACCATGTAGTTTAGTGTAGTTTAATGAGTGACAACATATTTAAGTCAGTGAAATTGTATACGCCAAATGAACAAAATCAATGGAATCCAGCAGAACTTAGGAGGTAAAATTCAGACAAAATTAGTAAAAACTTGAGGACAGTCACAAGATACTAAGTAGAGCCTTCAAGTACTCTAACAGATCTCTAGGAACAGAGACCCAGTTAATTTTGAATACTATTTTAAAGTTTTGTTCAGGATTATCTAAACTCTGGAACAATACCCAGATGCAGCTTGAATTAAATCAATCCCCTACACATTAGCCAGGAATCATTCCCAGTCTGACTCCCAAATAATTGATTGATGGAGCAAGAAATAAAACAGTGTAAATTGGTATGGGTTGTCTATGATGGCACTGAAAACACCTCCTCATATTAAGAAAAAAATTTTAGAAACCACTCAGAAACAGATCCTAGGACCATTCAAAGCCTCAGCAAATGAGACTGGGTGATCCATCCAGAAATTCAGATGTGTGTGATATTGTAAATTTACTAGTGTTCCCTCATAAAGTATCAGAAAAGGAATAACTCAGTCACAATAGATATAGTAAAATATTTGATAAAATTTAACATCCCTTCATGACAAAAACTGTAAACAAATAAGGTATACAAGAAACACATCTCAGTGCAATAAAGGCCATATAACACAGCTAAAATCATACTGAACAGGGAACAGTTGAAATATTTTTTCTTTAATATTTGGAATGAGAAAAAGATGCTACCTTTCCACCACTTTCACTCAACGTAGTTCTGGAAGTCCTAGCCAAAGTATTTAAGCAAGAGAAAGAAATAAAGCATATGCATATTGAAAAGAAGAAAGTCAAATTGTCCCTGTTTGTAGACGTCATGATTTTACCTCACGTTGATAAAGAAAACTCTATACACTGTACTGTTGGAACTAATGAACAAATTCAGTAAAGTTGCAGAATTACAAAATCGACATACAATAATAGGTAGTATTTTTTATGCCAACAGCAAAATATTTTTTTTAAAAAGAAGGTAATCCCATTTACAATAGCTACCAAGAAAAAAAAAAGAAGTAAATTTAACCAAGGAGGTCAAATATTTCTACAATAAAAACTGTAAAACATTGATAAAAGAAACTATGAACAGCAATAAATGAAAAGATATCTCATGTTCATGGATTGGAAGAATTAATATTGTTAAAATGTCCACACAACCCAAAGTGATCTATACATTCAATGAAATCCCTATCAAATCACCATTGAGATTCTTCACAGAAATAAAAAAACTCAATCCTAAAATTTGTATAGAATCACAAAAAAACTTGAAGTACCAAAACAATCATGAACAAAATATAAAAAAGAAAACATGGCAAAAAACAAAACTGGAGGCATCACAATGCCTGACTTTACAAAGCAACAATAACCAAAACAGCATGGTTCTGGCATAAAAACAGATAAGTAGACCAATGGAAAAAAACAGAGAACCTAGGTGTAATTTAATGCATTCATGCCCAACTGATTTTCGTTAAAGTTGCCAAGAATGCACATTGAAGAAAGGACAGTCTCATCAATAAAACTTCCTGGAAAAACTAGATATCCATAGGCAGAAACATGAAACTAGACCCCTATCTCTCACCAGTTACAAAAATCAACTCAAAATGGATTAAAGACTTAAATATAAGACCTGAAACTATGAAATTACTAGAACTAGGGGAAATATTTTATGACATTGATCCAGGCAACGATTTTTTTGTTTGTTTTTGTTTCTGTTATTTTGTTATTGTTGTTGTTATAGAATAGATGTTATTTTGTACCTTAGAAAAGCATAGCATAATATCTGCCTTGTAGATTTGGCAATCATTACTAAGTGAGCAAGCATGTTTTGGATAAGACCTCAAAAGCACAAGCAACAAAAGCAAAATAGATAAATGGGATTACATAAAACTAAAATCTTCTGCCCAGCAAAGGCAACAATCAACAGAGTAAAGGAACAACATACAGTATGGGAGACAAAATTCACAAACTTTGCATCTGACAAGGAATTAATCCCAACAATATGTAAGGAACTCAATTCAAAACAACAAACCAAATAAACAAATTTAAAAATGAGCAAAAGATTTGAATAGACCCTTATCAAATGAAGACAAATGGCTAACAAGTATATGAGAAAATGCTCAATATCACTAATCATCAGGGAGCACAAATTAATAACAATGAAATATCACCTCACCCCTCTTAGAATGGATACTATCAAAAAGATAAAAATATAATAACTGCTGGTGAGGATGTGGAGAAAGGGGAGCTCATATAAACTGTTTGTGGAAATGTAAATTAGTATAGCCATTATGGACCACAGTATGAATGTTCCTCAAAAAATTAAAAATAGAATTATCATTTGATCTGACAACCCCACTACTGAGAATATACCCAAAGAAAATGAAATCAATACATTGAACAGATATGTGCATACTACGTTCATTGCAGCACTATTCACAACAGGCAAAACATGAAATCAATCTAAGTGTCCACCAATAGATGAATAAATTTGAAATGTGGTATATATATATATATATATACACACACACACACACACACACACGCACACACGCACACACACACAATGGAATACTATTTAACCATAAAAAGAAATGAAATTCTGTCATTAGTGACCCCCTGGAGGGACCTAGAGGACATTATGTTAAATGAAATAAGCCAAGCACAAAAGAAAAAATACTGCATGATCTCACTCATATGTGAAATCTAGAAAAGTTGATCTAATAGAAATAAAGAGTAGAATAGTGGTTACCAGAGGCGAGGAGAATAGGGGGTGTGTAGGATAATAAGAGGTTGGTCAATGAGTACAAAGTTGCAGTTAGATTGAAGGAACAAGTCCTAGTGTTCTACAGCACAGTATGGTGACTATAGTTAGCAACAATGTACTATATGTTACAAAACAGCTAGAAAAGAGGATTTTGCATGTTCTCAAATCAAAGAAATGACAAATGTTTGAGGTGATAGATTTGTTATTTACAAGTAACAAATTTGATCATAATACAATGTATACATGGATCAAAACATCACACTGTATTCTATAAATATGTACAATTATCATCTGTCAAATAAAAACAAGATAAAAGTGAAAAGTGACAATATTGGAAATTATGAATGAATCCAGGGCTGGAGTCTGTTATGGAAGAGAAATGACAGTAAGAGATACACGTATGGAATAGTCAATAGCTTTTGCCTTATTTCATTTGGGGCCTCTAATAAAGTAGAAATGTACTCAGTAGGGGCAGTGCTGGAAACAAGAGGGAGAGATTTATGAATTTTACTAGGAATATGTCCATGAAATTTTATGGGAAAATAAGATCTCAGAAAAAAAGAAAGAGGTTTAGAAATTCTATGAGTATTAGGAGTTATATATATTTTCTTTTTTTAGCTTTTATTTTAAGTTCAGGGGTACATGTGCAGGTTTGTTACATAGGTAAATGTGTGTCCATCCATGTCCTTGCAAAGGATATGATCTCCTATTTTTATGACCGCATAGTATTCTATGGTATATATGTACCACATTGTCTTTAATCAGTCTATCATTGATAGGCATTTAGGTTGATTCCATGTCTTTGCTATTGTGCATAGTGCTGCAATGAACATATTCATTCATGTTTCTTTATAACAGAATGTTATACTTTCCTTTGGGTATATACACAGTAATGGGATTGCTAGGTCAAATGGTATTTCTGTCTTTAGCTCTTTGAGGAATTACCACACTGTCTTCCACAATGGTTGAACTAATTTGCACTCCCATCAAGAGTGTATAAGTGTTCCTTTTTCTCCACAACCTCGCCAGCATCGGTTATTTCTTGACTTTTTAATAATAGCCATTCTGACTTGTGTAAGGCAGTATCTCATTGTGGTTTTGATTTGCATTTCTCTAACGATCAGTGAAAAACACTCCTCCACAAATGCAAAACAACTGAATCATAATAAGCAGTCTCTCAGACCACAGCACAATCAAATTAGAACTCAAGACTACGATATTCACTTAAAACCATATTACATGGAAATTGAATAACCTGATCCTGAATGTCTTTTGGGTAAGTAATGAAATTAAGGCAGAAATCAAGAAGTTCTTTGAAACTAATGAGAACTAAGATACAACATACCAGAATTTCTTGGACACAGCTAAGGCCATTTTATGAGGGAGATTATAGCACTAAATGCCCACATAAAGAGTTATAAAGATCTCAAGTTAACAACCTAGCATTACAACTAAAAGAACTAGAGAACCAAGAGCAAACAAATCCCAAAACTAGAAGAAGACAAGAAATAACCAAAATCAGAGCTAAAATGGATGAGGTAGAGAACATGAAAAATCATTCAAAAGTTCAATAAATTCAGATTTTTTTGTAAAAAATTATAAAATAGATTAGACCACTAGCCAGACTAATAAAGACAAGAGGGAATATTTAAATAGGCACAATCAGAAATGAGAAGGGGTATTTTACCACAGACCCCACAGAAATGCAAACAACCATCAGAGAATAATATAAACATTTTTATGCACACGAACTAGAAAATCTAGAAGAAATGGATGTATTTCTGGACACATAAACCCTCCCAAGACTGAACCAGGAAGAAATTGAATGCCTGAACAGACCAATAATGAGTTCTGAAATTGAGGCAGTAATAAATACCCTACCAACAAAAAAAGCCCAGAACCAGATGGATTCACAGCTGAATTCTACCAGCTGTGCAAAGAAGAGCTGGTGCCATTCCTAATGAAACTATTCCAAAAAATCAAAAAGGAGGGACTCCTCCCTAACTCATTCTATGAGGCCAGCATCATCCTAATTTCCAAACCTGAGCAAGACACAACAAAAAAAGAAAACTTCAGGCTGATATCCTTGATTAAAATGCATGCAAAAATCCTCAATGAATACTGGAAAAATTGGAAAATGAAATCCAGCACCACATCAAAAAGCCTATCCACCAAGATCAAGTAGGCTTCATGCCCAGGATGCAAGGTTGGTTCAACATACACAAATCAATAAGTGTGATTCATCACATAAAGAGAATCAAAGACAAAAACAACTTGATTATCTCAATAGAGGCAGAAAAGGCTTTTGACAAAATTCAACATCCCTTCATGTTAAAAACTCTCAATAAACTGGGTATTAAAGGAACATACCTCAAAATAATAAGAGCCATATTTGACAGACCCACAGCCAACATCATACTGAATGGGCAAAAGCTGGAAGAATTCTCCTTGAAAACCAGCACAAGACAAGGATGACTTCTCTCGCCACTCCTACTGAATATATAATTTCAAATGCCACAAGTGATTCAATGTGTATATCTAGCCTTTGAATTGATAGAGAGTGAAGGTAAGTTGGGAAGAATAAATAAAATTTTTTATATTTGAGAAGATAAAAGTATTTCAGGACTTTCAATGTCTTTTTCAAAGAAGAGTACAGAAAGACATTCTTGGTAAAGTTATACCAGATTCCAAGTTATTAGTCATGATCTCTATAGTGAAATTTATCTGAAAAAAAAAATACCTTGCTGGGAAATAACAAATGTTGGTGAGGATGTGGAGAAAAGAGAAACCTTGTACACTGTGGGAATGTAAATTAGTACAACCACTATGGAGAACAGCTTGGAGGTTCTCAAAAAACTAAAACATGAGCTACAATATGATCCAAATATCCCACTGCTGGGCATATACTCAAATGAATGGAAATCAGTATACAGATACATTTGCATGCCTATGTTTGTTGCAGCACTGTTTACAATAGTTAAGATTTGGAAGCAACCTAAGTGTCCATCCACAGATAAATGAATAAAAACAATGTGATACATATACACAATGGAGTACTATTCAGCCATAAAAAGAATGAGATCCAGTCATTTGCAACAACATAGATGGAAATGGAGGTCATTACATTAAGTGAAATAAGCCAGGAACAGAAAGACAAATATCGCATGTTCTCACTTATTTGTGGGATCTAAAAATTAAAACAATTGAACTCGGACATAGAGAATAGAAGAATGGTTACCAGAGGCTGTTAAGGGTAGTGGGGGTTTGTGGGGCAGTTGGGGATGGTTAATGAGTGCAGAAAGTAGAAAGAATGAATAAGGCCTACTATCTGATAGCACAACAGGATGACTATAGTCAATAATCACTTAACTTGACATTTTAAAGGAACTTAAAGAATGTAGCTGGATTGTCTGTAACTCAAAGGATAAATGCTTGAGGGGATGGATAACCCATTTTTCATGATACGCTTATTTCACATTACATGCCTGTATCAAAACATCTCATGTGCTCTATTAGTATATATGCCTAATATGTACCAACAAAAAGTTTAATACATAATAAAAAATTAAGAAAAAGAAATAGCCTGCTGAAAGATACTGAATAGTTTGCCAAACTCTTCTTGTTAGTAAAAGTAACTTGCAGAAATAATAGAACAAGCTAACCCTATTTGTTCTTAGGAACCAAGATAGAACAGCAAAGTAGAGCAGAATTGAGATTGGAAGCTTTGGGTAAAATTTGAAAAGTGGTCTCAAAAAATTTTTTTTGAAAAGTGGGCATAGAGTTGAGTATTATTCCATTATGTAAGTTGAAGTCCTTACCAACTCAAAATCCTAGGAAATTGCGATAAGCCAGTCTTATCAATTTGCTCCTGGTACATATCAAATGACTATTACAGAATAGATGTGACCAATCTATCAATGAAACCACAGTGATTAAAAAAAAACTGTAGTCTATAGGGGTGGTTTGGGAAAATAAAACTGTACTGCAGACATTCATGTCTCAGGGACACAGAAACTTGGAGCATAGAAAAAATAGCTAAGGATTCCCCTTAAAATGGAAGAGGTGCTTCCCTGCTCTAAATGAAACTGTAGGGCAAAACCACAGACTCTATTAAAACAGGAATGACTGTTCTATTACATTATGATCATTGGTAGAGTATTTTAAACAGACATACGTTGTTAGAATCTGACTCTCTTGGGTAGAGACTAGACCAACTAGGATAAAGCCAAACTCAGTAAACCACTCTGAGCCCTTGGGAGAGTAAATTCACACCGTTTTTTCTCTTCTTTATAAGAGGTTAACATTTTAGAGAGAGAAGCTGGAGGGAACCTGATCTCCTCCCAAAGATTCTGCTGTAATGTGTGGGGCTCAGAAACCCAAAAAGAGCACACATCTAAAGAGGAGGAGATTATGGCCAGGATGTAGGCTAACTTCATGGCCATATTAAACCTTTATATTGTATATTTGAGACAAGGGTTGTTGTGTCCCTTAGCCACTCAAATTCTAGAGGTGAGAGAGACTCAGAATCGAAAAGTGGCACATTGGAGGAGAGGACAAGAAGTAATTAATTGTTTCAAGTTATCCAGTTAATAGAAAAGAACTGGGAAGAATTTCTGTAAACAGAAATTGAGACACTATTTTGTAAAATGTAAATGGTACTGAGAAGTCAGTTGAAGAAAATAGGATCAAACAATGCCTAAAAATGGGGGACAAAGACTTCGTCCTTCAAGATGATAATCTAAATGCAAGACCTTGTGAACCATGTGGTCTATCCAAAGAGGTACTAAAAGAACTAGATGCTGCAATACTATCAGAGATGTAAAAAATTTAAAGTTTCTGGAAGAGAACGACTAAAACCGTCATTTATGCCAGTTATAATAATAAATGTAAGTGACTAGACTCTAAGGGAAAAGGCAGTGTTTGTCAGACTGCATGCAATTTATTACTAGGAAGAGAAAATCTTTGTCACAATTGACATGTTCACTAATATAGAAAACCCAAAAGAAGAAACTGAGTAATTATTAGAATCTTAAAGGGTGTTGTGTGTTTGCTGGATATAAGATGAATGTGTGAATATAAATTGCATTTTTATGTATTCTTCAAAAATTATAAAACATGCTCTAAGTTATTTTCAATAAAAACAAAAAAATGCATAGGGATAAATCTAGCAAAATATGTGAAGATCTTCATGTAGAAAATATTTTAAACTATTAAAAGGAATTAAATAAGAACTGTGGATCTTATTTAATTATAAGTAAATGGAGAGATTGAGAAATAAATAAATGGAGAGATTGAGTTTGGTCATGGATAAGAAGATTTGATGCCATAAAATAGGCAATTATTCCCAAACTGATATATTGATCCAATGAATTGTAATAAAAATCCAAATAAAATTTTTGTCCCTAAGATTTGGCATGCTGATTTTAAGATTTATATGGAATATCAAAAAGTTATGAGTAGCTAAGAATTTGTAAGGAAAAATAGAAATGTAAGAAGGCTTACTCTAGATATCAAGAATTATAAGGTGAAAGTGATTAAGATGTCAAGGTTGTGGCACAAAAATGTAAAATATGATCAATGAAACACAACCAGGGGCCTAAAACCATATCATCCATATACTGACATTTAAAATATTATACTCTTTTGTTCAATTGTTTGTTTGTTTTGGAAGTTAAATAGAGAAAAGTTGCAGAATTTAATTAATAGTATTGACAAAATAAGTTTATTATATGAAAAAAAAGAGGAAGGAATTCCCTAAATTATCTATTTACAAAAAAAAATTAATGAGATCACACATCATAGCACATACAGACATTATTCCCAGATTAAGTTTCCATGAGTTTGAGATTAGACCCATGGATCCTGGGACAGTTAATTTTATGAGTCCACTTGACTAGGCCACAGGATCCGAGATAGTTCCTTGAATTAGTCTGGGTATTTCTGTGAGGGTATTTTTGATGAGATTAACATTTAAAGTTATAGACTGAGTAAAGAAAATTGTCCATAATGTGTGTAGGCCCCTTCCAATCACTTGAAAGCCTAAATAGAGTAAAAAGCTGACCCTTCTCCAAGTAAGAGAATTCTCTTGCCTGACAGCCTTCAAACTGTAGCACTGGCTCTTCCTGGTTCTACAGAAGCTACTAGTTTTACAGCTAGAACTAAGACACTGACTGTGTGGATTTTGGACTTGCTACTCACCACAATTATGTGAACGAATTCCTTATAATAAATCTTTATTATCTGTATATATAGCTCCTATTAGTTCTGTATCTAGGGAGAATTATGAATACTACAAGAACTATAATGCTTTCAAAAATTTAAACCTAAGCTTAATACAGGAAATTAATTTGCTGTTTTAATGATTGCCATCAAAATTGTCCCAGCTACAAAACATGGATTCTAGTAAAAAGAGTGTGTAAACAAGAATTTAGTGTTTGTGGTATTGATAAGATTCCATATGTGGTTTTACAATTGGAAGGAATCCAAGAGTTTTCTATTAAATACTCTTCATGTGTCTTCAGGTCTACAAATGCAGCCCTGTTGCTTTGTGTTCAGGAGCCATGTACTCAAGAACACAGGGAAAAACAACACTGTACCACAGTGTTGATATTAAAGGGTTTAAGTATACCTGGTGCTAAGAAGTATTAAATAAACACCCTACAGACTTAAAAATTAGGGAAGATTTCTCCTTTCATGTAATACTCCTTCAGTTTCAATTAGGATATTTTGGGAGAATCTGCATTGTTAATAATACCTTGCTGATGATTTTAATATCTAGTAAAGAATGATTAGCTAAAGGGGGAAAAGCTAAAATCTAGCATAAGGCAACTGATCCAAAAGGCAAACAACTGTGGAGGATGGGAAGAAAGAGAAGTAAATATCCCACAGTGTTATGACTAAGGGTTGCTGAGTATTTCTGTGCTCCTGTGTGTACTGAGAGCCTGTAACAGCTGGGGGAGGAATTAATCATTAACTTTCACCAGACTAAAATAGGTTAAAAACTGAGGGAAGAACCTCAGCAAAAACTGATAGTCAGGGAAAGGGCTGAAGACTGAAAAAAGATTGCTGTATTTTAGAATATGCTTTTCAAATTAAAAAGTGGATGAAGAAATGAAAGAACCATTGAGTAGGGGAAAGGTCAGAGAAAGCAGACTGATAATAGAGTTTGGCAAGATTAATTAATTTCCAACTTGCTTCCTTTCGGAAAGGACAACAATCTATATATGAAAATGATAAAAAAAAAAGTGTCATCGTAGAAGAGAAGCCCTGAATAGGAGATAATAAAAATTCTCTTCAAGATCACTGAAGAGGTTCCTGCCTGCCACTCCATGCACATATACGCCTGTGCCAGCAGCACTGTGCCATTGCAAGGCATGAAATCGGCCATGCTCCTTCATACCTCTTTGACAAGCCAGAAAACTAAGGCCATATTTCTACCAAGAACCAGCCTTTACATCTTGCAAACTCCACTTTTTCTGCTAATCAATATTTTCTTTTGCCGAATAAAGTTTTTGCTGAAGCACCATCACCTCTAAGAAACCCCACATTGTGTTGAGATAATTTTCTACCAATTGCCTCATACCATATGTATATCTCTATTATTGTACATACTCATTTTGTAATATTTCTATTGCTAGTATATCTCTACCTTGAACTTTAAATTCCTAGAATTTAAAAATAATGTCTCTCTTCTTTATATCCTAGTTCAACAGAAGAGTGCAGGGAATGAAACACATGTTAAATATATATATATAAATACACACACACACACACACACACACACACACACACACATTGAATTAGTTTGCTAGGGCTGCCATAACAAAATACCATATACTAGGTGGCTTAAGCATCAGAATTTTATTTTCTCACAGTGCTGAAAGCTAGAATTCCAAGATAAGGCAGGTTTGGCTTCTTCCGAGACCTCTCTTCTTGGTGTGCAGATGGTCACCTTCTCACTGTGTCCTCACAGGGTCTTTCTTCTGTGCATGCACATCCTTGGTGTCTCTTTGTGTGTTCTAGTCTCCTTTACTTGCAAGAACACCGATGAATTTGGATTAGGATCCATCCTAAAGACCTCATTTTAACTTAATAACCAAACTAGAGGATCTATCTTCAAATATAGTCACATTATGAGGTACCGGAGATGAGGACTTCAACATAGGAATTTTGGAGACACAATTCAACTCGTGATAGGTAGGTAGGTAGACAGATAGATAGATAGATAGATAGATAGATAGATAGATAGATAGATAGATAGATACATAGATACATAGATACATAGATAGATAGATACATAGATACATAGATAGAGAGGGATAGATGATAGTATCAAATGAAGCAACAAATTAATTGATTATATTCCAATTATATAACGTGACTGTGACAAAAGTTAATAATAAAAAATGAATTTGCAAGTACGCTTGTGACATGCAAATGTGCCAATAATGTTCTAAACTTGTGGGGCAAGGAAGGTTGATTACGACAGCTGTAGATGGAAAAGCTACAAGGGTTTGCACAGTGCTTCATGTTGTGGCTCAGTTTATCATTTCAGCCTCTTCTTTTCCCTACCTGTATACTCTCTTCACTCCAACTATACCAAATGTACTCATTCTGGTTATAGTTCATATTTCCTTTGCTTGTATTTTTTTAAATGTTAGTTTCTTTCTACTAAACTCTCTTCCTCCCCAGTGAGGTTATCCTTCAAATCTTTGCTTGGATATTTACTTTTATTTTTTCTATGATATATTCATTAATTCATTGTCCCCTCACACACAAACAATCTAGGTAACATACATCATGAAATTTTTTCTGCAATTGGACCTATTACATTATAATTGTCTTCTTGCCCATAATACCAACCAGACTCATAACTCTAGAAAAGAGGCTGTGTTTTCCTTGTTTACACATTTTTTCTTATCACATGGTAAAATACATAAAATATAACAATTATCAATTAATATTTGTAAAACAAATCAACCTAAAATATATATAGGAAAATGGAAGGGTTGACATTAGAACCAATACAGGCTCACAGAGAACAAATCATGCAGAAGTAACTTCATTTCTGTTTTCACAGGATTAGATGGCTAGTGGAACATGAAGGGTGCTTTCAACAATTTGACAGGCAAAATATCCATTTATTTACACTTGTGTTAAAGGTATAGAAATACCAGATGGTAGCACAATTATCTGATGTTAAATACGTTTAGAGATTAAGAGTTATGTCAATCTAAATAGAGCCCCATTTGTAATAAGTCACAGAGTTTCTTTAATAAACTCTGTGGAATGTTTCTAACAATTAAGGCATAGAAAATTTGCTTGTTACATAGGAATGGTTAATTTATCAGATAACAAATTCAGTGCTAATAATGATTTTAGGAGAATGAAAGAGTTGTTATCGTTTGAGAATTATAAGATTGAAATGCTACGGATTGAATTTAGTATAAAATCAGTTATATAAGCAAAATATGAAAAAGATCTATATGTATCTGGAAACTGAACATAGAAAGCAATATAATACAGCTGTACATTTTACTTGAACCTAGGCAAATAATTAATTCATTTTAGAAACTATAATAATAGGTTAGGTTTTTAATGTATTTATACAACAGTACTATGATAGATGTTTTATATATATTATTTAATTTACTCAATAACTCTAAAAGTAAGCTTTATAGCTATTCATATTTCAACACTGAGAAAGCTGTGGTTTAAAAGTATAATTTATTCATTCAAAGTTACACAGGTAATATGTTGTATAAAGAATTTTGAATCTATGCCTTTCTGTTTCTTAACTTCACAATTTTAAATACTCGATAATTTTAAATACAATTTAATTTCACAACTAAATACACAGCTATACGTTCTAGTTTATCGCTCTGGAATCCAAGGCAGATTTCTATCATTTATTATAAGAACCCTCGATTTTTCTCAGCTGGAATTTGGGATGCTGTAATCTGAAGAAACATGATTATGACTTCATTTCACAGCTAATTTCTTAAATATTTTAGCACATTAGAAATATTTTGTTTCCAAAGGTCTTTTTTTTAAAGGTAGAAGAGTGAGTGTGGTAAACACATTGTACTTCCAAATTTTGAATGCCAAAGCAATAACTAGTTTGTATTTGTTTTTAAAGCAGACTAAAAACTCTCATTCTGCTGCCTTGTTGCTGTTCACTTTCATTTTGTTTTTATTTTTTTGAAAGCAGTTAACCAGCTGCACCTTCATTGAGCCTAGAAGATACAGTCTCATATATGAAAACACTTGTAACATATGGTTTTTAAGAATAAATTATTCTAGTTTTAGGAATAGTAGTTTTAATTGGTTTCAAAATACCTATAATTGTATAAAATTTAAATAAATATTTCCTACTCTTTTAATAAATTATTATTCATTTAATTTATTTAATTTTTATCTTTGGATTCTCATTTCACCAAAGCAGGAAATTTCTGTGATTCAAATATAATAAAACTAAAAACAATATAAAATTATAAATAAAAATAGGTCTGACTAATATCAATTTAATAATTAAATTTTCTATCTTATACTCTACCGTAAAGCTAAATTATACAATCTTCCATTATCTCCAAGTTTTCTGAAATCCTCAATTTTCCCACAACTCACCATAATCCTGTAACTATGCACATTGTCAACAAACATCAGGGACCATCTGTTTTCCTTCTCACATTCTTCTTTCCTGATCCTTTAGGGTTCAGGCCTGCATGCTTCCAAGATACCCAGAGAGTTAACTGAAATCCTTATCTAATATGGATTCAGCAACAAAGACTGACTTGGTATTTCTGAATTATCATGGACCTAATATATCAACTTAATTGAGCCATTTAGTTACTAAATGCACTACCCCAAACCCAACAAAAACTCAAGTCAGTAAGCAAAATAATTGTAGTAAGATAAAATAAATTAATAAATAAAAACTTTAAAAGTACAAAGGAGGCAAACTCATTGTCCTGATTATCTTTGTAATTTTGGACTAAGGGCTATACATTTTGCTAAAGAGAAATGCAGCACTTTCTTCTGGACTTATTCCCTTTACTTGGATTCATATAATACTTTTCAAACTTGATTCTAATGATTATATTTATCCCTTTTAACACATTTCTTCTCAATTAAATACTTATTTCTTTCCAACCAATTTATTGGTAAGCACCCCAAAATACACATGTACAATTTGGCTAGCACTGGAAACAAGAACAGCAAAAGAGATGGCCTTTGCAAATTTAATTTTGAGTTTTAATTGATATTTACACCATTGTGGCCAAAATTTGGATTGCTGAAATAATTAGCAATTTGAGTGTTGGGAATTCTAAAAAGGAAGTAAATCACTCTATATACCTGCTAGACTGGAAGTGACACACATCACCACTTAAATTCCGTTGTTTTATACCTTAAAACAAAATAAAGAGTTTTGACTTGTAGTTCAGTATAAACCTAGAAAATGTTCAAAATTCTTTTAAATTAGTTACTTATGGTAAAGAAACATCATCCATGCTGTTTGCATATATTGACTGCATGGTATTCTACATTGCCTCCTACAAAGACTACTCATTAAAGCCAGGAAATTAACGTGGCCCTTAAATTTTAAGCTATGTTTTGTTAATGCAAAAATTATGTTGATTTTGTGAATCTCACCCTTTCAGATAGTACTGTTGTTATTCTTGTCTGTATTAATTTCATAGAAGGCTTAAGCGGGAATAAACCTGTAATTGTGGTTCAACTCAACTAGGTATTTAAAATGTTTTTCTTTCACTTAGTAATGGAATATTGTCAAAGGTCAATATGTGTTATGGCATGGATGAGAGCAGTCTTTGTACTATTTATTTTTTGGATGAAATCAATATTCTATGTATTATACTGTATACTTAGCATATAAACTAGTGAACAAGATAGCTCTCTTGCCTTCAAGAAGCTTACCACAGACGTTTAGAAAGATATAATATTTCCTAATGCTATCCCTCCCCCAGCCCCCCACCCCATGACAGGCCCCAGTGTGTGATGTTCCCCATCCTGTGTCCAAGTGTTCTCATTGTTCAATTCCTACCTATGAGTGAGAACATGCAGTGTTTGGTTTTCTGTCCTTGTGATAGTTTGCTCAGAATGATGGTTTCCAGCTTCATCCATGTCCCTACAAAGGACATGAACTCATCCTTTTTTATGGCTGCATAGTATTCCATGGTGTATATGTGCCACATTTTCTTAATCCAGTCTATCATTGATGGACATTTGGGTTGGTTCCAAGTCCTTGCTATTGTGAATAGTGCTGCAATAAACATACGTGTGCATGTGTCTTTATAGCAGCATAATTTATAATCCTTTGGGTGTATACCCAGTAATGGGATTGCTGGGTCAAATAGTATTTCTAGTTCCAGATCCTTGAGGAATCGCCACACTGCCGTCCACAATGGTTGAACTAGTTTACAGTCCCACCAACAGTGTAAAAGTGTTCCTATTTCTCCACAGCCTCTCCAGCACCTGTTACTTCCTGAGTTTTTAATGATCGCCATTCTAACTGGTGTGAGATGGTATCTCATTGTGGTTTTGATTTGCATTTCTCTGATGGCCAGTAATGATGAGCATTTTTTCATGTGTCTCTTGGCTGCATAAATGTCTTCTTTTGAAAAGTGTCTGTTCATATCCTTCGCCCACTTGTTGATGGGGTTGTTTGATTTTTTCTCGTAAATTTGTTTAAGTTCTTTGTAGATTCTGGATATTAGCCCTTTGTCAGATGGATAGATTGTAAAAATTTTCTCCCATTCTGTAGGTTGCCTGTTCACTCTGATTGTAGTTTCTTTTGCTTTGCAGAAGCTCTTTAGTTTAACTGGATTCCATTTGTCAATTTTGGCTTTTGTTGCCATTGCTTTTGGTGTTTGAGTCATGAAGTCCTTGCCCATGTCTATGTCCTGAATGGTATTGCCTAGGTTTTCTTCTAGGGTTTTTATGGTTTTAGGTCTAACATTTAAGTCTTCAATCCATCTTGAATTAATTTTTGTGTAAGGTGTAAGGAAGTGATTCAGTTTCAGTTTTCTACATATGGCTAGCCAGTTTTCCCAGCACCATTTATTAAAAAGGGAATCCCTTCCCCATTTCTTGTTTTTGTCAGGTTTGTCAAAGATCAGATGGTTGTAGATGTGTGGTATTACTTCTGAGGGCTCTGTTCTGTTCCAATTATCTATATCTCTGTTTTGGTACCAGTACCATGCTGTTTTGGTTACTGTAGCCTTGTAGTATAGTTTGAAGTCAGGCAACATGATGCCTCCAGCTTTGTTCTTTTGGCTTAGGATTGTCTTGGCAATGCGGGCTCCTTTTTGGTTCCATATGCACTTTAAAGTAGTTTTTTTTCCAATTCTGTGAAGAAAGTCA
This sequence comes from Homo sapiens, assembly GCF_000001405.40. Taxonomy (NCBI): domain Eukaryota; kingdom Metazoa; phylum Chordata; class Mammalia; order Primates; family Hominidae; genus Homo; species Homo sapiens. Next base: position 104,135,466 of record NC_000004.12, read on the forward strand.
TTGGTAGCTTGATGGGGATGACATTGAATCTATAAATTACCTTGGGCAGTATGGCCATTTTCACGATATTGATTCTTCCTATCCATGAGCATGGAATGTTCTAATGTTCTTCCATTTGTTTGTATCCTCTTTTATTTCATTGAGCAGTGGTTTGTAGTTCTCCTTGAAGAGGTCCTTCACATCCCTTGTAAGTTAGATTTCTAGGTATTTTATTCTCTTTGCAGCAATTGTGAATGGGAGTTCACTCATGATTTGGCTCTCTGTCTGTTATTGGTGTATAGGAATGCTTGTGATTTTTACACACTGATTTTGTATCCTGAGACTTTGCTGAAGTTGCTTATCTGCTTTAGGAGATTTTGGGCTGAGACAATGGGGTTTTCTAGATACACAATCACGTCATCTGCAAACAGGGACAATCTGACTTCCTCTTTTCCTAATCGAATACCCTTTATTTCTTTCTCCCGCCTGATTGCCCTGGACAGAATTTCCAACACTATGTGGAATAGGAGTGGTGAGAGAGGGCATCCCTGTCTTGTGCCAGTTTTCAAAGGGAAGGCTTCCAGTTTTTGCCCATTCAGTATGATATTGGCTGTGGGTTTGTCATAAATAGCTCTCATTATTTTGAGATATGTCCCATCAATACCTAGTTTATTGAGAGTTTTTAGCATGAAGCGCTGTTGAATTTTGTCAAAGGCCTTTTCTGCATCTATTGAGATAATCATTTTGTTTTTGTCTTTGGTTCTGTTTATGTGATGGATTACGTTTATTGATTTGCATATGTTGAACCAGCCTTGCATCCCAGGGATGAAGCCCGCTTGATCACGGTGGATAAGCTTTTTGATGTGCTGCTGGATTCGGTTTGCCAGTATTTTATTGAGGATTTTTGCATTGATGTTCTTCAGGGATATTGGTCTAAAATTCCCTTTTTTTGTCGTGTCTCTGCCAGGCTTTGGCATCAGGATGACGCTGGCCTCATCAAATGAGTTAGGGAGGATATCCTCTTTTTCTATTGATTGGAATAGTTTCAGAAGGAATGGTACCAGCTCCTCTTTGTACCTCTGGTAGAATTCGGCTGTGAATCCGTCTGGTCCTGGACTTTTTTTGGTTGGTAGGCTATTAATTATTGCCTCAATTTCAGAACCTGTTATTGGTCTATTCAGGGATTCAACTTCTTCCTGGTTTAGTCTTGGGAGGGTGTATGTGTCCAGGAATTTATCCATTTTTTCTAGATTTTCTAGTTTAATTGTGAGAGGTGTTTCTAATGTTCTGTGATGGTAGTTTGTATTTCTGTGGGATTGGTGGTGATATCCCCTTTATCATTTTTTATTGCATCTATTTGATTCTTCTCTCTTTTCTTCTTTATTAGTCTTGCTAGTGGTCTATCAATTTTGTTGATCTTTTCAAAAAACCAGCTCCTGGATTCATTGATTTTTTGAAGGGTTTTTGTGTCTCTGTCTCCTTCAGTTTTGTTCTGATCTTAGTTATTTCTTGCCTTCTGCTAGCTTTTGAATGTGTTTGCTCTTGCTTCTCTAGTTCTTTTAATTGTGATGTTAGGGTGTCAATTTTAGATCTTTCCTGCTTTCTCTTGTGGGCATTTAGTGCTATACATTTCCCTCTACACACTGCTTTAAATGTGTCCCAGAGCTTCTGGTATGTTGTGTCTTTGTTCTCATTGGTTTCAAAGAACATCTTTATTTCTGCCTTCATTTCATTATGTACTCAGTAGTCATTCAGGAGCAGGTTGTTCTGTTTCCATGTAGTTGAGTGGTTTTGAGTGAGTTTCTTAATCCTGAGTTCCAGTTTGATTGCACTGTGGTCTGAGAGACAGTTTTTATAATTTCTATTCTTTCACATTTGCTGAAGAGTGCTTTACTTCCAACTATGTGGTCAATTTTGGAATAGGTGCGATGTGGTGCTGAGAAGAATGTATATTCCGTTAATTTGGGGTGGATACTTCTGTAGATGTCTATTAGTTCTGCTTGGTGCAGAGCTGAGTTCAATTCCTGGATATCCTTGTTCACTTTCTGTCTCGTTGATCTGTCTAATGTTGACAGTGGGGTGTTAAAGTCTCCCATCATTATTGTGTGGGAGTCTAAGTCTATTTGTAGGTCTCTAAGGACTTGCTTTATGAATCTGGATGCTCCTGTATTGGGTGCATATATATTTAGGATAGTTTGTAAATGACGAGTTAATGGGTGCAGCACACCAACATGGCACATGTATACATATGCTACAAACCTGCATGTTGTGCACATGTATCCTAGAACTTAAAGTATAATAAAAAAGAAAGATATAAAATTTATCCATTTTGAAATAAAGCATCTAAGTGTTATTTCTATCAAGCTTTAAAGTTCTCACATAAGGGTATAAGAACAGTTTTCTCACATAGTATCTTGATTGCTATAAAGGATTTCTAACCTTTGAAGCAAACTGTGGTTATACTAAACCTTCATAGGAAAATTATATAATTTAAAATATGTTATTTCATTAAAACCAATGCTTTTATTGGCTCAGAAGTGATTTATCTTGTATAGCCAACACTAGAGAAACTCCATATCACCAACTAATGAAGCTTCAGAGAAATATAAATGTGGAATTTTTAAAGGTAATGACAATACCTCAAGCCTATAACCAACATAACTCTGCTATGCTCATGAATTACCAGAGTCACTTAGAGTAAGGGAAGGATGTGTTTGTTTACAGTGGGCAGTCATGAATACCTTGCTATGGCTGATTACCATTCTGACTACTAGAAAATGGAACTGTTACACCCAACAGCATCTGCTGTGCTGGAATACAGCAATGCCCAGATTGCCTATTACAAAATTCCAGAGACTATTTGCCAGCAATAGACTTCACATTGCCAATGGGTAATTTGCAGTTTGCTGTGTCATCAGAATCTGAACATGTCGCATCTTTTCCTCATCATGGACAATCCAATGGCAAAGTGCTATTGAAGCAGCTGTGAAGAATGAAAAAAAAAAACTATAGAGGAAGAACAAAGTGACAGCAGACTCCATGCAAATCAGCAGTGGACACAAAATATGCACTCACAAAAGCAATAATGTATAGATCTATGTAGTTCCTGATGCTGTATAATGTGGAAACAATGCTATTCTGCAGCAGATGAAATTTCACAGGTAGATAAATCAAAAGACTGTGAAGAATGAGGAAGAGGTTGTAAAGAGAAATAGTAAAATTTGGAACATTGAAGGTTATATTGTAAAATATAATCTGTACACTAAATAGAAATCACGAAACACATTTTGGTAATTATTTTAGGAAAAAAAACAACAGAAAATGTGTGTGCCACATCTAAATTTTATAATTGTTCACCATTATAAGAACATCCTATTAATTAGATTATGTAGATAGTGCTAAATGTTAGTCAAAATGTGAATGTAATTCCTGAATACTCATGAACTAAAACTAAAGGATAATGACAATACTTCAAGCCTACAGACAACATAACTCTGCTATGCTCATTAGTCACTAGAATCATTTGGAGTAAGGGAGGATGTGTTTGTTTACAGTGGGCAGTCATGAACATGACATAAAATGTATTTCTTCTTTATACATCTCTGTTATTTGAATTGTATCCTAATTTTTTCATATAAATTATTGAAATATTATAAATACCACCAGTATAATTGCTAAATTATAAAACCTTAAATTGTCAGAAACGTAAGAAGTTAGATTTTTACAAGATCTGTTCCTCATGGAAAAAGCCCTTTATAACATCCTTAGCAAATGGTCATTTGCCATCCTTGTGGATATTTGAGTAGTGAAGAATTCACAGCCTCTTGAGGCTACTCAAGAGGCAGTGAGTCTTTCGGCAACACTTATAATCAGCCAATATCATAAGTTAAGCCAAAATGTTCTAGCCTACGACTTTTATGTGTTGGTCACAGAGACAAGATGTCTCCAGTGTTTCTTTCACATTCTTCATTCTCACTCATTCACCAGGTCCAGTAACCCAGTCCTACCAGTTCTATCTCCAATAACTGTGTTAGCAGCTGTTCACTCCTTCCCTCCTTTCTTATGCCACTTCCCTAATTTTACACTTCCCAGCTCTGTTAGAATTAATTTAATAACTTCCTTAGTATTTTCCCTACTTTTAGCTAATTGTCTCCACAGTCGGTCCCTGACATCAAAGCCAGCCTTCTTGTGAAATACTGTTTGAGTTTCTTTCCTATAAGGCATTCAGGAGACTATCAGAATAAAGTTGAAATTGCTAGGTAGGGTAGCCAAGAACGCAGGCTTCCATCTTTTGGCAGTATCTTCTGCTATGACTTCAGAATCCTTTCCTCTTTGGCCAAGAACTGGGAAAAAGATAGTAGAGAAAGCTTTTATTTTGGTGACCATGCTAGACTGGAAGTGACACACATCACCATTCAAATTCCATTGTTAAGAGCCAGTCATATGCCCTCAGGTAGATGTAAACTGGTCAAAAAAATAAAGTCTCTGCTTTAGCAGCCATTTCCCCAAGTCAATCCTATAATATGGAATGAGACTGAAAATGTTTGTGAACAATTGGCATACATTTCTTACAACTAAGAAAATCCTATGGTTAGAAAACCCAGAGCCATGTCTTCTCAATCTCACATTTCAGGTTCAATTTACACTCCATCATTCACAGTCATTAAACTCCATTCACTACATTACCTATTTTTCCCTTAAGAATGTCTTTCACTGAGATAGCCCTGTCTTGTCTTGGAAAGTTTTCTTTCATCCACCTCACTTCTATCAACTATTGAATCCCTATTCAAACTTCAAGTTTTAGGTCAAACTATGTTCTTGTCTAAAATCTTCCTTAATAATCCCATTGGAATGAGCTCCTTTCAAATTATTCCTCTTCAGTTTCTTTCATCAGTGTTTTACAGTTTTCATTATAAAGATATTTTACTTCTTTGGTTCAGTTAATTCCTTGGTATTTAGTTTTATTTGTGACTATTGCAAATGGGATTACTTTTTGATTTATTTTTTCAGATTTTTCACTGTTGGCATATAGAAATGCTACTTATTTTTATATATTGATTTTGTATTCTGCAACTTTGTTGAATTTGTTTATCAGTTCTAATTTTGGTGGAGTCTTTGGGTTTTTCAAAATATAAGAATATATTATGTGCAAACAAGGATACTTTGATTTCTTCCTTTCCACTTTGGATGCCCTTTATTTTTTTCTCTTGTCTGTTTGCTCTAGCTAGGACTTTCAGTATTATGTTGAATAACAGTGGTGAAAGTGGGCATCCTTGTCATGTTCCAGATATTAGAGGAAAGGCTTTCAGCTTTTCCCTATTCAGTATAATACTAACTGTGGGTCTGTCATATATGGCTTTTATTATGTTGAAGTATATTTCTTCAATACCCAGTGTTTTGAGGATTTTATCATGAAGGAATGTTAAATATTATTACATGCTTTTTCATCATCAATTGAAATGGTCATATGGCTTTTGTCCTTCTGTTGATATGATGTATCACACTGATTGATTTGTATATGATGAATCATCCTTACATCCCAGGAATAAATCCCACTTGGTCACAATGAATTATCTTTTAAATATATTGTTGAATTCAATTTTCTAATATTTTGTTGAGAATTTTTGCATCAATATTAATCAGAGATATTGGCCTATAGTTTTCTTTCCTTTGATGTGTCTCTCTCTGGTTTTGGTATCAGGGTAATACAGGCCTCATAGAATGAGTCTGAAAGTATCGCCTCCTCCTCTATTTTGTGGATTCGTTTCAGTAGGAATGGAGTTAGTTCTTGTTTAAATGTCTGACAAAATTCATCAGTGAATTATGCCAGTGAATTCATCAGTTCCTAGGCTTTTCTTTACTGGGGAGACTTTTTATTGTGGCTTTGATGTCATTACTTGTTATTGGTATATCCGGTTTTTAGATTTCTTCATGGTTCAATTTTGGTAGGTTGTGTTTGTCTAGGAATTTGTCCATTTCTTCTAGATTTTCCAATTTATTGGCATACAGTTTTGTGTAGTAGCCACTAATGATCTTTGAATGTCTGCAGTAACACTTGTAATGTCACCTTTTTCATCTGTGATTTATTTGAATCTTCTCTTTTTTTTTCTTAGTCTGGCTAAAGGTTTGTCAATTTTGCTTAATTTTTCATAAAACCAACTTTTTGTTTCATTGATCTTCTCTATTGTTTTCTTCATTTTAATTTCATTTATTTCTCCCCTGATCTAATTTTGGGTTTGGCTTGCTCTTCCTTTTCAAGGACGTTGTTTTTGTTGTTGTTTTGTTTTGTTTTTGAGACAGGGTCTCACGCTGTCGCCCAGACTGCAGTGCAGCTGCATGATCTTGGCTCACTGCAACCTCTGCCTCCCAGGTTCAAGCAATTCTCATGCCTCAGCTCCCTGAATAGTTGGGATTACAGGCTCATGCCACCACACTTGGCTAATTTTTGTATTTTTAGTAGAGATGGGTTTTTGCCATGTTGCCCAGGCTGGTCTTGAACTCCTGGCCTCAAGTGATCCGCTCACTTCAGCCTCCCAAAGTGCTGGAATTACAGGTGTGAGCCACCGCACTGAGCTCCTTTTCAAGTTTTTAAAGATGCATCATTAGGTTGTTCACTGGAAGATTTTTCTTCTTTTTTGTTGTAGGCACTTGTAGCCTTTGCTGAGCTACTTTTCAAGTTTTTAAAGATGCATCATTAGGTTGTTTACTGGAAGATTTTCTTCTTTTTTGTTGTAGGCACTTAGTACTGCCTTTGCTGTATCCCATAGGTTTAGGTATGTTGTGTTTCCATTATAATTTGTTTCAATAAATTATTCAATTTCCTTCTCAATTTCTTTATTAACCCACTGGTCTTTCAGAAACCTATTGTTTAATTTCCATGTATTTGTATAGTTTCCAAAATTTCTCTTGTTACTGATTTCTAGCTTTATTCCATTGTGGTGATAGAAGATGCTTTATATTATTTCAATTTTTTGAATGTTTTAAGACTTGTTTTGTGACATAACATATGGTCTGCCTTTGGGAGTGATCCATATGCTGAGATAAAGAATATGTATTCTGCAGCCATTGGATGACATGTTCTGTAAGTATCTATTAGCTCCATTTGGTCTATAGTGTAGATAAAGTTCAAAGTTTCTTTGTTGATTTTCTGCCTGGAAGATCTGTCCGTTGCTGAAAGCGGGGTGTCAAAATCTCCACCTGTTACAGTATTTGAATCTATTTCTTTCTCTAGCTCTAATAATATTTGCCTTTTTATCTGAGTGCTTCAATGTTGGGTGCATATGTTTTTAAAATTGTTATATTCTCTTGCTGAATTGACCCCTTTATCATTATGTAGTGACCTTCTTTGTCTCTTCTTATAGTTCTTGTCTTGAAATCTGTTTTGTCTGATATAACTATAGCAACTCCTGCTCTTTTTTGGTTTCCATTGGCATGGGGTATCTTTTTTCCATCCCTTTATTTCCAGTCAATTGTCTTTATAGGTGAAGTGTGTTTCTTACAGGCAACAGATGATTCAGTGTTTATTTATCCATTCAGCAACTGTTTGTTGATTGGAGCGTTTAGTCCATTTACATTCCATGTTATTATTAATAAGTAAGGACTTACTACTGCCATTTTGTTATTTGTTTTCTGGTTGTTTTGTGGTCCTCTTCCTGCTTTCTTTCCTTCCTGCCTTTCTTTTAGTGAGGGTGATTTTCTCTGGTGATATGTTTTAGTATCTTCCTTTTTGTTTTTTGTGTATCCATTGTATGTTTTTGGGTTTGAGGTTAGCATGAGGCTTGCAAACATCATCTTATAACGCACTATTTTAACCTGATAACAACTTAACAGGGTTTGCATATAAAACAAACCAACCAACAAACAAAAATAACTAATAAAAACTCTACACTGTAGCTTCATCCCCGTCTTTTAACTGTTTGTTGTTTCTATTTACACCTTTTCTTTTCCCCTCCCTCCCTCCCTCCCTCCCTCCCTCCCTCCCTCCCTCCCTCCCTCCCTTCCTTCCTTCCTCTCTCTCTCTCTCTCTCTCTCTCTCTCTCTCTCTTTCTTTCTTCTCTTGCTCTGTCACCCAGGCTGGAATGCAGTGGTGGGATCTTGCCTTACTGCAACCTCCACCTCCTGGGTTCGAGTGATTATCCTGCCTCAGCCTCCTGAGTAGCTAGGACTATAGGCATGCACCACCATGTCCAGCTAATATTTGTATTTTTTTTTTTTTTTTTATCAGAAGTGGGGTTTCACCATGTTGGCCAGGCTGGTCTTGAACTCCTGACCTCAAGTGATCTGCCTGCCTCCGCCTCTCAAACTGTTGAGATTACAGGTGTGAGCCATCATGCCTGCCTTGTTTCTATTTATATCTTATTTTATTGTCTATGTCCTGAAAAATTATTGTAGTTTTTATTTTTGATTGGTTTTAGCTATTCTAGAGCCTGTGCCTTTGCAGTGCAGAATAAGCTAGTCAGTCTACAAAACTAACTTTACTGTGATTTAGATAAAATTGCCATGAAGCAATTAGATAAATTTGGGAGAACTGACATCTTTATTACATTGAGTCTTTTCAATGTAAACACACTATCTCCCTCTATTTAGTTTTTAAAAATTCTGTCATTAGCATTTTCTGATTTTGAGCATATAATTCATACGTATGATTTGTCAAGTGTACACATAAATATTTCATTTTTTGGAGCAACTGTAAATGGAATTATGTTTTAAATTTTGGTTTGCATATGTTCATTTTTAGTAGCTAGATATTAGATTATTTTTTACCTGTTGATCTTCTATCATTTGACCTTGATGAACTTAACTCTTCCATTCTTGGTGGGTTTCATTTTTTCTTAAATCCCAAAAGGTTTCTTGGGATTTACTATGCAGACAATCATGTCATCTGCAAATATTGACTATTTCTTCTTACTTTTTAGTATGTATGATTTTATATTTTTTACTGCTTTATTTTACTAGCTAGAACTACTATGTTGAATAAAACTGGTGGGTGAACAGATTTATCCTATTCCAAATCTTAGGGAAACACATTCAATCTTTTGCTATCAAATAAGATGTTAGCTGAGGGCACATTAAATGAATCAAGTTGTGGAGATTCCCCTCACTTTTAACTTCTTGATCATTTTTATCATAAATATATTTTGGAATTTTCAAACAGATTTTTTGCAGCAATCATTATAACCATCTAATTTTTCTTTTTCAGTTTATTAATATGAGGGGAATAAAACAAATTAATTTTTAGTAGTTTTTATTAATCTTTTTATAGATTCCAAGGGTACATGTGCGGTTTTGCTAGATAACTTTATCATATAATGGTGAGGTTTGAGTTTCAAATGTGCTTATCACTGGGATAGTGAACACTGTATAGAATAGGTACTTTTTCAACTCTCACCTCCCTTTTGAAGTCCCCAGTGCCTATTATTTCCCTTTGTATGTCCATGTGTACCCATTGCTTAACTCCTACTTGTAAGTGAGATTATGGGGTTTTGGACTTTCTAAGTTATTTTACTTATGATATGGACTCCAGCTCCATTCATGTTGCTGCAATAGACACTATTTTATTTTTTTATGGCTGCATAGTATTCCATGGTATATATACCACATTTTCTTTATTCAGTCATCTTTTGATGGATACTTCAGTTGATTCCATGACTTTGTTATTCTAAATAGTGAGCAATAAGCATACTAGTACACAGGTATTTTTGCTGTAATTATATATTTTCCTCTGGGTATATACCCAGTAGTGGGATCACTGGGTTTAATGGCAGTTCTCTTTTTAGTCCTTTAAGAAATCTCCATACTGTTTTCCATAGAGGTTGTACTAATTTGCATCTCCACCAATAGTATATAAGCATTCTCTTTTATCTGCATCCTTGTCAACATCTGCTGGTTTTTGCTTTTAGTAATAGCTATTCAAACTGGTGTGAGATGGTATCTCCTTGTGGTTTTAATTTGCATTTCTCTTGTGATTAGTGATAACTGAACATTTTTTGATGTTTCTTGGCTGCTTGTATGTCTTCTTTTGGGAAATATCTGTTCATGTCCTTTCCCTACTTTTTAATGCAATTATCTTTTTTTTTTTCTTGTGTTGAGTTACTTATAGGTTCTGGAGATTAGTCATCTGCCAGATGCATGGTTTGCAAATTTTTTCTCCCATTCTGTAGGTTGTCTGTTTGCTCTGTTTATTGTGTCTTTTGCTGTGCAGAAGCTCTTTAATTTGGTTAAGTCCCATGTGTCTATTTTTGCTTTTGTTGTATTTGCTTTTAAGGTCTTAGTCATAATTTCTTTGCCTAAGCCAATATCCAGAAGAGGTTTCCCTAGGTTTCCTTCTGGGATTTTAATAGTTTGAGTTCTTACACTTAAGTCTTTAATCCACCTTGAGGTAATTTTTGTATATGGTGAGAGATAGGGGTACAGTTTCATTCTTATGTATTTGACTATCCAATTTTCCCAGCACCATTTATTGAATAGGGTGTCCTTTCTCAAATGCATATTTTTGTCAACTTTGTCAACAATCAGTTGTTTGTAGGTGTGTAACTTTAATTTTGCATTATTCATTGTGTTTTGTTTACCTATGTGTCTATTTTTGCACAAGAACTATGCAATTTTTGGTTACTATAGCCTTGTGGTATCATTTGAAGTCAGGTAATGTGACGCCTCCAGCTTTGTTATTTTTGCTCAGTATTGCTTTGACCCACTGTCACCACTCATATTCAACATAGTACTGGAAGTCCTAACCAGAGTAATCAGGCAAAAGAAATAAATAAAAAGCAACTAAATTGGAAAAGAGGAAGTCAAATTTTCTCTGTTCACAGATGACATGATCTTATATCTAGAAAACCTTAAAGGCTACTCCAAAGACTCCCACTCCAAAGACTCCTACACCTGATAAATAACTTCAGTAAAGTTTCAGGATACAAAATCAATGTACAAAATATAGTAGCATTTCTATAAACCAATAATGTTCAAACTGAGAATCAAATAAAGAACTCAATCCCATTTACACTAACCACAAAACAATAAAATACTTAGGAATACATTTAATCAAACAGATGACAGATATCTTCAAGGAAAACTACAAAACACTGATGAAAGAAATCATAGATGACACAAACAAATGGAAATAAAATCTCATACTCTTGGGTTGGAAGAATCAATATCATTAAAATGACCATACTGCCCAAAGCAATATACAGATTCAATGCAATTTCTATCAATTTATCAATGTCATTTTTCATAGAATTAGAAAAAAAATCCTAAAATTCACATGGAATGAAAAAACAGCCTGAATAGCCAAAGCAATTCTAAGCAAAATGTTTTATTTTTTGGAGAAGTTTATGTTCACAGCAAAATTGAGCAAAGAGTACAGAGATTTCCCATGTACCCGCCCCACCTCCAGCCCTGAATGCATAGCCTCTCTTCTCTCATTATTAACAATCCCCACCAGAGTGATACATTTGTTATAGCTGATAAATCTACATTGATATATCATTATCACCCAAAGTCCATGGTTTACATTAGAATTTACTCTAACTCCTCCCTAATCCTTGGCAATCACTTATCTATTTCCTGTTTTTATAGTTTTGCCTTTTCTAGATCATATACTAGGATTCATCCAGTATACAGCCCTTTCAGATTGGCTTCATTCACTTAGTAACATGCCTTTAAGGTTCCTCCTTGTCTTTTCATGGCTTACTACCTCATTTCTTTTTATCAGTCAATACTATTCCATTGTCTAGATTACAACAGTTTATTCACCTACTGAAGGACTTCTTGGTTACTTGCAAATTTTGGCAATTATGCATTAAGTTTCCATAAATATCCATGTGCAGGACTTTGTGAGTGGATATCAATTTTCAACTCATTTGGGTAAATACCAAGGTTTACAATTACTGGATCACATAGTAAGTTATGTTTAGTTTTGTAAAAAACTAACAATCTGATTCAATGTGGGTGTACCATTTAGCATTCCATCAGTAATATATGAGAGATCCTGCTGTTTCATATTCTACCCAACATTTAGGGTTGTCAGTGTTCTGGATTTTGGCAGATTTATTTTAATACATTTCATAACTAGTGAAAATTCCACGAGGTTATAGGATACAATTCATTTTACATAATGTTGGATTCAGTTTGCAAATATGTTGAGAAATTTGTATCTAAGTTCATGAGATATAATGTTCAGTAGTTATCTTCTCACTGTATCCTCTCTGTTCGATTTTGATATCAGAGTAATAATAGGCTGATAAATTGAATCGGAACATATTCCCTTCTATGGAAGAAATTATATAAAATTGATGTTAATCTTAAATGTTTGGTAGAATTCTCTAATGAAATTATTTGGGCCTGGAAATTTATTTTTCAGAAATGTTTAATAATGAATCAATTTCTCTATAATTGTAGTTCTGTTTGATTATCAGTTTCATCTTGGTTAAGCTTTGGCTGTTTGTACTTTTTGAAGAAATGCTGAAGTTAGTTAAGCTGTCAAAGTGCTTAGTGTAAAGCTGTTCATAATATTCCCTTATTATTTTTTTAGTGGCTGCAGAGTCTTCAGTGAAATCTTCTGTAACATTTCTTGTTTTGGTGATTTGTGTCTTCTCTTTTTTTAATTTGTGTCTTGGTAGCGTTTTATCAATTTTATTATTTTTTTCTTTTTGTATCATTGTCTTTTGTCTAATGTTTTCTGTTTTCAATTTTATTGATTACTGCACTTGTTTTTAATATCTCTTTTCTTCTTCTTACTCTAACTTTATTTTACTCTCGTTATTTTTGTTGCCCGAGGTAGAAACTGAGATTATTAGTTTGATATCTCTCATATTTCCCCATAAAAGAATTTAGTGTCATATATTTCCATTTAAACACTACTTTGACTTCATCTCACATATTTAAATATGTTGTATTATCAATTTAGTTCAATTGTATTTATGTTTTTATTAGCTTCAAATTTTTCTCTTGGATCCATAGGTATATAGAAATGTGTTATCTAATTTTTGCATGTTTCAGTATTATCCTGTTGTCTCTTATTGATTTCTAGTTTAATTTTATTAGAGTCCGAGAACTCACTCTGTATAGTTTCAATTATTTCAAATTTGTTGAGGTTTATTTTATGTCACAGAATAATGTTGACCTTGGTGTCTGTTTTGGGGTCCATTTTTTCAGACAAGAAAACCATTGTCATTCAAATTAGCATCCCTATACAGGTAATGTGTTTCTGATCACTGTCTGCTTTTAAGATCCTTTGTTTTAGTTTTAGAAGTTTAATTATGATGTGTATTGGCATATAATTTTGGGGGTTCATTCTATTTGAAATTCTCAGTTTATTGGATTTGTATGTGAATATCTTGGAATCCTGTTCTTATTTTCCTCTTTTTCTGTAACTCAGAAAATACAAATGTTGTCTTTGTTAGTACCCAACAGGTCCCTTAGTTGTGTTAATTTTTAAAGATAATTTTCTTTCTGTTTTTTATATTTTATTAAATATATAAATAAATTCTCAATTTTCTTTATTGTACTCCCTGTCATCACCACACTCCTATTGAGCCTATCTGGTGAGTTTTTAAATGGATCTCACTGTATATCTCAGTTTTATTATTTCCATTGGTTCTACTTTACAACTTCTAATCCTTTGCAGAATTTTCTAGTACTTCATCTATTAAAAGAAAATTTGTAGCTGATTTCAGAAGCATTTTTATGACTGTGGCTTTAAAATCCCAACAGTTAATTACAACATTTGAATCATCTAAGTATCAATTGATTGTCTTTTCTTCTTCAAGTTGTGACTTTCTGGATTTTGGTCCAATAGTGATGTTTTATTGTATCCTGGATATTTTTTCAGTTATGTTAGGTCCTCTGATTCCTATTTAAAATTTTATTTTAGAAGGTAATCCACCTTATTTATATTTAGCATATAGGAACTGACCTACATTTTTAGGATCTGGTTCCAGGGTCAGTTTAACTTTCAATGTCTTGGTAGTGAGATAAAACACACAGCTGTTGTGCTGTTTGTGTTGTTTTAGCCTTCGGGTTTCAAACCAGCTCACCTTCTTCTTACTACTGATCAGAGTTCTCCTTTGGTTAGCTCTTGGATTATTTTCAGAATATGTTACTGTGCTTGGGGAAGAGCAGGGAGAAAGAGGCCTATACCATCTTCTCTGCATGGAAAATCCAGTCATAGTTGCCTTTTAAGCCACTTTGTATTGCAAATGTTCAACAATATAGGATGAATTAAATGGTTTATTTAATTTATTCTGTTACATTATAATAAATATTTACAATCTATTGTAAACAGAAACAGATATAAGTAAATATGTATATTATAATCTCAAATTTCTAAATATCTATGCATATTTAAACTTGTAGAGAAAAAAGTAAATATAATGTGTTACGACTGGTTATTTCTAGATGGAGAATAATGAATAGTTCTTAATTCTCTCCTCTCTTATAACTTCTAAATTTTCTATAATGAGTATATGCTTATATTTACATTAATATCTGAAAACAAGTAGGAAACAGGACAATTAAAAAAAAAAAAACTCTGTTGTTGAGGAGGTGATGGAATGTGCATGAGGGAAGATGGCCAGTGCTGTTAGGAATACCTTACAAAAACTTCTGTTTTCAGGCCAGGCACGGTGGCTCATGGCTGTAATCCCAGCACTTTGGGAGCCTGAGGCGGTTGGATCATAAGGTCAGGAGTTTGAGACCAGGCTGGACAACATGGAGAAATGCTGTCTCTACTAAAAATACAAAAAATTAGCCCAGTGTGGTTGCAGGCCCCTGTATTCCCAGCTACTCGAGAGGCTGAGGCAGGAGAATCGCTTGAACCTTGGAGGCGGAGGTTGCATTGAGCAGAGACCGTGCCACCGCACTCCAACCTGGGCAACAGAGCGAGGCTTTGTCTCAAAAACAAAACAAAACAACAACAAAAAACAAAACAAACAAACAAAAAACTTCTGTTTTCAGATGTTACTCTCCCCCCAAAAAAAGGAGTGTGTGTAATTGTTTCCTTTACTGGAGTGGTAGGATAACTTGAAGGAAGATAAAGAAGTGAAAAAAAAAAAACAAAATTCAAAATAAAAATAATGAAAGAAGCTCACTGATTTAAAGAGCATAGTTGCTGAAGGATTGTATCTAAGGTAGCTGGTAAGCTCCATCAGGGTATCAACCCTGGGGAAACTTAGTTTTTGTTATTAAAATTTTCTGTCTCAAATGCATGTATAAGTCACCATTGATGAAACAGAGAAAAATGCCTGAGAATAATTGCAGACATTTCTTCAGAAAATTTTCTCATTCCTTTATTATTTTACTCTCTCCCTGACTTCCCCTAAATAATAATAGATCTATCTTAATAATATAGATAAACACCCTCCATTGCATTCTAATCTGTTAATATGGTAATCTGTAAGATTAATATGTAAGATTAATCTACAAGAGTTTAGGACATGGCTATTGAAATACTAGGATCAACTTATCCAATATCTTAAACCTCAGTATTAACATCAACACCAGAAACAGAATATGCTAGTTTTCTTGCATGTATCAGATGCAAATTTGTATTGGACTACACCTGAAGGGCAACTTAATGGTAATATAAGGATGAAGAAATAATTCATAGAGTTCACAGAACAGATGAACAATTAAAGCTGAATAAGGACTAGAAATAGTGAAACAATAATATCAGCAAGCAAGAGATAGAACTTATTTCAAGTCCTGTGACAAACCTCTCTCTTTGTCTCTCAGTTTAAATACCTGGGGCTAATGGTGGGGATACATACAGAAAAAGAAAGAGAGGATAAATTTAATTATGACAGTTTATGTTCATTATGCAACTCTTGTCTAGTGAACAAGTAAAAACAAGACCGTTTAGGACATATTTTGTTGGATATGTTGGGAAGTTTTAATTACTCCACAAAACCTTTCACCTTAGTTGCTCCATCTACATATACTTCTATACATAATTTAAAAGCTTTCTCTACCTGACATGCATTCATTAGTACATATATAACTATAAATGCATTCGATATCTCCCCAAATGGAGACAACTGGAAGTCACACCCAACTTTTACATTCAGAAATGTCACAGGGCCACTATCATTAGTTTCAAGATTTCAATTTATTTCCAATAGGTCTTTATTTCCACTGTTAGTCCACTAATAGACTGAGCATACCAACCACTATAAACCTTATCTATTTTCCACAGTGAGGTAAAGAGAAGAGGAAATGATGTGTGTGTGTGTGTGTGTGTGTGTGTTTATGTATTAGAAATGATGTACACACCAGTAGCAGAAAACAGGGAATATCATTGGAGACAAAAACCTTCATCTCTGAACTGATCACAAGATTATAAATTATGTTTATGGCTTCTCTTTTCTACTTGATAGACAATTTTTCTATCTTTGACCAACATTTACAACAGTAGATACTGATAGAACTCAAGAACCTGTGATTGATTTCCCTATGAGTAACATGACTTAGTTTCCAACTTGTAGTTTTATGTATAAAAAGAGGTCCAATTGAACAAACTAGAGACAGCTGTCAACTCTTATGTAGATATGATCAGAAAGCTGGGAATATGTGAATAAAATATGATCATGGCTTAACCCAAAATCTAAGTGGATAGAAAGGATGATTATCAGGGAAAAAGAACTGGGAAGAAGCATCAACATGTATTTACTAGAAATACCAAGAAATGAGAAAAAAAATCTTTTTTATCACATACATGAAAGTAATGAAACTGGTTTAAAAACCAGCATATTATTAGACATGTATTTTTCATAATGAAGGCTTTTATGGTAGCATATTAGTAAAAGCTCAGATTTATGGAATAGGTATTATGTAAAATTATTGAAGTCAACTGAAGGTTGAGTTATAGACAAGTATTTATAGAAAGCCCCAAATTAAAATAATTGCCAGAACTATTAACCAAGATCAAAACTGAAATCCATGTTTACAGAATATAACCAAGTGTCCAAGTATAGAGGTGGCAGGTGAATATTACACAGAGCAGGCACTAATTAAATATCAAAATAATTGGAGCCTTTACATCTTTTATCAGGAAAGTCTGATAACAAGTATTAAGTATAGAAATGAAAGTAATATTAATAATTAACATTTATTGAGAATGTTATGTGCCATAAACTTTTTTGATACTGCATGTTTTATCCCATTGTGGCTCTCACAATGATATTTTGGGATAGATACTATTCCTATATTCATTTTACAGCTACAAAGAAAAGCACATGGAGGTAAATATCTTGCTTTTCCCAACACTATTTTTTTTTTTTTTTTTTTTGAGACAGAGTTTCACTCTTGTCGCCTAGGCTGGAATGCAATGGCACGATCTCAGCTCACTGCAACCTCCACCTCTTGGGTTCAATTGATTCTCCTGCCTTAGCCTCCCGAGTAGCTGGGATTTCAGGCACCCACTAACACACCCAGCTAATTTTTGTATTTTTAGTAGAGACGGGGTTTTGCCATGTTAGCCAGGCTGGTCTTGAACTTCTGACCTCAGGTGATCGGCCCGCCTTGGCCTCCCAAACTGCTAGGATTACAGGCATGAGCCATCACACCCAGCTTCCCAACACTATTAAATTGTACAGCTAGGATCTGAATACAGGTAGTTTAACTCCAGGGCCTTTATCAATTAAAGGTGAAAACATTTTTCATAGAACTAAATCATAAATAATCATGTCTTGCATTTTCCTACCATAGAATCATTTTATACTAATTATTTGCATTATAGCATGTTGATTCCTATAAGCCTTCCTAACTAAACTACAAACTTCATTAAACAAGAGGTAGAATTTTTGATGCACTAACGTCCAGAAGGCAAACTAAACTAAGTGTTTATTAAATATTTGCTAAAAGAAAAGGAATTGAATAACAGAAAGAAAAGAGATAGGAAGTGAGAATGAAAGGGAATGACGATGGTATAAGTCCTAGAACCTTGCTTCTGAATCTAATTCTCACTTAATAAGGGCTTTTGGAACAAGACATGGAGGTTTTAGATGGAAAGAAGTAAGAGCAGTAGTAGCAACAGCTGCTTCTAAAGAGCTTTAGTTATGAGGTTTCTTATATTTCCCCCAATGAAGACAAAAATTATTTACACAATGAACAATACACTAAAACCTATATATAGGGGTAAAATAAATTGTGTTGTAATATTGAAAGGATTAAGGATTAAAAATATGGGTCAATTATGCCCGTTAACCATTTAAATACAGTCATGCACCACGTGACATTTTGGTCAATGACAGATCGCATATGTTGCAGCGGTCCCTTAATATTATAACGAAAATGAAAAGCTCTTATCACCTAGTGACATTGTAGCTATCTGATATGGTTTGTCTCTGTGTCCCCATCCAAATCTCATATTGAATGTTAATCCGTAATGTTGGGGGAGGGACATGGTGGGAGTTGATTGGATCATGGGGACAGATTTCCCCCTTGCTGTTCTGATAGTTCTCACGAGATTTGGTTATTTGAAAGTATGTAGCACTTCCCACTTTTCTCTCTCTCTCCTGCTCTGCCATATGAAGAAGGTGCTTGTTTTCCCTTCGCCCTCTGCCATGATTGTAAGTTTCCTGATGCTTTCCCAACCATGCTTCCTGTACAGCCTATGGAACTGTGAGTCAATTAAACCTCTTTTCTTCATAAGCTGCCCACTCTCAGGTAGTTCTTTATAGCAGTGTGAGAACGGATTAATACAGCATCATAACAATCAGCACAAAATGCATTACTCAGATGATTGTGGTGATGTTGACATAAGCAAACCTACTGCACTGCCAGTGGCATAAAAGTATTGCACATACAATTATGTGCAGTGCATAATACTTGATAATGATAATGAATTACTATGTTGCTGGTTTATATCTTTACTATACATTTTATTGTTATTTTAGAGTGTACTCCCTCTAATGATAAAAAGTTAATTGAAAATAGCTTTAGGCAAATCTTTTAGGAAGTATTTCAGAGGAACTATTATCATAGGAGATGATAGCTCCACATGTGTTACTGCCACTGAAAACCTTTCAGTGGGACAAGATTTGGAGGCGAAAGAAAGTGATATTGATGATTCGAACTCTGTGTAGGTCTAGGCTAATGTGTTACCCTCGTTAATGTGTTTAAAAGGTTAAAATATTAAAAATAGAAAAAACATTCCATAATATATGAATTTACAGAAAAAAGTATTTTAGTGCAAGTGTACAATATGTTTGTGTTTTAACCTAAGTGTTATTACAATGAGTCAAAGTGTTTTAAATTTAAATAGTTTATAAAGTAAAATCTTACAGTAAGCTAAGATTAATTTATTATCAAAAAATATATATTTTACAAATTTAGTATAGCCTAGGTTTGGAGTGTTCATGAAGTCTACAGTAGGGTACAGTAATATCCTAGGCCTTCACATTCACTCTTCATTCACTCACTGACTCACCCAGAGAAACTTCCAGTCCTGTAAACTTCATTCATTATAAGTGCCCTATATAAGTACACCATTTTGTATCTCTTATATCATACTTTTACTGTACTTTTGTTATGTTTAAATATGTTTACATACACAAATACTTACCTTTGTGTTACAACTGCCTAAAGTATTAACTGTAGGCAGTAACATGCTGTACAACTTGGTAGCCTAGAAGCAATAGGCTATACTATATAGCCTAGGCATGTAGTAGCTATGCCATCCAGGTTCAAGTACACTCTATGATGCATTTCTCAGAACGTATCCCCATTGTTAAGTGATGCCTGACTGTATATCTGGATCAAGTTAGGTTTATTTCTGGAAGGCAAGGATAGTTTAGCCATTCAAAAATTAAAAAAAAAAAAACTTACCATATTAACAGAAATTTGAAAACCATATTATTTTCTCAATAAATGCAGAAAATGTGTTTTACAAAATTCAGTATATTTCCCTGCTTAAATATTACCACCAAAGTATAAATAGAAAGAAATATCTTAATGAAATAAGAGTTGTCTATAAATAAGACTACAGCTACCATCAAACTTAATTTTTAAAAACTGAAATATTTCTCCTAAGATCAGGAATAAGACAAGGATGTATACACTTACCAGGAGTGCAATAAAGAAATAACAAACAAATAAAAGTTATCAAAATTAGAAATGAAGAAATAAAACTCTTTATTCACAGACAACATGATGATTAACATAGAAAATCCATTTAAATCTACGAACAAACTACTAAAAGTAGTAATATGTAAGTTTAGCAAGATGGCAGGATTTAAGGTAAACATTGAAAAATCACTTGTATTCTATGTGGGTATAGATAAAGGGAGGGAGAGAAAGAAAGAGAATTCGACACCATACACTATATTTATACCAATATCCTTAAAATAAACTATAGAAATTTAAATAAAGTAGAAATACCATTAAATGTATTATCAAAATTATTTAAAGATGGCAACTAATTGACTTCCAGACCTAATATTAAGCTATAGCAATTAAGACAGAATAATATTGGCATCGAGACAAATAATGTAGCAGTGATGTAGAGAGTTTACAATATACCCACACATACACAGTCAATTGATTTTCAACATTACCAAGTTAATTCAACACAATGTCTAAATGCAAAATTTAAAACTATAAAACTTTAACATAATAAGTCCTTAGATACATGAAAATTAAAACCACAAGATTATCTAATTTATACTACTCACAATTACGCAGCTTAACTTAAAACCAATAAAACATAGGAAAATCTTTGTTACTTTGAGTTAAGCACAGACTTCCTAGCTATACACCAGAACCATAATCCAGAGAAATTTCTAAAAGAGTAGATTTTAAAAGTTGTTACCACAAAAATGATAAGTAGGTGAGGTTATAGAAGGATTAATAAGCATGATTTAATCATTTCCCAATGTGTTCCTATCCAAAACATCCATTGTACCCATAAATATATACAATTATTTTTAATTAAAAGTAGAATATAAAACAAACAATAAAATCACGTCATCAAAATTATGGTCTGCTTTTTGAAAAAATGATTTTATTTGTAGTAGTTCAAAACTAAAAACAATCTAAACGTCCATCAACAAGTGAATGCATAAACAAAATTAATATATTTGTACAATAGAATACTTACCAAATATAAAAATAATCATCAGCACACACAACTACATGAAAGAATTTCAAAGTAATTATTCTCAGTGACAGAAGCTGGGGATCAGAATGTACTCTACTTAACCACAAAAATCAGGATAAGAGGATTTCAGAAAAAGAAGTTGTGGCCAGCATCATCATATGTAATAGATAATTTAACGAGAATCAAAATAAAAAATTATTTACTATACTTGACAATGATGCAATCCTAAAAGGGAATTATAACATTCAATGACAAGTGAGTTGAAGAAATGAGGAGTAATTGTGAAATAAAAAAGTTAAAAAAGACGATTTTCACTATTAGTATTTTTATTAATCATTTTTAGCACTTTATAGAATACAAGGTTTTTCACATATTTTATTCATTGATTTTCAAAGAAATTATTTGAAATGGTGTTCTTATAATTGGTTCCCCTTTGCCAAACTGAAAATAATGCTTGTATTTTTTTCTTCCTCATCTATAGTTGATCAAGAATCATCAATAGATAGAAGTGCCTAGAATTTTTACAGATTTCAGATATCAATGCAATCAAGTGACATAGCCAAAATATCTGTAAAGCGGATGGAAACTGTTCTTGCTAAATTTAGGAATTTCTGTTACTTGATTAAGAATTTTCAAACATAAGATTATATTTGCAGAAAAGTAATTTTTAAGTTATAGGCTTAGCATAAGATAATTCTTTCTTCTTTATTCTGACCTCCCCATGCCCCAGTATAGGCCCAAGCCTAAATAGTCATCCTAAGCCTACCAAGCTGAATGGTATGTTAATCAAGCTGCTCAGATCACATTCAGAATATATCGGCGCAAATAAAATAGTTATATGATAAATTAAAGATCACAAGTTTATGCCTTGCAGTGTAGTCTTGCTGATACTAGTATTGAGAAGGCCAAATTAATATTAATGCTGCTCAGTATATATAAATATGGCAGTTTTTGACTGGTAATTTCTTTTTCAGTTTGGAGCTTCAGTCTAGTTACATTCATTTGAGTTTGCAACTTAAAGAAACTTTATCCTGTTTTATTAAATAGTTCCACTGAATCAAGGAAATGACAGCCATAGGATAAATTGGAAATCAAAGGATAATTCATTTTAGAGTTGAAATTAAATTTTATTGATAATAAATAAGTGAAGCTCAAAACATTTGAATGCATGAAGAGTTTACATGATGTTAAGTAATAAGTTGTATTAGCCTATTTTCAAACTGCTATAAATATACTACCCAAAACTGGGTAATTTATAAAGGAATGAGGTTTACTTAACTCACAGTACCGCATGGCTGGGGAGGCCTCAGGAGACTTACAATCATGGTGGAAGGGGAAGCAGGCACTCTTACATGGCAGCAGGTCACAGAGAAAGAGTGTGTGAATATAGGAGGAACTGTCAAACATTTTATAAAACCATCAGATCTCATGAGAATTTACTCATTATCACGAGAACAGCATGGGGGAAACTTTCCCTAGGATCCAATCACCTCCCTTTCTCCACATGTGGGGATTACAGGTCCCTGCATCCACACATGGGGATTACAATTCAAGATGAGATTTGAGTAGGGACACAGAGCCAAACCATATTATAGGGTAATAAAAGTTCAAATCCATAGCACAGAATCAAAATATATAGGTGCCAAAAAATATTAGAACATCACAAAGGACAAAGGGTTCTAAAATCCCAAAGAATCAAACGCAGACTACCATGACCTAAATTCACGCAAAACTCTCCTAACTAGTATCCCAATGTCCAAACTTGCCCTACTAAAGTATTTGATTTATGAAATTAGAGTAATTCTTAAAAACTATAAACCTGACCATATCACACCCTATTTATATAAAGGAGAGAAGCATTTTAAAATGGAAAGTAAATCATAAGGTTAAAAAGAAAAAGTTACAAAATTGAAATCATAAAAGTAGGGAGCAGATTGGTATTTGGCAGGGGCCGGAAGTTGGGAAATGAATGTTGGCCAAAGGGTAGAAACTTTCAGTTATGAAGGACGAATAAGTCTGGAAGATCTAATATACATGGTAGTAACTATAGTTAATGATACTGTACTCTGTGTGAAACTGGCTATGAGAGTAGATGGGAAACGTTCTTACCACAAAAAAAAGATATAATGTGATGTGATGGACATGTTAATTAAATTTATTGTAGTAATAATTTCACAACGTATATATCTATATTAAAGCATCATGTTGTACACGGAAAATATATTTAATTTTTATTTATCAATTATACCTCAATAAAGCTGGAAAAATTAAGTAAAACCTAAAAAACTAAATAAAAAGCCAAGGTTACCTATAAGTGTGAAAAAGATAAAATAGATTATACAGTGGTAGAAGCTAAGCTTGAATACATTTTTGTAAGTTTAACTATCAGACCATGTAAGTATTTTGCATATTAATATAACAATTTTACATTTTTAAATGTCCCAAAATAAAATTTAAAAAATAAAAATTTGTTATTTTGAAAAGATAATAACCAAGCAATCATTAGCTGGAACAACAAAGAAAAAAAGAGAGAAGATTCAAGTAAACAAAATCAGAAATGAAAATGAAGACATTAGAACTGTTACCATAGAAATACAAAATATCATTAGAGACTATCATGAAATACTATATGCCAACAAATTGAAAAAGCTAAGAGAAATGTATAAATAAGTTCCTAGACCCATGCAACTCACCAAGATTGGAAGAAATAAAAAAACTGAACAGACCAATAATGAGTAAAGTGATTGAAGCAGTAATAAAAATCTCAACAAAGCAAAGCCCAGGACCTGATGGCTTCACTGCTGAATTCTACCAAACCATTTTTAAAAGGCTAATAATAATTATTCTAAAACTATTCTAAAAAATTGAAGATGAGGGAATTCTTGCAAATTAATTCTACAAGGCCAGTATTACCCTGATACCAAAACCAGACAAGAACACAATAACAACAAAAACTACAAGACAATATTCCTGATGAACATAAAAGCAAAACTGCTGAACAAAATACTAGCAAACTGCATCCAACAGCACATCAAAAAATTAGACACCATAATAAAGTGGAATTTACCCCACAGATGCAAAATAGTTCAACGTATGCAAGTCAGTAAATGTAATACATTACATAAAAAGAAAGACAAAATCTGTATGGATCATCTTGATAAGTGTGAAAAAAGCATTCAGTAAAATTCAATATCTCTTCATGGTGAAAAAAAAAAGCACTTTCACCACATTAAGCATAAAGGAACATACCTCAACACAATAAAGGTCGTGATAACAAGCCCACAGCCAACATGACAATGAATGGGGAAAAGCTGAAAGTTTTTCCTCTAAGAACTGGAATAAGACAAGTATGTCCATTTTTGTCATGTCTAAGCAACATAGTACTCTTATTCAACAATCTTATTCAACATAAATTCTAGACAGAGCAATTCAGCAAGAGATGGCAATAAAAGGCATTCAAATTGAAAAGGAGGAAGATAAATTGCTCCTATTTGCCTACAACATGGTATTATATATAGAAAAACTTTAAGAGTGCACCAAAAATACTTTCAGAAGAGATAAATTCAGTAAAGTTTCAGGATGCAAAATCAGTAGCATTTCTATACACCAATAATGAACTATCTGAATAAGAAATCAAGGAAACAATCCATTTATAACAGCCACAAACAAAAATAACTAGAAATAAGTTTAACAAAGTGGCCATAAATCTCTACAATGAAAATTATAAGCTACATATATGTAAAAGAAATAATAGGATTAGAAAACAACATTTTGCAACTGTATTGAATTAAATTAATGGATGTAAGTAATACTATCAGGAGCTGATTACATCAAATAAAAAAAGCAAGGAATCAGCAGACATCATGTAATTCCCAAATAAAGGCTACACAGCACCAGCTACCAAAAAGAAGATGAAGGTGAAGAAGGAAAGACGAGGAGAAGGGGGAGAAAAGAAAGAAGAAGAAAAAGAATCTGAAGAAGTCTATAGATCTAAAGCAATATAGAAATAACTTAATAAAAAAGTAAACATTTAATGTATTTCAAGGTGATATAATCAGCAAACTGCAGACTCTGGCAAATTCTATAAGATTATGTGGTTTATTCAACAACCAAGAGAAAAAAGAGAAGAGAGATAGAAAGAGCAAGAAAGAGAGAGGGAAAAGAGAGAAAATACAGATTAAGAGTCTTAACAGAAATATCAACATCAAAATATATTGACTGTCTCTGAGGTTTGTTTTACACAATCTTAAATACATGTTTTAAATGAACAATCAAGAAAATGCGAATACTGGCTAAATAATAACACTAAGAAATTATTGCTCATTTTCATTTTTTAAAAGTTGATATTGTTATTTATAAAATAGATACATAAATAATATACTTGAAATTATATGAAATCTTAGATTTGCTTAAAAGTAAACCAGAGCTGGGGAAATGGACAGGATATTAATAAAACAAGATTAACTATGTGTTGTTAATTATTGAAGTTGGAAATATGTCTGTGGGGTTCATTACACAATTCTCTCCACTTTTGTTTAAGAATTTCCATAATAAATGGCATAAATCTTTTGAAATAACAAAACACACAAATAAAAAATATAAAAATTGGTGTCACTGTAGCTCCTTTAATCTATACATCATTAATATGTGACAAACTTTTGAATCTTTCCTATTTTGTATATATATTTGTTAATAGCCGAATGTGACATTAGAAATTGGGTATATGCACTGTTAGGATATTCTTAATCCAAATAGATTATAGAAGAGGGTAATGAAAAAAGTGTATAATTACTATATAATGACCTCACCTGTTCTATTTTTTCCATCTCAAACAAGGAATGCATCACCCTAGGAAGAGTCCCATGAGAACAAAGAGACCATCACCAAGAAACCAAATGAGGCTGCAATCTGTTTAATTAGGCAACAAACTCATGGAAAGAGTTTGTGCCCTTTATCTATCTATCTATCTATCTATCTATCTATCTATCTATCTATCTATCTATCTGTCTATCTATCTATCTACCTATTTATCTATCATATATTTTATTTCAGAACATAGTTGGTAGTCGTAGAAATGCATATTAAAGTAGTCATTTAAATTGAGAACAAAATTAGACTTTTTCTAATGGAACATAAATCTCATTCAGTTAATTGCATTTATAGTAAAAGTTGGCCTTTCCGATCAATTTGTATTCTATACATTGAGTTAAATAGGTAGTTCATGGCGTTAATATAAATATATGTGAAACATGGTATAATATAAATCTAGTTTGTTTAAAAATTGTATTGGCAAAGGTATAGCAGAGTTCATAACATTTAAAATTTCCCAACCTTTTCTGATCATACCAGATTAAATAAGATGCCTCTACTTAAAAAAATAGCAAGCATTAATAATCATTGATGAACTTTTCAAAAGCATTTAAAATACACTCTTCAGAAACTGAGAAAGTAAAGACCTCAGTGACTAACACATCATCTTACTGTTTAGATTCCTTTAATTCTTCACTTTCAGTAGACCTAAAGGAGCATTCAGGTTAATAAAAATATTTTTTGTTGATAAACCACTGTATGATTTTAGCTATGTAACCATACTAAATTAAAAATAATGTGTTTGTAAAAAGCTTAACTCTATCATTCCCATGTATATCTTACAAGAAAAATCTTTTTTTTTTTTTTTTGAGGCGAAGTCTCGCTCTTTCGCCCAGGCTGGAGTGCAGTGGGGCAATCTGGGCTCACTGCAAGCTCCGCCTCCTGGGTTCACACCATTCTCCTGCCTCAGCCTCCTGAGTAGCTGGGACTACAGGCGCCAGCCACCATGCCCGGCTAATTTTTTGTATTTTTTAGTAGAGACGGGGTTTCACCGTGTTAGCCAGGATGGTCTTGATCTCCTGAACTCGTGATCTGCCCGCCTTGGCATCCCAAAGTGCTGGGATTACAGCAATAAAAATATCTTAAATTGAGCATGCATTAAAACAAACTAAATATAGAACTCATGGTGAGCAATGCTTCATTTTAGCAATAAATATCTATACATACAAGAATAATTTTAAATGTTCAACCTATCACATTATGTTAGGTATTTCAATTTTTTAAATTATCAAAATTGGTAATATATTTTTGATCAATTGCTTACCAAAATAATCATAATAATTTTAATTTAAATTTCCAGTACTCAGAGACTTAAAAACACACATATGCATATACAAACTTCAGAGAAATGTGATCTGTGGTGAGTAAATCTTTCAAGCACATTACATTAATTAGGATAATCTATGTGGGAAAAGTGGAATAGAAATACACAAATATGAAAAATACAGTGTCTGACTATAATATTTTATTATGATTTAATTTTAATGGACTATAATATAATATTTTATTATGATTTAATTTTAATGGACTGAGATGTAACTTGAATGCTATGATCTTTAGTTGCATGCATTTAAAAAGTAGCATATCTGTGAGTTTAAAATAACAATTTTTATAATACATAAAAATTAAGTCATTCAAACAATTAAATTTATGAAAAACTTTTCAATGTTACCTTAAAATTATGTAGGGTTAATGTATCTCTTAAAAGTCATTTTAAGTTGTTGAAAGACAAACTTTAGATGAATTAAATTTAATACAGTTTATTTGAGCAACAAACTATTCATGAATTGGGCAACACTCAGAACCAGGCGACGTTCAGAGAGTTCTACCCAGCAATATGAGCAGGCAGTATTTATAGACAGGAAAAGGAATGAAAACAGAAACAGACTGATTGGTTACAGCCAGGCATTTGTCTTATTTGGACATAGTTTGATCAGTTGGCAGCCTATGATTGACTGAAACTCAGCTGCCATGATTAGCTGACACTTTGTTATTTGTAGCAAGAGTATACCCTTAAATTAGATTGCAGTTTGTTTACATACTAAATTACGATGCAGATTGTTATGTATGGAGGCAGCTTTAGGTCAGATTTAATTTAATTTTAGAAAGGGTATTATAGCCAAATAATTGGAAAGCTGCTGTTAGATAACTCAAACCCACATTAAGTGAGTAAATTGAAAAGAGTTCAAAATTTAGAGCTTAAAGGTTTTCTGCCCACATAAAACTCCATTGGAAATGCTTGCATTTGTCATCCCAATAAATGTCTTTGCATTTCAGAAACAGTCAGTCCTGGGTTCTTCCCTTGGGAGCAATTTTGTTGCCTTCTTTCAATGAATATATTGACTATGCTCTCATTACAATATAGAAAACTGTTTTTCTCTAGATCTAAAAAAAAAATTAAAACAAACAAAAATCAAAAATGAAAACCACTGCAAGAAAAAAATATCTTCAGCTTTCTGAAATTATGAATGATATTTAATTAAGGTCACTGGAGATGGTTCCATCAGAACATCTTTTGCCACTTCATGTTCCAACTCTCCTCTGTGGTCTTTTCTTGCAATACAGCCATGTTTCATTTATGACTCGTGATTTCCTGCCACTTAGGAAAACTTTGACCATACTAACAAATGCTTTTCTGTCCAACAGAGATTTCACAATGTTCTCTGTGTATCTCAATTAGGTTTCATCTTAATACTTAAGTTTACTCTTGCTTGACTCACTTGAGGCTAGAAAATCTACTACAAATGATAATTTCTGACTTCTTTACAGTTTTCTGAATTACCTTGGGGTCATTCTAATAATTGGGATTTGGATTCATTAAGGTCATGGTTAACCCAATAACTTAAAAGCCCAAATAGGTGAACAGTAATAGCTTCTTACTGCTAATGTGGCCAAAACAAGGCCCAAATAATTGGTAATTAGGGCACAAAAAAGGTTTTTTCACTTGAAAAGCTTTATTTATATGAATCTAAGTATCCTCATCAAGCTCTACTCCTTCCATTTTTATTGCTTTATCTACAATAATATTCAAAATACATTTCCAAGGAATACCTATGTTTTATTATTCAACAAAGGACAGTCCAATCAGGGTCAGATCAGAGAATATGATATATCGTATAATAGAAAGCAAATGAAAGTTTTCTAATAGAAGAATCTGAAAAGTTGCTGGCAATGAAGCCAGGCAGTGTGTGAGCAAGAATGTTCAAGGAAATATTTTATTTTTATTTATGTTGGCTATGAAATAAATATTGCATAGTTGAATCAGTGGATTTTATGTGTCAGGCACTATATCCTGCTGCACCCAATCACTGCAGAGCTGTCAAAAGCAAAGTGTGCATTTGAAGAGGCCACCCTCTCTGAAAGGAAAGAGAGAAAAACCAGGAGGGTTGACAAAATGCATTCTGATGAGTGTCTCTCCCTCTCTTTTTAAAGCTATTTGAGTTTATTCCAATTTTAGCAAACGTGAACTCTGAATGAAAAGTAGCTTGAAGGCAACAGCTTCTAAAGGATGTAGAGAAAGAAGACGGAAGACTTGCATTTTTCTAAGCAGATGACATTTCACAAATGTAATGTATGTCCAACGAATATAAGATAGAATGGTTCAATTACAGATTAGACACTCCCTCCCCCTACTCAATAACAAAATGTATAGAATGTGATGAGATGGGCATTTTATATTGTGGGCATCTGGTCACCGACCTAAATGTTACTGCCACATCAGTGTGAATGAGCATCAGGAACAGGCAAATGAGAATGCCCAGAAACTGCAAATGTCAGGAAAGCACAGGCAGGAAAGCAACAATCACTCAGCACATGCCCCTATATGGAATTTGATTTGAATTACCTGGCAGAAGGATGGCTTATGATAAGGCCAGGGAAGGCAGAGTACACAGACCTGAGATTTGGGCTAGGTTGTTAAAAATGCTTTCTTGGGAGGGTCTCTTTGTATTCCTAGTTCCCTCTGCCTCATTTCTGAGATTCAGAGCTCTGGAGACTGAAACATTGGCTTTTGGTTGTTTATTAATTGCCATATATGTTTACCGCTGTTATGTGACTCAAAAGCCTTAAGTTATGAATAATTAAAACTTTACCTTCCATGGGCATAAGCTATAATACAATAATGACAGTCTCTTCAGAATATCCTTAAATATTGTATAGATACTGAAATTACACTCACTTCTCTCACACAAACATTCTCACTAACTTACTCAGCTCCTTCAGTTTTAATCACCTTAGTTGTTGCTAAATGCTATTTAAAAACTTATCACTGATTTCTGTGTTCTAAAGAATCTCTTTGTACACTGTAATAAAATAGGGATAATACTATATAATTAAACTTGTATTACTTGCGTACCTTTGATAATATAATAATGTCATAATAATGGATATTCTCTTTCATCTAGTTGATATCAGATAAATGCCTTATCTTAGATGGGCTAACTAAATAATTTTGAGAGCTGAAAGTTTTCACAATGGGGCAATAATATTTCCCTTTGCCCAGTATTCAGGCACATCAGAGCTTCCCAGGTCTAATCAAGCATTCATGTATTTTCTATTTCCTGTACCTCAGCTCACTCATGGCCTCAGCTAGGTGAAAGGAGTGAATTTCTAATGGTGAAATTATAGGCATTTTGACAGGCCAATGGAGAGATATTTTGAGGGTAGAGAGATTCCCAGAATCGTTCAAATTTAAATGACAACAAACAGTAGGCTTTAATTTCTTCAGTCCAGGTTTTAGCAGGATTCTTGTCAGTCACAGAACACCTGCCCTATATAAAATATTTCTCACATACTAATTCTCTGTCTGACACTTGACAGTTTTTATGAAGAAAGATGGGAAGCTGAGTATTTTCTCTGTAGGACAAAAATTTGATTCATAGCAATTTAGTTATGTAGAATGAAATTTTATGTGACAAAACTGTTCTTTCTTATGGATTTTTATTGTACAGAAATTTTGCATGCACCTCAATTTGTGCCAGTTTCTTAATTTTCATAAAGGAGGTGTTTGTTATTCAGTTTTGTTTTGTTTTTTAAAGACAGGGTCTCTCTCTGTCACTCAGGCTGGTCTCAAACTCCTGGCCTCAAGTGATTCTCTCACCTCGGCTTCTCAAAGTGCGGGAATTATAGGCGTGAGCTATCACGCCCTGATATTTAGTCACTTAAGCATATTTGAGTAGGCTTTTAAGAGAAATCCATGAGTATAGACTATTGTTGAAAACTGCTATAACCAATTTTAATGTTCTCTGTGTAGAAAAATGGGGAAGACAAGAATCTAAATCACTAGGAACATACCATTTGCATTTCTTATGCCCTGCATTCTAGCCAAGTGTAAATAAAGCCCATATCTCTCTTGTATCTCTTGGGGCCACTTTGTGGTAGGATTTTTCTTTCCTTAGTTAACTTCAGGTATTTTTTTTTCTCTCATGAAATGGTTCTTGCTACTGGGAAATCTGTAGATTAGCTACATTCTCTCCAAATAGGTTTGAATCTACAAGTTGCCAAGTTGGAAATAATTAACTACTAAAAACTGGAGTAAGAACCCTTAGGATTGTGTAACTGCAACAGTTTCATTGATTTGCTGAGTCAGTATCTTATTATACAAAAATGAAGAAAGTAAATATGACCCTTTTAGATACTGTAAAGGTAATAAAATATTAATACAAACAATACCTTTAAGTTCTAGAATAGAACAGAATAAATATGTGAGATAATCCTATAAACATTTTTTAACCGTGCTTTTATGCTTTAATTTTTGTCACTTGAAAGGATAAGGACACTAAGACACTTATTGGAGAGAGAAGACTAAATTCTGTGTAATATAATGCTTTAAAAGTAAAAACAGGCCAGGCGCGGTGGGTCACGCCTGTAAATCCGAGCACTTTGGGAGGCCAACATGGACAGATCACCTGAGGTCAGGAGTTTGTGACCAGCCTGGCCAACATGGTGAAACCCTGTCTCTACTAAAAATACAAAAATTAGTTGGGTATGGTGGCAAGCGCCTATATTCCCAACTACTCCAGAGGCTGAGGTAGGAGAATTATTTGAACCTGGGAGGTGGAGGTTGCAGTAAGCCAAGATCACCCCACTTCACTCCAGCCTGAGTGACAAAGCAAGACTCTGCCTCAAAAAAAAAAGCAACATTATTAAGGTATAACTGATATCCAATATTTAAAGTGTATAGTCTGAACAATTGCGTCCATGATTCACCAAATTTGTCCCATGACCCCACTTCCTAACCTCTCCTCCATCCCCCAGACAACTGGTCTGCTTATGTCATTGTATTTTTGCATACATTTTCTAGATTTCATACTAAATGGAATCATTCAATTTCTACTTATTTTTGGAGAAGGGGAAGTCTTCCTTCTTTCACCCAGAATAATTATTTGAAAAATTTATCTATGTTGCTATGAGTATCAATAGTTCATTTCTTTTTACTCCTGTGTAGTATTCCTTGGTCTAAATATGCCTTGGTTTGGTTATCTATTCACCTGTTGATGGACATGAGGGTTGTGTCTAATTTTAGTTCACCAAAAGTAAGGCTGCTGTGAACATTTGTGTGCAAGTCTTTATATGGACATCTGTTTTTCTTTTTCTTGAATAAATACTTAGAAATGGAATAGGTATATCTTTGATGTTTTTGAAGAAACATCAAAACATATTATAGAGTGAAAGTTTGTTCTCCTCCAAAGTCCATATATTGAAGCTTGAATCTCCAATGGATTCATAGATGATGCCTTTGGGAGGTAATTAGGTAATTACAGTCGAGCCTTCATAAATGGGATTAGTGCCCATACAAGGCAATAAGGAGCCTAGAGCTCTCTCCTTCCACTACGTGAAGATATAATAGGAAAGTGACTGTCTGCTACCCAGAAGAGGGCTTTCACATGGACCCAACCATGCTAGACCCTGATCTTGGACTTTTGGCCTCTAGATCTGTGAAAAATAATTTTTTTTATAGCCCCCTAGTCTACGGTACTTTGTTATAGCAGCTCAAAGTGACCAAGACACTAACACATCGTTTTCCAAATTGGTAGTACCATTTTACATTCCCACCTGAAAATTCAAAGAATTGCAGGGGCTTCACATCCTCACCAACACATTGTATGGTAAGTCTTGTTAAAATTTTAGCCATTTGAATAGCTGTGAAGTGGCATCTCATTGTAGTTTTAGTGTGTAGTTTTAATTTCCTTATGTTAATTTGTCTAGAAGCTGAAACTTTGGGTGATGAATAACAGGAAGGAAAACTGTCTAGTTTCTCAGGATCTCCATCACCACAGGAAACTCAAAGTGGAAAAAATTATTTATGTTCTCCTTATTCTCTCTACATCTTAATCACATTTATTTATTCATTATTCACCATTATAATAATTTCACACAATATTTGGGAGAGCTACATAAAAAGAATAAGTATTAATAACTTTTCACCTTGTCATATTTACTATTCACACTTTGGTCCTATTTTCTCCATCATAATAAAATTGCGAACATTTATTAAAGACTCACAATGACCCAGGCTTAAAGTATATAGACTCATACAGCTCACAGAAATTTTTTCAACAATTTTATAATATCATTTTATTCCATTACGTAAATTTTAAAAAGAAGAGACTAGAGAAGGCTCATAACATTATGCTAGCAACTAGCAAAGCCCAGACTTGTTTCAATATATTTCTGACTCCAAAGAGTATTCTTTCAGCTTCTTCAAGACAGTCTCTTGAGTTAGGTTGCTAAAATAGTCTGATTAAAAAGGAAAAACAATATAACTGAGTTTTAAAGGTATTGAAAGAATGTCTTCATTGCAGGTAAGGAAACCAACTTACCAAGTAGACTTAGACAAATGGGTTGAACAGACTCAGAATAACCAGCATGGCATACTGATTCAAGGTTCCAGAGACACAGCTCTTATACCCTCCTATAGAACAGCTTGGTTGAATTATTTAATTTCTCTAATTTCATTTACCATCTCAGATGGTACATTTCTCAGAAGAGACTGTTTTAGAAGAACTCTAAGAAAAACTACACTTCTAAAATGTTTAACTCTACTTCAGATGGAAAAGCAGTGAAATGGGTTGAATGACCTTTAAATTCTCAGCTCTCAGTGTCATTTGATGCTGACAGAGATAAATCACAGGAGTATATTAGAAGATTATCTGACTGGTCAAAATATGGCAGAAGTACATTGGATCTGCAAGTGTCAGGTCTATTTAGAGAAAAGGACCGATTTTGCTGAAGCAAGCAATATTCACCACACTGAAAAATCTTATTTTTGTTTATTGTAGCTATAGGCAATAAAATAAGGCTATATATGTTCTAGAAAAAAGTCAATTAAGGAGTTAGAGATACTATATGTATTTTTATTGAAAAAATTTAAAAATATTCTTAAAGTTCAAAAATAAAAATTGAGAATTTCTATAAGTTGAAAATTAATTAAAAGTATAGATACAGGAAAGAAAGCTTGTTCCCTAAATCCTTAGAGTTTAGAACAAAATGTTGATTTTAGGACAAATAAAAATAAGCTCTTTTTTCTACTATAGACTACAATGTAAAAGGCTCATTATCTCTTTATGTAGTATAAAATAAATAGAACATCCTAATATGCTCAAGAGGATTTGTGAGAGAGTTGGACATTTTGGACCAATGTAAAGATTACTTAGCCAACATTTCTGAATGTTGCAATGAACACTACACAATAGCTCAAGTTTTCCTCAGAATCATAGTTGTCAGCAGTATAAAGACCTTTATATATTGTTAGTTCAAATTTCTCATTTTAAACTTGAAGAAATTTAGTCTTTAAGATGTGCATAAAGTTCGTCACACTGTGAAAGACAGCCAGCATTTCAACAAAACAATTTTTATGGATACTCTCAGGCATAGAATGAGTTGTGTGACTTTTATATGGTACCTAGCTTCTCTAAGAATCAATTTTTTTTTCATGTGCAAACTGAAACTAATAATATGTATAAATAGAATTTGGGAGATAATTTAAATGACTTACCATATTTCATCAAATCTAATACATTATTCTAATAGTCACTTTTATTTTTTGTATGACTAAATAATAAAAATAAACTAATTTTCTTTTAGAGTATTTATTTTTAACATATGTAAAAAATTTGACTTATTTCACTATTTAAATGAAAATATAAAAAATACATTGGTGTATGTGTTACCAAAACTTACCATATTCACAGCCTTACTTTTTAAAGTTGCTTTTAAACTAAAACTGTCACTGTCAATATTGTTTCTCTTTTTCCCTTTAATTGTAATATTATTCTCTGCTGTCAAAAGCATGGGTGTGGCAGCACTTCTTAAGAGAGTGCTCTACTCTTATCTCTGGGATTTTCTCCCACAATGTTAACACTCATTCTGTAAGTGTTGATTCTAGTAATTTTCTATTTATCTAAACACAAAATTTTACTTTGTTTTCTCATTTAAATCGCAATGCTGGAAATGTAGCAACTTATGTTTAAAGTCAATAAAGTTTCTGACCCATTGAGGCTCAATATCTTTTTTTAACTTTTATTATTTAGGTTTGCGGGTATATGTGAGGGTTTGTTACTGTAGGGAAAAGAAAGAGAGATCAGACTGTTACTGTGTCTATGTAGAAAGGGAAGACATAAGAGACTCCATTTTGAAAAAGACCTGTACTTTAAATAATTGCTTTGCTGAGATGTTGTTAATTTGTAGCTTTGCCCTAGCCACTTTGACCCAGCCACTTTGACGCAACCTGGAGCTCACAAAAACATGTGTTGTATGAAATCAAGGCTTAAGGGATCTAGGGCTGTGCAGGACGTGCCTTGTGAACAAAATGTTTACAAGTAGTATACTTGGTAAAAGTCATCGCCATTCTCTAGTCTCAATAAACCAGGGGCACAATGCACTGCGGAAAGCCGCAGGGACCTCTGCCCTTGAAAGCGGGGTATTGTCCAAGGTTTCTCCCCATGTGATAGTCTGAAATATGGCCTCGTGGGATGGGAAAGTCCTGACCGTCCCCCAGCCTGACACCCGTAAAGGGTCTGTGCTGAGGTGGATTAGTCAAAGAGGAAAGCCTCTTGCAGTTGAGATAGAGGAAGGCCACTGTCTCCTGCCTGCCCCTGGGAACTGAATGTCTCGGTATAAAACACGATTGTACATTTGTTCAATTCTGAGATGAGAGAAAAACCACCCTATGATGGGAGGCGAGACATGTTTACAGCAATGCTGCTTTGTTATTCTTTACTCCACTGAGATGTTTGGGTGGAGAGAAACATAAATCTGGCTTACGTGCACGTCCAGTCATAGTACCTTCCCTTGAACTTAATTATGACATAGACTCTTTTGCTCACATGTTTGTTGCTGACCTTCTCCTTATTATGACCCTGCCCGCCTACTACATTCCTTTTTACTGAAATAATGAAGATAATAATCAATAAAAATTGAGGGAATTCAGACGGGTGCCGGTGCAGGTCCTTGGTAGGCTGAGCGCTGGTCCCATGGGCCCACTGTTGTTTCTCTATACTTTGTCTCTGTGTCTTCTTTCTTTTCTCAGTCTCTCATCCCACCCGACTAGAAATACCCACAGGTGTGGAGGGGTAGGCCACCCCTTCAGTGTACGTAGGTAAACATGTGTCACGAGGGTTTGTTGTACATATCATTTCCTCACCCAGGTATTAAGCCCAGTACCCAACAGTTATCTTTTCTGTTTCTCTCCCTCTTCCCACTCTCCCCACTCAAGGAGACCTCAATGTCTGTTGTTTTCTTCTTTGTGTTTATTAGTTCTTATCATTTAGCTTCCAATTATAAGTAAGAACATGTGGTATTTGGTTTTCTATTCCTGCATTAGTTTGCTAAGGATAACAGCCTCCAGCTCCATACATGTTTCCAAAAAAGACATTATCTTGCTCTTTTTTTATGTCTGCATAGCATTCCGTGGTGTACATGTACCACATTTTCTTTGTCTAATCTGTCATTTATGGGCTTTAGGTTGATTGCATGTCTTTGCTACTGTGAATGGTGCTGCAATGAACATTTGCATACATTTGTCACTAGGGTAGGATGATTTATATTCCTCTGTGTGTACGGCCAGTAATGGGATTGCTGTGTTGAATGGCAAACTACCAACAACATTCTTCACAGAACTAGAAAAAAACTTTCTAAATTCATATGAAACCAAACAAGAACCTGAATAGCCAAGGCAATCCTAACCAAAACAAACAAACAAACAAACAGACAAACAAACAAAGCCAGAGGCACCACGTTACCCAACTTCAAACTATACTACGAGGCTACAGTAACCAAGACAGCATAGTACTGGTATTAAAAGAGGCACATAGACCAACAGAACAGAATAGAAAGCCCAGATACAAGGCTTCA
Source organism: Homo sapiens (assembly GCF_000001405.40). Lineage (NCBI taxonomy): Eukaryota > Metazoa > Chordata > Mammalia > Primates > Hominidae > Homo > Homo sapiens. Next base: position 104,172,760 of record NC_000004.12, read on the forward strand.
CAACTATGATAAAGCTGACAAAAACAAATAATGGGGAAAAGAGTTCTTATTCAATAAATGGTGCTGGGATAACTGGTTAGCCATATGCAGAAGACTGAAGCTGGATCCCTTCGTTACACCATACACAAACATCAACTCAAGACATATTAAAGACTTAGTAAAACCCCAGACTATAAAAGCCCCAGAAGACAACCTAGGCAATACCATCCTGGACATAGGAACGGGCGAATATTTCATGATAAAGACACCAAAAGCAATTACAGCAAAAGCAAAAATTGACAAGTGGGATCTAATTAAGCTTAAGAGCTTCTGCACAGCAAAAGAAACTATCGACAGAGTATAAAACAACCTTCACTACAGGATAAAATGTTTGCAAGCTATGCATCTGACAAAGGTCTAATATCCAGCATCTATAAAGAACTTAAACAAATTTACAAGAGAAAAACAACCCCATTAAAAAGTGGGCAAAGGAAATGAACAGGTATTTCTCAAAAGAAGACATACATGTGGCCAACAAACATATGAAAAAAGCTCAATATCACTGATTATTAGAGAAATGCGAATCAAAACCACAATGAGATGCCATCTCACACCAGTTAAAATGGCTATTACTAAAAAGTCAAAAAATAACAGACGCTGGTGAGGTTGTGGAGAAAAGGGGACAATTATACACTCTTGGTGGGAGTATAAATTAGTTCAGCCATTGTGGAAAGCAGTGTAGCAATTCCTCAAAGAGCTAAAAGATGCTCAATGTCTTAATATGCTCTTTCTCTGTGGAAAAATCAATCATATCTGTCCCTGGTTTCTTCCAAGTTTCTTTCTGATATTTTAAGAGAACTAGTAGTACTCCTGACTTTAGTTATAGGGCTTTTTTCATGATAAGTAATCCTTTCTCACATAGCACAGAAACAATATATGAAAGAGAATATTGCAATCATGGGTATCTTCTCTTTGATTCTGAGAGAATTTGTTGTAGCTTTTCAAGAAAATACGGAATTGTGATCATATCTCTGATGAATTTTGCTTCATTATCAAATTGAGGTTCCAGGTTTAACTGCACACATTGTTTTGTTTCTGTGTCATTTTACATATGTAATGCCTTTCAATAACTCAACACAATGCAACATTTTGAATTCACTTTAAACACCAATTAAGCTTAACTTGCATAATACCAATGGATTTACATGAGAAAAATATTAAGCAGTAATGGCAAATTTTGCACAAGTTCAGGTGATGTAAAATGGATAATAATTCGTCTTGCATATAATGACTGCAAGATGTCATCTGTTTTAAGAAGAATCTATTTCAGTAGGTATTAAAATACACAAATATGACCATTTGAAAATTAACAAAATGTAGTATATTAAACATTTAACAACGTCTGGCTTATCAAAGTTTAATACATGATAGACTTTCCTGTCATTATTATTTTGTTATTAATATTATTGTCTAACGAGATATTTTGACATTCTCATTTTTCCAACAGTGCACAGCTTACTCCTAAGACAATGATATTACGGACTAAATGGACATAACTTTTGTTGAAAATGTAGATACCCTATATCTTTCCTGTCTTAATAAATCAGATCTTGATTATTCCCAGAATTAAACTCTCTCCATACTTATTATACACAAAATAATTTATTGCTCCCTCAGGATATTTACAGGATCCAAAGATTATATTATCTGGTCACAGAATCATTTATAAACACATTTTTAGATGAAGAATATACTCATTTTGACCCAGTGATTAAATAATTTTTTATCCATTTGTGAGTTTTGAAATATTAATGATGGCAAAGCTTCTTATTGTTTAATCAATTTTAGATCCTATGATTTTAATGATCTTGCATGTTTTCAAATACCTGAAGAGTCAAGCATAGTTTCAACATCCATAACCACTGAAGTTACTTAACATGAAACCATTTCTCCCTCATATATCTTCTCTGTAAATTTTCATTTATTTTAGCGGGCCAAATATTAATATAGAGGGATATGTATTAGACATGTGATGCACATAGATAACTGTGAAATAGTTATTTATTTTATTGCCTATGTAGGCCAGAAGGGAAGAAAACATGACCCAATTATAAGAGTGCATAGGCATCAACACTTTATAACAATAAACTTACAAAAAAATATGGCTCATAAGGTCTAAAAGGAAAGCCTACTGATTTTGAAAATAGTGATCACATAGGTAGGTAGCATATGTTCGGTTAATCTGGAAATTAATCTTGAAAGATATGGCTTTGTGGGTGAAGTCATAGTTCATGAGTTCTCAAGAGTAAGTTTTGCTACATAGAAAAACCAATGAGTGATACATCTGCAAATTAAATAAATAGATAAATAAATAAATCATTTTGAAATATTTAGATCCTTAACAAACTAAATCTATAGGTCACGGTTTTTCACTTTCTCCTTTTGACATAACTGCTGTCACTATTATTATACCTGTTTTGTCCACTGGGAAAGCTATTCTCCACCTTTTTCATGAGCTGTAAAATCATGTTTTCCTATCATTATTCAATATTTTGTTTAAGGCTTTTTTCTTTTCCAAATGAACTCTACATATTTTTATTCAATTTCAAGGTAGATCCTTAAGAGTTAAAAAGCTTAGACTCTGAACTCAGAGAGCAGAAAGGACCACTTCTCCCCATAAAAAGTTATTTAATCTTGATCAAGTCACTACACCTTTGATATAGTTAGGCTTTGTGTACCCAACCACATCTCATCTTGAATTGTAATCCCCATAATCTCCATGTGTCAAGGAAGAGACCAGGTGGAGGTAATTGAATCATGGGAACAGTTTCCTCCATGCTGTTCGCCTGACGGTGAGTGAGTTCTTACAAGATCTGATGGTTTATAAGGGGCTCTTCCCCCCTTCACTTGGCAATTCTCCTTCAACCTTGTGAAAAAGGTAAAAGGTGCCTGGCTTCTTCTTTACTTTCCACCATGATTGTAAGTTTCCTGAGGCCTCCCCAGCCATGCCAAACTGTGGGTCAATTAAACCTCTTTCCTTTAAAAATTACCCAATCTCAGGCAGTTCTTTATAGCAGTATGAAACTGGACTGATACAACCTTCAACAGCCTCTGTATGTTCACCTAAAAATAGTTTCTACCTTAAGGGGCTGTTGGAATGATTAAGTAAAGAATGTGCACAAATGAATCTGGCACACAATAAGCATTCAATTATGCTTTTTAAATTTTTATTTTATTTTTCAATTAATTACACATTTTTAAATATTTCTATAACTTCCATTAAATCCCATTTTTACCTAACAGGCTATGTAGTTGACTATATTATTGGCCCAAAGCCTTTACTCCTCTGTGAACAAAGGTCCTTAACCATGTGACTTTAATTTCTCAATTAAAGTGGTAAAATAGATTTCCGAGCTCCTACCTATAGGTTCAGCCATGTGACTCTTGGTCAATAGAAATGAAGGGAAGTGTGTCTTAACAAATCTTGCATATTTTTCCTTGCTGTATTAGGACTGTAATAGTTAGCTTTAAAAATGCATGGAGGCATACTAATACTATGTGTAGGATATACTTATGCTAATTTATTCATTGTTTACCTGAAATTCAACAAAATATTTATGAATAATGGGAAAACATGGTTTTAGAGCTTGTTAAAAAGGTGGTAAACAGCTTTCCCAGTGGACAAAACAGGTATAATGATAGTGAGGGTAGCTATGTCAAAAGGAGAAAGTGAAAAACTGTCAGCTATAGGTTTAGTGTGTCAAAGATCTAAATATTTCAAAACGATTTATCTATCTGCATTTTATTTGGCAATATTATCTATTATGCCTCTGCCATTTTTATGAGAACATACCAGGTAGCACTCTGGTCCTGAGAAGAAGATGAGAAACAGGTAGAACACAGGTTCCCCAGCTGAACTGCAGCATGAGAAATGCCAAAACAAACACACCCATGATTATTCAAGTATTCATACATAGGTAACATAATTATGTATAAAAGTCAAAGATAATCTGCAAGCTACGAAAATAAAGAAGCAACTTTAGCGAAATTGCTAGGTAAAATTAAATATATAAAAAGTATTTTCATATGCTAGCAATAAACACAAAACAAATAATTAAAATATGATACTATTTCAATAAAATTAAATGGTGCCAAATACTTTGGAAAAAATTTAACAAAAGTATGCAGAACTTCATATGAGAGAATACAAAATTTCTGGAGAAAATATAAAGACTTAAATTGAAAGATACAGCACGTTTATGGATTAGAAAGTTTTCTATATTAGAAATTTCAGACCTTTCCAAATTAATCTTCAGATTCAACATATTTCTAACAAAAATCTTAGCAGTTTTATTTTTTTCTGTGGAAGTGGTAAATTATTTACAAAAATGTTTTGGAAAACATAAAGGCCCAAGAACAGCCACAGCAATCTTGAAGAAAAATTTGGAGAACCTACAATATCACATTTAAAAAGACTTGGTATAAAAATATAGTAATTAAGGATACAAACACTAATCAAAGGACAGAAAAGAGAGTTCAAAAGAAATTCCAAATATAGAGAGTTACCTCATACATGAAAAAGCTACCACTGCAGCATAGTGGAAAATTTCTGATCGTATTAATAATTGAAGCTGGGTTAACTCAACATTTATTTGAAAAAAAAATCTTGAACCCTACTTCACACATCACAAAAATAAAAACATTACATATTGCAAATATGAATATGAACAAAACAATAAAGATTTTTTTAATACAAATAGTCATGATCTTGGAGTAGGAATAATTTCTTAAAGAAGGCACAAAGATTGTAAATTTAAAAGAAAAAATAACACAGTGAACTACGATAAAACTTTAAAACTTCTGTTAACCAAAAGACACAATTAAAAAGTGAAAAGACAACTCACAATTTGGGAAAAGATACTCATTGTACATATATCTGAAAAAGGTCTTATATCCACAGTATGTAAAAAAAAAAAAAATTCCTGTTAGCTACTCGAAAGTGGACATCTAGTAAGAAATGGGCAAAATTCTCAACAATATACTTTAAAGAAGAGGGTGTCTAAATCATCTTCAAATACAAGAAAAATTCTCAACCTCATCAGGGGAATTCCAATTAAAATCACTAGTATGGCTTGAAATAATTTTAAAAAATACCAGTGTGTGTGAGAATATGGAGCAATTAGGCTCTCATGCACTGCATGCAAATAGGTAAATGTGTATGACCATGTTACAAAATAGTACTTACTCAACATGAATATATGCATACTTTGAATGAGAAATCTCACTCTTAAGTCTATCCCTAACAGAAAAGGGCACATATGTTCATCAAAACACAATAATAAACATGTAGGCAGAAACTACAAACTATTCAAATTTTTTTCAACAGTAAAATGGATAAAGAAGTTGTGGCAAATTCACAGAATGAAAAATAATGTAGAAATGCAAATAAACAACTTATCACTACACAAAAGCAGAGAAAATCTCAAAAATTAAATATTAAGCAAAAGAAACTTACAAAAAATGAGGTCATATTCTAAATTCACTTAAACTACAAAGATTGAAAAAACTAATGTATTATATTTCAATCAGGCTAGTGCTGACACTTTGCATGGAATGGTGGCAGGAAGGGACTGTGGAAGTTGTTCTAGGACTCTAGTAATGGTTGGTTTATTGATCTGGATGCTGGTGACTGACTTCATCTGTTAAGTTTGTAAAAATCCATCAAGCTTTATTAATGTTTGTATGTGTATGTGTGTGTATTGTCTTTTCACATATTACACTTCAATAACAAATTATGAAAGGGAATAGTGTAATAGATGCCAGAAAAAAGCACATGCTGTCCTAGGGAAGCAGTAATGATTGCCCAAATAAAGGCTTGAATTTAATTGAGTGAATGCAATTTGAAAAACTTACATTGCTCTTTTGAGAACCAATTTTGTGTTCAAAAAAATGATAAACATGAATCTTGTTACTCAAATTTTATAAGATGCTGTGAAAGTGCAAATTAATCATTTAATTTTGATTTCATTAATGTCCAGCTATATAGTCTACACCAACTTTCTCATTAAGGATAACTAAAAATATTGGAATAAATGTTTAAACTTTTTCTTAAAATATAAAAAATACAAAAAATATCAACAGCAAAAAAGAAGAAAAATCTTACATAAACAACTTAACAGTATACTTTAAAGGACTAGAAAGAAGAGCAAACTAAGCCTAAGTATGAGTGAGTAGAAAGAAGGAAACAATAAAAATCAGAATAGAAATAGATGAAATGGAGACAGAAAAACAATAGAAAGATTAATAGAACTAATAGTTTTTAAAAAGATATAATTGATAAATCTTAGGCTACCAATTAAGAAAAAAGAGAAAAACTCAAAGAAAATAAGAATTGAAAGATGAGACATTCCAACAAATGCCACAGAAATATCAAATTCATGAGACAACCATGAGCAATTAATTATATACAAACAAATTAGTAGATCTGAAGAAATTTATTATGTCCTAGACACATTAACCTACCGAGACTAAATCATTAATAGAAAATCTAAACAGACAATAATGAGTAACAAGATTGAATCAGTAACAAAAAGTCTCCCATCAAAGAAAAGTCCAGGATCTAATGGCCTCACTGCTGAATTCTATCAAACATGTAAAGAAGAAATAATACAAATATTTCTCAAACTCTTCCAAAAAATGAAGAAGAGAGAGTATATTCAAACTCATTTTACGACCCTAGCATACCCTGATACCAAAGCCCCAGAAAGACACTACAAAAAAAGAAAATTATAGGCCAATATTCCTATTGAATGTAGATGCAAACATTCTCAGCAAAATACTAGCAAACTAAATTTAATAGCCCATTAGAAAGATCATTCACCATGGTCAAGTGGGACTTAACCTAGGGACGCAAGAATAATTCAACATATACAAATCAATAAATGTGATACACCACAATAACAGAATGAAGGACTAAAGCCATATGATCATCTCAATAGTTACAGACACGTATTTTACAAATTTCAACAACCTTTCATGACAGAAACTCTATTCAAATTAGGTATATAAGGAGTGCACCTCAACACAATAAAGGTTATATGTGACAATTCCATGGCTAACATCATAACGGTGAAAAGTTGAAAGCTTTTTCTATAAGATTAAAAAGATAATAATGTCCACCGTATTAGTCCATTTTCATCTTGCTATGAAGAAATACTCAAGGCTGGGTAAGTTACAAAGAAAAAGAGGTTTAATGGACTCACAGTTGCACATGGCTGGGGAGGCCTCACAATTGTGACAGAAGGTGAAGGAGGAGGAAAGGCACGTGTTACATAGTGGCAGGAAAGAGAGTGTGTTCAAGGGACCTGCCCTTTATAAAACCAGCAGATCTCATGAGACTTACTCGCTATCATGAGAACAGCATGGGAAAACCTGCCCCCATGATTCAATTACTTCCCACCAGGTCTCTCCCATGACACGTGGGGATTATGGGACTACAATTCAAGATGAGATTTGGGTGGAGACACAGACAAGCCATATCACTCACTCTCACCACTTTTATTCAACATAGTAGTGTAAGTACTAGCCAGCAATAGGTCAAGAGAAAAAAAAGTAAAAGGCATTCAAATTGGAAAGCAAGAAGCTAAATTGTCATTATTTGCAGAAGACATAATCTTATATATAGAAATCCCTAAATACTCCACCAAAAACCTGTTAGAACTAATAGACAAATTCTGTAGTGTTTGAGGAAACAAAACTAACATACAAAAGTCAGTTTTTTTCTATATACTAACAATAAACTATATGAAAAATAAGTCAAGTAAACAATGTTATTTACAATAGTATCAAAAAGAATAAATTTAGAAATAAATTTAACCAAAGAGGTGAAAGACCTGTACATGGAAAATGATAAAACATTGATAAAATAAATTGAAGCAGACACAAATAAATAGAAAAATAACCTATGTTTATTGACTGGTGCAATTAATATTGTTAAATGCCCATGCTACCCAAAGCAATCTATGGGTTTAGCACACTCCCTATCAAAATTCCAGTTACATATTTCACAGAAATAGATACTATTCTAAAATTTATATAGAACCACAAAAGCTCCTAATAGCCAAGGCAACCTTGAGCAAAAAGAACAATACTGTAGGAAAAAGAACAATACTGTAGGCTATCTTGTAGCAAAAAGAACAATACTGTATGCTATCTGGCTTCAAAATATACTGAAAGCTTTAATAAAACAGCATAGTGAAATATTGGTACTGGAATAAAAACAGATACATTGAGAAATAAAGCAGAATTGAAGACCCAGAAATAAAACTGCACATTTATGGGCAATTGATTTTCAACAAAGGCGCCAACGGCACACATGGGGCAAGGACAGTCTCTTCAATAAATGATGCTAAAACAAATGGATATTCACATGCAGAAGAATGAAATTAGACCCTTATCCCACATAATATATAAAAATTCTATCAAAACAGATTACAGATTTGAATGTAAGTAGGACCTGAAACTATAAACCCACTAGAAGAAAACATAGGAGAAGAGGTCCATGACATTGATCTAGACAATAATTTTTTAACGTGACCCCGAAGCACAATAGAAAAATAGGCAAGTGGAATTACATCATACTAAAAAATCTTCTGCACAACAAAAGGAACACTTAAGAGAACAAAAAGCAACTTTCAGAATGGGACAAAATATTTGCAAATCATACAGTTGACAAAGGGTAATATCCACAATATATTAGAAACTTAAACAACTCAATAGCAAGACAACAAATCATCCAATTAAAAAATAGACAAAGAACCTGAATAGACATTTCTCAAAAGAGGACAGATAACTAGCCAACAGGTATATGAAAAAATGCTCAACATCAGGAATCATCAAAAAAATGCAAATCAAAACCACAATGAGATCACCTCACACTTGTGAGAATGGTCAATATAAAAGAGCCAAAAGATAACAAATGTTGGTGGGGATGTGAAGAGGGAATCTTTGCACACTGGTGGTCAGAGTGTAAATTAGTACAACCATTATAGAAAATAGTATGGACGTTCCTCAAAAAACTGAAAATAGAATTACCATATGATCCAGCAATTCAACTTCTGGGTATACATCCAAAATAATTGTTAAAGAGTACTGAAATTATTAATACATAGACCTACCATCATAGAGATCAAGAGAGATAGGACAGAACTTATACACAAATTACTACAATATAGAGAATTATTAAAAGTGCCATGTGACTGGTAGGAATTGCTGAAGGAGCTCCAGGGAAGCTGGGATCATCTGTGTCATATTAAAGGAAAAGACACATTTCACCTGGATGGCATGAACCAAGTAAACTTTACTAGATGGAGAAACAGCTAAAATTGTGTTGTTTTAATATGTGCCATGCACTATTCTATATTCTTTACAGGTTTTAAACAATTTAATTTTTACTTAATATTTATTTAATATGATATATGCTACTATAACACTAAATTTATAGATGAGAAAAATGAAATGCAGAATTGTTCTATTTCACAGAAGAAACAAGTGTGAACTTGTGTGTGTGCATGTGTATATTACATATACATATATATTTATATTTAACTCAACTTTCTCATCATCTATTTTTCTTCTAGGAAATTTTCTTTCTGGAGGAAAGGTTTTCTTCCTAACTTATTCTAGTTATGTGAACTTCTTCTAGAAGAAAAATAGATGTATAGGTAATATAAAAATTTATGTATAGGCATATTAATATATAAATGTATATCTATTTATAAATACATATGCACATACATGTATATACATCAGTTATATTGACTTATATAAATATTATAAATTATATCAATTATAAATTTGACATATTATAATTGACTTATAATAGGTCAAATAAATTGTGAAGTACTCATTTAAACTCATTAAGTAATATAAGTAACCTACAACACAAGATCATTTTCCAAGATGGAGAAAGCTTCACTTATTGAAAGTTTCATATGTTTTCTGTTTGGTAATATTAATTAAATAAATCGTGATAAATATTCATGTGTTGCATTCACATGTTGATTTCTAATTAATGATGTGGAGATCAATAAATGTATCAAGAGGAGCTAAAAGAAACCCACAAATGTGGCCCCTTCAAAAACAGTGAAAATAAGTGGTTAACCACATTACTTTAGATTCCTCTTCATGGCTGAAATTTAAGAGATGAACAGAATGTTGAAATCCCTTATATTTAATCATCTAAGAAATTTGCATGTATACAGCACATCAAAAGTTATCACTCATATGGCAAACAACATTCATTTCTCTATTATTTAATGAGAATGGAAATTTTCTCATAAAAAGTTTAGGTATCTTTTCCTATAATCCACACTGGAATGGTTGTCCCAAAACTAAAATGTAAGACTATTCACTCTGTGAAACCCACTCACAAGTCAAATGGTGTTTAACCCCAGGGTTTCCATCTCTTAAAAAAAAAAAGTTGCTTCAAACAAATGGAAGAACATTCCATGCTCATGGGTAGGAAGAATCAATATCGTGAAAATGGCCATACTGCCCAAGGTAATTTATAGATTCAATGCCATCGCCATCAAGCTACCAATGACTTTCTTCACAGAATTGGAAAAAAACTACTTTAAAGTTCATATGGAACCAAAAAAGAGCCGGCATCACCAAGTCAATCCTAAGCCAAAAGAACAAAGCTGGAGGCATCACGCTACCTGACTTCAAACTATACTACAAGGCTACAGTAACCAAAACAGCATGGTACTGGTAACAAAACAGAGATATAGATCAATGGAACAGAACAGAGCCCTCAGAAATAAGGCTGCATATCTACAACTATCTGATCTTTGACAAACCTGACAAAAACAAGCAATGGGGAAAGGATTCCCTATTTAATAAATGGTGCTGGGAAAACTGGCTAGCCATATGTAGAAAGCTGAAACTGGATCCCTTCCTTATACTTTATACAAAAATTAATTCAAGATGGATTAAAGACTTACATGTTAGACCTAAAACCATAAAAACCCTAGAAGAAAACCTAGGCAATACCATTCAGGACATAGGCATGAGCAAGGACTTCATGTCAAAAACACCAAAAGCAACGGCAACAAAAGCCAAAATTGACAAATGGGATCTAATTAAACTAAAGAGCTTCTGCACAGCAAAAGAAACTACCATCAGAGTGAACAGGCAACTTACAAAATGGGAGAAAATTTTCACAACTTACTCATCTGACAAAGGGCTAATATCCAGAATCTACAATGAACTCAAACAAATTTACAAGAGAAAAACAAACAACCCCATCAAAAAGTGGGCAAAGGATATGAACAGACACTTCTCAAAAGAAGACATTTATGCAGCCAAAAGACACATGCATAAATGCTCATCATCACTGGCCATCAGAGAAATGCAAATCAAAACCGCAATGAGATACCATCTCACACCAGTTAGAATGGCGATCATCAAAAAGTCAGGAAACAACAGGTGCTGGAGAGGATGTGGAGAAATAGGAACACTTTGACACTGTTGGTGGGACTGTAAACTAGTTGAACCATTGTGGAAGTCAGTGTGGTGATTCCTCAGGGATCTAGAACTAGAAATACCATTTGACCCAGCCATCTCGTTACTGGGTATATGCCCAAAGGACTATAAATCATGCTGCTATAAAGACACATGCACACGTATGTTTATTGCGGCACTATTCACAATAGCAAAGACTTGGAACCAACCCAAATGTCCAACAATGACAGACTGGATTAAGAAAATGTGGCACATATACACCATGGAATACTATGCAGCCATAAAAAATGATGAGTTCATGTCCTTTGTAGGGACATGGATGAAATTGGAAATCATCATTCTCAGTAAACTATCACAAGGACAAAAAACCAAACACCGCATGTTCTCACTCATAGGTGGGAATTGAACAATGAGAACACATGGACACAGGAAGGGGAACATCACACTCTGGGGACTGTTGTGGGGTGGGGGGAGCGGGGAGGGATAGCATTAGGAGATATACCTAATGCTAAAAGACGAGTTAATGGGTGCAGCACACCAGCATGGCACATGCATACATATGTAACTAACCTGCATATTGTGCACATGTACCCTAAAACTTAAAGTATAATAATAATAATAAAAAAAAAGATGGTTATAAAATGCCTGCTGATTTCAGAAACAGCTCCACAGCTGGAGCAACATACTGATTCATGAAATATGATGAGAAACCCACCAGCACCTCATCCATCGAGATGATTATTACACTAGCATTTATTAAGTGGTAGATTTTTTTCTACCTTGTAGAATTGTCTTATTTTTATCTCTGATGTTGATACCTTGTCTTACCTGAGACAATGAATACCAGTTACATACCAAAAGCATATTTGTAACACTATATAATGTGAATTCCCCCTTAAAAGATGCAAAAATAACACTGCAATGTCATGTATTGGCAGCATTTTTTATGTGTGTGTGTGTATATGTAGCCAGCTACAGTTATCTTATCAGAAACCATTCACTTTCTATTGCTCTCTGAATCCATGCAATTAGATGCCTAGCACTAATCTCTTCTTTCTTTCTGAAATTGAAAGAGCTTCTGCTCACACATGGGGAAATATATACTAGGCTTTCTGAAGATATAAACTGAACCCTTGAAGAGAAGAATCATTGTGACACACTGGGCTGCAATGGCAGAGGAACCTATAGTGAAAAGAAGCTCACATAAATGGAGAAGAAACAAAAAGAAAGCTAGATGCTATAAGGGTACAAACATAATAATAAGAATCAACACTTGTTAAGTTCCTGGTGTGTGGCAGGTGTATCACATCTATTATCTTGAAGCTATACAATAGTTCCACACTATATGTGATAATGTATTCAATGTACAAATGTGGAAGCTTCATAGAGGATGACTAGGCTCAGGAACTCGTAACATCAGTGGTGGCTCCAGAATTCTGTATTGTAAGTGTCAAGCCTAGTTGGAAGATGGGGCCTGCAACTGCACAGTATGTAATTCCCTAGATAATATTAAAGAATGAGAGAATGGTGAATGCAGTTATCTGTGGGGTCAAGCTAAAGCTACCTTGTGTCCTCTTGAGACTGCCGTCACAGCTAATCTGAGCAGTGCTGGAGCTCACACCCATTTCTGTTTGAGTCCAGTACTGTATTTGTTGTTCACTGTATCACATTCCCTTTTAAATTATCAAATTTAACATCACATTAGAGTGGAACTTGAGGTGATTTCTAAATAGTAAAACTGAACTATAAAAACCTCTCCCTAAAGAGAGAAGATGGTTATCAAAGGGTTTCTTTAGTCTGAAAAGTCTCCCTTGCTCTCTCCAAAGCTGAAAGCTATCCCCAGTCCTCTGCCTCCCCATGATCTTTTAGAGCTGCCCTCATGGTTCTGAGCCAATGGTCACACTGAGCCCATAGTACTATAGGAAGCACACAGTCAGTGCAGCATCCCTGTGGTTTACTGTGGATATAACCCCAAGCTTTCCAGTGGAATTTGCACAGCTATAAATCCAAAATCCCTTTCGACAGCAGAGTGACCATAGTGTCATGATCTGCCTCACGCTCCAATTCAGAGAGACATGATGAGCAGCCTGAACAAAGCACAAAAAGGAAGAAAAATATTTTCATCTACCACAGTGATACTTTTGCGGTTATCCTTACATAGGGTTGCCAAATTAAATACGGTTAAATTTGAATTTTAGTAAGCAATAAATATTTTCAGTATGACTAGAAATATATAAGCATTGGTTTAAATATTAGTGTAATACATAAGTATATCCATGTAATGTTTTGGAGATATATATATATATTAAAAATTAGTATTATTTAACTTCAAATTTAACTGGGCATCCTGTATACTGAATTTCTAAATCTGCAACCCTACCCTAGGTGCCAAGCATAAAACCCAGTCCATTGCATCAAGGAGCTTAGCCTGGGTGTGTCAGATATATAAACCTGAATTTAAAAATAAAAATGACAAGTTCTTCTTAGGGGTATTACAAAGCACTTTAGAATCTCAGACAAGGAAGTGCCTAGTTGGGAATGGGGTGAATGAAGACACAGGCTTTATATCAATGTCTTTCTGTTTTACAACTGAAATTGTCATTAGACAAATATCTGTATGCAAGGCACAAGGAGCTTGCTACAGAGTTGGGAACTACAGCATAAAAACAGTCCAAACCAGCAAACCACACAAAATAATAATGCAAGAAATATCCACAAAATAATCTATCATCAGTTGCCAAATAGTCTGTATACAAATATTATCTAAGAGAGCTTCATTTCTTGCTCCTTCACTGCTCAATGAGGATAGATTTGATTTATATAATCAGAGGAGAATCTTTCCCCCAAACCCTGGGTAGAATTAAGTGTTCACTTTTGTCGCCCCAAACACTTTAAACATACTTTTACCATGGTACTTCTCAGATCTTCTGTCACTATTTCTGTGTCCTCTTTTAGACTATAAATTTCTACTGGCTGGGGTCTTTGTATCCTTTTTTACATATTCTTCTTCACATCTTAAGAGCCTCATCAACATGTGGTACAATGTAAGTGTTCAGCAAATATTGAACTGTCGCTGTTGGAATTAATGTGAAACAAAACCCCTTCAAGAAAAATAAAGTGCTGAAAATCTAAATGATAATGTGCACATGTTTCGGTGTGTGTTTGTGTTTTCACATGCATGGTTTTCGACAGTGTGTCGTGACCAACGACATACCACATAGGTCTGCAGCTACAGCATCATTTATTGTAATGGCAATAATGATGATGATGAAGAAACAAAGGAAATATTAATAATAGGAAGAGAATTCTCACAGCAGAAATATGAAGGCAGAGGAGAGATTTCACTTATGTTACACTGTTTTGCTGTGTTTTTTAAATCATTTTAATCCCTTTTCCTTCCAATTTTTATCACTCCAATCACTTTCTCTCATACATGTTACCTAAACTCTTGAATAAATTATCACCCCTTAATCTTGTCATTTTAAATTCCGTTTGTTCTTTCTACATTACACTACTTTTTCTAACACAAAATGAAATATTATATATGCATACACATACACACAGAGTCCCATGGAAGCTTGGGGAATTAATTTATATTAATTTGATTATAGTTGTTTGCAGAGACACATGTTTTCTGTACTCCTTCCTCTCATATCTCCCAACTTCAGCTACTTTATGCTATTGGCTTTCTCAGTTCAAATTACCTATACTTTCTACCATTTATTTTTGCATTTTCTACATAAAGGCAAAAATGTGTGTGTGTTTATGTGTGTGTGTGTGTGTTGTGGGTGTGTGTGTGTGTTGTGGGTGTGTATTAGAGAGGGGCTTAAGCATATATCTGGAGGTAATATTTTAAAATGTATCTCTGAATATACATATATACATAAGTATGTATATATCAATACATAAAAATGTATGGTATGTATATATACATAGATACATGAACGAGAGAAACTTAAGTATGGAGCATGAGGTGATATTTTAAGAAATCTCTGTGTATACATGATTATGCTTGAAATCAAAGTTTGAAAGTAGGAAGTGGTGTATTCATCTGTGTTTTATAGAATACCAGGTACACTGTGGGTGCTTAATAAATGTTAAATAATAGTAATCTGCTCCTATCCATTTATCCTTTATCTGCAATTAAGCAATGGGGTGCCAAATTATGTATCAAGCAGTTTTTATTAGGTTATATTTTTCTAGGCAGCAGGTGGAGGATTTACAACGTGTTATGCATCACAGATCTTCCCCAGAGTGACTTACCATGCAGTTTAAATAGATAAAATTCTGACCCACACCCTGCAGAGAAATTGTCAAGGCTAAAAGCAGCATTCAGCCTATCCCCTTTGCTTTCTTTCTCTCTTCTTCTCCCTCAATCTCATCACTTCTTTTGAAATAAATAAAGGCTTCTGCATTTTTAGCAAATTATTTTTGCACTTGAAACTGGTAAAAATTCCCCAAGACCATTTTAAGTTTTCATATCTGTAACACTTTGGTGACTTTTTTTTCTCTCTGTGTGTGTATATTTGAGCTGTTTTTTCTTAACACATTTTTTTTTTAATTTGGACTAATGTATACATTATGCTTTAATTGTAAACGATAAAAGACATTCTCTATCTAAAGCAGAGTGACAGAGGGAGAGTAATTATTTTTTTTGAAGGAGACATGGCAGAAACATGAGGCACTGGCACAAATTAATCATAAAAGCTCAGAGTATAACTTGTGTCTTCTAATCTGACTCTCTAAGGAAACCCTCCCATCTTTGTCCCTGTCATGAAGTTTATGAAATCTGCTATACTTGTAATTATGATAAAGTCGCCTTCTTATGAGCCAGATCTTCTATTTTTATTTGTAAGAATATCTAATTACCACTGAGCTATATATTTTTTACTCCTTGGTTATTTCCTCTAGAACCACAAAAAAAAAGTGGTTTAGAACATTTTATTAGATAATTCACTCATTAAAATAGTTATTGTTTGTGTCTGTATCATATTTTGGGGGTCACCAATGACCCCGATTTTGTGAAAACCAGTGGCCAATGTTTAGTTTTTTTTTACTTAACCTATCAACAGCATTTGACTAAATTAATTACTCTTTCTTAGATTATTATTTTGTTTTGGTATGGTGTATCATGCATTACTGGTTTTCTTTCTATTTGACCAGATACTCTTCCTCAGTCTCTTTTGCAAAGCCCTCCTCTTTTCAATCTTTTCTTATAGACATGTGCCTGATGTCTCATTCCTTGGACCGATTATTTTTTTAAATTAGTCTCACAACCCTGGTAATTTTTTTCATATCTCATTGCTTTATAAATTCTGCTAATGGCTATTTGTCCCAAAATTAATACATCTAGTCCCAGCAAATCTTAAATTCTGATTCTCTACTTAAATATCTAATAGAATGTCAGGATAACATATCCCAATTGAAATCTTTGTTTTCTCCTTACTTCCAAAACATAGTTCTCTAGGGATATACATTTAAGTAAATTGTATGTCACAACAATTAACCATTTATAAGGCTTAAATTGCCAAATTCTTTTAATGCATTTTTGTTAATTTATTATTTCCCACCAAGCACACTCATCAATGGGCTCTGTAGTTTCTACCTTGAAAATCTATCTCTATTTTTATTTTTATGAGACGAAGTCTCGCTCTTGTCACCCAGGCTGGAGTGCAATGGTACGATCTCAGCTCACTGCAACCTCTGCCTCCCGGGTTCAAATGATTCTCTTACCTCAGCCTCCCAAGTAGCTGGGATTATGGGCGCCTGCCACCACACCCGGCTAATTTTTGTATTTTTAGTAGAGACGGGGTTTCACCATGTTGGCCAGGCTAGTCTTGAACTCCTGACCTCTGGCATTCCGCCCGCCTCGGCCTCTCGAAGTGCTGGGATTACAGGCATGAGCCACCGCGACTGGCCTTTATTATTATTATTTTATTTTTTATTGAGACAGAGTCTCACTCTGTCGCCCAGGCTGGAGTGCAGTCATGAGATCTCGGCTCACTGCAACCTCCACCTCCTGGATTCAGGTGATTCTCGTACCTCAGCCTCCCAACTAGCTGGGATTACAGGCACGCACCACCATACCCGGCTAATTTTTTGTATTTTTAGTAGAGACGGGGTTTCACCACGTTGCCCAGGCTGGTCTGGAACTCCTGAGCTCAGGCGGTCAGTCTGTCTCAGCCTCCCAAAGTGCTAGGATTACAGGCTTGAGCCACCGCACCCACCCAAAAATCTAGCCCTATTCTAATCATTCCTTACTTCCTCACTACCATCTTTGTCTTAGCCACCATTAATTCTTGACTGGACTCTTGCAATAGTCTCCTGTAATCTCCTACAGCAGACTAGTTAGATACTATGCATAGTTTACAAAATATACATTCTCCCCTTCTTTATTACTAAAAGAACATTATTTAGTATGAAAATATATCCAGATAAAATTATCATCTCTACAATTTCAATTGCAGCTGCAGGGAGCCATGTGATCCAGTTCAAATCAATAAAATGTGAGAGGAAGTTGTCATGTAGAGTAACAGAAATTTTTTGTGAAAGATAATACCCTTTTCACACATCACTCTTTGGTTTATTTTTCTTTACCCATTTATGTCTTTACCTTTCCTGCTTTGAAAAGAAATGTAAAGTTGAAAAAGGAGTAGCTATTTTGTGACCATGAGGAGGTTATCTTCGTCTGTTTGGGCTGTTATGACAAACTACCACAAATTGGGTGGCTTAAAGATGTATTTCTCAGAGTTCTGGAGGTTGAGAAGGTCAAGACCAAGGAGTCTGCAGATTCAGTGTCTAGTGAGGGCATGCTTCCTGGGTCTTAGCCACCCTCTTTTAGTATCCTCACATGGTAGAAGGGACAAGGCTCTCTAGTCTCTTTTGTAGGGGCACTAATTCCATTCATAAGTTCTCCACCCTTATGATGTAATCGACTCCAAAGATCCTGCCTTCTAATACCATCACATTGGGAGTTAGGATTTGAACATATGAACTTTAGGTATACACAATCACGCACTTCGTAACAGGAGGCAAACATGAGGACAAAAGCTACACATTAATGATGGCAGAGTGGAAAGATAGAAGAAGCTGGAGAGACATGTTAAATTCAAATTGCTACATCAGTCTTCAACAGTGTAAGTCTGCATTTCAGATTACTTAAGAAAGTCACACCCCTACTTTCATACGTCCAGGTTGTCAGATTTCTGTTACAGCTAAGTGCAAGATCATTGTGATATAATGCAGTAAAATATGCACACACATATATACAACCATCTAATACCCTATACTGATATTTAAAATAAAATCTAAGGTTCTTTGCCTAGTCTGAATGGGCCTATAATATCTGTACCCTGCCTAAATGGTAGATTCCTTCAGCCATTTTTTCTTCCCTTGCTCAATCAATTGCAGCCAAATAAGCTTCCTTTCTATTTTTAGAACATTCTAAGAACACTTCTACTTCAGGGACTTTCCATTTATAGTTTTCTCTGCTTGAAACTCTCTTTCCACAAACATCTGTATATGCCATGCAATCTCTTTCTGTAGACTTACACTCAATTATAACATCACCAGAGACACTACCTGCCCACTATATTTATTTATTTATTGTACATAAATTTACCGGGCACAAGTGCAATTTTGTTACATGTGTTATGGTCAAGTCATGGCTTTCAGGGCATCCATCACCTGAATAATGTGTATTGCATCCATTAAGTAGTTTCTCATCCTCACCCTTCTGAGTCTCCATTGTCTGATACAGACACTCTCTACATCCATATGTACATCTTTTGTAACACCTACTTATGGTGAGAACATGCAATATTTGTCTTTCCATGTCTAGCTTGTTTCACTTAATTTCCTCCAGTTCCATTCATGTTGCTGCAAAAAGAAATGATTTTACTATTTTTGTAACTGGATAGTATTCTAGTGTGTGTGTGTGTGTGTGTGTGTGTGTGTGTGTGTATGAATGGGATATTCAGTGTGTGTGTATATATATATGAATGGGATATTCAGTGTGTATATGTATATACACACACACATAGATGTTAATGTATATACACACATCTGTCTATCTGTTGATGGACACTTAACTTGATTCCATATCTCTGCTATTGTTTATAGTGCTGCAATAAACATTTGAGTGCAGGTATCTTTTTGATATATTGATTTCCTTTCATTTGGGGAGATACCCAGTAGTGGGACTGCTGGATGGAATGGTAGTTCTATTTTTAGTTCCTTGAGAGCTAAATACTATTTTCCATAGAGGTTGTACTAATTTACATTCCTCCCAGCAGTTTACAAGTGTTTCTCTGTATTCTGACATCTGTTATTTTTAAAAAATCTTTTTCATAATCATTATTCTGACTGAGATAAGGTGATATCTCATATTGTTTTAATTGGCACTTCTCTGATTATTAATGATGTTGAAAATTTTTTCTTATGCCTTTTGGTAATTTGTGTGTTTTCTTCAGAAAAAAATGTCTATTCATGTCTATGTATGTTTTTGCCCAATTTTTAATGGGATTAAGATATTTTTTCCTGTTGAATAGTTAGAGTTCCTTGTATGTTCTGGATATTAGTTCCTTGTTGGATGAAGAGTTTGAAAATATTTTCTCCCATTTTGCGAGTTGTCTGTTTACTCTCCTGATTATTTATTTTGCTGTGCAGAAATATTTTAGTTTATTTAAGTCACTTTTATCTATTTTTGTTTTGTTGTCTGTGATTTTGAGGTCTTAGCGATAAATTATTTTCCAAGATGAATTTCCAAAAGAGTTTTTCCTAGGTTTTCTTCTAGTATTTTTATAGGTTTGGGTACTATGTTTAAGTCTTTAATCCACCTTGAGTTGTTTTTTTTTTTTTTTGTATATGGTGACAGCTAAGGGTCTGGTTTCATTTTTCTGCATGTGTCAATCCAGTTATCCCAGAAGCATTTGTTGAAATGAGTGTCCTTCACCCAATGTATGTTCTTGTTGGCTCCCAAAAATCAGTTGTCTGTAAATATTTGGCTTTATTTCCAGGTTCTCTATTCTGTTCCACTGCTCTTGGTGTCTATTTTTATACCAGTGTCATTCTGTTTTTATTATTATAAGCCTGTGAAATATAATCTGAAGTCAGGTAATGTAATGCCTCAAGTTTAGTTCTTTTTGCTTAAGATTGCTTTGGCTATCAAGGCCCTTGTTTTTTTCCATATGAATTTTTGGATGATTTTCTCTAATTCTGTTAAAAGCGACACTGGTATTTTGATAGGGATTGTATTAAATCTATAGATTGCTTTCGGCAGTGTGGTCATTTTAATAATATTAATGTTTTGCAATGTGTGAGCATGTTTTTTCATTTGTTTGTGTCATCTACAATTTTTTTCATCAGTGTTTGGTAGTTTTCCATGAGGAGATCTTCCACTTCCTTGGTAAAATGTATTCCTAGATATTTAATTTTTTGGATTTATTATAAATAAGATTGACTTCTTGATTTCATTCTCACCTAGATCAATATTGGTATATAGAAGTGCTAATAATTTTTGTGCATTAATTTTTTTATCCTGCAACTTTGCTAAATTCATGTATTAAATCTAAGAGTTTTTTGGTGGAATCTTTAGCTTTTTTTCTAAATACAAGATCACATTATTAACAAACAGAGGTAACTTTACTTCTTCTACTCTGTTTTTCTTTTTCTTTTTTCTTTTAATTTTTATTTTACATTCTGGGATACATGTGCAGGATGTGCAGGGTTGTTACATAGGTAAACGTGTGCCATGGTGGTTTGCTGCACCTATCAACCCATCACACCTAGGTATTAAGCCCAGCATGAATTAGCTATTTTTCCTAATGCTCTCCTTCCCCCCAGCCCACCTCTTGACAGGCCCCAGTGTGTATTGTTCCCCTCCCTGTGTCCATGTGTTCTCATTATTCAGCTACCGTTATAAGTGAGAACATGCAGTGTCTGGTTTTCTGTTCCTGCCTTAGTTTTCTGAGGATAATGGCTTCCAGCTCCATCTATGTTGCAAACAGACACATAGACCAATGGAACAGAATAGAGAATTCAGAAATAAGACTGGACATCTACAACCATCTGAACTTCTTTTCAATTTGGATGTCTTTTCTTTTTTGATCTTTCCTGATTGCTCTGGCTAGGATTTCTAATACTATGAACAGGATTGGTGAAATTGTGAATCCTTAAACATGCTCGTGAATGATCAGTGGGTCAGTGATGAAATTAAGATGGAAATGTAAAATAATTAAAATAAATGAAAACTGAAATACGACATACCAAAGCCTGTGGAAAACAGCAAAAGTATTGTTAACTGGGAAGTTTACGGCACTAAATGTCTACATCAAAAAAGTAGAAAGGTTACAATTTAACAACCAAATGATGCACCTCAAGGAACTAGAAAAAGCAAGAGCAAACTAAACCCAAAATTACAGAAAACAAGAAATGACAAAGGTCAGAGCAAAACTAACCAAGAAGAGAGAAGACCCAAATAAAATCAGAAATGAAAAGGAGACTGATACCACAGAAATACAAAAGATCATTAGAGACTATCATGAACAAATACATGCTGAAACACTACAAGACCTAGAGAAAATGAATCAATTCCTGGTAACATACAACCTTCCAAGACTGAACCAGAAATAGAAAGCCTGAAGGGACCAAAAACAAGTAGTAAGATTGTATTAGTAATTAAAAAAAAATCCCAGGTAATCGCAGCATTTTGGGAGGCCAAGGCAGGTGGATCACAAGGTCAGGAGCTCGAGACCAGCCCGACTAACATGGTGAAACCCTGTCTCTACTAAAATATGAACAAAATTAGCCAGGCATGGTGGCGGGCCCCTGTAATCCCAGCTACTCAGGAGACTGAGGCAGGAGAATTGCTTGAACCTGAGAGGCAGAAGTTGCAGTGAGCCGAAATTGTGCCACTATACTCCAGCCTGGGCGACACAGCGTGACTCTGTCTCAAAAAAATAAAATAAAATAAATAAATAAATAAATAAATCCCAACACAGCAAAGCCCAGGACCAGACAGATTCATAGGCAACTTCTACCAGCCATACAAAAAAGAACTAATATCAATCCTCCTGAAACTGTTTTAAACAATCAAGGAGGGATTTTTGCCTAATCATCCTATGAAGCCAGTATCACTCTGATACCAAAACCAGACAAGTATGCTGCAAAGAAAACTAGAGACCAATATCCCTGATGAAAATAGACACCAGAATCATTAACAAAATACTAGTAAACAGAATCCAACACACATCAAAAAGATAATGCACCATGATCAAGTGGATTTTATAGCAGGGATGCAAGGATGGTTCAACATATGCAAAGCAATAAATGTGACACAGCACATTAATAGAGTAAAGAAAAAAATCACATGATCATTTCAGTAGATGATGAAAAAGTATTGGATAAAATTTAGCATTGTTTCATGGTAAAAATCCTCAAAAAACTAGGCATAGAGGGAATATACCTCAAAACAATAAATGCTGCATTCAACAAACCCACAGCAAACATCATACTGAACAGAGAAACAGTCATACTGAACTGACTGCTATATTTAATGAACACTCCATCACCTTGCTCTTCTTTCAGCCGCTTATGGACTCATTATTATCTCACTTTATGCTTGGCATCTTCTTTATTTTTTGTCTCTATCCTCCTTTAAAATTTTAGTTAGACTTTGTTTGTTTTATTTTTATAAATCTGTTGCCTGGAGCATTCCCTGACACATTGTTAAGAGCTAATACACATTTGTTGTATGAATGTGTGAATAAATGGCTTCTTAAATTCTTCATCATTTTGGTTACATTTCTGTTATTGATTTCTGTTTTGTTCATGTTTTTGTTAAAATATGGCACGTAAAACTCAGAATTGATCTCTAGATACGGTTAAATTTAAAAAAAGTAGCCCCTCTAATTTTCAAGAAAGCTATTAACATTAGGGATTTTTTTTAGTCATGTAACTTACTTGTTTTATATTAATCAGGTATTTATAATCCATATTTTTCCAGCTCATGGACTATTGTTAAACCATATCTCCTTAATCCTGTATTTACACAGTGCATTATTATTTTATACATTTCAGGTCATATAAGTTACTGGTTTGTTTTTATCAATGGCTAGTATAATATTTTAAGTTAGTTTGTCTCATTCTATTTGTTCATTGGGATTTTTAGATAAACTATGATCAATAAATAAAATCTATAAGGGACTTATTTACCATATTATAAGATTTTTTATTATTTTGTATATTTACTTTCCCTTCTTTTCTCATATATACACTTTTTTATTTCAATAATTTTTGGGGAACAGGTGACATTTAATTACATGAATAACTTCTTTGTTATTTCTGAGATTTTGTTGCACCCATTACCTGAGCAGTGTACACTGTACCCAGTGTGCAGTCTTTTATCCCTCACCACCCTCTGACCCTTTTCCCGAGTCCTCAAAATTCCTTGCATAATTCTTATACTTTGCGTCTTCATAGCTTAGCTCCCACATGTGAGTGAGAACATGCGATGGTTGGTTTTCCATTCCTGAGTTACTTCACTTAAAATAATGGTCTCCAATTCTATCCAGGTTGCTGCAAATGCCATTATTGCATTCCTTTTTGTGGCTGAGTAGTATTCCATTCAATTGATGGGTATTTGGGCTGGTTTCATATTTTTGTAATTGCAAATTGAGCTGCTATAAACATGTATGTGTGAGTATCTTTTTTTTGTACAATGACTTCTTTTCCTCTGGGTAGATGCCTAGGAGTGGAATTGCTGGATTGAATAGTAGATTTATTTTTGGTTCTTTAAGGAATTTCCACACTGTTTTCCATAGTGGTTTACTAGTTTACATTTCTACCAACAGTGTAAAAGTGTTCCCTTTTCACCATACCCACACCAACATCTATTATATTTTGATTTTTTTTATTGTGGCCAGTCTTGCAAGAATAAGGTGGTATTGCATTTTAGTCTTGGTTTGCATTTCCCTGACCATTAGTGATGTTCAGCATTTTTTCATATGTTCATTGGCCATCTGTACATCATCTTTTGAGAATTTTCTATTCGTGTCCTTAATCCACTTTTTGATGGGATTGTTTGCGTTTTTGTTGCTGATTTGTCTGAGTTCCTTGTAGATTCTGGATATTAGTCTTTTGTCAGATGTATAGATTGGTTTTTCTCCCACTCTGTGGATTGTCTGTTAACTCTGCTGATTATTTCTTTTGCTGTGCAAAAGGCTTTTAGTTTAATTAAGTCCCATCTATTTATCTTTGTTTTTATTGCATTTGTTTTGGGGTTCTTGGTCATGAAGAGGTTTTCTGATGTTATCTTCTAGATTTTTTGTGGTTTCAGGTCTTAGACTTAAGTCTTTGCTCCAACTTGAATTGATTTTTGTATAGGGTGAGAGATGTGGATCCAGTTTTATTCTTCTACACGTGGCTTGCCAATTAGCTCAGCACCATTTGTTGATCAGGGTGTCCTTTCCCCATTTTATGTGTTTGTTTGCTTTGCGGAAGATCAGTTGACTGTAAATATTTGGGTTTATTTATGGGTTCTCTTTTCTGTCCCATTGGTGTATGTGCCTATTTTTATACCAGTGCCATGCTGTTTCGGTGACTATGGCCTTATAGTATAGTATGAATTCAGATAATGAAATACCTCCAGATTTTTTCTTTTTGCTTAGTCTTGCTTTGGCTATGTGGGCTCTTTTTGGTTCCATGTGATTTTTAGGATTTTTTTTTCTAGTTCTGTGAAGAATGATGGTGCTATTTTGATAGGAATTGCATTGAATTTTTAGATTGCTTTTGGCAGTAGAGTCATTTTCACAGTATTGATTCTGCCCATCTAATAGCATAGGATGTGTTTACATATGTTTGTGTTATCTATGACTACTTTCAGCAGTGTTTTGTAGTTTTCCTTGTAGAGGTCTTTCCCCTCCTTGGTTAAGTATATTCCTAAGTATTTTGTTTTATTTTTTGCAGCTATCATGAAAGGGCTTGAGTTCTTGACTTGATTCTCAGCTTGGTCGCTGTTGGTGTATAGCAGTGCTACTGATTTGTGCACATGAATTTTGTATCCCGAAATTTTGCTGAATAAATTTACCAGTTCTGGGAGCTTTTGGGATGAGTCTTTAGGGTTTTCTAGGTATACAATCTTGTCATCAGCAAACAACAACAGTTTGACTTCCTCTTTACCAATTTGGATGCCCTTTATTTCTTTCTCTTGTCTGATTGCTTTGGCTAGGACTTCCAGTACTGTGTTGAATAGAAGTGATGAAAGTGGGCATCTTTGTCTTGTTTCAGATCTCAGCGGGGATGCTTTCAACTTTTCCCCATTCAGTATAATGGCTGTGGGTTTGTCAGAGATGGCCTTTATTACCTAAGGTATTTCCGTTGTATGATGATTTTGCTGAGAGTTTTAGTCCTAAAGCTGATACTGGGTTTTATCAAATGCTTTTTCTGCATCTATTGAGATAATCGTGTGAGTTTTATTTTTAATTCTGTTTATGTGGTATATCACATTTATTGCCTTACATATGTTAAATCCCTGGTATGAAACCCACTTGATCCAGGTGGATTATCTTTTTGATATGCTGTTGGATTCAGTTAGCTACTATTTTGTTGAAGATTTTTGCATCTATGTTCATCACCGTTATTGGAGAACAGTATTATTTGATTGAATGGAGAGGGCCCTGGCATTATGGTCACTTTGCAATGTATGAGCGGCCTGCACAATAAATAAATGTTACATTCCTCATGACTTTAAAATGCTCCATAGGACGTATCTGTAGAAAAATTCCTGTTCATATTTATCTGAGCCTAGTAGTCAATCTTAACCAGGAACCTAATGCCATTTTACATATAAACTCAATGTATCCTTGCATGGATTTAATATTTATTTATTTATTTAATTTTACAGGAATGGCAGTGCCTTACAAATCAAGGGAAACACTTTTTTTTAATATCACTAACACTTATTCACCATTTTCGAAAACCACATTACTCTCGATAAGACATTTCCTCTTGTAAGTGTTTCACACTGTTAATCTCAACACTATCTTTCATAAGCAGTATTTTGTAGTAATTCCATTATTGTGAATTAGCATTTATAGGGAATATGACATATCTTCACACATAATATTAAATTTCAGCATAAGGTCTTTCAGTTTGCAACAAGTGTGATGTACTTAAAATTTTTAAAGGATAATATGGCTGAACAATAACAATCAGTGAGATAGATAAATTATTTTGAAAAATGAAGCAGACGCTAGATTATTTAAGGCCTCCTGCACTATAGGTACGAGTTAGTGATTTTATTTTTAAATAATATAAAGCTATGGGAAAGTTATAAGTAGAAATGTGTCAATATTTATTTATTCAAAATATATTAAGTGACAACTACATGCCATATTTAGATCTAATGGGGGGGAAAAGCAGAAAAAAATTCTCTTCCATAAAGCATACATTTTAGCAGAGAAATACAAACAGCAAATAATAAGCATGGCTTTCTGCATCTATTGAGATAATCATGTGGTTTTTGTCATTGGTTCCGTTTATGTGATGGATTACATTTATTGATTTGTGTATGTTGAACCAGCCTTGTATCCCAGGGATGAAGCCCACTTGATCATGGTGGATAAGCTTTTTGATGTGCTACTGGATTTGGTTTGCCAGTATTTTATTGAGGATTTTCATATCGATGTTAATCAGGGATATTGGCCTGAAATTTTCTTTTTTTGTTGTGTCTCTGCCAGGTTTTGGTATCAGGATGATGCTGGCCATGTAAAATGAGTTAGGGAGGATTCCTTCCTTTTCTATTGATTGGAATAGTTTCAGAAGGAATGGTACCAGCTCCTCTTTGCACCTCTGGTAGAATTCGGCTGTGAATCCATCTGGTCCTGTACTTCCTTTAGTTGGTAGGCTATTAATTACTACCTCAATTTCAGAACTTGTTATTGGTCTATTCAGGGATTCAACTTCTTCTTGGTTTAGTCTTGGGAGGGTGTATGTGTCCAGAAATTTATCCATTTCTTTTAGATTTTCTAGTTTATTTGGGTAGAGGTGTTTATAGTATTATCTGAAGGTAATTTGTATTTTTGTGGGATTGTTGGTGATATCCCCTTTATCATTTTTTATTGTGTCTATTTGATTCTTCTCTATTTTCTTCTATATTATTCTGGCTAGACATCTAACTATTTTGTTGATCTTTAAAAGAAAAACCAGCTCCTGGATTTATTGATTTTTAAAGGGTTTTTAGTATCTCTATCTCCTTCAGTTCTGCTCTGATCTTAGTTATTTCTTGTCTTCTGCTAGCTTTTGAATTTGTTTGTTCTTGCTTCTCTAGTTCTTTTAATTGTGATGTTAGGGT
The DNA here is from genome assembly GCF_000001405.40 of Homo sapiens. Lineage (NCBI taxonomy): Eukaryota > Metazoa > Chordata > Mammalia > Primates > Hominidae > Homo > Homo sapiens. The sequence continues at coordinate 104,200,613 of NC_000004.12, forward strand.
GTCAATTTTAGATCTTTCCTGCTTTCTCTTGTGGGCATTTAGTGCTATCAGTTTCCCTCTACACACTGTTTTAAATATGTCCCAGAGATTCTGGTATGTTGTCTCTTTGTTCTCATTGGTTTCAAAGAACATCTTTATTTCTGCCTTAATTTTGTTATTTACCCAGTAGTCATTCAGGAGCAGCTTGTTCAGTTTCCATGCAGTTGTGCAGTTTTGAGTGAGTTTCTTTATCCTGAGTTCCAATTTGATTGCACTGTGGTCTGAGAGACTGTTTGTTATGATTTCTGTTCTTTTACATTTGCTGAGGAGTGTTTTACTTCCAATTATGTGGTCAATTTTAGAATAAGTGCAATGTGGTGCTGAGAAGAATGCATAGTCTGTTGATTTGGGGTGGAGAGTTCTGCCGATGTTTATTAGGTCCACTTGATCCAGAGCTGAGTTCAAGTCCTCGATATCCTTGTTAATTTTCTGTCTCATTGTTCTGTCTAATACTGACAGTGGGGTGTTAAAGTCTCCCACTATTATTGTGTGGGAGTCTAAGTCTCTTTGTAGGTCTCTAAGAACTTGCTTTATGAATCTGGGTGCTCCTGTATTGGGTGCATATACATTTAGGCTAGTAAGCTCTTCTTGTTGCATTGATCCACTTATTATGTAATGCCATTCTTTGTCTCTTTTGATCTTTGTTGGTTTAAAGTCTATTTTATCGGAGACTAGGATTGCAACCCTTGCTTTTTTTTGCTTTCCATTTGCTTGGTAAATATTCCTCCATCCCTTTATTTTGAGCCTATGTGTGTCTTTGCACATGAGATGGGTCTCCTGAATGCAGCACACTGATGGGTCTTTGACTCTTTATGCAATATGCCCCTCGTGTCTTTTAATTGGGGCAGTTAGCCTGTTTACATTTAAGGTTAATATTATTATGTGTGAATTTGCTCCTGCCATTATGATGCTAGTTGGATATTTTGCCTGTTAATTGATACAGTTTCTTCATAGTGTCAATGGTCTTTACAATTGCTATGTTTTTACAGTGGCTGGTACTGGTTGTTCCTTTCCATATTTCATACTTCCTTAAGGAGCTCTTGTAAGGCAGGCCTGGTGGTGACAAAATCTCTCCACATTTGCTTGTCTGTAATGAATTTTATTTCTCCTTTGCTTATGAAGCTTAGTTTGGCTGGATATGAAATTCTGGATTGAAAATTCTTTTCTTTAAGAATGTTGAATATTGACCCCCACTCTCTTCTGGCTTTTAGGTTTCCTGCCAAGAGATTTGTTGGCAGTCTGTGTGTAGCCTGATCTTTCTCTCTGGCTGCCCTTAACATTTTTCCTTCATTTCAACCTTGGTGAATCTGACGATTATGTGTCTTGGGGTTGTTCTTCTCGAGGAGTATCTTTGTGGTGTTCTTTGTATTTTCTGAATTTGAATGTTGGCCTGCCTTGCTACGTTGGGGAATTTCTCCTGCATCATATCCTGAATAGTGTTTTTCACCTTGGTACCATTCTTCCCCTCACTTTCAGGTACAACAACCAAATGTAGCTTTGGTCTTTTTTCTTTTTTTTTTCTTTTCTTTTCTTTCTTTTTTTTTTTTTGGATGACGTCTCTCTCTGTCACCCAGGCTGGAGTGCAGTGGTGCAACAATCTCGTCTCACTGCAACCTCCGCCTCCCGGGTTCCAGCGATTCTTTTGCCTCAGCCTCCTGAGTAGCTGGGACTACAGGCATGCTTCACCAAGCCCGGCTAATTTTTGTTTTTTTTTTTTTTTTTTTAGTATAAATAGGGTTTCACCATATTGGCCAGGCTGGTCTCCAACTCCTGACCTCGTGATCCACCCACCTCAGACTCCCAAAGTGCTGGGATTACAGGCATGAGCCACCACACCCAGCTGATTTGATCTTTCCACATAGTCCCATATTTCTTGGAGGCTTTGTTCATTTCTGTTCTCTCTTTTTTCTCTAATCTTGTCTTCTTGCCTTATATCATTAGTTGATATTCAATCTCTGATATCCTTTCTTCTACTTGATCAATTCAGCTATTGATACTTGTGTATGCTTCACGAAGTTCTCATGCTGTATTTTTCATCTTCATCAGGTCATTTATGTTCTTCTCTAAACTGGTTATTCTAGATAGCATTTCATCTAACCTTTTTTCAAGGTTCTTACCTTCCTTGCATTGGGTTAGAACATGCTTGTGTCGCTTGGAGGAGTTTGTTATTCAATAGCCCTTCATGCTAAAAACTCTCAATAAACTAGGTATTGATGGAACATATCTCAAAATAATAAGAGCTATTTATGACAAACCAACAGCCAATATCATACTGAATGGCAAAAACTGGAAGCATTCCCTTTGAAAACTGGCACAAGACAAGGATGCCCTCTTTTACCACTCCTATTCAATGTAGTATTGAAAGTTCTGATCAGGGCAATCAGGCAAGAGAAAGCAATAAAGGGATTAAAATAGGAAGAGAGGAAGTCAAATTGTCTCTCTTTGCAGATGACATGATTGTATATTTAGAAAACCCCATTGTCTCAGCCCAATATCTCCTTAAGCTGATAAGCAACTTCAGCAAAGTCTCAGGATACAAAATCAATGTGCAAAAATCACAAGCATTTCTATACACCAATAACAGACAAACAGAGAGCCAAATCATAATGAACTCCCATTCACAATTGCTACAAAGGAATAAAATACCTAGGAATACAAATTACAAGGGATCTGAAGGACCTCTTCAAGGAGAACTACAAACCACTGCTCAAGGAAACAAGAGAGGACACAAAAAAGTGAAAAAAAAAATCCATGCTCATGGGTAGGAAGAATCAATATCTTAAAATGGCCATACTGCCCAAAGTAATTTATAGGTTCAAGGCTATTCCCTCCAGGCTACCACTGACCTTCTTCACAGAATTGGAAAAAACTAGTTTAAATTTCATATGGAAGACAAAAAGAACCTGCAAAACAAAGACAATTCTAAGCAAAAAGAACAAAGCTGGAGGCCTCACACTACCTGACTTTAAACTATACTATAAGGCTACAGTAACCAAAACAGCATGGTACTGCCATCAAAACCAATATATAGACCAATGGAACAGAACAAAGCCCTCAGAAATAATACCACATATAGACGACCATCTGATATTTGACAAACCTGACAAAAACAAACAATGGGGAACGGATTCCCTGTTTAATAAATGGTGTTGGGAAAACTGGTTAGCAATATGGAGAAAGCTGAAACTGGACCTCTTGTTTACATCTTATACCAAAATTAACTCAAGATGGATTAAAGACTTAAATGTAAGACCTAAAACCATAAAAAACCTAGAAAAAACCTAGGCAATACCTTTCAGGACATAGGTATGAGCAAATACTTCATGACTAAAACACCAAAAGCAATGGCAACAAAAGCCAAAATTGACAAATGGGATCTAATTAAACTAAAGAGTTTCTGCACAGCAAAAGAAACTACCATCAGAGTGAACAGGCAACCTACAGAATGGGAGAAAATTTTTGCAATCTATTCATCTGACAAAGGGCTAATCTCCAGAATCTGCAAGGAACTTAAACAAATTTACAAGAAAAAAACAAACAACCCCATCAAAAAGTGGGTGAAGTATATGAACAGACACTTTTCAAAAGAAGACATTTATGCAGCCAACAAACTTTAAAAAAAAATGCTCATCATCACTGGTCATCAGAGAAATGCAAATCAAAACCACAATGAGATACCATCTCACGCCAGTTAGAATGGTGGTCATTAAAAAGTCAGGAAACAACAGATGCTAGAGAGGACGTGGAGAAATAGGAACACCTTTACACTGTTGGTGGGAGTGTAAATTACTTCAGTCATTGTGGAAGACAGTGTGGCAATTCCTCAAGAATCTATAACTAGAAATACCATTTGACCCAGCAATCCCATTACTGGGTATATATTCAAGGGATTATAAATCATGCTACTATAAAGACACATGAACACATACATTTACTGCAGCACTACTCACAATAGCAAAGACTTGGAACCAACCCAAATGCCCATCAATGTTAGACTGGATAAAGAAAATATGTCATATCCAGCCATAAAAAATAATGAGTTCATTTCATTTGCAGGGACACGGATGAAGCTGGAAACCATCATTCTCAGCAAACTAACACAGGAACAGAAAACCAAACACCACATGCTCTCACTCATAAGTGGGAGTTGAACAATGAGAACATGTGGGCACAGGGAGCGGAACATCACACACTGGGGCCTCTTGGGGGTAGGGGGCAAGGGGAGGGATAGCATTAGGAGAAATACCTAATGTAGATGACTGGTTGATGGGTGCAGCAAACCACCATGGCACACGTATACCTATGTAACAAACCTGCATGTTCTGCACAGGTATCCCAGAACTTAAAGTATAATAAAAAAAGAATGGTAATAATAATAATAAGCATGACTTTCTCTACTAAAGTGTAAGCTTCATGAGGAATGTCATTTGTTTCTTTTCTTTTTTTATATAAGAACATGTATTTGTGACAGTCAATTCCTTGCATTGTTCAGATCTATTCATGTTGTACATTAAACCTATTTTGTTACTGACACTTCAAGATTATGGCTGGTCCAAATCTGTATAAAAAGAAAACAAAAGACATATGACAGGAAGATTAGTCAGTAAAGGTATAGTCTTATTATGGTAACTGGTTCTGAGGCCATAATTGACACTTATTACCCAACTCCCTTTACCATAGGATCAGATTTCCCACTCAGCCAGCCCTTCAACTAGGCTAGGTTGCTTATAATGTGGTAAACCATATCTTCATCCCTGAAGGTCTGAGCCCTTGCTTGCCTTGCCCTTATTGGGCCATGATTTCTATAATAGTCCTTCCTGTTAATCACTGGGCACAAAAGCAACAAGAGAGGATCCAGTGAATCTCCACAGTCTAGACACACTCTTCTCTGCAATCATCATACAGCAGCAATCTTAGCTTTCTGCGATTATGAGGCTCAATCATAGGTGCTGAGGAATCCAGTATAACAAGGCAATGCATGGAGATTTAGGTTCAGAGGAATCTTACTATGATTTTTGGTGGGAGAGTCTCCCACTTTCCTTCAAGAACCAGTAAAACCTTGAGGGAAAATCATTCTAGCTACTACATCATGTATTAATATCTTGATCTTAATCTCAAAGTCCTTTGGGAGAAAGTTAATTTCAATTTTCATAAACAATAAACTCTATAATACTGTCCAAGTTATAAGGTTGCACTAGTACTTCATGATATTCATTGTTAAATATTGCTTGACTAATATAAGTTCTTAACTGCAGCTCCACTAAAGTATTATTTTCATTAGTATATGTTGCAGTATGTTTTTATGTATTCTTTAAAGATATTAATATATAAACGTCTACTAAACTTTATTTGAAAGGATAATTTTTATTGTTTACCAACATTTATCTAAACTTTGAATTGTTTTATTCATATTAGTGTCCTTAAGTGTTTAAAAATTAAAAATTATATTTACTGTGATTTGAATAGCACTATACATAGTAAAATCATATGCAGAATTACTCATTTTGTATATTCAGCAAACATGTATCTTTTGTGGATTCAGGTGCTGAAAATACAAACAGAAATTAGAGATAATTAAGATATGATAAAGCTAGTCTTTTCTAAATTTCCTATGACAGAATATATAAAGTTTAGGGATATTTATTTTTTAAATCAGGAGATACGAAGATCTGTCAGAATAGAATGGTTACAGCATGAAATGAGTAAAGATTAGAGCCATGCAAAATTTTGGTAATGAGAACTGAAACCTGGCTCGTTTCCATTTTTATTAGAAATCAGAATTTATCTTATGCTCACTTAGAAGTTTATTGCCTTTCCAGAAAAATCTAATCTACATTTTTAGATCATTTTCTACCCTCTCCATTCATACTCACTAAGATCTAATGGGATGTTGGCTCAATAAAATGATATTTTCCCATTTTCATGCAATTAACATTCTTGATTGAGCACATAGGTTATGGGCTTAAGGGCTTTAAAATACATAGAAGAAGATATTGGGCGGGCACATTCACTCTCCACTGATGTGAGAGTATGAGGTTTAAAGTTTGGGGGGAAATATGTATCTGTAACATTTAGAACCTTGTCAGAGAAACAAACAAAGAAACAAAAAAGAGGACACTATAGCATCTAATTAATTTATCAATTCGACAGTGTTACATAAGTGGGGCTCCTTCTGTTACCAAGCAATAAATGGGCTTGTTGCCCAATGTGTATAGAAGACAATACAATGCCACTGGCTTTTGAGAAAACAAATAGCTTTATTTCAAATCAACTGGCAAAGAGACAGGAGAAAACACTCAAATCTGTTTTCCAGACCTGGAGTCTGGGGCAGGTTTTATACACAGAGGATGATGAAGCATGATCTGATTGGATATTTTCATGAGGAGTTGCCAGGAGACATGATCTGCCTGGATCCTTTCATGGGATGATGCCAGCTGGATCCTGCCATTTGGTGTTCACTTTTTAATTTAGTCCCAGTTTCTTGGTCCAAGGATTTAGGTTCCACCTGTGGATGCACACTTGGTTCACCTGGGAATGCTTACGAGGTTATGTAACCTTCAACCTGGGGGTCCATGGCAACTGAAAATCAACTCACAGTTTTGTTCCATAAAAGTTGAGCCAGATTGGTTTGGTGCGGTTACATATCTTTCTCTTTCTCACAGTCTAGAGTTTGTAACAAGACTTTGTCCATAATTTTCATTGTTAAAATGTAAATTTTTTTTGAGAAAAGTTAGTTGACAAACTTCAATATCCTTTGCATTGTCCCTAATAACACTGTAAGTCTTATATAGCACCAAGTAACCCTAAATCCCATGCCTTCTCCCCGTGTTTGACTAGTTCTAGTACTTTAACAGAACAAAAATGTACAAACCTCTGTTGCTAAACAGCCTATTACCTATCTGAAAAAAATCCTGCTTACTCTATACTTTAAGGCCAATTTCGATTTTATCTTCCTAGCTAGCACAATATTTTACATCTTAATGTAAGGCACAATTTTTCCCAAATTATTATGTTACAAAATCTTGTGATACTAAAATCCTCACAAAGTCTTTAGTATTACAGGGCATGCTCTTATTTACTTTATCTTAAAAATAAAGCCTTATTTGCTGAAGACAACTTAGTTGAAAAGTTGAACAATTAATGAGTGTCAGATGCTTATAGAACCCTCCTGCCTCCATACCCTATGAAATACATGACAAAAAGGAAGCCATGAAATTTAATATAAATTTAGTTGTTTTTCCTTTTATCTTAAGATATGATCTAAAATTACAAGAGTTGGATACCTTTTTTAAAAAACCATGAAATAAATGATGCAATAAGTGATATGGTTGGATAAATCATAAGTATATACCTATAGAAAAATTAAAAAGCAAACTTCCACAAAGCAATGAAAATGGTTACCTGTGGCCTATGATAAAGTTTTCAGCAATGAAAGTTCAGACAAATTCAAAGATTGTCGAAGCAAATTAGAAGCAAAAGCAAAGTGTTCTGAATAATCTATTAGATGAGATGCCAAACATAACTTTGGTGATGGCTATGGTTTGAATATTTTTGTCCCTTCCAAAAACTCATATTAAAACTTAATCCTAAAAGCAACACTTTGGGATGTGGAAGTTTTGGAGAGGTGTTTAGGTCATAAGGGCTCCACCTGCATGAATGGATGAATGCCTTAATGCTACCGTAAAAGAGCTTGACCAAGGGAGTTCATTCTCTGTTTCCCCTCTGCCTTCTATTACATGAGGGCACAGTGTTCCTATCCGTCGTAGGATGCAGTGCTCAAGGTGCCATCTTGGAAGTAGAGATGGTGCCTTAACTGGACACCAAAATTGGCAGTGCCATGATCTTGGACTCTCAGCCTCAAGAACTGTGAGAAGATAAATTTCTGTTCTTTGTAAGTTACCCAGTATTAAGTATTTGGTTATAGAACCATAACACCTACTACCACAGAGATTTTTTTAAAAGATACTAATATTGGAGATAATTGTGAATGGGTGAATAAGCTTGTTTCATAAAATATAAGTGGAAAAGGCAATATTTGTAAATAAACATTATTTTTGTAGTTTATGAGTCTTTAAGTCTCTCTCTCTATGTAAACAGCTCTAAAAATTGATAAAGTTGTGCCTTAAAAATTGTGTTTAGATTTTCTCAATGGTCATTTGGGAGGAGATCACCTGATGGATGTGATAGCAAATACTATTATTTGCCTGCATACTAATAATGAACATTGTGGCTACCTATAAGAATTATTATTATTTATGTATATACAAAAAATATACAAAACTGTTATTTTTGAAAATGCTATTAAATGCTTGATATTTGTCCCTATTGTTGGCAAATGCTATGCGATCAGACATCATGTCCTGTGTGGTGCTGTCTGTGTACCAGGAAATTTGCTAAGTACTGGGGACATAGTACTAAATTGCCCTATTGAAGTTCAAAGTACAGCGTTCAATTATAAATTCTTATATAGAACTCTCTCTTTACTTCTAATAAATATTAATAGAATTATATTATAGATGACTCCTTCATAGGTCTCCTGTTTCCTCCTACCCCCAAAATTGTGAATTTCTTGAAAACAGAGATCATGTCTGATATTTCACATATACCATAGTGCCTGACACACAGCTGATATTTAAAAACAAACAAACAAAAATGATTTTCTGAATTAAGGAATAGTAATATTAAAACTATTTCAAAAATATATATAATTCAAAAAATTAAGCCCCACTTATAAAATGCATTACTTGAAGACAGAATTTGGAGCAATGAATGTTAGACTTGGGAAGAAAAAATAGCATATTTTACAAAATTTGACCACAATATGTTCTTCTAAGGAAAGAGAGCCCTAGAACAATATTAAATAAAAATCCAGAAACTGTAACCCCATTTTAAATAACAACCTTATTTTTCCCAGGTTCAGAGACTATGTCTTTATGAATGCCTTCCAATAGCCATCTATCATACCACTCAAAGATAATAAAAAATTCTGATGAAAGATTATACAATGTTTGACCTATCAAATTATCAAAGATTCATAATGATATTATATAAGCTTGGCAAGTGTACTCTTTATGATTGGCACCTTCTTCCCTCCTAGTAGCTGTGTAAATTTTCACAGAGCTTTTGGAAAGCAATTTGGCAGTATATGCTAACTTTTAAAATCTTCATCTATTTTGACTCACAAATTTCAATCTTAGGAAAAACATACTGAATTAGTATTTAGAGATATAGTCCAAACAGCTTATACATTTATATTATTTCTATTAATTGCAAAACTAGATTTCGTATGCAAATACAGGAGAGTATGTAAACACGTTTCAGTAAATCCATTTGAATTTCGTACAGATATTAAAAACATTTTAGAGAATTTTTAAACATGTAAAAGTTTTATTGCATAATGTTAAGTGAAAATAATCAGGGTATAAACCTAAGAATGGTATGACTGCACATAAATTCTACAAACACTAGTCTAGAAAAGAGCACAAAAATAATTTACAGTTTGATGATGTCACTTTTGCTAGATATGGTTCTAATTTTTAAGATACAGTTCATAATCTGTATTCAACCTGGCCTTTAAATGAAATGGCAGCAGCCCATAAATTTAATATGTATAGCTACTCAGACATTTACAGAAAATATAACTCTTTTATTTGTTGTCAATAACTAATCTGGTTTTCGTTCCAATCCTCCCCCCAGATTACTGGTTAGCAGGGGAGATAATTAAACTAAGTATCTAACCTGCAGCTGCTGATTTAAACAAGCCTTCAGGTCTCAGATTTATGTCTTTGTAACTTCTTACCCTAAAAGATATCTTGCTGATTGAAATGAGAGAAACTCTTATGTGAATTTGTGGCACAGGGTAGAAGTGTCTCTTTCCCAAAGACAGAATGCTTTTCTTTAGGTATATGTCGGCAGGAGGCAAAGGACCCTCCTCACTGGAGAGACAGTCTGCTCTATTGCCATTTGTTATTGAAGCCTGTAACTCTATACCTTGTGTGCTGATTTCCCTTGGCTTGAATCATGCTTTCTCTGGCCCTCCTTAGCGTCATGTTGATACCAGGTAGCCCTGTAGATCTCTTTCTGATCAAAAGACTTGTATCCCTTGGCTCCCATTTTTTCCCTTGGCTTTTGTAGTCCTTTAAGCGGCCCCTTTTATACAGATACACGTCATTCCATTATTGCACATTTGACAAGCATACCAGACTCTGAGCTGTCTCTGGGTCTTATATATGACACGTAGTCATATATCATAGTAAATTAGGAGAGCTAATTTCAGTGCTTTTTTCTCCTTGACCTCACTCTTATGCCAAGTTTATTTTAATATGCAACCACCCAGGCCCATATTTCCTCTGAACTATCAAGAGGTAGGTAGAATATTCTTGTACTTCTTTTACACATTATTATTATTATTATTATTTTGAGATGGAGTCTCGCTTTGTCTCCCAGGCTGGAGTGTAGTGGTGCGATCTCGGCCCACTGCCACCTCTGCCTCCCGAGTTCAAGAGATTCTACTGCCTCAGCCTCCCGAGTAGCTGGGATTACAGACACGCTCCACCACACCCAGCTAATTTTTGTATTTTTAGTAGATAACGGGGTTTCGCCATGTTGGCCAGACTGGTCTCAAATTCCTGACCTCAGGTGATCCACCCGCCTCAGCCTTCGAAAGTGCTGGGATTACAGGCGTGAGCCACTGCTCCTGGCCACCTTATTATTTTTTAATTCCTGACTTGATCTTGCTTTCATGGCCTATTAAGTGTAACTTCAAATCCATACAGGAGAATTCTAATCAATAAACCCACAAAACTTGTGGTTGGTATGCTAATGAATATTGTTAAAATGAATTTACAGTGTTGTTGATAAAAACAATCATGGTTGCTTCTGGTAGAGGAAAAATATTGACCGGAAAGTTGCAGAAAGGATTTTTTAATATAAATATTTAGAATAAATATTATATATTTTGATTGGAGTGATGGACAGCATAAATATGTTTGTCAAAATTTATCAAACTGTGCACTTAAAAAGTTATATCAAAATAAGAGTACACATGAGAAAGAGAATTCAAAATCCTCTAAGGAAAGAGTCACCTTTCCTTATGGCGTTGTCTTGCTGAATAATTTTATGTTGCATGTGAAAGGCCAAACAATTTAATGGCATTAATTACATTCACAGTGTTGCGTAATCATCACCACTATTTTCAAATCATTTTTACCACTCCAGACAGAAAATCTATATTCATTAATCAGTAACTTCTCTTTCACATGTCCCCTCAATCTCTGGTAACCTCTGATCTACTCTCTATCCCTAAAAATTTTCCTATTTAGATATTTTATATAAGTGGAATTATACAATAGTAATCTTTTTTCAATTAGTAGAAGGTTTTCAAGGCTTATTCTTGTTGTAGCCTTTATCAGAACTTCAACTTTTTTATTGTTATTATTTTAGGGTATTTCTATATTCAGAGCAAAATTGAATGAAAATACGGAGATTTTCAATATACAACTCCCCACTATACTACATACCCACAGCCTCCCTCACTATCAACATCCTGTATCACAGGGGTACATTTGTTACAATTGATAAACTTACATTAACATATCACTATCACTCTAAGTCCATAGCATATACTGTATTAGGGGCCACTCTTGGTGTTGTACATTATATGGGTTGAACAATTGTATAATGGCATGTACCCACCACTGTAGTATCACAAAGAATAATTTCACTACCCTAAAAATTCTCTGAACTCTATTTATCCTTCTCCCCCTCAACCCTGGAAACAGCTGATCTTTTTATGGAATACATTTTTAATTGACATGTAATAACTGTACAAATTTATGGGAAATAACTGTCTCAATAGTTTTGCCTTTTCAGAATATTATGTAGTTGGAATCATATACTATGTAACCTTTTGAGACTGCCTCTTTTAACATAGTCATAAAAATTAAAGGCTCCTGCATGTATTTTCATGGCTTGACACCACATTTTTTTTCTGATTTCAATTCCTGTCTTTATTTCTTTTAAAGCTTTTATTTTAAGTTTGAAGTACAAGTGCAGGTTTGTTACATTGGAAAACTTGTGTCATAGGGGGTTTTTGTACAAATTGTTTCATCACCCAGGTATTAAGCCTAGTGCTAATTAGTTATTTTTTTTGATTTTCTCCCTCCTTCCACCCTCCACCCTCTGATAGGCCCCAGTGTGTGTTATTCCCCTCTATGTGCCCAGGTGTTGTCATCATTTAGCTCCCACTCATAAGTGAGAACATGTAGTATTTGTTTTTCTGTTCCTGAATTAGCCCGTTAAGAGTAATGGCATCCAGCTCCATCCATGTCTGCAAAGGACATGATCTCATTCTTTTTTATGGCTGCATAATATTCCATGATGTATATGGGCCACATTTTCTTTATCTGATCTATCACTGATGGGCATTTAAGTTGATTCCATGTCTTTGCTCTTGTAAATAGGATAGCACGTTTCTTTTTATTGCTGAACAATATTTTATGTCATGGATGTACCACAGTTCACTTCTACATTTACCTACTGACAAATATCTTGGTTACTCCAATTTTGACAGTTACAAATGAGGCTGCTATAAACATTTGTATGCAGGTTTTTGTGTGAGCATAAGTTTTCAATTCATCTGAATAGCAAATAATATAATTGGCAGATTATATGGTAAGTATATGTTTAGTTTTGTTAGGAAACTGCCAAACCATTCTTTAAAATAGCTGTGCCTTTCTGTATCACTACCAGCAATAAATGATTATTTCTGTTGCTCCTCATCCTCACTAGCATATGTTGTTATCAGTGTTTTGGATTTTGATCATTTTAATAGGTGTGTTGTGGTATCTTATTATTTCAGTTTGTAATTCTCTAATGACATGTGATGCCGAGCATCTTTTCATATGGTTGTTTGATATCTGTAAATATTTTTTTGTTGAAGCTTCTATTCAAGCCCTTCATCCATGTTAAAATCAGGTTATTTGTTTTCATATTTTTGAGTTTCCAGAGTACTTTGTATATTTTGGGTAACAATATTTTGTAATATATACCTTTTATAAACATATTCTCCAAGTCTCTACTGTAAATATGCAGAAAAAGAAGTGGAATAAAATATTGAGAATGGCAGTCATTGATGATTGGATTAGAGATTATTCTTATTTCCTCTTCATTTTTTTTCATTCTATAAATTTCTACATTGAGCCTGTACTGCTTGTCAACTGAATAAATAAAAAATAATAATCCTTTAGTCAGGTCAAATTCAATTTCTCCAACTTTCACCTAAAATGGCAATGATATTTAAACAAAGTTTAAAAGAACTTATAACCCAGAAAACTAGGATCTATAAATGACAGTCAACCCATTGTCAGAATCTGGGAAAAAGCTCATTTTTAATAACTGTAAGGTAAATGGGCTGGTATAAGTTAGCTCTTCCATTTACAGAGATAATATTAGAATAATTTTTTTCTGCATTCACATGAGGTCATATTATCAGTAATAATTCAAACAGTGTTGGTTCTTGTGTCTACATACTGCGTTGTTCCAGTCTTTTCAAAGTAGTCCCAAGTTATGAACTGAGTACTCAGATATCTGTTCAGGATTAAGCTCATGTACCTTGTCATGACTGCTAATCATATTGAATGTGGTGGTTTGTGCCAGATACTACTCCTACTTTCTGTGACTTACACAGTTACTTCATCTGGCACTGCAGTTGGGATTGCTGGTTCACTATGAATTGATGTCCCCACCAAATACTCTTTCTTGTGCTTCAGCATCCAGTTACCACAGCTTCTTAGAACTGCAGAAGAGGATGTTGCTACTCAGCATCACTGATGCAGCATAAATGACCCTTATTGTATTGAAGCTGTATGGTAGTCCACAGCAAAGAAAAATGATTACTACATTTGCCTCTTGAGTTTATTAATTTTAAAATTTATTCCACTAGTTTTAATTAAACCCATAAAGTGAACAATAAAACAATATATAAGTAAACATCTTAGTCCTAATTCATACCTCCACAGAACTTACATATTTTAGGAGAGAAATAAAGAAATTAGAGAATTTTATGGCAGGGTAAATAATCTAAGCTGAGGAATTGGAGAAAGGAATGGCATTTAAATAGAGGTCAACAGAATACAGAGCCATAGAAGAACCTCTAGGAGAGTCTTATTTTTGACATATGGAATAGTCTATACAAAGTCCCTGACACGAGAGAATAAACATAGTTTTTCTGAATTCTAGTAACCAAATGAGGTCCAGTGTAACTGGAGACTGATGAATATAAAAGGTAAATAAGCTCCAGATTATAAATGATATTATAAATCATGGTAAATATTTACATCTTCATTCCAAGGAGGTTGAACGCCATTGAGAGGTTGAAGTGATGAGATGTTTGAAATAACTTTTTGGACACAGTGTGTAGAATAATTTGGCAGGGGGTCAAGACTGAACAGAGAAAGCATAGTTAAGAAGCTATTGCAAAAAAGAAGTAGAAGCAGGAGAAAAAGAGGAGCAGGAGGAAGAAGAGGGGGAGGAAAAGGAAGAAGGAGAAGAAGATGCAGGTGAGAGATGATTGAAGCTTTTCACAAGTGAGTAAAAAGAGTAGGGATAGAAAAAATATAGAAAGATTTTTTTGAAAACAGAAATATTTAACAGGACATGGTAGCTGAATATATGGCCAAAGAGAGGAGAATCAAGTATGACTCCCATATTTTAACTGAGTTCTAGTAAAGGAATAAAAACAGTAGAGCTAGTGGCATCAACAGTTTTCTCAGTTTCACAGAAACTACTTTTTAAATTGTTTCATTGTAGTCCTTACTTTCTTAGGTTTTGAGACAATTGAACCAAGAGGCTAGGGAAATTGATTCAAGTAACAGGCATCATTCTACTCTTGGGATACCTCCTCCAGTTCTCCCCTGCTCTTTCTTCTCTTAGGAAAAAATCCTTTCATGACTAAGGGGAATTTGCTACAATAGTTCTGTTTGATTTTGCTACCAGTGTCTCAGTTATTCCCAAGAGTGGAAAAAGCTTGGATTATTTTTAATATCCTTTTTAGCTCTCATACAACCACATTTGTTTATTTTCAATACTTTAAAAATGATTACTGACTTTACAAAGATACAAACAAAAAATTCAAAACACAATGCAAGGAAATCCCCCCCACAAATGATTTGAGAATAAGTTGTTGACTTGATGCCCTGTGTCCCAAAATTTCTTAACCATTTATTTTTTATAAAAACATTCTACTACACAGTCAAAACAAATTCTTCAAAATGGGAAAATTTCGCTCACTTTCTGTCACAATAAAATATTCTATATTTATTGTCTACTTGTCTGTTCAAGCACTGAAATCAGCCATATCTAAGTATTCTTGATTCCTTTTAAAGAGAAAGAGAAATGATATTTTGAAGCCAGCATCTAAGCAGTATATATGCCTCTAAGCATATCTCTCAGTAGACAGAAGTTGGGAAATAAATGTGTGTATACGCACACACACACATTTACATTTATTTTTATTTTTATCTACCTATCTTTCTATCTATATGTTCCTCTAGCTCCTATCCACCCATCCATAGACACCATGGGAACTGATACCATAATACTTTCATTTCCTATCTACCAGCAAAAGCTTCATTTTGGTTTTCTCCCTTTAGATATTTGTTCACATTTTTTCGATAGTGAGAGAACTTATTCCATTTCTAGTTATTTACTTGGTCAGTTCTCCAGTATGTAATCAATCTCTCACGTTGGCCACTGCCTCCTTCCCTGTGTGGATACCCTCCTCATACAATTTGGGGTCCGATACTCTTCTTTAGGCTATTGTATCTGTCCCTTTCACCCCCCACCACCCACTTGCTCACCTAATTACTTTAGACCTAAATTGTTTAGAAAGCGAAGGAAATACTAATTTACACTCCCATTAACAGTGTAAATTAGTTCAACCATTGTGGAAGACAGTGTGGCGATTCCTCAAGGATCTAGAACTAGAAAACTAGAAATACCATTTGACCCAGCAACCCCATACTGGGAATATACCCAAAGGATTATAAATCATTCTGCTATAAAGACACATGCACATGTATGTTTATTGCGGCACTGTTCACAACAGCAAACACTTGGAACCAACCCCAATGCCCATTGACGATAGACTGGATAAAGAAAATGTGGCACATATACGCCATGAAATACTATGCAGCCAAGGATGAGGTCATGTCCTTTGCAGGGACATGGATGACGCTGGAAACCATCATTTTCAGCAAACTAACACAAGAACAGAAAACCAAACACCGCATGTTCTATGAATGAGAGTGGGAGTTGATCAATGAGAACACATGGACACAGAGAGGAGAACATCACACACTGGGGCCTGTCAGCGGGTTGGGGGCTAGGGGAGGGATAGCATTAGGAGAAATACCTAATGTAGATGACAAGTTGATGAGTGCAGCAAACAGCCATGACACGGGTATACCTATGTAACAAAGCTGCACATTCTGCACATGTACCCCAGAACTTAAAAGTATAATTTAAAGAAATGCAAAAAAGGAAAGTGAAGGAAATAGAAAAAGAACAGGCAAAGGGAGAGAGAAAACATACTTTTATAAGGCTTTTGCCATCAGTTTGTCTGCTAAGCATACCCAGCAATGATTAAAATCAATTGTTGGACAGTACCACACTAGGGTTCAGGATTAAATTTCCATTACTTAAATTTGTGGTATAAAAGTCTTTATAAAAACATTTAGTTCCTCCCTATATGTTCTTAATTCACACAGAAATGTAACTAGCAAAAATGATGGCCATGGTTCCTTTACTAACCAAGGGCTGTGATATTGAGGAACTCATATTGCTAATTCTCTCACTTCTCCATCCTCATCTTTACATTACATATCTTTGACCTATTATCAGATGTGTCATTCCCATAAATAAATGAAGAGATAGTAAAGGCATGTGGGTAGAATGAGAATTCTAGTGAGCTCCTTACAAGTTGAGAAATAATGTTCAATATGCAGTGTACTGAAGGTAAGTGTATGAGCATCTGTTACTTACATTACTCTTTCTGGTAAAAACACATGGTTTCCCTTGGGACCACAGCCATGCATTCTTAGTCCATGAATTTCAATGTAGTTTACTTTAAGTGTATATATATATCCAGGCAATTGAAGGCAGCATTGCATATCCTTGCCACAGTGAGTGTTTCAGAAATGGGCACAAAATTCAAGACAGAGTAATCAGAGTCTGAGACTAAATTTCTAGACTTTCGTTGGAGAAACAGTAAGTAATATTTCTTTTTATTTCACTTTTTCTTCTTTCTCATCCTGAAAGATATTACATAAGGCTAGAGTTGATTGCAACAATTTTGTGATCATGAAAGTGACAGGTTCTACTTGAGAAAAGAGCCAATAGCAAAGTGATAATGCAGACTGGATAACATGATTTAAATTTTTGGAGATAGATAGATAGATAAATAGAGAGACAGATAGATAGATAGATAGATAGATAGATAGATAGATAGATAGATGGATAGATGATAGATAGAGAGAGAGACAGAGATGTAGGTATATTCCCTAAGTCACTTTTATTTTGTAAGAAAAAATATACATTACTGAAAACATATAAACCTGAATTATGCAACACAGACATGAGTCAGTGGTGAGACAAAGCTTTATTTTAGCCTGAGAATGATTGGAAAGCTCATTTTATGGAAATTTAATAAAGAAAATGATCTATAGATATATGACTTTGCACCATGGATTTACACATCTAAAAGTTCTCCAGAAACGAATATTTTTCACATGTAGCAATCAAAAGGTTTTGCTTTCAAGAATAGAGGTAAAACTACAAATACAATTTTCTTCTCAACACATTGTTGTTAGTAAAAAGCTATCTCAATATAGAAAATGCTATGTAATTATAAATAGAAAAATTACAGGTCAATGATACATTCATTAGCCTAAGCTGCCATAGAGCTACATGTAGTAATCTAGTTACTGGAAAATGAAAAGTAGAAGAAGATGATTTGTTTTGGGGTAGGAATCAAGAGTTCAGTTTTGAACGGTTCCAGTTTGATATGCCTTCCCAAATGGAGATATATGAGCAAGATCTTTGAGGCATAATTTTCAGGGTCTAAATAAAGCCTCTTCCACACTCAATCTGTGTGACTTTGGTAAAATACTTTAATTTTTTGTGGCTCCATTTTCTCATCCATAAAATGTTGATGAAAATAAGGGCAAATATTTCATAGGTTTGTTATGAGAATTAAGTACAACTCATGTAATAAAACAGTGAGACAAGTACCTACAAGTGCCTGATAAATAATATTATTACTAGAGTAGTAAGAGTAGATGGTGAGAAATTGTAATGTTGAGACTATATTTTTAAAGTAGTTGACAAGATTGTCCAGCAGATTGGATAAAAAATTGAGGAAAAGGGAGGGTGCAAAGACAACTCCAAGAATTTTGTCTTAATCATCTGGGAAATGGAGTTACTATTTAATGAGATGCTAGAGACTAGTGGAGAAACAGTTTGAAATAAGTGAGGAGAGAATAAACACTTAATCAATAGACAAGTTAAGTTGAAAATGATGATTAGATATCCAGGTGGAGATGTTAACAAGAAGTTGAATATAAAATCTAGAGTTTTGATCACAGGTCCTAGCTAAAATATAAATTCAGGAGTTCTCACAATATAATTTTATTTTACATCATGGGGATGGACAAGACTGCCAACAAAAAAGTGAGTATTTATTCAAAAGGGAATAGATTCTTGATGTAGGGAACTAAAATGTTTAGAGGTTTGATGGGTATAAGACAACCAGCAAAAAGAGACTGAAGAGTAATGTAAGGTAAGAGGAAACCCAAGAGAGAGTTGTAATCCAGAAGCCAAGTCCAGAAAGCATTAAGTAGCTGTGTCAAATGAGCACAGTTTATGCAATAAGAGGACTGAGTTTTGACCATTAGTTTTGCCATTGTAGAAGTCATTGACCCGATAAGAATATTTTTGGTGAAATTGAAGGGCTAAAACTTGGATTTGGAGTAAGTTCAAGAGAGAATGAAAGAAGAGAAATGTGGCACTGACCATTACTGTTAATAATACTCTTAAGAATTTTCTGTAGATTGGAGCAGTAGCTGAAATAGAATATTTGGTTAAGGAGCTTTGTTTTGTTTTGTTATTTTAATATGGGAAATAATATGTTATGTGTGCTAATTGGAAAGATTCATCAGAGTGGGAATATCTGATGATTCAGAAGAGAGAGAGGACACATATAGAAGCAAAGTCCTTAAATATTGGAAAGAAGCTCTAGTGCCCAAAGGAGAATGTGGCCTTATATGCAAGCATAGACAAATCACCAGGGAAACTGACAGAAATTTAGATTATATGCATTCAGATGAAGGTTGGTGTTATATTTGGTAATGGGAGCATGTGAAATTTCTTTCTTGGTTGTTTCTAAGCTGTCAGGGAACTAAGAAGTCCTCAGCTGAGAATGAAGAACACGAAATTGTGCTGGGAGTTTGAGGAGAGAGGAGAAGATATAAATAATATTCACCTAGGAGAGTGACAGAGACATTCCTTTTTTTAGAGAATTGTAATGGAATGGTCCAGGAGTATCATGGGCCCACCTGAAGTTTGTGGTGATGAATTTAATATGAGAAAAGTCAGCATGGATGAGTGTTTTTATTTGGTCACATTTAGGTGTTCATGTTTTCTATTCGACATTGCTAACCTATGCCACAGCTTCTTCACCAGCATGGATGCTGTTGCTGTTCTCACATGTGTAACTGTGCCACTTGTGATATTTAATTGTATTTGGTAAGGGACGCCCAGAGTGCTGGCAAAACATTATTTCAGAGTATGTCTGTGAGGGTACTTCGCGAAGAGCTTAGCATTTGTATCAGTAGATTAAGTAAAAAGCCACCCTCACCAATGTGGATGGGCATCAACCAAGCCGTTGAGGGGCCAGATCAAACAAAAAGGCAGAGAAATGAAGAAGTCTCTCTCTATATATCTATCTGTCTCCTTGAACTGTGACATCCACCTTCTTCTGCCCTGGACATCTTGGTTCTTAGGGCTTTGGACCACAAGAGTTACACCATTAGCTCTTCTGACTCTCAGGCCTTAAGACTCAGACTGAAATAGATCACTGACTTTCCTGGTTCCCCAGTTTGTAGATGGCAAATCATGGGACTTGTCAGCCTCCATAATTGTGTGAACCAATTCTTATAATAAATATCATCACACACACACACACACACACACAACACACACACACACACACCCTATTGGTTCTGTTTATCTGAAGAGCCATGACTAGCATACCACTTGTTCTCCCCGTGCATCCACACTGACAAAGATGTGTCTATTTACTAGAAGGTCACACTCTAAATACTGAGAAAAATAAACAAATAAATGTAGTTTTAGAAGCTCTAATAAAAATATTCATTCTACAAAACGTCTTCTTACTTGACCTCCTGTAGTATTTGTATTTTCACTATTGAATATTATTCATTAAAGTTAAAGCACAGTTTTTTCAGAAGCCTCCAAATAAAAACAAATAACTGCAGAGAGGTTAAACACACACACACACACACACACAGAAAATCAGAAAATGTTATCTGGATAAGAATGTATATTTGCCAGTTACATAGGAAGGTTTTCAATCCCCTTTAAAATTTAATTTAAAATATTAAATTTTAATCTATTTAAGTTGTTTGAATTCTTCCAATTCCTCAGACGCTACTCAGTTTTGTTCATTGTGGCTATATGATAGAATTCCCTTTATCTACCAGCTTCTCCCAGGATCATTTTTCTTTTCCCTTCTTTATTTTCCTCCAAAAGAATAGGATAGAATCCGAGAGGATATTTTGAATGGAAATACACATTTTATACTAGATTAACAGGCAACTCAAAAATTCGAATTTTTCATAGTTTTATCTTTGTTTTCATTTGCAAAAAAACTATGGTTCCTTTGAGCATCCTATGAGCATTTCCTTTTCATTTTTAAGTCACAAGAACGTGAGGGATTCAAAAGGAGATAATTATATCATAGTGACTTGAAAGACAATGCAAAATAAAAGTAGCCTTCCCTTCAAGAAAACTATATATCTACATTTTATAATTGAGGAAACAAAGCAGAAAAACAATTATTCTTGGAAAATGTCTGATCTTTATTATTTAAAAATTTTCTCTCTACTTAAGGAGTCGATTTGAAAAGGCAACAGAAAAAAAGGCAGTTGTCTAAAAGGAACGTATGAGTTTTTTAAGAGAAATGATTCTCCGAGAAAAAATAATCAGTAAAAGCATTCAGGGGACATATAAAACAGCCAGGCTATAATGGGTTACCATCAGCAAATGATATAAAAGGAAGCCTGTCACAGATTACAAATGATTAGGAAATCAAAGCACACAGTGGGAAGGTGGGCTTACTACTTCTCAGGGGCAGGAGAAAAAGTAATGTTTGACAAGGTGAGGGTTGGAACTCCTAATAGCTACTTTACTTCACTCATTGACAATTATAATAGAAAAGGAATGCTCAGGGCAATAAGAGTTAATGAGAAAAACATGTAACTGGGCAGAATTTGAACCATATTTAGTTTAAAAAATATCTCAGTAGCTTGGAATGTATTCAAATCAGCAGAGTATATAATATTCACTGTAGAATATTAATTTTTAGAAAGGCAAATCTAACAATAGAATCATTACAACACATTCTGGAAAACTATAGTTAATTTTTAAACTGTTCTTTCTTATTTTTAAATCAGAAAACTCTTACATAAGCCTTATAAGAATATAGTAAAAAATAAAAACTCTCTTTTATCACTGTCTACTCCTCAGGTAGCCATTATTGACAGTTTGGTGGGTATACTTCTTTTTTTTTTTTTTAGACAAAATTTTGTTCTTGTTCCCCAGGTTGGAGTGCAATGGTGCAATCCTGGCTCACTGCAGCTTCCACTTCCCGGGTTCAAGTGATTCTCCTGCCTCAGCCTCCCGAGTAGCTGGGATTACTGGTGCACACCACCACGCTTAGATAATTTTGTATTTTTAATAGAGACAGGGTTTCACCATGTTAGACAGGCTGGTTTCAAACTCCCAACCTCCGGTGATCTGCCTACCTCAGCCTCCCAAAGTGCTGGGATTACAGGCATGAGCCACCGTGCCCGGCCTGGTTGGTATACTTCTGATCTTTTTTAGAGTCCTAGGCACATACCACAAAAATATAAATACATTACATATAAAACTCCATTTGCAAATTCAGGTCTATGAGAAAATTAACTTTAATTTTTCTATCACAAATGTCAAACTTTACATAATGTCCCAATTAGAAACCTAATCTCCATTTGTTGTGGGTTTCATACCCCTTTCTCTAGGGTCATGTTTTAGGTCTAGGAAACTTGTCAAGGTATCAGGAGTGGGACCTGAGTGCTGTCACCTAAGCTAACCCAAAAGTGGACCCAAATTTCCATCCAGTCTTTGATTTTCATTTCATTGAGATTATTACCATGTCCTCCCTCATTTTCAATTCCAAGATCTTTTTATTTCCACTTGTTCTCTATGTCATATCCCTTCTCTTTTGGAGGATGTATCTCACCTAAATAATTGCAATAATCTCTTAGCCATTCTCCTGTTACTTCTATTTCCCACACAGTCTGTTTCACATGTCAGTCACAGTGATCTAAAACATGAGCCGAATTATGTCAGTCTTCTGCTTAAAGCCCTCCAGTGTATTCCTGCCTCACCTAAGCACAGTCCAAGTGCTTTTAATGACCTGCAAGGCCCTGTAATTTGGTCTCTACCAATATGACTAATCTTCTGGCACTTTCTGCTTCTTACTCTGCTTTGCCCCACTAGTCTCCTGCCAGTTCTGTGACCCCACCAGGCATGCTTCCACCATAAGACCAGCCATTCTACTGTCCTTTTGTTCCTTCTGCCTACCATGCTCTTCACACAGATGTCTTTCAGGTGTTTATTTTAAAGTCATTTTCTCAATAAGGCTCTCCACAGTTGCTCTATCTGAGCTTTTGTTCTTATTCTAGCAATATTTTATATATTCCTTAGAAATTTTCACTAATATCATGTGTATTTTATTTTTATTGTTTTTGCTGTCCATTTCAAACACTACAGTTTAAGTTCTATGAAGGTAATTTTATTCATTACTATTTTCTCAAGTTCCTGTAATATGTCTAGAATATAGGTAGCAGGCCTTCAAGAAATATACTTTGAATGAATTAATGAGTGAGTGAATAAATGAATCAGTAATGAGAAACTTACTACTGATCCTATCTCATGCTAAGGTCATAAGAAATGCTTCAAGACTTTCCTAGGCCTATTTTTACTCAATAATTTATTTATTTTTCTACCATGTTAAACATGAGAAGCTGATAGAGATTTTGCTTTTTTGGGATCTTGCCTGGAAATGGCTAATAGATCATTTCCATCCTAAGATTGCTAAACATGCCTAGAAATTTCATCAGATAGAAAATGTTGCAGCCACAAAACCCTATTTCAGGAACCTATCACCAACCAAGTTCTCCTTACCTTTAATCCTTTCCTAGTTCTTGGAATACTTTCATAGAAGGAGCATGGTGAAAACTTGATGTATTTTGGCTTATTTATTTAATAAACACCTATATCAAGAAATAAAATGGCTAGCATCCCTTTGCCTTCCTCCCATCCCCCTAAAGGTAACTGCCATCTTGATATTTGTAATAATTATTTTATAGTTACTTATAACTGTATTTATATTTTAACTTAATATAATCATTCATTTGTTTTCTTTTGTAACCTTCTGTTTTCCCTCAAATTTGTTGGTAAGATTCCTCCATGTCATGGTATTTAATCACAACTTAGTCATTTTTGTTGCATAGCATTCTCTACACTGTGATTGATTTAGCTATTCTATGTTGATGGCTGAGGGTTTTTACACTTTCTTTTCTTCTATTATAAAATATGTTAATGTGCATAATATTGTGTATGTATCCAGGTGAACAGGGGCAAATATTTTTCTGAGTCATATCTATGAGAAAATTGCCTAGACATAGAGAATTGCAGATTTTCATATTTATTATACAATAATAAGCAATTCTTCTGGAATTTCAAATCAATTTTGAAATATTCTTATTGCTCTATGCTCCTTAATACTTGTTAATGTTAGATACTGTTTATATGCAATTTTAATAGTTGTAAAATAAATTCTACTTGTGGGCTTTAATTAGCACTTTCTGAATTTCTAATGAGATTGAGTGATCACCTTTTCCTATGTTCACTAAGTATTTAAACTTTTTTCTGTAAATATTTACTAATACATTTGGCCCAATTTTCCATTATTGTCTGTCTTTCTTCATAGAATTGTGAACACTAGTCCTGTGTCAATTATATGTGTCTTAAATATCTTCTTCTACATGTAGCTTGTCTTTTATCACTCTGTATGGTATGTATTGATTTTAAAAAATCTTCATCTGGAACTTTTTGTGTTTATTTTTAAGAAAACATACTTAGGCAGAGGATATTAATATATTATTCCATGTCATATTCTGAAAGATGAGTAATTTTGACTTTCATATTAAGACTAATTTACCTTGACTTGCTTTTAAGGTATCGTCTAAGGCAAGATTTCAATACCATTAATTTGCATATAAGTTTTCAATTTTGTCATAGTATTTACTGAAAAGCCTACTCTTTCTGACTGATCTTTCAATAAGCCCTCTGTTACATATTGAGTTCCCATATATGTGTAAGAGGATATTTATAGTTAATATTTTGTTTCATCAGTCTATTTCCAAATATTACACTGCCTTTGTAACTATAGCTTATATTATGTCATGTGTTGATATCTTTCATCTTGTCCTATTTCTTTAATAGTGTTTTGACCTTTGACCTTATTTGACCTCTGCACATATTTTAGAAATCAAATATGAATTTAGGAAGAGCTGAAATCTTTGTAATATTGAATTCTTCAATTTATGATTATGATATATATCTCCATTTATTTATTCTTAAATTTCACTCAATAAAATTGTATGATTTTATAACAACAATTTGGTGAAGAATGGAGTAGTTTGAACATTCAGATGTTCCCATTGAGAACAAGTATGACTAAAACAATTTTTAAAAAAATTGTTTCACTAAAAATTGAAGACACTGGAGAGCTACTAAGGAAACCAAGAATTAAGGAGAACAAAGTCTGAGGAAGGAAGAACTGTGCAGTGACACAAGCCACTCTTTTATGAGAAATCCATATAAACAGCTAATTTAAAATGACGAATGAATAGTAGGTAGTAGGTCTCATGGAACTGGAAGCAAGGAATACGGACATAAGAATTTACAAGTTGGAAAGCTGATTCCAGTTAATGTGCAGGTTTATCTTCATACATTTACTACACTCAGAAGCTTAGCATGTAAGGTAGACAAGATGCCAATCCAAACACCTCAGAAAATCATAGTGGATTATTTGCATTCTTGTGCAGGTGGTAAGTTTTACAGTTCTTCAGCACTTTATACGTTCTATTAATTTTTGGCCTTGACATATCTAATGAGAAGTTTTCATTCAGTTGAATCACTGCTTCCTTGTATGTAATGGGTCATTTTTTGTTTGGGTACTATCAAATATATTCTTTATTTTTGGTTTTCAATAGTTTGATATGATGAGCTAAAGTGATATTTGAGTTTATGCTGTCTTGGATTCACTAAATTTCTTGAATGTGTTCATTTCAGTCTGTCATCACATTTGGGAAGATTTCTGGTATTGTAATTAGTTCTTCAAATATTAATTCTGTGTTTTTAAACCTTTTTTTTTCTTTTTCTGTGGTTTCACTTACTCTTATGTACCTTTCAATAAGATTATTTCTCAATCCCTGAGGTTCTGTTCATATTTTAAGGTGTTTCTTGCCTCTTTTTATGTTAAATAATGTATTTGAATCTATCATATATTTCCCTGAGTATTTCATAATCTGCATCATTCTATTAGTTTTATCTAGTGGATTTTTTATTTCAGATATTATATTTTTAAAAAATTTACATTTTAAAATATTCTGCTTCTTCACTGATATGGCCTTTTTGTTTATTATAAATATATTCTTTAACTTTATTGAGCACAGATACATTAACTGTTTTAAAATCATTTTATTATCATTCTAATGTTTAGATTACCTTGAGATTGGTACCTGTTGATTATTTTTTCCATGAAGAATGGTTTACATCTTCCATTTTTTCATGTTGGATAATTTTGAATTGATATTGTGAATGTTATGTTCTACAGACTCTGGATTTTGTACTATTCTTCCAGTGAGTGTTGATATTTTCATGCTTGCTTTGGTGGTTGCTCATATTTCATTTAAGAATTATTTCAGTCTGCTCTACTCATGCATGGCCCAGGAGTCAGTGAGAGACATAAGCATTCTTCTTATACAGAATGTGGTATCCCCCTTTATGGCTTTGCCTTTCCAGTATTATCTTCATCATATGATAACTTCACTAATCTTCCATCCAGAAATATGTATTCTATTGGAGTTTCAGCTTGACTCTACCATCACCACATGGGAAAGCCCACAAAAATAAATAACTCACTCTATATTATTCATTTTATCTGTCTTTTAATTTTTCTTCAAAGTCTACATGCTTCAATAACTTTTCCAGAGCCCTCCAGTAATGGATTTGTGTTTTGCCAGAAGTTATAGAAAGGTCAGTTTTTCAGGAAATCATGGCCCTACAAAAGAAACAAAACTCCATCCCTCTTTCATCATTTCTATAGTATCTCTGCTGGAATTTCTAATCTATTTAAACATTTTGTTCAGTGTTTTACTAGTTCCTTTAACATATATGTCTTAGTTATATTAAAGTCTTTGTCTATTCCAATACCTAGGGCTCTCTGGGTGTCTTTCTATTAACTGTTAATTTTATCTTAAATTGAGGCCATATATTCTTGCCTCTTTGCATGCACCATAATTTGATACTATGCTAGACAGTGTATAAAAAACAAAAGAGTGAAGAAAATACTATCTATCCCAGAAAAGGACATGGCAGAAAAGCACATGGCCCTTTTCCTGACACATTGCTAGTACCAGGGGGCTGAGTCAACATAAGCTGCTTTTGAGCTGGGTCTGAGCTTTGACAGAGATTTAGTTAGAGTCAATTCACCACATGCTTCAAATACTTTGAGGGCACAATCAGAATTTTATTTTCAGTAGAGCTTTGACTCTCAGCACTTGTAAGACTTTGCCTATCTCTTTGTACGCAAGATCAGCAACCACCCTTCATACTGGTAGGACACATTTCTCTATAGGCTACCCACCAGTTTTTGTGTTTTGGTTTGTTTGTTTGTTTGTTTGTTCTACTGGTGAATTATCTTTGTTCCTGTGACCTCTCCTGGGCTTTATTTATTTATTGCCTTGGAAGGACTCTCTTCACTCTGTCACCCTTCCCCTAGGCTTTGGAGAGCCATTTCTGTGTTCTTGGTGAAGGCTCAGTGGCTTCAGAGGAATTTTTCTCAGGGCTCCTGTTGAGTCCCCAGCCTGTAGAGGTATGTTACATTTTATTCAGTGCCATGTACCCCAGAGAGATTTTCCTTATCTCTTAACCTGTCCCATGTATGTACTTGAAATACACCAAGACAAAGGGCTTTATTTAGACTCTCCTTCCTCCCCACCCGGGCTTAAATGCACTATCCTTTGTTCATCCAATGAACGTCTGCGGAACTTGCTGGTGGGTGAATGCAGACTTATATTACCAGGCTCTTCCAGATGTTAATCCTTCATGCCAGGCTTCTTGTATTGCTAAAAGTGTGGCTAGTTTTTTCTTAACTCATCCGTAGAGAACTCCTTTTCTTCCTGCCTGAAAGCAGTCATGGGCTTCTCCTCTTGTAGGAAAGATTCATAACTTTCTGCATCTTCTAGGATGTTTTTTTAGTGTCTTTGCTTATTCTGCTCAGTTATGATAAAGAAAAACAAAAATCAAACAAAAAGATAAAAAGCCAAATAATTTTACCTTGTCTATCTTGCTATCATTCTTAGGATACAAACAAGAGTAGTATGTTATTATTATTATTATTACACACTAACTGGAAGCAGAATTGGATTTATGGGTATTTAGTTTCCAAAATAGTTGTTTTGTCTGGTGTTTATGAAAATATATAAAGAAATTAAAATCCAACATTTCACCATCACAATATTCCCAACATTTCTACTAATTTTCTATTCTTCTTAATTTTTTTAAAATTTTTACATTAAAAAATTATTTCCATAGGTTTTGGGGAATAGGTGATATTTGGTTACATGAGTCAGTTCTTTCGTGGTGATTTGTGATATTTTGATGCACCAATCTATTTTTTTCTTTTTTAATATTTTAACTTTTATTTTAGGTTCAGGGGTACATGTATAGGATTGGCATATAGATAAACTTGTGACTCAGGGGTTTGGTCTATGGATTATTTCATTACTCAGGTATTCAGCATAGTACTTGATAGTTTTTTTTTTTTCTGAACCTCTCCCTCTTCCCCCACCTCTACCCTCAAGTAGGCCCCAGTGTCTGTTGTTCTTTTCTTTCTGTCCACGTGTCCTCATTATTTAACTCTCACTTAAAAGTGAGAATGTGCAGTATTTTGTTTTCTGTTCCTATGTTAGTTTGCTAAGGATAATAGCCTTCAGTTTCATTAACGTTCCTGCAAAGGACACAATCTCATTCTTTTTTATGGCTGCATAGTATTCCATGGTGTATATGTATCACATTTTATCAAGCCTACTGTTGATAGGTATTTAGGTTGAGTTCATGTCTTTGCTATTGTGAATAATGCTGCAATGACCATATGTCTTTATGCTAGGAAAAATTATATTCTTTTGGGTATATACTCAGTAGTGGGATTGCTGGGATTTTTATATATCAAAAAATTAACTTTTTATTTGTTCATATTTATTACAAATTTTTAGACAAGCATCAAAAATCTCAACTGAAAACAACATGAATAACAACTATATTTCAACATTACATGTGGAAAATTAATTTTTACATTATGAGATTTTAGGAAATTTCTATTAAAGATTAATTTGAAAATAACATTTATTTTGATTTCATTTGAAATAATTTACTATAGGTACTTATAGTATTCCTATAAGTACATAAATAATATGTACTTATTTTATTCCTTTTATATTTTAAAAACACTAAAAAACTTATAGAAAATCAAAACATGCGAAAAGGAAACAAAAGAAAATATATAAACTAAAGGTAGAAATAAAGCAAATATAATGCAGTACATGCTAAAATTTGATAAATAATATTAATATTAGATAAATCTTAGATATATAGTAATAACTAATATAGTTTAATGTTTTCTAAGCTTTGTACTTTTTATTATTCTGTTATCTTTTTCATATCTTAAGAAATAGCCAACAGATTGAGAGTCAAGCATTTGAATGGTGTCTCATTTATTAATCTTTTTTCTTTCTACTCCAAATTCACTCTTCATTGTCTACTTGTGATACTAGAACATTTACTTCTCACTAGCTGGCATGATGGAAGCTTCATTATGAGTAGGTACTCTATTGTGTGATTTTTCTTAGCAAATTTCCAAACATCCCTGTGGAGAGCTTCTCCTGCCATTCCATAGAGTAGTTTCCCAGTGAGTTCCACTCCCAGTGGTACCTTCCCATGGATGGCTTCCCCCAGCATCTCACTGGATGACTTCACAATGGGTCTTGCACTGTGACACTTCTCCATGGGTAGCTTTCCAGTGAATCTAAAGAGGTGGCACTTCAGTAACTTCTCCCCCATCAAAGAGATCCTCTATAAAGAGGTCTGGACCTCAGCCCTGGATGTCATGCCTCTTCCAGACATGTTCTTACTTGGGTGCTCTGCAACAGCCCTGTGGGTTATGGTTACTCCATATACCTTCGATTCCTGTATTCTTTAGAATATGCTTAGTATCTACTTTAAATACTCCAATTTGCTGTTCAGATCAATGGATAAATTCCTCTCCCCTGCTAGGATTCTAATAGATGGAAGCACTACCAAAGAAATAGGACAGGCTCTATTCATTGTTTATTCTGGCTTATTCAACCCAGAAGAAAGAATAATATGTTAATAAGCAACATTACTAGAATGCCGTGGAAATCTAGAATGGCAATATTGAAGAGCTGTAAAAATTAAGAGAGATATCACAAACTTAATCTGAAGATGGAGAATCTAAAATCAGTTTATACTCAGGGATATAGGTAAGCAAATTTAGAGAATTATTTTAATGGGAATTAGGAATCAAAGATTAGGTATTAAATACAGAGTCATTCTCAGGCACTAAGAAAAGGCAATATTCCATTATTAGCATTACTAAAACATTAGTCTAGTTATCAAGATATATCAAAGCGTAAGAAACAAGTGTGGGCATAATTTCCAGAATAACAAGTGATTTTAATTTTCTATTTATACATTTGCACATATTTTATTATTTTCTATGATTTACATGTATTATGATATAATCAGGAAAACATACATTTAAGAATATTTTAAACAAATGTCATGGAATATAAATATTTAGTTATGTCTCAAAGCAAGACAAAAGTCCAATGATTGGTACTAATCTTCACAGCTATAGGGTACAACAAGCAAGAATGCCTTAATGCTCACAGTAGTGTTGATTTAGGCTACTAAAATATTTTCTACAAAATTTAAGAATTATGACAAATTGTGACAAAATTGGGATGGTACGTAGAGATATCAACTTTTTCCAGAGTTGGGGTAAAGGGGGAGTATGCTGTGGAAACTGAAAAATAACTAGATATCACAACCGAAACTTCCTTTTTTATCACTGATTCTTATAATAATCTGGTATGAATAAATTGGAAATATATATATACACAAACATATATTTTGTGTGTATATATACACATTATATATCTGTTTCCTGTGCACATGTTTATATACATATTTATATACATATAAATATATGTTAATAAATATTCATTCTTAAATGTATGTTTTCCTGATTAAAACGTCTTCTTTATATCAGTGATGAATCTAAGAATATGAATCAATGTTTCTTATAGTACCTAGTACTGAAGAAAAAGAAACAAAAAAGACATCCATTTTCCCATCCTGCCAATTCCATTTATTTTTCCAACTTTTGGAATATTGTCTTAGACATCCTAGATCTACTTTACTTCAGCCTTTTACTCCTAAATATTTTGAACCTACTATATTAAAACAGAACCATAAATATTTTCTATGGCAAGCCTGAAACTTTCAATTGGCAATAAATTGACACAGGAAATTATTAATCCATTCAACAACCATTTTTCTTGTATGTCTGTATGTGCTAGGACTTAGACATTGTATTAGGCAAAGAAGACCATGATGTCTACTTAAGAATGTATGATCTTTTGGATATTAGTTCTCAAATGTGGAATTCAATCCAGACTTAAAAATAAAACTATCCTAAGATAGTGTAGGATTACTAAAGTATATGCTTACTTCATAGCATTTGATTGTAATTTGAAAATTGGTTATTTAATTAATAATCTAAAAAATTATCTAACAGAATTCATGAAATGAGCAATAGGCATTAGAATTTACTTCCTATCATTTAACTCATTAGTTCTTTTACAGATGTTTCTGTATCCCAATGGTTGGAGATGTGAGAAAATTGCCAGGATTCTATGTGCTCTCAAAATTGAAGCCCTTAGCTTTTGTGAAGCCAAAAACTGTCTCATTAAAATTAAAATGATTCTCCCATAATAAATATATATTTTCCCAGTAAGTTCAACTCTCTACAGAACAATTTTTAAATTTCCATTTGTTTTTTTTACTAAAACTAAAATAAATCTTGTACTCCTACCATTATATTTGACAAATAAGTAGATAAATGAGAATAAATCAGGCATTTTGGGAAATTCTTTTAGGAGAAGGCAATCCAATCTTTACATGAATATCTTGCTCCAGAGAACAGCATATTCTGTTGTATCAGAGTCCACTGAATAGATAATAATCTAACTAAATCAGTTTATAAACTTAGGAAAATGCCTTGGAAATTGAGAATATGGGACATTATATTGATCCATTTTTTTACCCAAGTGGTTTGTTGACTGAATTGACCAAATTGACTGTTTTGTTTTTCATCTTAAAAACAAAGGTAACAAATTACATAAAATCATGAAGTAACTTTCACGGGACAAAACCAATGAAATTAAAAGTAATAAGGACAAGAATTATAAGACTTAGCAACACATTTAAAATATATATCAATAACTAGCCTCAATATGGGATATATAAACGTTATCCTTATTAAATCCTGAATGAGCCAATCATTAAATAAGTCAAGCTTTGCTATGCCTGGTTTATTGTACTTGGATAAGAAAAGGGTATGTACTATTTTAGTTTTCTCTTAAGGCAAATGTAATAACAGCCACATTTTATTCATACTCCCTATTTAGCCACAATTTTGAAGCCATATATTAAGCTAGAAAAGATACCATGTGAATATCTTTGAAAGACCTCTGAAGGCATTGTATCATTCTAGTTACTTTGTCTCAGGGCACTGATACTTTCACTAGTTGGAATCCAGCCCAGTAAAATAGATCTTAAAGTAATTCTCTCTAAAATGTTGATATTTTGATATTTTAAATGCGACCTGAAGATCAGCAGCATTGTTATCACCTACAAACCTCTTAGAAATGCAGAATTTCAGGCCCTTCCCAGACCTTCTTGATTATAACCTGTATTTTGGCAAAATCCCTGGGTTTTATGTGTGCACATTAATTTTATAGTATGGATTTCCCTTCTTATCCCATACTCCCTCAAAAAATAGTTTTCTTTTGACAGATATAACTACCAGGCATAAATTACAGAGTGCACACTAGACTATAAAGGCATGCTAAATCATATGACTCTAAATGCACAGCCCTAAATCTATAGAAAGACTGAACTATGTGGCACCAAATGAGATTTAGTCTTTTAATTGTAGTGGAAGTACATAATTATTAACAGCTTCCAAAGTTCTACTACCTTTTTCAACTGATTCTCTTCAGACACAAGTGAGGAAATGTTTATTCGGAATTTTAGCATTGGCAATCTAATCCTCTAATACTCTGAAAGGAATGTAATATCATGGTAACAATGAGAAACAAGTTTTTATAACAGAAAAATAAATTGTGAGAATCAGGAGGCAAGGATTCTGATTCTGGTTCTGGAATTTCAACTAACTAGCTGTTTAAGGGTAAGACATACCTTATATTTGATTTTGTATTTCTTATGCTGAGATCCTCCACTGAAACTTAAGAGGCATATGATTACATTTTTGTTAAATAAATTAAATAATAAATCAATCTTAAAAGTCAATCTTAACTCACTTTTTCTCTCTGGGTTTAAAGTTTTATTAAATGTTTACTAAGAAGGTTATTTTAAGACTTCTTTCCAGATTCTGTGAATTACGCTATTGTTTCATACAGTGACACTTGGGGGAAATTGTCATCATATCAAATTGTGAGTTTCTAAGTCTACCTCTAAGTGACACCTACATAGCCAGCTGAAAAGTATAAACTTAAAACATTTTACCTTTTAAAAAATAATATAGTATTTTGTTTTGTTTTACCCATTTCCTTGTGTGGTTTATTTTTAAGGTTCCTTGATCCTGTGTAGTTAAAGGCAGAACTAAGAAGTATGATAAAAGTGAGTGATAATTAAGACCTTTAATCTATTGAGCATTTTATTTTGTTACTGTTTATTGCTGACATTGGTAGTGGAAGGGCAGTTGATTATTTAAAAGAATCCAGTTTCAGCTTTCTACATATGGCTAGTAGTGGGGTGGGGGGAAGGATAGCATTAGGAGATATACCTAATGTAAATGACGAGTTAATGGGTGCAGCACACCAACATGACACAGGTATACATATGTAACAAACCTGCACATTGTGCACATGTACCCTAGAACTTAAAGTATAATTTAAAAAAAGAAAAAAAAAAGAATTCAAGTTTGGAGAAGCTTGAGTTTGTCATTAATGACCTCTTCAAGAAACCACAGAAGCAAGTGCTAACAGATTTGCTATTACTTGAGCTTATGCATTTAGCAGGACCTTGGTGAGATTCTACTTACATACATTCAATTTCTGCAAGTTCTACTAAATGGCAGTAAAGTAGTTAATGTAAGTTTCATGCAGAGCAGCAAAAAGCTATTTTTCTGCTCTCCCCTCTGTGGTTTTGGCCTCCAGTGAAATCCTGCATTTAGGCTGTAGCATCACATTTCAAAAAAGACATAGACATAATAGAGAGAGTTCAGAGGAGAGCCACAAAGATGATAAAGGGCTTAGGAAATAAGACCTATGTGGAAAGGTTAAGGCAAATGGGCATCTTCTGTCTGGAGAAAACAAGACTGGGGAGACACATAACTGTCTGCAAATTCGTTAAGGGATGTTATAAAGGGCAGAGGGACCAATTCTCATTAGTCAATGAGGACAGAACAAGAAGTAATAGGCTTCAATTCCAGAAG
The DNA here is from genome assembly GCF_000001405.40 of Homo sapiens. Classification (NCBI taxonomy): domain Eukaryota; kingdom Metazoa; phylum Chordata; class Mammalia; order Primates; family Hominidae; genus Homo; species Homo sapiens. The sequence continues at coordinate 104,235,102 of NC_000004.12, forward strand.
GGAAAATTCGAGTTAAATATAAGGACTAACTTTATAACAATATGAATAGTTGGGAATGGCACCAGCTGCCAGGGGAGATTGTGGAATTGTTATCATTGGAGAGATTCAAGGCTGAATCCCCAAACCCATCGATCAGGAATGACTTAGTAATAATAAAATCAATCCTGCTGTGATCCACAGGGATAGATTAGTGCCCCAGCATAGGTCCTTCCAACCCAAATGATTATATGATTAAGATACCAGTACCCAGGGGGAATTGATCTGTGTATAAGGGAGGGAAGAGAAACTCTTTACAAGCTACAGCTGTAAATCTGAAAATTAAGTAATCCAGAATGTTTAGCTAAAGGAGAGGCTGAATCTGCTTAGGAGATATGTAGGGATACTGAATTAAAGAGCTCAGCCATTTTCTAAAATATTAATCTGACTTTTGTCAATATTTCAAATAAAAAATTGAGACCCATACTATTATTAATTTTCCTTATTAATGTTCATCTTGGATGCTACACAATATTTAATTTATTAATAGAAAATCAGGACAGAATGTTCTCAAGGTCTGAAAAATAAAAACTAAGATGAAGATAATTTTAGAAAGATAATTTTCTCATGTCAGATTCAGGGTCTTCCCTTTCATTTAAAAATGTGTTTAAATGATATTTTTAGTTCAGACGTTCCCGAGGGTTTTACTTGATGGGCATGTGACTCTAATTAACATCCAAGACCCACATAATTCAATCACAGTATGGGTCAAAATTACCAATTCAATTTTTTAATCTTAAAATTGATTTCTATGTCTGTGATGCTCAGAGTGAATTTCAGCAGTATCCAAAGCATTCTATTTTTCCATGCTCTCTGCCTTATCATACTGGCCTTTGCTAACACTACAGTAGTTATTTTTGAATCTTTGAAAAGTCAGTGTTTAATTTTTTAGTTTACTTTTCCCCTTTCTACCTTTCCAGTTTACCTTTAAGAAAAAAAACACACTGCCGTTTTCTTCCCCTGAGGAGGCTGTGTTATTACTACCGTCCACATATCAGGGTTACAGCACTTGCAGTAGTAGATCATCCCTGTGCTGTCATGGTGATGATATATGATGGAAAAAGCCATCCATCTGAAAATCCAAGGCACAAAGGCTGAAGCAATAATGAGGTAGCCCAGCACAAACCCGGCATGCACAGCACTCGGCATTTCCCCCCAAATAAAAGTGGACTACCCTGTAAATTGAAAATCTTTAGATAGGAAAACTCTCAAAGATAATTTTTTTCTTTTTTCTTTTTCTCTCTTTTTTTTTTTTTTTTGTGCTTAGAGGCCTTTTATGTCTCCCAAAACATTAAAAAATAATGCGTTTCTGAATTAAAAACCTTTCAAAGCTTCTCACTTCCATTTCTCTTTTATTTTTTCCTTGTCTCTCATGTCTATTTTTTCTCTTCCTATTCCCATTGCCACTACCCTAAACTTACCCTTTGAGTATCATTCTCCTGGACAATTAAAGTGATCTTGATCTCTTTACTTTCTCTGTTCTGTTTGTGTTCTAATTCTCTTTTCATAACTGGCTAGGCTAATCCTAGTAAATGCTACATTTATTATATGACTCTTCTAATTAGAGATTTTGTAATTTCCCCCATGAACTATCAAATACAGTTCAATTCCATAGCTTTGCATTCAAAGCCCTCAAAAATCTAGCTTCAGCTTATTTTTCCAGCTGTAAAGAACACCGCCTTTTTATCTATACTCTACATTGCCAAATAAGAATACTGGTCTTTCAGAATATGATTTGAACTTTTTGTATCTTTATTCTTTGGTTGACCCTCCGGCTGAGATGCAAAATAAATAATGGGCAAGCTTTATTCTAAGACATACCTGAATTCAAATGTACTTCCTATAACCTAAGACAAGTTGCTTTATTTCTCTGGCCCTCAATTTTTTCAACAGTAAAATGGGGATAACAACCCCATTGCAAAGAATTCTTGTGAGGCATGAATGGTGAAATGCATACAAAACTCTTAGCATAGAGGCAGGGGCATGATAGTCAACAAAGTCAGCTCCTCTTATATGGTTTTGACATTATTATTAATTTTTCAGTGCATTCTTTAATGGTGATTCTGATGCCATTCACTCAGTGAGGCTTCTCTATTTTGTTTTTCATTTCTCTTGAGCTTTCCTTCTTGTGATCTAGTATAACATTTTTTATTGCATCTGTTGTATCCTGCCATGTTTTATATTTTACATATAGGAAACGTAAGTCTTCCCGAAATGTCTTAGGGGTAGAAACTGTCTTTTGTATATATCTATAGCCAACTAGAAATAATCAATACATAGAAGGTACTCAGCACATTTTCAACAAATCAGTGTTTTAATACATATCCTTTTTGCCCAGTGCCAAGCCTAAAAGGGTTTTGGATTTACTTGAAATAATACCTAACCATGATGGAATAAAATTTCGAGCACATTTTCGTTGGCAGGACAGATTAACGCAATTTGAACCATTTGTTATACTCTCAGGACAAAAGTAAAGTAAAAGCTACTTTTTGTGGTAAGATTCACTTTTTACCTTCATCACTTAAATATTTTTTAATGAAAAAAAAGCCACTAAAATCTTGAAGCCTACTGGTGCATCCTAATTTAAATAACTATATTTCTTTAAGCTACTCTTCACTTAATACTATTTATAAACCTTAGCAACTGGTATGCTGGCAAACTTGTACTCATTTCAGAAGGTTTTAGCCCTCTAATTTTAATCCCTTTTGTTATAAGAAATATGTCTCCAACTCTACCAGTTGAAAAGTGTATCATTTTCTAGGTCCCTTCAAGTACTTTATATAAATTGACCCCTTCGAAAACTTAATAAAGTTAGCATCTAAATTTTCTTTTTCGGTTCCAAGTTCAATCCTAGCATCATCAACAGTAAAATAGAAATGGAATCTAAAAGGACAATAATTTTTCCTGGCAGTCAATGGATGAATAATAAAGTATTTTTGCTTCTAAGATCATCAGGGGGTCTTTAACTCAAAGACTAACTTTTTTCTACTTTTGGATTACTAATAACTCTATGTGATTATTGTATAATGCTACCTGCCCACCAGTTTCTTCCCTTGTCACTTTCTCCCTTGCTTTGTGTGCTCCAGCATCACTGACCTCTTTGGGTCCCTGCTAGGCTTCTTCACCATTGCATGTACTATTTTCTCAGGCTCTGACTGCTCCTCCCATTTTTGGCACTTAGATACTCATCCTTCGCAGTTTGCCCTGAATATTCCTTCCTTAGAAAAGCCTTATATTACACTCCATCCCACTGATCAATCTAGATCAGTCTCTACTGACATCAAAAACATCTTGTACTTCTCCTCTATACTATGTACAATAATGTAATAAAAATGGTAAATTTGTGAACACATTTGCTTAAAATATATTTTGCTGCTTAGAATGTAAGCTCAATAAGTGAAAGAAAGATGTTGACTCTACTCACCTCTGTATCTCCAAGGCCTATAATACAAAAGTTCCTCAAGAAAAATCTCTTGAGTTGAATGGAGAAAGTATGTTACTAAACTAGCCATTTTCCATTGAAAAATCAGGTAATGGGACATCCATTCCTCCATCATCATCTGCTTAAAAGACAACCCCAAAAGGCTCTTCTTTTGGAAAAGACAACCTCAAAATCGTATTGCGATTTATATTTACTATGCTAAAATAAAACAGATAAATCTAATATAAAGGAAAAATAACACCTTTAAATTTTTTTAAAAAATACTTTGCTTGTATAGATTTAAAATGGATAAATGAGTCATTACTTAAGTGGTCCTAAACATTTTGTAGGTAATTTAATATAATTTTGAGCCAGGCAATACAGTGAAAACAGATAATTTTTCTTACTTATGAGAGACATTTGTGTCTGCCAAGGTCTTCCTGGCTGGTAAGTTTTCAATAGCTTGATCTTCCCAGGAAAATGATGTAAGTGTTATCTAAACTCAAATTCAACCAATTTGAGCCATTTGTTTAGCAGTTGTAAATTTCATTTTCTGTATAGAACTTTGATAACTTCCAGTTACAGAAACATCTGATCTGCCATATGAGCATCAAATACCTGGGTAAAACAACTTTGTTCTGTAATCCCAGCACTTTGGGAGGCCGAGGCGGGTGGATCATGAGCTCAGGAGATCGAGACCATCCTGGCTAACGTGGTGAAACCCCATCTCTACTAAAAATACAAAAAATTAGCCGGGCGTGGTGGTGGGCGCCTGTGGTCCCAGCTACTCCGGAGGCTGAGGGAGGAGAATGGGGTGAACCCTGGAGGCGGAGCTTGCAGTGAGCCCAGATCGCGCCACTGCACTCCAGCCTGGGCGACAGAGTGAGACTCTGTCTCCAAACAAACAAACAAACAAAAAACAACAACAAAAAACTTTGTTATGTGCTTCAGTTGTCTGAATCTAACTACTCTTATTTCTCCCATATTAGGGAGGCTTGGGAGTTTGGTACCACATAACCAGTGGGGATGTGCATCTCTGTATGGGCATTATTTCAACGGCCATATGATAAAATTTTCTACCTGGGATTTTTGAAGTAAACATTTTTAGTGTAGTCAATAACAAGTATTTGCTCAGGACACATCCAATGACTAAATCATGAAATTTACTGAATAGAGAGCATTATCTGTAACTAAATTCTATATGGCTTTATTGTCATCCTTCCTGGCACCCTCTCAGAGAGCCACTTCCACTCTTTCTGGAAGAGGATGGTTATTGGTGAATAATGGCAAGTTGGAGTTGACAAACGTTCTTTAGTTAGAGACAGACAGGGCTCCGGGTAAGTCTTCCTGTCTGGGTTAGTTTTATGCTTTTTTCCCTGTAACTTTCTCTCTCTCTCTCTCTCTCTCTCTCTCTCTGTGTGTGTGTGTGTGTGTGTGTGTGTGTGTGTGTGAGAGAGAGAGAGAGAGAGAGATGCAGTTCATGTGTAGTGGTATGACCACTTGTTCTGGAGTCCGAGAGCCATGGTTTGATTCTAGGTCTACCTTTTTTACAAGGCGCTTGGCAGTGGGAAGATTGTCACTATGTACTTTGTTTTTCTTATTTGATCACTGTTAGTCTCTACTTATAGAACTAAATAATCTATTTGGAGTCCTTAACACAGTGCCTTGCATATATTAAGTCCTAAGGATTAGCAATGATTAGTGCACATGCTATGAATTCTGGATTTTTGTCCCTGTCACCAAGTACTCATACAATTAATCTTTTTGTCACATTATTTTACACACACACACACACACACACACACACATATATATATATATAAATTTTCCTACAATTTATCTTTCCAGTTATTCCCTTTTAAATCCAGTTATACTCTGTCCAGGCACTGCTGCTGCTTTTCTTCACACCAACCGTCTTCCAAGCTTCTCCCATTTCATTTGGTTTATCCATTACAATGTCATGTATAGGTTCACTGCGCTCATTATTACTTGCTCGTTCACTGCCATTTCTCAACCAAGGCTGTGTGCTCCACAGCCACCTAAGGCCCTTCAGCAGCCCATCCCCCAAAAGTTGCTATCTTGTCTCTTCTGGGCTCTTACACCTAAATTTCCCACCCTTAAATCTGTCTCTCTGAAACATGGGAAGAACTAATTATTTCTTACACAAAATCCCACAGTTCTGATGTGCTAGAGGAAAGGTAATTACTCTTTGGAATGTGCATATATATAATTTCTGCTCTGAAAGCATCCCAACATAACTATGGGGCGAAGTCAAAGAACTTGTTTCTCACATCATCCCTGTTACTGTTTGAGACACCAGAGAGGTATTTTCATTTAAAAATTTTCTATTATATAATACATGTTTGTTAAATATGCAGAGTCCATATAGCTACAATCTACCTGTCCTCTCAATTATTCCAAAATATTTGAAGACCTACATCATAGGGATTCCATGATGATTGACACATAAATGGTTATTATTACAGAGGCTGAAAGATAGAAATCATGCAGACTGCCTTGTTATTATCAGTAGTAGGGAGTAGTGGATTTGGTAGTGTTGGTGCTGCTCATAGTGGTGGTAGTGGTGATGGTTTTGTTGTTATTAAAAACAGAAAATCAAGGAAACATTTTTTGACTAGAGATTCATTAGAAAAGTATACATAGCTCTACTCACAGCAACTCATTCAATCCAGATGCCATTGTGACATAAAAAAGAAAATGAAAGCCACAGTTAGTTGATATTTACATACTAATTAGTAAACATATTTTCCCAAGAGTTATTTCCATACTAACCTCTAGATTCTTGGGGCTTATGGAAAATTTTAAATGTTTATGGAACAGACATGACCTCAATAGTATTCCTTTAGTGTTGCTTACCAACCATGGTTTCACTGTGGAAACCAGAAGTGATCTAAAGAATATTGAAGTTGAAAAAGTACAAGCAAGATTTGAGTATAAACTACCGTATCCTAATTGAATTTTATTTTTATTTCCTTTTCATTGTGTTCCTAGATCAGCAGATCCTGCTTATTCATTTCTTAGTGTTACATTTTACCTCATTCATTAGCTGTACTTCCTGAAGATTTTGTTCATTGATAAAAACATTTCTGGTAGTGTTAAGAGGGAATATTCCTTTCCTCAAAATATACACTTGACACTGAGTAAGCCTAATGAAAATCGACTTTTGCATCATAGAAAATAATATCATTTGATAAAATATGTAGTACACACTTTCAAATAACTCATTTTCCTCCCAGATTACCAGGAAATTAGAAATTGGATTTTTGTAGTAGACATATATTAGATACAAATTCAACCAGACTAATTCATATCTCCACCGTAGTACCTCACATTACCCATCTAGGATTTCTCTCAGAAACAAACAAAAGTTAAATTATTATTGTTCTAGAAGAGTAAGGGAATTTCAGATGGAACTGAGGAAGTGACTTTGGCTATGAATAATCCAACATCATTTAATGAGAGACATATATAAATAATAATGTATATTTAAAATTATATTGGGTAAAGGTGCAAAATATAAAACTCATTTAGTTTTGCCTTAGACCCATCAACTCTAAAATGGGTAATAACTAAATTAACTTTTATCCTGATGTATGCAGCCTATGGAGTGATTAACAATGTACCAAACAACAACAACCACCCTCATATTGAGAATTTATGTTTGCAGATATTGTAGAGGGACAGAAAGGGGCCTGCTATGCTGTCCTATCCTCTTACCAAGCCAGATAATTCAATTTCTGCTGGGGAAACCATATCTAGGCATAAAAATTTGCCTTACACATTCTGATGCTAAACCCAGCTAAAAGTTCCCAAATGAATGATTCTCAAAGGTAAGAGATTCCCCAAAGAGCAGTGTAGAAATGCAATCATAGCCATACCAACATTTGCTGAAATTTCCTAAAACCACAAACTGATGGACTTGATGAAAGCTGAATCTTTCAATAATTACATGGGGGAAATGTCTGCACAAACATAGCTGAATGCTTGTGAACAACAAAATTAGTGTATTTATGATTTTACTCTCTTTGAATCTAGGAAATTAGTATGAAATTCATAAAGTGCCATAAACTATAACACAAAATAATAGAATTCACTTTCTTTAGTATAAATGTTTGCTTACCCATTTCTAGAAGAAAATTAACAATATTTTGAGGAAAAAATTCAGAGTACAATGAAATGGAATTACAATCTTGCTCAAGCACCTCCAGTAAATTAACAAAGAACTGAACTACTGAAGCAAATATCTTTAGCTGATGAAAGTATTTGTTATCATATTCATCAGTTAGCCTCACAGACTTCAATAACTATGACATGTTTAAATATTTGGAAACAGAATTCACAGTTGGAGACTGATTTGAATAATTGTTAGATTTGCTAAATAAGTAAATAAATACAAAGAACAGTAAGAACAGACGAAATAATAAAATAAAGAGAGAAATAATTCTAAAACAAAAGAAAGGAAAACTGGAAAGGAAAGAAAAAAAAGAAAAAACAAAGTTATTAACATTAAAAGGAGAGTTTTAAATTGTGTCTTTCACTGGGATATAAAGCACAAGATAACAAATTTAGTTTTGTTTTAGACTTTTATTTTAGGTTCAGGGGTACATATGCAGGTTTGTTATATAGGTAAATTTTGTTCCACAGGGGTTTGTTATACAGATTTATTTTTTAATCCAGGTAATAAACATAGTACCCAATAGGTCGTTTTTTGATCCTCAAGCTCCTCCTACTCTCCATCCTCAGGTAGGCCTGAGTGTCTATTGTTCCCTTCTTTATGTCCATGTATACTCAATGTTTGGCTCCTACTTGTAACTGACAGCATGCACTATTTGGTTTTCTGTTCCTGCATTAATTCACTTAGGATAAAGGCCTCCAGCTCTATTCATGTTACTACAAAGGATAGGAACTCATTCTATTTTTATGGCTTCATAGTATTCCATGGTGAACATGTACCATTTTTTTTATACAGTCTACTGTTGATGGTCATTTGATTTGATCCATATATTTGCTGTTGTCAATGACAAAGCAATGAACATTGGCGTGCATGTGTCTTTATGGTAGAATGATTTATATTTCTTTGGGTAATATTTATATTCCCGGTAATTGAATTGCTGGATTGAATGCTAGTTCTGTTTGATGTTCTTTGAGAAATTGTCAAACTGCTTTCCACAGTGATTGAACTAATTTATATTCCTACTAACAGTGTATAAGCATTCTCTTTTCTCTGCAACCTCACCAGCAACTGTTACTTTTTTACTTTTTAATAATAGCCACTCTGACTGGTATAACATGGTATCTCATTGCAGGTTTGATTTGCATTTTTCTCTGATGATTAGTGATGTCGATAATTTTTTCATATTCTTGTTGGCTGCAGTATATATTCTTCTGAAAAGTGTCTGTGGATGTTCTTGGCCCAATTTTAATGGGGTTGTTTGCTTTTTGTTAATTTGAGTTGCTTATAGATTCTGGATATTAGATCTTTGATGCATACTTTACAATTTTTTTCCATTCTGTAGGTTTTCTGATTACTCTGTTGATAATTGCTTTCATTTTGCAGAAGCTCTTAGTTTATTAGGTCTCATTCGTCAATTTTTGTTTTTCTTACAATTGCTTTTGGTGTCTTTGTCATGAAATCTTTGCCCATTCCAAATGGTATTTCTTCAGTTTTCTTCAGTGGTTTTATAGTTTTAGGTTTGACAATTAAGTATTTAATCCATTCTTGAGATCATTTTTTATATAGTGTAAAGAAAGTGTCTAGCTTCAATCTTCTGCATATGGTTAGCCAGTTATCCCAGCACCATTTATTGAATAGGGAGTCCTTCTTCTATTGCTTTTGCCAACTTTGTAGAACATTAGGTGGTTCTAGGTGTGGGGCTTTATTTCTGGGCTCTCTATTCCATTCCATTGGTCTATATGTCTATTTTTGTACCAGTATTATGCTATTTTGGCTACTGTAGCCTTATGGTATAGTTTGAAGTCAGGTAATATGATACCTCCAGCTTTGTTTTCTTTTTCTTTTTGCTTAGAATTGCTTTGCTTTGGTTATTAGGCTTTTTTTTTTTTTTTTTTTTTTTTTTTTTTTTTTTTGCTGTGTATGAATTTTAGAATAGGTTTTTCTAATTCTGTGAAAAATGACATTGATACTTTGATAGAAATATCATTGAATCTGTAAATTACTTTGAGCAGTATGGCCATTTTAACAGTATTGCTTCTTCCTATCCATGAGCATGGAATGATTTTCCGTTTGTTTATGTCATCCCTGATTTCTTTCAGCAGTGTTTTGTAATTCTTTTTTTTTTTTTTTTTTTTTTTTGAGACGGAGTCTCGCTCTGTCGCCCAGGCCGGACTGCGGACTGCAGTGGCGCAATCTCGGCTCACTGCAAGCTCCGCTTCCCGGGTTCACGCCATTCTCCTGCCTCAGCCTCCCGAGTAGCTGGGACTACAGGCGCCCCGCCACCGCGCCCGGCTAATTTTTTTTTGTATTTTTAGTAGAGATGGGGTTTCACCTTGTTAGCCAGGATGGTCTCGATCTCCTGACCTCATGATCCACCCGCCTCGGCCTCCCAAAGTGCTTGTAATTCTTATTGTAGAGATATGACACATCCCTGGTTAGCTATATTCCTAGGTGTGTTTTTTTTCTTTATGATTATTGTGAGTGGGATGGGATTCTTGAGTTAGTTGTAAGCTTGGATGTTGTTGGTGCATAAAAATGCTACTGATTTTTGTACATAAATTTTATGTCCTGAAACATTGCTAAAAGTCTTTGCAGATCTAGGAGGTTTGGGGAAGAAACTATGGTGTTTTCTCAGAATAAAATCGTATTCTCTGCAAAGAGGGATAGTTTTATTTCCTCTCTTCCTATTTTGATGCCCTCTATTTCCTTTTCTTGTCTGATTTCTCTGGCTAGGACTTCCAGTACTACATTGAATAGAAGTGCTGAGAGTGGAGATCCTTGTCTTGGTCCAGTTCTCAAGGTGAATGCTTCTAGCTTTTGCCCATTTAGTAAGATATTGGCTGTATGTTTGTCATAGATGGCTCTTATTATTTTAAAGTATGTTCTTTCAATGTCCAGTTTGCTGAGGGTTTTTAAGATAAAGGGATATGAAATTTTATTGAAAGCCTTTTCTGCTCTATTGAGATACTCATTTGGCTTTTGTTTTTAGTTCTGTTCATGTGATGAATCACAATTATTGATTTTTGTATGTTGAACCAACCTTGCATCCCAGGATAAATCCTACTTGATCACGGTGGATTAGCTTTTTGATGTGTTGCTGAATTTGGTCTGCCAGTATTTTGTTGAGGATTTTCACATCTCTGTTCATGAAGGATATTGGTCAATGTTTTCTTTTTTCATTGTACGTCTGGCAAGTTTTAGTATCAGAATGATGCTGACCTTACAGAAAGATTTAGAGAGACTCACTTCTCCTCAGTTATTTGTAATACTTTCAGCAGGATTTGTTCCAGCTCTTCTTTATACATGTGGTAGAAATTGGCTGTGAAACTATCTGGTCTAGAGGTTTTTCTGGCTGGTAGGCTTTTTATTACTGATTCAACTTCAGAATTTGTTATTGGTCTGTTCAGGGTTTCAATTTCTTCCTGATTCAATCATCAGAGTTTGTATGTTTCCAGGAATTTATAGCTTTCTTGTTAGTTTTTCTAGTTTGTCTGCATAGATGTGTTCATAATAATCTCTGAGAGTTTCTGTATTTCTGTGGGGTTGGTTGTAATGTCCTCTTTGTCATTTCTGATTATATTTATTTGGATCCTTTCTCTTTCTTTCTTTATTAGTCTAGCTAGCAATCTATCAATCTTATTTATCCTTTCAAATAACTAATTCTAGTTTCGTTGATTTTTGTATGCTTTTTAAGTTTCTATTTCCTTCAGTTCCATTCTGATTTTGGTTATTTCTTATCTTCTCCTACCTTTGGGGTTGGTTTCCTCTTGAATTTCCAGTTTCTCTGGGTGTGAAGTTAGGCTGTTAATTTGAGATCTAACTTTTGATGTAGGCATTTAGTGCTATAAACTTTCCTCTTACTACTGCTTTAGCTGTGTTCCAGAGATTCTAGTATGTAGTATCTTTATTCTCATTAGTTTCAAAGACTGTCTTGATTTCTGCCTTCATTTTATTATTTACCCAAAAGTCATTCAGGAGCAGGTTGTTTAATTTCCATGTAATTGTATAGTACTGAGTGATCTTAGTATTAATTTCCACTTTCATTTCACTGTGCTCTGGAAGTGTGTTTGGTATGATTTTTTTTTAATTTGCTAAGGATTGTCTTATGGCCAACTGTGTAGTCAATTTTAGAGTAAGTGCCATGTGCAAGTAGGAAGAATGTGTATTCTGTTGTTTTTGAATAGAGAGTTCTACAGATGTCTGTTAGGTACATTTGGTCAAATGTTGAGTTCAGGTCCTAAGTATCCTTGTTAGTTTTCAGCCTCAGTGTTCTGTCTTATACTGTCTGTGGGGGTGTTAAGATCTCCCATTATTATTATCTGTTTACCTAAGACTCTTTGTAGATCCCAAGAACTTCTTTTATGAATCTGGTGCTCCTGTGTTGGGTACATATATATTTAGGATAGTTAAGTCTTCCCGTTGAAAATAAGTTTTATCATTATGTAATGCCTTTATTCATTTCTTTTTGATGATTGTTGGTATAAAGTTTGTTTTGTCTGAAAATTGTCTGAAAGCAACCTCTGCATTTTTTGCTGTTTTCCATTTGCTTGGTAGATTCTTCTCCATCTCTTTACTTTGAGCCTATGGGTGTCACAGCCTGTGAGATGGGTCTCTTGAAGACAATATATTTTTGGTTCTTTTTTTTATTATCCAACTTTTGTGCCTTTTAAGTGGGGGCATTTAGCCCATTTATGTTCAAAGTTAATATTGATATGTGCACATTTGATCTTGCCATCATGATGTTAGCTGGTTATTATGCAAACTTGATTGTATAGTTGCTTTGTAGTGTCATTGGTATGTGTTTAAGTGTGTTTTCTTGGTGGCCTGTAATGGGATTTTGTTTCTATGTTTAGCACTCCCTTAAATACCTCTTGTAAGGCAAGTCTGATAATAATAATGAATTCACTTAGCATTTGCTTCTCTGAAAAGGATCTTATTTCTCCTTTGCTCATGGAACTTAGTTTGGCTGTATATACAGTTCTTGGTTGGAATTTTTTTCCTTTAAGGATACTGTATATAGGGTCCCAATCTCTTTTGGCTTGTGGGATTTCTGCTGAAAGGTCTGCTGTTAGCCTTATGGGGTTCCCTTTGTAGGTGACCTGCCCCTTCTCTCTAGGTGCCTTTAATATTTTTGTTTTCATGTTTATCTTCAATAATCTCATGACTATGTATCTTGGGGATGGTCATCTTGTGTAGTATCTCACAGGAATTCTCTGCATTTCCTGAATTTGAATGTTGGCAGGGTTGGGGAAATTGTCATGGAAAATATCTGCACAAATGTTTTCCAGGTTGCTTGCTTCCTCTTTGTCTCTCTGAAGGATGTCAATAAGTCACACGTTTGGTTTCGTTACATAATCCACATTTCTCAGAAGTTTTGTTCATTCTTTTTTCTTTCTTTTTGTCTGACTGAGTTGAAGAAACGGTCTTCAAGCTCTGAGATTCTTTCTTCAGCTTGGTCTGCTGTAAGTTTTTGCAAGTGTATTATAAAACTCTTGTAGTGAGTGTTTCAGATCTATCATTTCAATTTGGTTCTTTCTTAAAATGTCTATTTTATCTTTCATCTCTTGTATCATTTTATTTTATTACTTAGGTTCCCTGAATTGACTTTCAACTTTCTCCTGAATATCAATGATCTTTGTCTCTAATCATATTCTGAATTGTATTTGTGCCACTGCAGCCATTTTATTCTAGTTAAGAAGCACTGTTGGGGAACTATTATGATCCTTTTGAGGTAAGAAGACACTCTGGCTTTTTGCTTGTCAGAGTTCTTACATTGGTTCTCATCTGTGTGGGCTGATGTTTCTTAAGTCTTTGAACTTGCTGTCTTTGGATGGTTTTGTTTTGCCTTCATATTCTTTGATGTCCTTTATGGCTTCATTGTGGTATAAAATGGGTTCAGTTGACTGGCTTTGTTTCTGGAAGACTTCTGGGGGTAAAGTCTTATTAGCTCATCACTCCTGGGCTGTGTGCTCTAGCTCCAGGAGGCTGGTCCTGGGTCCCTAGCTTTGTTCTCTGGCTCCTCAATGTAAGAAACCTCCCACACTGGGAGGGCTGAGGTATTCCCAGGTCTTTGGCAACAACTCTCATGGAGAGTGCCAGTCACAGTGCTACACTGGGGCTGTGGCAGTGGGGTCCATGCCTGTTCGCATGTGTCAGCAGGAACAGCTGTGCAGCAGGGTGCATGTGAGTTGACAGGGGTGGGGCACCAGTGGAGGCAGAGTGCTATTGTCATGCATGTTCTTGTGCTGGCAGCTGCAAAACACAATTCCTGTGTAGCAGTGGGTGTGGGGCACTGGCAAGGGCAGGTTGCTGGTGGGGGCAGAGCAATGTTGTTTGTGTATGGGTATACTGGTGGGGGAGGAGAGGCAAGGTGCACCTGCATACATGTGTCAGCACACAGTCGGAGGGGTTTCCATGTGGAGCGTATATTGGCAAAGTTATGAGAGGAGGCTGTGGCGGGAGGATGCTGCGGCTTGGTGGCTGCACATTGGTGGGGGACAGGAGCTATGATGATGACCCCTGCATCCAAGGCTTCTCTGCAACCAGTAACAGCAAGGCTGAGGCCCCAGGAGATGCTGGCGGACAGGAAGGCACCAAGATCAGACAGATCCCATCCAACAGGTAAGGCTACTCTGTTCTGTCCAGGTCCAGCAGTCATCAAATGCTAATGCCACTTAGAGGAGCATGGTGAGCTTTGGTGATAGGTGGGTGTCCCTGACCATGTTCCACTGAAGCAATTCCCAGGCCAAACCCTCTGGGGTCTGCACAAGCTGGAGTCCTGTACCTGCTACATATCTAAACAGCTCTTCTTGTCAGCTCAAGTCTTCTTGGGGACCACGGGGTCTCCTGTAGCTAGGATTCTGGGAGGCTGTGGTGAGAGTGGGCCACTCCTTCCCTGTTCAAGTCACCTCTTCTGCAGGAGCTGCTGGGGACCAGGAACAAGTCCCATTGCTTGGCAGCTCTGTGAAGTGTTCCCAGTTTCCTCTCTTCAGCTTAGGATCTGTGTCCTCTTTCCGTCCACTCTAAATGTCTTCTCTCCAAAGATCTGCTTGGGGTGTGCCAGTCTTCCCAATGGCCTGGTTTGATCTTGATCAGTGCGAGCTATTCCTCCTAGTTGTGTCTAGTCAGCCATCTTGCACAAATTTTTAAAAATAGAAATGATATGTCTGCTCTCAGACCACAATGGAATTAAACTGGAAATCAATAACAGGAAGATAGGTGGAAAAATTCCAAAACTTAGGGGTTAAACAATACCTTTCTAAATAACATGTGGCTTAAAGAAGAAATTGCACAAAAAATTTAAAAAATTTTTGAACTAAATGAAAATAAGAATACAACCTGTCAGAAATCTGTAATGCAGCAAAATCAGTGCTTACTGAGAAATTTATAGCATTTAATTTATATAGGAAAAGAAGATCCAAAATCAAAAATTTAAGCTTCTACCTTAAGAAACTAGAAAAGCAAGAGACAATGAAATTCAAACTAAAGGGGAAAATAAACAATACAAATAAAAACAAAATTAATAAAATTGAAAGCAGTAAATTGATAGAGAAAATCAATGAACCAAAATATCATTATCTGAAAAAATTGGTGAACCTTTATCCAGACAAATTAAATAAAAAGAAAGGAAATCACAAATCACAAAACCAGAAATGCAAGAGAGGACATCACTGTGAATCTCATGGGCATGGAAAGAATAATAAAGGAACACTATGAGCACTATATGCACACAAATTTGATAACTTAGATAAAATGGACCAATTCCTTGAAAGATACAATCTACTAAAAGTCATACAAGAAGAAATAAACAATCTGAACTGGTCTATAGCTTAAATAAATGAAAATAATAATTTTAGAACTTTCAAAAGAGAAATAAACAGGCTCAGATGTGTTTACTGGTGAATTCTACCAAACATTTGAGAAATAAATCATGCTAATTCTTGAAAACAAAAGCAAAAGTAATGATTTCTAACTCTGTAAAGCCGGTAATACTTTAATAACAAAAGCAAACAAAGATATTTTAAAAAACTACAAACCAATCCCATCATAAGCATAGGTGCAAAAATCCTCATACAAAGCCAATCAAATGTAACATTCTATAAAAAAAAAAAAATAGGCACCAAGACCAGTTGGAATTTATCCCAGATATTCAAGGTTGGGTCAACATTTGAAAAGTAACTAATACAATTCATCACACAAAAGGCTGAAGAAAAAAACATAATCATATCAGTAGATGCAGAAAAAGCATTTGAAACAATCTAACATTTACCCATGATACAAACTCTCAGCAAACTAAGGAGGAGAACATTCTCAACTTGATAAAGAATATCTACAAAAAACCTATAGCTAACAACATATGTAATGATAAGAAACTAGAAGATTTCCTACTAAGATTAGAATAAGGACTCTGTATGTTTGGGAGAAAATAAGGGAAGAGAACAAGAGTCTCTGCCTGGTGATCCAGTGAATTCTCTTGGATTTTGTACAAGACCAACAAGATGATAACTCTATGAGTCTGCAAGAACCACAGCATTACTAGGTGTGGGATGTCCCCTTAAGCAGATACAGCTTAGATTAAAAACATCCAACTCCTTTCAAATATCTGGAAAACTTAGTCTAAAGAAAAATGGCTACAAATAACCACAAACAGATCACAGATAAAGATCCAGGCACATCTACTACTTTTGCTGTATCCCATCAAAAAAAGAGGGAAAACTTCAAATAAGCAATCTAATGATTCATCTTAAAGGACAAGAAAAGCAAGAGCAAACCAAACCCAAAATTAGTAGAAGAAAAGAAATATAAAGATGAGAGCAGAAATAAATAAATTTGAAATCCCATTTACAATAGCCACACATAAAGTTAAATATCTAGCAATTAACAAAAGAAGTGAAAGATTTCTATAGTGAAAACTATAAAACACTGCTGAAAGAAATTGAAGAAGACAGCAACAAATGGAAAAATATTTCATATTCATGGATTGCAAGAGTCAATATTGTTAAAATGTCCATACTACCCATAGCAATCTACAGATTCAATGCAGTTCTTACAAAATAGCGATGACATTCTTCACAGAAATAGAAAAAACAATCTTCAAATTTATATGACACTACAAAAGACTCAAAATAACCAATTTTTTTTCTGAGCAAAAAGAGAAAAAATGGAGGAAAAACATTACCAGACTTCAAATTATACTACAGAGCTACAGTAACAAAAACAGCATGGTACTTGCATAAAAACAGACACATAGACCAATGAAACAGAATAGAGAACCCAGAAAAAAATCCACACACTGGATTTTCAACAAATGTGTCAAGAACATACACTGGGAAAAAGACAGTCTCTTCAATAAATGGTACTGGGAACACTGGATATCCATATGCAGAAGAATAAAACTAGACCTCTATTTCTTAGCATACCAAAAAACAAATAAAAATGAATTAAAGACTTAAATCTAAGATCTCAAACTATGAAGCTACTAAAATATTGAGGGAATCCTCCAGGACATTGTTCTGGGCAAAAATTTTTTGAGCAATACCCCACAAGCACAGGCAACCAAAGTAAAGATGAACAAATTGGATCACATCAAGTTAAAAGGCTTCTGCACAGCAAAGAATACAATCAACAAATCAAAAAGAAAACCCACAAAATGGGAAAAAATATTTGCAAACTACCCATCTGACAAGGGATCAATAAGGATAATATATAAGGAGCTCAAACAGCTCTATAGGAAAATTTAATAATCCAATCAAAAGATGGGCAAAAGATTTGAATACACATTTCTCTTAAGAAGACATACAAGTGGCAAAAAGACATATGAAAAGGTGGTCAATCCTGCTAAGGGACAGACTGCCTCCTCAGGTGGGTCCCTGACACCCATGCCTCCTAACTGGGAGACATCTCCCAGCAGGGGTCCACAGACACCTCATACAGGAGAGCTCCAGCTGGCATCTGGGGGGTGCCCTCTGGGACCAAGCTTCCAGAGGAAGGAGCAGGCAGCAATCTTTGCTCTTCTGTAGCCTCCGCTGGTGATACACAGGCAAACAGGGTCTGGGGTGGAACTCCAGCAAACTCCAGCAGACCTGCAGAAAAGGTCCCCAACTGTTAGAAGGAAAACTAACAAATGGAAAGCAATAACATCAACATCAACAAAAAGGACGCTGATGCAAAAACCCCATCCAAAGGTCATCAGCATCAAAGACCAAAGGTAGATAAATCCATGAAGATGAGGAAAAACCAGCACAAAAATGCTGAAAATTCCAAAAACCAGAATGCCTCTTCTCCTCCAAAGGATCACAACTCCTAGCCACCAAGGAACAAAACTGGACAGAGAATGGGTTTGATGAACTGACAGAAGTAGGTTTCAGAAGGTGGGTAATAACAAACTCCTCTGAGCTAAAGGAACATGTTCTAAACCAGTGCAAGGAAGCTAACAACCTTGATAAAAGGTTACAGGAACTGCTAACTAGAACAACCAGTTTAGAGAAGAACATAAATGACCTTATGGAGCTGAAAAACACAGCATTAGAACTTTCATGAAACATACACAAGTATCAATAGCTGAATCAATCAAATGGAAGAAATGATATCAGAGATTGAAGATCAACTTAATGAAATAAAGCATGAAGACAAATTTATATAAAAAGGAGTGAAAATGAATGAACAAAGCCTCCAAGAAATATGGGACTATGTGAAAAGACCAAACCTACATTTGCTTGGTGTACCTGAAAGTGACGGAGAGAATGGAAATAAGTTGGAAAATACACTTCAGGATATTATCCAGGAGAACTTCCTCAACCTAGAAAGACAGGTCTACATTCAAATTCAGGAAATACAGAGAAAACTACTATGATACTCCTCGAGAAGAACAATCCCAAGGCTCATAATCATCAGATTCACCAAGGTTGAAATGAGGAAAAATATTAAGGGCAGCCAGAAAGAAAGGTCAGGTTACCCTCAAAGGGAAGCCCATCAGACTAACAGCAGATCTCTTGGCAGAAACCCTACAAGGCAGAAGAGAGTGGGAGTCAATATTCAACATTCTTAAAGAATTTTCAACCCAGAATTTCATGTTCAGCCAAACTAAGTTTCATAAGTGAAGGAGAAATAAAATCCTTTATAGACAAGCAAATGCTGAGAGATTTTGTCACCACCAGGCCTGCCTTACAAGAGCTCCTGAAGGAAGCACTAAATATGGATAGGAAAAACCAGTACCAGCCACTGCAAAAACACACCAAAATGTAAACAACATTGACACTGCATTAACTATGTGAAAAATAACCAGCTAGCATCATAATGACAGAATCAAATTTATACGTAACAATGTTAACCTTAAATGTAAATGGGCTAAATGCCCCAGTTAAAGACACAGAATGGCAAATTGGATAGAGTCAAGACCCATTGGTATGCTGTATTCAGGAGACCCATCTCATGTGCAAAGACACACATAGACTCAAAATAAAGGGAAGGAGGAATATTGACTAAGCAAATGGAAAGGAAATAAAAAAGCAGGGGTTACAATTCTAGTCTCTGATAAAACAGACTTTAAACCAACAAAGATCAAAAAAGACAAAGAAGGGCATTATGTAATGGTAAAGGGATCAATGCAACAGGAAGAGCTACTAGCCTAAATATATATTCACCCAATACAGAAGCACCCAGATTCATAAAGCAAGTTCTTAGAGACCTATAAAGAGACTTAGACTCTCACACAATAATAGTGGGAGACTTTAACACCCCACTGTCAATATTAGACAGATCAATGAGACAGATAATTAACAAGGGTATTCAGGATTTGAACTCAGCTCTGGATCAAGTGGACCTAATAGACATCTACAGAACCCTCCACCCCAAATCAACAGAATATACATTCTAGTAAGAACACATAGCACTTATTCTAATATTGACCAGATAATTAGAAGTAAAACAATCCTCAGCAAATGCAAAAGAACTGAAATCACAACAAACAATCTCTCAGACCATAGTGCAATCAAATTAGAACTGAGGATTAAGGAACTCACTCAAAACCAAACAACTACATGGAAACTGAACAAGCTGCTCCTGAATGACTACTGGGTAAATAACCAAATTAAGGCAGAAATAAATAAATTTTTTGAAACCAATGAGAACAAGACACAATGTACCAGAATCTCTGGGACACAGCTAAAGCAGTGGTCAGAGGGAAATTTGTAGCACTAAATACCCACATGAGAAAACAGGAAAGATCTAAAATAGACACACTAATGTCACAATTAAAAGAAATAGAGAAGCAAGGACAAACAAATTCAAAAGCTAGCAGGAGACAAGAAATAACTAAGATCAGAGCAGAACTGAAGGAGATAGAGACACAAAAAATCCTTCAAAAAATGAATGAATCCAGGAGCTGGTTTTTTGAAAAGATCAACAAAATAGGTAGACTGCTAGCGAGACTAATAAGAAAAGAGAGAAGAATCAAAGAGACACAATTAAAAATGATAAAGGGGATATCACCACTGATCCCACAGAAATACAAACTACCATCAGAGAATACTATAAACACCTCTATGCAAATAAACCAGAAAATCCAGAGGAAATGGATAACTTCCTGGACACATACACCCTCCTAAGGCTAAACTAGGAAGAAGTCGAATCCCTGAATGGAATAATAAGTTCTGAAATTCAGGCAGTAATTAATAGCCTCCCAACCAAATAAAGTCCAGGACCAGACAGATTCACAGCGAATTCTACCAGAGTTACAAAGAAGAGCTGGTACCATTCCTTGTGAAATGATTCCAAACAACAGAAAAAGAGAAACATCTCCCTAACTAATTTTATGAGGCCAGCATCACCATGATACCAAAACCTGGCAGAGACACAACAAAAAAAGAAATTTCAGGCCAATATCCCTGATGAACATCGATGAGAAAATTCTCAATAAAATACTGGCAAGCCAAGTCCAGCAGCACATCAAAAAGCTTATTTACCACCATCAGTCAGCTTCATCCTTGGAATGCAAGGCTGGTTCAATATATGCAATCAATAAATGTAATCCATCACATAAACAGTACCAATGACAAAAACCACATGATTATCTCAATAGATGCAGATAAATCCTTCAATAAAATTCAACACCCCTTCATGCTAAAAACACTCGATAAACTAGGTATTGATGGAACATATCTCAAAATAATAACAGCTGCTTATGACAAACCCAAAGCCAATATCATACTGAATGGGTAAAAGCTGGATTCCCTTTGAAAACCAGCACAAGAAAAGGATACCGTCTCTCACCACTCCTATTCAACATAGTATTGGAAGTTCTGGCCAGGACAATCAGGCAAGAGAAAGAAACAATGGATATTCAAATAGGAAGAGAGGAAGTTAAATTATCTCTGTGTGCAGATGACATGATTCCATATTTAGAAAACCCCATTGTCTCAGGCCAAAAACTCCTTAAGCTGATAAACAACTTCAGCAGTCTCAGGATACAAAATCAATGTGCAAAAATCACAAGCATTCCTATACACAAATAATAGACAAACAGAGAGCCATATCATTAGTGAATTCCCATTCACAATTGCTACTAAGAGAATAAAATACCTAGGAATACAATTTACATGGGATGTGAAGGACCTCTTCAAGAAGAACTACAAACCACTGCTCAAGGAAATAAGAGAGGACATAAACAATGGAAAAACATTCCATGTTCATGGATAGGAAGAATCAATATCATGAAAATGGCCATATTGCCCAAAGTAATTTATAGATTCAATGCTATTCCCATCAAGCTACCATTGACTTTCTTCACAGAATTAGAAAAAAACTACTTTAAATTTCTTATGGGACCAAAAAGAGTCCATATAGGCAAGATAATCCTAAGCAAAAAGAACAAAGCTGGAGGCATCATGCTACCTGACTTCAAACTATACTACAAGGCTACAGTAATTAAAACAGCATGGTACTAGTACCAAAACAGATATATAGACCAGTGAAACAGAACAGAGGCCTCAGAAATAACATCACACATCTACAACCAACTGATCTTTGACAAACCTGACAAAAACAAGCAATTGGGAAATGATTCCCTATTTAATAAATGGTGATGGGAAAACTGGCTAGCCATATGCAGAAAACTGAAACTGGAACCATTCCTTACACCCTATTCACAAATTAACTCAAGATGGATTAAATACTTAAACATAAGACCAAAAACCATAAAAACACTAGAAAAAACCTAAGCAATACCATTCAGGACATAGGCATGGGAAAAGACTTCATGATTAAACACCAAAAGCAATTGCAACAAAAGCCAAAATTGACAAATGGGATCTAATTAAACTAAAGAGCTTCTGCACAGCAAAAGAAACTAGCACCAGAGTGAAAAGGCAACCCACAGAATGGGAGAAAATTTTTGCAATCTCTCCATCTGACAAAGGGCTAATATCCAGAATATATAAGGAACTTAAACAAATTTACAAGAAAAAAACAAACAACCCCATCAAAAAGTGGGTGAAGGATATGAACAAACACTTCTCAAAATAACTGCAAATTTTTAAATTATAAGTGTATTTGGGTTGTTTGCAACTCAATGGATAAATGTTTAAGGGGATGAATACCTCATTCTTCATGATGTGCTTATTTCATATTACATGACTGTATTAAAATATCTCATATATGCCATAAATATGTATACCTAGTTAGGACCCAGGAAAATTAAAAAATAGGTTTTTTTTTTTAAAAAGAAGAGACAATGTATACAGATTGGGAAGGAAAAGTAAAACTGTCTTTGTTCACAGTTGACATAATTGTCTATGTAGGCTATTCAGAATAATAGACAGATACTCCTGGAAATAATAAATTATTACATAAAGGTTGCAGGATATGAGGTTAATATACAAAATTCAATCTCTTTGTTACATACCAGCAATGAGTACTTGGAATCTTAAGTTTAAAACACAATACAATTTATATTAACATCCCCCAAAATTAAATACTTGGGGGTAAAATGAAAAGAAATATGAAGAGAATCTATATGAGAAAAACTACAAACCTGTGATGGAAGAAATCAGACAAGAAGACACAATATTGTCACAATGTCACTTCTTCTCTTGGCCTATAGCTTCAACATAATCCCCATCAAAATGTCAGCAAGTTATTTTTTGAATATCAACAAATGGATTCTAATGTTTATAGGGAGAGGCAAAAGAATCAGAATAATCAACACAATAATGAAGCCAAAACGCACAGCTGAAGGATCGACACTACTCAACATCAAGACTTACTATATATCCACAGTATTAAAGGCAGTGCAATATTGCTGAAAAAAATAGACAAATAGATTAATGGAACAGAGTAGATAGCCCCGAAATAGACCCACAAAGACAGAGTCAACTGACTGTGCCAAAACTGCTCTTTTGGCAAAAGAACAATGGTAATATAATGGTAAAAAGAGTCTTTTAAAAAATAGTATTGGAAACTAGAACTTTTCATTGCAAAAAAGTGAATCTAGACAGAGACCTTACACCTTTCACAAAAATTAACTCAAAATGAATTATAGACATAGGTGTAAAATGCAGAACTATAAAACTTGTTGAAGATAACATAGAATATCAAGATGACATTGAATATGGGAATGACTTTTTAGATACAACCCTAAAGGCACAATCCACGAAAGTACTAATGGACAAGCTGAACTTCATTGAAATTAAAACCTTCCACTCTGATAAGCCATTGTTAGGAGAAAAAGAAGACAAGCCACAGACTGGAAAGAAATATTTGCAGAAATAATATCTGATAAAGGATTCTCATTTAAAATATACAAAGAACTCTTAAAACTCAACAGTATGAAACAAACAACCTGCTTTAAAAATGGAAAAAGAATCCAAACAGACACCTTACCAAAGAAAATATATAGATAGCAAATAAGCATATGAAAAGATGCTCAATATCATCTGTCATTAGGGTAGTGCAGATTAAAGTAACCAAGAGATACTACTACATATCATTAGAGTGGTGAAAATTCAAACACTGACAAAACCAAATGCTAATGAGGATGTACAGCAACAGGAAGTCTCATTCATTGCTGGTGAGAATCCAAAATGGTACAGCCACTTTGGAGGACAGTTTTCAGGTGTTGACAAAACTAAACTTTTACCAATAATCCAGCCATTGTGTTCCTTGGTATTTACTCAAATGAGCTGAAAACTTTCACCCGAAAACTTGCATGCTTATAGCACTTTTATTTGTAATTACCAAAACTTGAAAGCAGCCAAGATTTCCTTTAATAGATGAATAGACACATAAACTGTGGAACATCCTCACAATGGAATTTTATTCAATGGTGAAAAGAAATGAGCTTTTAAGGCATGAGAAGATGTGGAGGAAATTTTCACTCATTACTAGGTGAAAGAAGTCAAATTGAATAGGCTAAATAATATATGATTCCAACTACATCTGAGAAAGACAAATCTGTGAGGACAGAAAAGATACCAGTGGCTGCCAGGGGTTGTGGGGGAGTGAAGTATGAATAGGCAGAACACAGAGGATTTTTAGGGCAGAACGAAACTACTCTGTATAATATTATAATGGTGGAACTTGTCATTATACATTTGTCAAAACCCATAGACTGTAAAACACCAAGAGTGAACCCCTTAATGTAAACTGTGGACTTTGAGTGATAATGATGTATCACTTTAGGTTCATCAATTGTAACAAGTGTATACCACTCTAGTACAGGATGTTGATAGCAGGGTCAGAGAGTATAGAGGAACCCTGTGGTTTCTGCTCTATCAACTTTGGTGTGAAGGTAAAACTGCTCTAAAAAAAATGTGTGTGTGTGTGTATATATACATACTTTCATCTAAATATATTATGTTCAAATACATATGCTTATAGCATCATTATATATATCATAAATATGAATATATATATTCAGATGATAGTATATCCTGCCTATAATATTGATAAAACACATTTTAAAATTTAGATTTCAATCACTCATGAAAAGAAGTTATTTTAAAATAAGCTAAAATAATTTGTCTATATACCACCAATATCCAATTAGAAAATACAGGAGAAATGCATTTTATTCAGGAATTTTGACAATACAAAAATACAAGACATCCAGTAATAAACATCAAAAATGTGCAGAAATAACATGATATACCTATAAAATTTATTAAAATATACAAAATAAAACAGCTACCTTAATATGTTCACTCATAAATTAACAAGATGAGGTATGAGAATAATTTAAAATAATTTGTTTCTTAATTCATTCTTAAAATAAATAAAATAACCAAATTTCATTAAAAAACAAATTGATTGAATTAAACATTTTGAGAAAATAATTGAAAGATATTTTTCTCAAACATTTAAATATAAAATTGAATATTTTATAAAGAACGCAGGAATAAATATGAAATCAACAAAAATTTTAGAGGTCAGTTAAATTATTGGTATTAATAGGATACACAATAAAATATTATTTAAACCAGCAAGGGAAGGAAAAGATACTTTATTAATCTGGAAATATGTATTGAAGGAAAAAAGCAGAATCACCTTACTCTATTATACCTAGTATCAGAAGAAAGTAGAGATAAATATTAATAGTATAGATATATATTCATATGCAGAAATAGCAAATTAATAGTTATGGCTGTAGAAGAATATAAAATTATTGTATAATGTGTCATAAATAAAATCAAAAGTAAACCAAAAATTGGAAATCTAAGCTGATAATTATTATTGTCCTTAAAAACAGGATGTCTATATAGAAGGAAAAAGTTAAACATCCAAATTTTAAAAGTAGCAAAATAAGATGAACTGGCAATTCACAAAAAAAATGAAATATAATGATTAATAAACTTATGAAAAAGAGTTAAAACTGCAAGTGATCAAAAGTGTGAAAATTTAATTACTAATGAGAGTCTTCTTTTTATATAGTGACAATATTAAAGGTTAAATAAATATATATATGTGTATATATGTATTTTACATTGTTTATGTGGAGGAAATTATACTGTCATAAATTGATAATCAGTGTGTAAAATAATGAAATTTATTCTGGAAAATAATTTGGCAGTATCAATCAAAATACTTAAACATAAAGTGCATTTACTTCGAACCAGCAAATAATAAATAATCATACATCTTTAGAGTTATGGTAGTAAAAACTATAGACCACCAAAATGTTCAAAAACAAATTTGGCAAAATAAATTCTAGTACATTAGTATGGTATACAGGCTTCAAAAATATTTAATTACATAGAAAATTATTCATGAAGAATTGTTATCAAAAGGATGTTATAGAATAGTACACATAGCAGAATCCAAACTTTATACATCCAAACTAGCAAAAAACACATAAATGATTGTATATAGGCAGATATATATACATACAGCAATAGTTGTCCTGTATTTTAAGATCACAAGTCGTTTTGTGTTTTTTGTAAAGTTTTCTATTTTGGTAACATACTGATTCAAACAATAAAATTTGAATTTTGACCTTGATTAAAAATAAAAAGACTTGGCCGGGTACGGTGGCTCACACCTGTAATTTCAGCACTTTGGGAGGCTGAGGCAGGCAGATCACCTTAGGTCAGGAGTTCAAGATCAGCCTGACCAACATGGTGAAAACCCGTCTCTATTAAAAATACAAAAATTAGCCAGGCATGGTGGCAGATGCCTGTAATCCCAACTACTCGGGAGGCTGAGACAGGGAGAATCACTTGAACCCAGGAGGCGGAAGTTGCAGTGAGCTGAGATCATGCCACCGCACTCCAGCCTGAGCAACAGGGCCAGACTCTGTTTCAAAAAAACAAAAAATAATAAATAAATAAATAAATACATAAATAAATAAATATAAAAAGACTTAATCTGCCACACTGATTGGACATAAGGGGTATCGCAATTCAATTAATAGTAAAATGTGAAACACAGTTTAACACTCAATGACATGTTATTTTAAAATTTTTGACGCATTTAGAATGAAGTGTTAAAAAATAGTAACTTTACTAATACCACTTTATATAATGGTATACAAAATTGGCACTATTAAGCCCTCTTCCCCCCAAAATGTAATTATTGCTAACTTTCAAATTATTTTGGTTTGATAAATTCAGAAATTCTGAGAATGATATTCTAGGGCACCCACTAAAAGCATAAATGATTGATTATCTTGATTATCATTATGGAGGACATTATTTCCCAAATCAGAGTTATCCTAGCTCCTATGTTTCAGAGGCTGATACTTCAGATGAAGGTGAAAGAACAGCCAGCCATCTATAAATGTCAGTATAAAAGTGCTGAATAACATTTGTGTCCATCATTGTACTTCCCTGAAGGTGGGTGTTTATGAGAAGTGGCCAGAGGATAAAAGTAAGGTGTGGAATTGAACAACCCCCCATTGGTAACTTACATCCTGAAACAAGAGATTTGATTACCCTTATCATTATTCGCTTGCTGAAAAGAGCTCCCAAAGCTATTAGTGGTCATAAGATTACTCAGCTGTTTTTTAAATTCAACCATCGTATTTGACTCAGTGACCTCTTCAGTCAATGAATTTCACAGGTTGACTATACACATTCATAAGGCATTATTTACCTCAATTTGTTCTGAATTTACTGCTCCTTATTTTTATCAAGTATCTCCTTGTCTTCATCTTATTATGGGACAAGGTTAAAAAAAAGTGTCCTTTGTAATTTTCAATGCTTTAGTCAAGGATTTTTCTAAAATACATCAGATTTATAACTGTTTCTTAGGAAAATGAAAAATCTAGCTACAATCCATCTATTCTCTATTGGTATTTTATTCTCAGTACGATTTCTTATTACTTGGCTTTGAATTCAATACTCGTTATACTTCATCATTCTATTTCTTTCATATTATTAACAACACAAGAATGACAACATGAACATACAATTTTTTTCCAATAAGAAAATCCAAGTTCATAATGACATCAAGATCAGGAATACTGTGATTTTCTCTTAAATGAAGCATCAGTCTTGGTAAAACTGATACATTCAAAATACTTAAATTCCAAGCCAAGTGGAGCACAGTTGACTAGTATACTGTTCAATAACAGTATTTTTGGCATTATCCTTTAGAGGAGATTCTTTCTGCTAGATTGTTCTGGAATGACTTAGATTCACAAAAATCAGATGAATGGATAAGCTGATCATTTAGTCATGCAATCCTATTGTAATTCATCTAAACAAATGATCTTGTGTTTTGCCACAGAGTTGCTTTTCATAAACTGGACGGATCTTTCTTACCACAACATTCAGAGATACACTAAATGCTCATAGAGGTAATTTCTATATAGGGAACGCATATTTTCCCAATTTTTTTGTAGTTACAAATAATTATGCTGAATTTAAATTAGCAATTTTCAATTGAATAGGTAGGTATAGTTTTCTTTTACACTGTGCATTCTTTCATAGTTGAAAATGTTTACAAACCCTGTTGTGTGTCATCATGTTCATTCAAGACTTCCTCGTTCATGTAATAAAGTTGTATGAAATTACTTTAGAAATAAAATGTGATACCATGCAAGTATACAATTAATACACAGTCAGCAAAAGAGTAGTCCTCCCTTGTTATTTAGCCTCTCCTTAGATGTAGTCCAGAGGACATCTGCTTGACAAAAACGAGTTTCTGGATTTCGCCCTAGACCTACTAAATAAAATTCTCTGTGAGGCAGAAATCAGGAGCCAGCCTTTTAAATTAAATCTTTATCTGTGCTCTTTACAATTCTCTTTAGGCCTCTTTTCATTTTTAACTCTCTCCCTGGGAAGTCTCCTCTACACCTATGCTTCAGCTATATATCAATGCCTCTTAATGTATCTCCAGCGTGGGGGTCATGTTTGAGCACCAGGTATCACCTTCTGGTTTGTCTCAGAGATATTTTATACTCAAACCGAAGTTATGACATCCCCATGAAAACTTTCTTTCATCTAGTTTCATCTATTTTCCTCACAGTGAACGGTAACACCACTGAAGTGCCCAAATCAGAAACTGGTATCTTCTCTTCTTCCCTCCTCTCTTTAATTCTTTTAGTAGTAAAATCTGCTGTATTATCCATTAATGGATTTCTCTTGGGATTTATGTTTAGAAAATGTGCTCATGGATGAGAACAGATAAACCACGCTTCTGATTAAATGATGGAGCATAATTGCTAAATTGTGAGTCAGGGTTAGAGATCGAGGATGACATCATGAAGCTGAAGAGTATCTGAGTTATGTTTCATTATGGAGAAAAATGTCCAAGACTTTTTCCAGCTGCATGCTTACATAATTGAAATCATAATATCAACAGAGATTTAACTGAGCATTTATTGAACATAAGACTAAGATACTAAAAATAAATCTATGCTAGAGAACTATAAGAGTCTATGAAGGAAAAATAAGAAAAAAATACATAGAAGTCATTGTAAAAGGAAGTTGTTCAATCTTTTTACAATGGTTAAATCTTAGTATTGTTCAAAGTTTTCCATTTATAAAAATTTGGCTTAATTTCTTTGGAATAAAACAATGTCTACATTTATCTTTTTCTTACAGTTGAATTAGAATTCAGTGATGTTCAAACATATTTTCAGAGAAAATAATTATAATATCCTAGAGGCCAAAGCATTCCATTTGAAAGCCCTCATTCACTGTGCTCTTCTGAAATGGAGCTATTGCAAAAGCATGTTCCATTTTAACACTATCACGAAGATTCCTCTCTTCCACTTTCCCAAGTTGTTTCCTTATAGATTTGATAAGTATTAATTACCAGGACATTTGTCTCAGAAGGAAACATATGAGGCAGGAATATATCGATATGAACTTAAAATTATATTATTGTTACTTACAGATAAAATTTTCTTTTCAAAACAATATAGAAAGGCAGTTAATATTTTTATCACAAATTTAGAATTAAAGAAGTAATGTGTGCTGTTCGTATAATAGTTAATAATTTACGCTCTATTAGATCACTTTATGTTTGTCCTTATGTGTAGATTTAGTGAGTACTCTAAAATGGCTTTAATTATGTAACATTTGATACAGATTTAAGTGGGTTATATTACAGAGTTCCTCAACCCCCGGGCCACAGATTGGTAATGGTCCATGGCCTGTTAGGAACTGGGCTGCATTGCAGTAGGAGAGCAGTGGGCAAGCCAACATTACCACCTGAGCTCTGCCTCCTGTCAGATCAGCCACAGCATTAGATTCTTCTATGAGCATGAACCCTACTGTGAACTGAGTGTATGAGGGATCTAGGTGGTGTGCTCCTTATGAGAATCTAGTGCCTCATGATCTGAGGTGAAAGAGTTTCCTCCTGAAAACATCTCCTGACCAATTTTTGGAAAAATTGTCTTCCATGAAACCAGTCCCTGGTGCCAAACAGGTTGGGAACCCCTGGGTTATAAGTCATAAAGAAAGAAAACACACTTACAGTCCCACCATCTACTTATGAAATAGAGCATAACCAATGGTGTGGCTTCAACGGGTATGTGTCTCCTCAGTCCCACTCTTCTGTCTTTCCAACATAAGTAACACCCCCCTGAAGTTTCTATTAACGATTTTTTTTTACTTTAAAAAATAGTTTGAAGACATATCACTCAGCAGCATTTTTAAATTCATTCATGTGGTTGCATATGGCTGTAATTTAATTTCACTGTGATCTAACATTTCATTCTGAGATTATTCTACATTTTATCAATTCTCCTGTTGATACATGTTGCAGTTGTTTAAAGTTATTGCCTTTAAGAGCTAGGTACAATGAATATTTTTGTGTAGATTTTGTGGTACACATTTGTAATAATTCTCTATGATATGTACCTAGAAGTGGAACTGCTGTGTCGTAGAGAATGAGAATGTTCAAACCTAAAATATAATGCCAAACTATTTTCTGAAAGGATTGTACTAATTCACACTCCTGATAGCAGTAATCAAAGGTTCTCATGAACTCATATGCTCAACAAAATTTTGTGTTTATTTATTGTCCGTCCAAATTTCACCATTCTGGCCAATATAAATAACATGGTATATCATTGCAGCATTAATTACTGATTATCTGATTACTAAAAAGAGTGAGCCTGTTTTTACGTATTTGTTTACCATTTGGTTTTTATAAACATTGCCTATTTATATTATTTGCCCATTCTTATATTGGGTTATCTATTTCTTATTGACGTATAAGTGTTCTTTATATATTCTGTATAATTATTTTTCTCAGTTTCATATGTTTCAAATACTTTCTGCAGTGTATAGTTTGTTATCTTGCCACATAGTGCCTATTGATGAGTAGGATATCTTAATATCAATATGTTCAATTAATTTTTAAACTTCGAATTTTTAAGCACTTGTTTCCAGTTTAAACATTCTTTAATGTGGTATCTATATGTTCCATATTTTTAAACCTAAAATTATAATTTTTAAAATTGTAAATATTCAAGGCAATTTGAATTTATTTTTATATATAGAATTTGATAATGAGTTTGTTACACAGAAGTAACCAACAATCCCAGAATAATTCATGGAACAGTTACATCTTTCTCCCACTTATTAGC
The DNA here is from genome assembly GCF_000001405.40 of Homo sapiens. Classification (NCBI taxonomy): domain Eukaryota; kingdom Metazoa; phylum Chordata; class Mammalia; order Primates; family Hominidae; genus Homo; species Homo sapiens. The sequence goes on from NC_000004.12 coordinate 104,266,284, forward strand.
AGTGCCACATATGGCAGACAGTATGCAAAATCCATTAAGGAAATATTTAATGAGCACTTACTATATGTCAGTTACGCTTTAGGTGCTAGAAATAGCGCAGTGAGAAAAATTTCTGTGTTCGTAATTGAGCTGGTTTTGGATCTCTCTAGTCTGCTGCATTTGTAAATATTTTTAACCCTGAATCAATTTTACAATACCTTATTTATTATATATGTATAGCAAGATTTAATGTCTCATAGGAAAAGTTCTGCTTTGAACTATTTTGGCTAGTATGATCACTTGCTCTTGCACTCCTCCATAAAAATATTAGAATTAGCTTGCCAAGTCAGACACACAGACACACACACACACACACACACACACACACACACACACCCCTGTAGGAAGGATGAAAAAATTGCATTCAATGTATGGGTCAATTAAGGGAGAAAGAACATCTTGATAATATTACTTCTTCTCAATGGACATGATATCTCTCTCCTTTTATTTAAGTCTTTAAAAAATCTCCTTCAAGAAGATCTTATAAAAGTTTCCATATTTTCTTTGAAAATTTAATTAAGTATGTTCACAGATGTTTCCTATTATTATTATTTCTTATTGGTAGTTGTCAGTATATAAAAATATAAGACTAAATCATTTTTTATGTATTTATTCTATCTCCTACCACTTAGCTAAACTCATTTTTTCTAACAACCTATCTGTAGATACTCTGGTTTTCTGCATATACAGTAATGAATTCAATTTTTCATATCTTTGTTTTAGTCTTTCGGAGTACAGAAAGGTCCTCTATACACTTTGAATGTAAGAGTGATGACATGATAACAGAAACCCTCATATAGCTCTTTATAGAAAAGGTAATGCTTTTGATATTTCACCAGTAAAACGATAGTTTCTGTAGGTTTATGGCAAATATAATTTATCCTGAGAGAAACTTCCCCAATATTTGTATTTTCTAAATAGCTTTTTATTAGTGGACTTTGTATTATATAAAATGCATTTTATGATATCTAATAAGAATCATATTTTCTTCCTTCTGTAACATAGTAAAATAAAGTTATCAATTTACTAATGTTATATCTGTTGAATTTCTAGACTAAGTCCATCTTCGTCATGATATATCAATTTATAGAAATTACCGGACTCTGTTTGCTAATATTTTTATTATATATAGTATCATGAGTTAATGAGGCCTCAGATTTTCCATTCTTGTACTGTCTTTGTCTTGTTTTGTTATCAGACTTAAATATGTAAGATGACTGAAGAATTACTTCTCTTTCATATACTTTGGAAGGGTTCTTGTAATAGTGAAATGATCTGGTTTTGTGGGACTATCCTGTAAAATAGCAAAGAATTAGTGTTTTCTTTGAGGGAAGACAATTTACTCAGATATATTGTCTTTTGAGATTATTGAACTTGTGAAGCAGGTTCATGATGTGCTGGTCCCCATCTCAGCACACTGCATCTTGGTCTGCACCTTTACTTCTTGCCTGAGTCCAGTGAGACAGAACACTTACACACACAACAGGTTACATGCAGTGGACTTGTTACTTACAGATAGGCAGCAAGGGACAACAGAAGCTAAAGATTCATGGCAACCCCATCCCCCAAGGGTCTGGAAAACCACCCAAGGTGGCTGGAATATTATCTATGCATACACAACTTACCCCACAGCTGACGGACTGCAAAAACCAACCCACCCTAGATTTTATACCCAAAGTGCCATAGGGTAAAAATCACTAAGGACGTCCTGTTTCTAGGGGGACGAGAACAGGGCCTGGGCTATTCCAGTCAACTCCCCCTTATCTCAGGATGTTGCCTGCCTAGCACACTTTACAGTTATTCTTTGAAACTCCTGTATATGACTGGAAGACCAGATAACAAGTGAGAAAAAGAGAACTGGATTGGTCAAAGACTATCTGGAAAACTGTCCTGTAGTTTTCTTCCAGATGATGTTCGTTACATTTTTCTAAGAGTTTATCTAATTTGTCCAGGTTTTTACATTTATTCTTAATACAAAAATTTCCATATTATACTTTTACAATTATTATTATTAAAATTCACTATGTCTTTAATTTTATTTTTCATTTTTGTTTTATTTCTCTTTTTCTTGATTTATATTTTATTTGTATCATTTAGTAATTAATAGATTATTTTTCTTTTTTCTATTTAAATAATTTTAGCTTTTTGTTATCTCATTCTGATTTCTTTGGGTTATTCTCTTTTTTCTAACATTTTTAGATGGTTGCTGTGCTCATTAATTTTTAGTCTTTCTTATAAGAACATGTAATGATTTAAATTTCCTTCAATTTGTCATTTTTGTTGCTTCACAAATTTGAATATGTGGCATTTTTGGGTTTTTTTAGTTCTAATTATTTCTAATCTTGGATATGCTTTTTTAGGTCAAAAATCATTTAACAGTAATCTTTTTAAATCTACCAATTTAGGGAATTTTAGTATAGCTTTCTGTCAATAACTTTTAATTTTATTTTATTGTGCTAAACAACATAATTTCCAAGATACCAATTCTCTGAAATTCATTGAGGCTTTCTTTTGGCCTATTATATGACCCATATTGGCAAATCATCCATATGTGCTATACTATCAACTTTATATTTTCAAATTGTAGGGCTCAGAGTTCTAATATATTTATTAAATTTCTTGTTCTAATTTTTACATCCATTTTTTCTTAAACTAACATAAATGGAAAAAGTTACATTAAATTTTCCCATCATAATGATAGACTTGTGCATTTATCTTTATAGTTTTATTAAGACTTACTTGATATATGATCAGCCAATTTCATTGGTACACACGATTAGAAAAATATATATATTCATGATAATTTGAGCCTTGTTATCAATGTATGAAAATGGTATTACTTTTAATTCTATTTATCCTGACATTAATATAGCTATCTCTCTTTTCCTTTTATTAAAACTTGTACAATATAAGGTTTTCCAGATTTTTACTTTTAATAATCTATACCCTGAAGTTTTAGGTATTTTGGTATTTTAATATTAGAAAAAGTAGAGTTAGTAGTGTTTTAGTCAAGTATGACTTATTATACAACTATGTCAATTGAACTTATTATTATTTTGATTTATGTTATATTTGTCCTTGTTCCAGTATTTAACTGTCAAATTGTCCACTTTTGTTATGCATTTTTTTCTTGCTTTGCTTTTGATTGACGTTTGGGTTTTGTTTTGTACTTTGTATTATTCTATTTTTCTCTATTGAAAAGATAGAAATATTTGTATTTTTATTATATAGTTTTAAACTTTTGGGGGTTTAGTTGCAAAACTATTTTTTTAGCCTTAAAATTATTTTAATCTATATCTGAACTCTCTTTCTAAACAGTTCAGGGACCTTTACCACTGACAATAATCCTTGCAATTTGAATTGCTATGTTATTAGTATATAGTGCTTTAATTGTGTCCCTTTCCTTTCCTTTCCTTTCCTTTCCTTTCCTTTCCTTTCCTTTCCTTTCCTTTTTCCTTTCCTTTTTCCTTTCCTTTTTCCTTTCCTTTTTCCTTTCCTTTCCTTTCCTTTCCTTTCCTTTCCTGAGACGGAGTTCCACCCTTGTTGCCCAGGCTGGAGTGCAATGGCAAGATCGCGGCTCACTGCAACCTCTGCCTCCCAGGTTCAAGTGATTCTCCTATCTCAGCCTCCTGAGTAGCTGGGATTACAGGCATGCGCCACCACGCCTGGCTGATTTTGTATTTTTAGTAGAGACGGGGTTTCTCCATGTTTGTCAGGCTGGTCTCGAATTCCCGACCTTAGGTGATCCGCCCACCTCAGCGTCCCAAAGTGCTGGGATTACAGGCGTGAGCCACCGCGCCCGGCCTCAATTGTGTCTCTTTTTAAGACACTCATTATTATACGTATTCATTTAAATAGACGTTTGTTTGCCATCCTATTTATAAATGTGTTTGTTAATCCTCTCTTTTTACATATCAGACATTCCTGTGGAACCTTCTTTCTTCTTCTTGATTTATTCTGTATACATTCTTGTAGAAATGCTGTATTGGTAAACTCTCTCAGTTTTTTAAATGTTTTAATTTCTTCCCATTTATTGAAACATCATTGTTAGTTATATAGTTCTAAGTTGGTTATTTCCTCTCTATAGCACAATGATTTTAGACTATGCTCTCTGGTTTCTATTATTGCTATGAGTAGCAGGTTCTCAGCCCAGTTTCCTTTCCTTTGTAAGAGATATAATTTTTCATTTTGAATGTGATTTTAATCTTCATATTGTACTTGTTGTTCCAAAGTTTCACTGAGATATGCCTAAGCATGGAGTTAATTAGTTTATGACATTCTAATATATGTTGTGCTGCCTCTATTCATGGATTAATAGCTTCTTTAACTTTTGGCACATTCTCAACTATAAATATCACTTCTCTTCTATTTCCTCTATTGTCTCCTTTTGAACGTCAGTTCAAAAAGTTAGGTATAACTTTTATAGTCATATTTTTCTTTTTCATTTTGTGATTTTATCGATTTATTTCACCATTTTGTACTTGTTTTATATTGTGTATTATATAATAATTCCAATGTCTGAAATTCTTGGATTTTAGTGTCTTGTTTGTTTTTATATGTGTTTATGATCCTTGATTGAAAGTTTAATTTGATTGGTCATAACTGATAAAAATCTTGAGGGTAAAATTACACATTCATTTTTCAGATAAAAGGGTCTAGATTTGTATATTCAAAGAGCCAAAAGATACAATCAATCTGCAGTCAATTTAGCTTCTTCCTAAATATTGGAGTTTATTTGGCACATTGAGGAAAATGACCAAGGCTTATTAGCAGGTATAAGCTTTTGCTACCATTCAAGTGTGCCCTAGATGCAGGACTTCTACACAGATAATAGCTCAAATATCATTGTTTTATTAAATTATTATTTGTTCATAAATTTGAAAGATTATTCTTACTTATCACCCCCACAATCCATTAGAAAGCAAGTTTTATACAGAATCTTTTTTTTTTTTCTCCAATGGGTAGGATTTTTAGAGGTTATAGTTCCCCGGATTTCTGGAAATAAGAGGTTATATTCTCACTGTAAAGCTCTCTATACAGTCTATTAAATCATACAAATTTGACACAGGCATGTGAAAAAACTCAGAGTCTCAAAAAAACCATTTTAATTATAGTAGCTTTGTAATCTATTTTATTAAAAATGAGAAGAAAAATAAAAACACTAACTGTGGTTTTAGTTAATATTTTAAAAAATCTTCTTTAAGTAAACCTTTCAAGTAGTAAAGAGATGATAACCCTTATTAATTTCCCCTAATCATGAGATACTAATAAGCAAAATAAAACAAATACAATTAAATAGAATTTAAAAAATCATGACAAAGAATTGGAATTGAATAGAAGAGTGATTAGTAAGTCAAATGTTTTGTTAATTTAAAACTGTGTAATGGCCTTTTGATTCATCAAATTTGATATATCTGATATCTTAACAGTAGAGAATTCCTCTCCCAGTCTATAATTAAAACCATAGAACTTTCAGGGTATGTAGCCTAGAGATAACTGGATATACTGTATGATTGGGGCATGAGGAATGGCATGAGCCCAGGATATTGTGTATATTTGTGTTTTTGTGTGCATGTTTCACAGTAGTATCCAGGGCTTCTTCTGATCAAGATAGTAGTGAGAAGCTATTTTGACTAAATAATAAGGTATATTATACCTGGCCCATTGAACAGATTATAACAATTAGCAGTATAATCATGTATGCATCATGTAGATAGTGAATAATTAGAGAGATTATGATAGTCTTATCTTTCTAGTAGGTGATATTCAATTTATAGTAACTTTAATTTTACATTAATAATGTTATCTACAAAAATACTAAAATTATTAAATAAAAAGGATTCACAGTTATAATTTATAGTGTTATTTTAGTTCTAATAAAATACTCTGGGAGATATAATTCATAATAAAATGTTTAGGAATTTAAAAATTATAAACAGCATAGAGTGGTAGCTTAATTAATTACACTGTAATTATATGAATATATTTGATGGGGTGTATTAGCCCATTTTTGCATAGCTATAAAGAAATATCCAAGACTGGGTATTTTGTAAAGAAAACACGTTTAATTGGCTGGTGGTTCACCAGACTGTACAGAAAGCATGGGAGCATCTTCTACTGGGAGGCCTCATGGAGCTTCTAATCATGGCAGAAGGCCAAGAAGGGTTAGGCGCCTTACATGGCAAAAGCAGGAGGAAGAGAGAGAGAAGGGGGAGGTGCTGCACACTTTTAAACAACCAGATCTCACGATAACGCACTCACCATCAAAAAAAGCAGTACTAATGGATGGAGCTAAACCATTCATGAGAAACCATCCTCATGATCCAATCACCTCCAACCAAGCCCCACCTCCAGCATTGGGGATTAAAATTGGACATGAGATTTGGACAGGAACACAAATCCAAACCATACCACGGGGTGAAAAACTCCATAATGAAATAACATAAATTTTGCATATGAAGTACATTACTTGATTGTAATTATTTTACTCTATATATTACAAAAAACTCATTATTCAATAATCTTGATATAATTTTAAATTTAAAAACATGTTCATTCAAAATCATTGCACAATGAGTAGGTAGCAAAAAGTAGTGAAGGCATGTAGTAACTTAAGGTATTAATCACAGACTTTCAGGGTATGTTTACATAATACTTAAACAACAAGTAAAATCTGTAAGATTATTAAATCTAATTGTCAACCTCAAGAAAAAAGTAAGCACTACAAATTATTCAGTCTTAGCAACTGCCTTATTGAACGCTACTGATGACAGCAACGTTTGTAGCTCTCTTTTCTCCAAGTTAGAGCATTACAGAAATTACTGTTGCCAAATACTGGCTGTTTTGCAAGTCAAAAAAAGTGGGTATGCCATCATTTTCAAGCCATATTATTTTGGAAATACTGCTTGGATTTCAAGAGTTGGAAATTATTTATTTGTGCCCAATTATATATACAGCTTCACTCTAACATTTTGTGTTGGTCCTTCACTGCAATATTCTTGTTTTATTTTAAATGATTATTCTATGCAGGCACTTACTCTCCAACAAACAGCTCTTCTGCAGGAATAGTCTTTATGCTCTGAGCCCATCAAGACAATTACACATTTGAAAAAAGGCAAGCTTTAGGGAGAAAAATAATTTGATTTTCTGGCAACGTCTTTCAAGCCTTTTTCTTTCTTGTATCTGCTATTTCTTTCAGGTTTTTGCAAGTCCTTTCCTTGGTTCCCTTTTTTAATCTTTTAATTCAAGACTGGTTTTACAAGTTCCTAGGAAAGAGAGTTAATGTGGAGTTGTTTCAGGGGCAGCATTATGCAAACAAAGAACTAAGCAAAATCATAGACACTTTGATCAGCTTGCCCCAGGTCATATATGCATCAAGTATCGGGGCTGTGATTCATTGAGGAATATCTAAGTCCCCTGTGTGCCACACTGACTTCATCACAGCACTGATGAGCATCCCACTAGCCAGGGGACAGTCAGGACTGCCTAGCTTTATGAGGAGACCTTAGTATCCATCAGAGAAATCTATGTTCACTCTGCTAGGTTTCTGCCATGAGGTTGTGGAAATGTCTTCCATTTATAGCTCAAAACTTTCTCGAATCCACTGGGATCTCAGTACACTCAGGATATTTAAATCTCAGAAGTGTTTGTGAAGGAGTACAAAAAGTTGAGAATCGGAAATAAAATATTGGCTTTTAATGGATACAGAAAAAGGAATCTAAGTCATTTGGTCTTAAATTGTTAAACTCCTTTCAGAAAAATTTAGTGAACAGTACAAATCCTTCCTTTTATGGTAGGGACTAGAACAGAGCATTCTGCCTTTGTCCCTGGGAAGTGTTTAAATGACAATATTTAGAAAGGCTTCAGAAAATATATTGAATTACTTAAATTTTTTCAAGAAGAAATGCCCAAAGAAGGGGAAAAAAATCAGAAGTGGGAAAGAGGGGATAGTGAGAGAATACCATAATTCATATAGAATGCTTAAAACATTAAAACAAACTAGTATTATAAAAATAATAGAAAAAAATATTGATCTTTAAAGTTTCCTTTCATTAAGGGATCTCATAAACTCTATTTTGAGAAGGAGGAGAAAAAGAAGGAATATTAACTCAGGAGTCCAAAATAAATTGGAATTTTAATTTGTAAATATTTTTAAATAACATATAATTTGTTTAAACTCTGAACTATATAATGTAAACATGTATCAACTTGGTTAGGAAGATGATTCTGAGCATTAATATTTATATATGTGATTATATTAATGCTCTTGTTTAAGAAACAAGAGAAAATTTTTCTCATTAGTTGGGTTCATTTAAAAAAAAGTGATGCTTGATTGGTTGCCACATACACATAAAAAGCAACCAGATTTTTTTTCCGTTAGTTCTAGAGATGTCTTTTTCTATGGCAAGCAGGCAATCTACAGCATTATTTTTTAAAGTCTGACAGACATAGATGAATTATTTATTATTTGCTTATTATGTCTCAGACATAATTTTGAGTGCCTTAGAATTTTTAAGTCATTTTATGCTCATAAAACTCTATGTCATAATCACCCTGGCAAATTGTATGATACACAGATTGATTAGCTAACCTGCCAAAGTACCCATTGAGGAGAAAACCCAGAATCTAACCTCTGGGCTCTGAATGTGGGCTCTGAATGTAGGCTCTTCTAGACTCTAAACTACTACACTGTACCATTAAGAAAATTTTACTTCAAATTTTTCTAAACTGAAAATTGTCATAAAAAATAAAATAAAACAACAACAACAACAAAATTTGGTTGTCATACTTAGCAGCACCTAATAAACAATCTAGCATTAGACCTTATAATGATTATACAAGTTTGAATGGCCTAAACTTTATACCAACATTCCAAAACAAGTATGATGTAGATTAGTGTTGAATTCTTTAAAACAAGAGCTCCAACATTCATTGTAAATGGGTGTTGGGCCCTCATATTTATTTTATGAAAATTAATCTGAGGTAATTGAATCCATTTTCTGTTACTTACTTCATTATATTTTGAGGTCTCAAAGAGATGGACTTTCAGAAAAGAGAGATGAATTTATTTAAGATCAGTTAATTTCTAACTTGAACACAGAATTAGCTTACCTCAACCAAAAATAAATATAGATAAAGAAGAGCATTCTGTAAAATTTTCAAACTACTCATATGGGTGAAGATAAAGATCCTTTGAGGAAAAAGGATAGGAATTCTCTCATCTCTTTCCAGTCCTACAGTTATATAAGCTATTCCTCTCAGAATTTAACTCCAGGTGTGGTGGCTCACACCTGTAATCCCAGCACTTATAGGAGGCTGAGGCAGGAGGATCTCTTGATGCCAGAATTTCAAGACCAGCCTGGGCAACATAATAAGACCCTGTGTCTACAAAAAATTAAAAAATTAGCAAGGCATGATTCATACCACTGCACTCCAGCCTAGTCAACAGGGCGAGATCCTGTCTCTAAAGCTAAAACTAAAATAAAAATAAAAACGTATTGCCCTCTCTTTCAATTATGTTCAGTATTCTTCTACTTATATTCCCAAACTTCCCCCTTAATTTTTGCAGGTTGAAACCATGTTACTTCTTTGTCAGAGGCCTGTTTCAATTTCCTATTCAAACTATGTTCAAACATTTATTCTTTCAGTAAAATCTTTCTATGAATAACTTATGTCTTTTTATTATGAATGTTTGCTGCTGCCCACATTTTATGTCTATTTTCCTAATACACATTTAATGTTTCCTTGTAGTTTGTTTAGCCTTTTCGTAGACTGGTCATTTTTATAACATAGGCCTGAAAAGTCACTATTTATGTGTAAGCAAGACTTTTTAGTAAAAACTATTCATAAATTAATGATAAAAATTCATAAGATCAGTGAAGATAACCCAAAGATATTCTTTCTCACTGTCTCTTTTTCTCAGACACAGACACACAAATATACACAAAAATATTCTGACATTTTTAGGAAACATCAAATAATGTACCAAGTTTTGTTCATTTGTTTTATTCATTTTAGACATAATAGAGTAATATATAATGTAATAATCTGTTTTCTTTCACTGCTTAATTCAACAAATTCCTACTGACAGCCTATGGTTTAGTAGGCATTGATTAGGCTCTCTAAATAGAGTGGAAAACAAAATGAAGTTAGCTTAGGAAAAGTGGTAGTCAGGAGTAAAAAATGTAAAACTGGATTCTTACTACAATTCTCATGGCAAAATAGTTGAAACAAATTAAATTTATAAATTTAAAAATTAAAGCTCAAAAATGCTTAAATAAAGAATGAGTTAAAATATAATATCTGGAGGATACACCTTTTTATCCAGAACCAATGAAGAAAATTAATAAATCAGAACATATTTGTACATATCCTTTGCAATAAAAAAGCCTGTAAAATCTATACAATTTTATGATGAAATATAATTTGGCATATACATAGTAATCAAAATTATAATTATAAACAAAAGTCTGTAATATACAGATGTATCTTAATATTATATAAGAAAGAGTCAAATAATTCACAATTAGCATAGCATATAAGCAGAAGATTCAACAAAATACAAAAAGCTAAGATTGATTTATAAACATGAATTGAGAACAAAAGGAAATGAGACCTCAACAAAATCAAAATCAAATCCATAAACATATAAAAAGGATTATATACCATAACTAATTGGGATTTATCCCACGAATCCAAGGTTGATCTAACATCTAAAAATTAATTAATATGTTACACCATGTCAATTGAATAAAAGGATATTATTATACATAAGCATCTCAACAGATACATAAGAAGCTTTTTAAGAAATACAACACTGTGTTATGAAAAAAGTATTCAGCAAACTAGTACGAGAAGAGAACTTCCTTAATTTGATATTGGCATCTACAAAAACCAAAACGAAACAACCAGGAGTTAATATACTTAGTGGTGAAAAAGTGAATGCTGTCCCCTAAGGTCAGGAGAAGACAAAGATGTGTAAACTTGCCAATTCTATTCAACACTGGAGATTCTAGCCAGTGTGGAAGGAAGGAAGGAAGGAAAGAAGGAAGGAAGGAAGGAAAGGAGGGAGGGAAAGGGAGAGGAAGGAACTGGAGGGGAGGGGAGGGAAGGAAGAAAAGAAAAAATGAAATAAAAGATATTCAGATAAGAAAAGAAGAAGTAATACTATTTACATATAGAAAACCATAAGAAATCCATACCAAAAAACTATTAGAACTAATAAGCAAGTACAGCAACATTTCAGGGTATAAGATCAATACATAAAATAAATTGTATTTTCATACATCAAAGATTAACAGCTTCAAGACAAAATTAAGAAAACAATTCCATTTATAATAGCATTAAACGAATAAAATTTCAGAAAGAAAAAAAGACAACCTTTAGAAGAAAATATTTGCAAATCATATAAATTGTATCTAGAGTATGTAACTAACTCCGATAAGTCAATAATAAAAAAAAATACTAAATGGGCAAAGGTTTTAGACATTCTCCAAAAATATACAAATGACCAAGAAGCACATGTAAAGATGCTTAACATCATTAGTCATTAAGATCAAGTGGCTGCAAATCAAAACTACAATGATGTACTTCACAGCTACTAGAATGGCTATTATCAGAAAGATAGAAAATAACATGTTTTTCAATGAAACGGAGAAATTGGAAACTTCATATATTGCTGTTGAGAATGTAAAATGATACATCTGCCTTCGGTAACAGTTTGGCAGTTCCTCAAAATGTTAAACATAGAATTGTCATAGAACACAGCCATTCCACTCCTAGTTATCTATTAAGTTGATGCAAAAGTAACTGCGGTTCTTTGCCATCATTTTCAATGGCAAAAACCACGATTACTTTTGCACCAACCTAATAGTAAAGAGGAATGAAAACATTTGTCAACACACAAAAAACTTATATGTCCTTAGCAGCATTATATATAACAGCCAAAAAGTGAAAACCATTTAAACGTCCATCAATTGATGAATGGATAAATAAATGTGGTATATCCTTACAATGAAATATTATTCACCCATAAAAATAAACCAAATAATGACACATGCTACACCGTGGAAGAACCTTGAGAACATCATTGTAAGTGAAATAAGCCAGTCACAAAAGGCCACATATTGTCCTATTCAATTTATATGTACAGAATAAGAAAAGCTATACAGACAGAAAGTGCATTAGTAATATTTTAGGCAATGGAGTTTGAAGACAAATGGGTTGCAACTGCTAGTGGGAATAAGATTTTATTTTAAGATGATAAAAGGTTCTGAAATTGATTATGGCAATTGGTTGCACAAATCTGGGAATATATTAAATTGAATTGAATTGTGTACTTTAAATCGGTGAATTGTAGGTTACTTAATTACATCTCCATAAACCTGCTTTTTAAAAAGAAATGAGACTTTTTAAAATATATCTGATTGGCAAAGATGTATTTGTTATAGAAAATATTTAGATGCTATGAAAAGATGCTGTGAACTCAGCGATATTCAAAAAACTTTTGAGAGATCAGTTGGAAAAAAATTTCCAAAATTTAAAGAAGTATATTTTGAATTAGCAATTTCTATGATTCTTTTTAATCAGGTACTGGCTACACAGATTGTTATATGTTTATACAATGTTTTCTATGCAGCCATTGCAAAGGAAGGGGAGGCTTCTTGAGACTAATTTTTTCATCATATAATTACCACAAATTACCCCAATTTGTAAGAGCCAGTTACACACTTTGTGTGACTCCCGTATATTTCTTGAATATCTGAAGACAGAGCACTCTTTCTTTCGTTTCCCTTCCTTCCTATTCTCACCTTTCTCTGCCTCATTTTCTCTCTCCAATACTTCTTCTATCATAGTTCTTAATAATTTCAATATCCACAGTGATGTCTCTTCATGTAACCCTCTTTTTTATCTTATTTTTATCTCATAAACTTAAGACCTACATTTCTAATAATCGTATACCGCTTTGTAGTAACAATTTCAGGCTTCTCATTTGCAAATTTCTAGATCAATTCCTGAATTCCCTCATTTCAAAAATTTATCCACATCACTGGGATTGCCCTGCCATTGACCTGCTATATTTTTCTGCCCTTCACCCATTTCGTGTGCTTTTTTCCATCATTTTCCAGCTTAGATTTCATGATCCATCATTAGAATTGCCCCTTTGCTTTTCACCCTATTCCCTTGGCACTTTCTTCAGTGCATATAGCTGCTAAAACCTCAAATCTAGATAAATTCAATTATCTGTTCATTCAGCATCTACAACCTGCAATGTAACTGAAGCAGAATTCAAAACCATACTAACTTACACCATAGCTTGTATTGTTTATCACAAACCTCAGGTGGTCTGTTAGTGCTGTCAAGTAACCCCTGCACACTTTTTTCCCCAGACCTCAATAACTATATCTACTCTATCCTCACTTCCCAAACTTTCAGTAATATTTTCTCTCATTTTTTTTATTTTTAGATGATACCCTTGTTTTTTATTTTGCTTTAAAAAGTAATACTTTCAAGAGGAATTCTAAACATTATCGCACAAATATCTACAAAGCTACCAGTCCGTGTGCTCATTTCACTTTTTCCGTGGATTTTGTTCCGTTGTTTTGCCAAAACCTTCGTTTACACAATGGATTGCATTGTCTTTGGTCACTAAAAGACAATTGTCCTCTTTTCTGTTTTCTGCATCTCATTTTTTTCCATTCAAACCAAATAATTGCCATCATGCCCTATTATACTCAATCTTTTTTAAAAAACCCAGGCACTTCATTGCTCTACAGCAACCTTTTTTTTTTTTCACTTTTTTTTTTAAAGGGAAACACTGAAAATATTTGTCAATACTTTGTGCCTCCACTTATTTTCATCCTTTGCCCTCCTGAATTCATTCCAGTCAGACTTGTCTTCACCTTTTCACTGAAACTCCACATGACAAGATCACCCATGGGCTTCACTTTTACCAATACATGGTCAATTCTCTGTCTGGATTTTATTCAACTTAGCAATGGCATTTGATTTTTTTATCACTTCCTTCTTTTTGAACACTTGCTTACCTTATTTTGCCAGGTTTCTACCCCATCTAAATGGATTCTACTTCTTTGTCTACTTTTTAACTAACTTCTAATATTGATGTTTCTCTGAATTCAATCTTTGGACAACTTCCTTTTTTATCTCTGCTTATTGCCTAGAGAATCTTATCTTACAATTCTTAAATTGATTTCTCCAGTTCAAATCCCCTATACTCCAGGCTCATATACTCTCAACATCTCAAAATTAATATTTCCAAAATTAGCGTTTTGATTGCCACTCACTGCTTGCACAAATTTATCTCCTCTCCCCATCTTTTCCTATTCAATAAATGGCAGCTCCATTCTTCTCATCTTTGGGTTATTATCTTAGAAGTCAGACTCTTCTCTTTTTATCTTAACCTCCAGTCAATCCATCCAAATCTTCCCACAACTTCCTTTAAAACATTTCCAGAATTAAATCTCTTTTCAACACTGTCACCATCATCTCTTGCCTTTTCTATGGCAATTACTTCCCAATTGGTTTCTGTATTGCATGTGGTTCTCTGATCAATTTTCTTTACAGATGCCCAGGTATTGTTTTTAACACTTAAATTAGATCTTTTCTGTCCTCTACTAAAAGTGCTTCAGGAATTCCCATAACCCATAGGAACTTCCAAAACCTCTGTGACTTCAACTCATCACTTTCCATCATAGCATCAGCTTTACTCCAGTACACTAAGCATATTCAACCTAGAGCCTTTGCAAAGGCCATTCTAAATGCAATTCCCCTTGGTGAGGATCATTCTGGGCCACGCTGAAATAATATTTTCCTAGGTCTGATAATCTAAGTTTATTGAAAGGAGTGGGTTTTTTAATATTTTTTTTCCACTACAGTAAACCGAACTGGGCTGGAACCACATGAAATAAATTATAGGATATATAAACAAAGTGTAATAGACAATTTTCTATTAAGTAAAAATTAAGTTGCACAAAAATACTCAATACACTACATGTTATATCTAGATAGACAAGTATATACATGGATGGAAATTTTCTGGAAAAATACACAGGAAAATGTTGTGACCATTTACCATTTAGTAATACAGCTATAAGTAAATTAATTAGAAGTAATTTTGAATGACAGTGTCAAAATCCAAGTCAAACTAAGGTAAATTAAAAGAGGAATATTGCTTCCATTAATACACAAATTTATCACTAGAAAGAGCAAGTGTGTATTAGCCCCAGTAAATCATAGAAACTTAAATAAATGGAGAATTTCCTCCTTCTGCCTCTTAAAAAATCTGGTTCTTCTTCATGTATTAACATCATTATATCAAATCCAGTTTATCCACAAAGCAGGGTAATACTAGCACCTAAAGATCTGGATTTACTTTCTTACAGTCTCATGACCACTGGCTAGTGTCATGTAAAATGCAATTATTGGGACCCATGTGCTCAGTTCCTGAGATAGTCATTATGATGAAGAAAGCTAAAGTAATATATTTGACTTTGTGCCATATGCCCACAAATATGGCCATTGAGGAGAGGTCTGTTACCAGAAGATGGATAATGATTATATATAAACTAAAGGTAGCTGAAAGAGAAAAATGTAACCCTAGATGCACTATTTTAGAGTTTCCCATATGTCCACATACTACCGCCATTCAAAAACAAAACAAAACAATAAAAGCAGCATATAAGAAGTAGAAACTGATAAATATTTCCCATCTAAATGGGTAGAATATGGATCCAACCCTCTTGTTACCCTTTTTTAAAAATAAATTTCAGTATAAAATGGCCAAAAGTGGATGACTTCCTTGGGTATTACTTTCTGTGACAAATTTATTGTTGTCACACAAAGGGTTGACACAACTAGTTGCCTCCCAATGTCTGTTTTCCTCCATTTCCCTAGGAAAAAAATCAAGGAGAGCTTATCCACATGGTTCTCTCCATCAAGTCCAAATGTGTTTCCTACTGATGTGGTGCCTTATGAATTAACAACACAAGTTAGGTGTTCTTCTAAAGGCATTCAAAATAAAAAAATGATAGCACAAGTTTGCAACCATAATAAAACTATTTTCCAGGAAATACGACAACGGGAGATATATAGCAAACACTGTGAAGGCCCCTACCCAGGGAATTCGAGAAATTTGTGTTCATTGGTTCATAATTCTGCTTTCTGCTAGGAACTCTTAAATTCACATTTTTCTTTAGCTCCTGGATTCTCTTCCCAAAAGTTTCTTCCCTTTCTATTATCACTATTTTAAAAGTGAGAGTTAGTGAATATCCTCTTTTTGGTGGATGCACAGCTTTCTAAGTTGAATTTCAGCTTGAGAGTGATCGAAAGTCCAAGGGCATTATTTTAGGTCTTAAATCCTCGAAGATATTTTATTGATAGCACATCTCAGGTTCTAATCTATTTTTCTTCCAGTCAGTTCCATGTGTCAATAACCCTTTCCAAAGAAGTTCTTTTTGAGACAACTGGTTTCAGATCTGTCTTTCTTATTATTTATTAATTTTTGCTTTCTTACCCTCATACCCCCCACCTCTTTCATGATAGCTACATTAAGGCTATCAGGCTTGAAAGAAAAGACTGTGCCCTTAATTGGGTTCTTGTTCTGCATTAATTAAGTTTATTGGGACTTTATTGCTCAAATGTTTTATCCCATACCTGGAAACATTTTCCAATTGATCAAACCTCTAAATTGAGGGATTCTGTGTCTTTCCATTTTTGTTTATGACTTGGTTGTTTCCTAATTATGTTTCTATATTATTAATCTGCCAAACACAACCAACAGTAGTCAACACACAAACAGCCTGCCGCCCCATTATATCAGGCCACAATATTACTCTTTGGCCTGGATCTAATATGGGTTGCCAATTTTTGAGATTCTAATTGGTTTCTCCAGTGCTTTAGCCAACTGCTACACCAACACCATATGAAGGATAAAAGTAAGGCATCACTTAACTTTAAGTTAGCAAGGATAGAATAAGCTATTCTGCAATAAGAAATAAACTTTAAAATCTTACTGTCTTGGTAGAAAAATATATTTTTTCTCTCTCACCTCAGAGTCTAATGTGAGTGAGAAGTCTTCTTTCATCTTATGGCTGTGCAATCTGGAATATGAAGCCTCCAAGGTCACCACAGCAGAGATGAGTCAAGCAAGACCTAGAAAAATGAAGGTGGTACATCAGGTTTTCACTTCCTCTGTGTAGAAATTATATTCTTTACTCTTGCTCACATTTCCTTGACACAACTAGTTAAATGATTCTTATACAGAAACATAGGATATTTGATGATTACTAAAGTTTATTTCATAGCTCTAATAATAATAAACTTTCTAGAAAAGTTCAGCTCCATTTCTTCCCATGTATTTGCCTATTCTATTTTACATTTTACTGGATCAATTCTGTTCTCACTCTTCTTATGAAAAAACATCCCTTGTCTAATCATAACTCCATACTCAGAAGTTTCTTTCTACAAGGGTGCTGAGAACATGGAATGAAACAACAAATTGCAACTGACTTCTCATTCTGCACCATCCACATTTTTCTCTAGAAATAGCAGTTATGACCAAAGCAGTCCTCTCTGGAATTCTGACTCTTTCTATTTCATTCCTATTGATTTGTGCACTGCTCTAAGTAAAATCTTCAAGGAGTCATCTGTGATGTCAGGAAAGATCATGGGATTTGATGTGAGAAAACTCCTAAACATGTAGCTCACTAGATCGTTAACACTGGACAAATCATTCAATTTCTCCTGACCTTAAAATCTTCTTCCTTAAAATGATACTTCCTTAAAATGAGATTTCAGTAATAGGTCTATTGTGGGTTTAAGAAAGATAATGTATATAAAAGAGCTATGTGTTCTGTAAAACATTGTGTGAAAGACTATTTTAAAAATAATCAATAGTATTAAACCTGGATAGTCTAGTTGGCAAATTAAAGACCAAATTAAATAATGACTTGCATACCCCCAAATTTCCAAAGTTGTATCAAGATACAATTTGCCAACCACAAAATTTACCCTTTTACCTGTACATTTCAGTCATTTTGTTTTTAGTATATTCATAAAGTTGTGCAACCATCCCTAATGTCTAATTTTAGAGCATTTTAATCTCCCCAAAAAGAAATTTCTTGCTCATTAGCAGTCATTCCCCATTCCCCCGGGCAACTACTAGTTTAACTTCTGTCTCCACAAATTTGCCTATTCTCAACAGCTTGTATAAATGGAATTATACAATGTGTGCTCTTTTGTGACTATCATCTTTCAGTGGGCCTCATGTTTTCAAGGTCCATGTGTTGGACCTTCTTAAGACTCTTAATCACCAGCAGGAGGTACCAGAAACAAGAGTAGATCACTGTATGAATTAGGGATAAAAATTTATCTTTGGGCTACAATACTTGTTCTGTGTCCTGAAAATCATTCCACCTATTACAAATTTTGTAGGAAACCATAGCTTCTTAAGTTTTTCTTCTTGTGGAATTGGGAATGAGACAACTAATTATATGTAACGAACTGCCGTATAATCTCCAGCATTTATATTCTAACATTTTTAGTCTGGACTTCATAAAAACAGTTCAATTTGTATTACTTATTGCAAGATATACAGTTATTGATCATTTACATTTGAATTTATTTTTATAATTTTAGAAAATTTAAGAAGGAAATGAATATTTTGCATTTTATAAATCAAAAAAATAATAATGAATAGCTACATAAGTAGGAGGTTGAAATGTGTAAAGAAACTAAAAACTCAAGGTTGTGATTTTCTAGTGCTTACAAAATAAAGCTGATTTTTTTGACATCTAGCTAACACCGTTTATTAATCTATGCATAAAGCAGATGATTTTTCTTTTGCCAAATTCTATTTTACCTGCCACCAAGAAGGGCGGAGACAGTGCCTGCGGGGTTCAGGCTGAAAACATATTGCCTAGTTGCTATGAAATACTTCTTTGTAATGAATTGATTCTTCTTTCAAAGAGTATCTGGAAATTCTAAATGGAATTCAAATTAATTTCTCTTTTTTTCTAATGTGACTCTCATTATTTAACTTGTCTCTAGCCACTCTTTTTTGAATGCCCACTTTTCTTAATTTAGTATATGATATGCAACAATTTAATATGTAATATACATTTTGAAGATTTAAAAATGTGAAATAATTTATTAGGGTTCCACATACTGTCATAGTATACAAAAATTTTAATTTTAATAAGATGTCATAATGCTGATTCTGAAACTGTGATATGTGCTATAATGGAGAAATGTTTGTCATTTGTCTTAATGACACTTTTGTACATTTAGATGGATACCCTCCCCTCCAAAATGCTAAGAAACTGTGAAGTAAATTTCAAATGTAACAAAACATGCACACAGAGCAAGAGTAACTGAATCCTTCCCTTTTTGTAATTATTGAAAAACTAGTTTAGCACATGTAAAGGCCAGATCCAAACTTGAACTAAATGTAACCTTTCCAACAGTAGAACAGTTTTTTCCCATCACTACATACAGGTATAGTCATGCTTCTTTGTTTCAGTAGGAGACAACTGGGAATAATTTGAAACACCATGAGTAAGGCAATTTCTGAGGTATTTATAATTTAAACCCAAACCTGTAAGTACTATAACTCCTATGGGAAAAGTCTGATCATTTGCAATTTTCTCCAAAATGAAACTCAGAATTACTCCAATTTAAATCATCTTAAGAAGTTATGGGGATTTTTTCTAACTTTTAAGAGTAATTTTGACATTTCAATATCTAAAATAATCTATTGTTGATAAAGAAAAGTGCTGATGAAGTTTTTCTTTATTTAACATAAATTCTCAAATTTTAAGTTCAACTTACTGGACCTGTCATGACACTTGACTATAAAGAGGTGAAAAGAAGATCTGAATGGACCTATATGAATTCATGTTATTCTTCTATCAACTGAATACTAAATGAAATCAGATAGCATTCATTGAATAACACATTGGTTATAAGTGTCTTTGAGAATTTGTAGAATCTTATTTCGTTAAGTTAGATTTGGAGGGATTTGTTTGTATGTAGCCACTAGTAAATACAGCAGTTAGAATATGGTCCAAATCTATAATCTCAGTACGTTGAGAGCTCGGTTTTGTGTTGCCTTTCCCTAATTATTCCATGAGGCACTGCAGAATATATATTTAATGTAGAGTCATCAAAAGTTCCTAAGTTTAAACACTCTGGAAAGATACTTTCAAGAGCATAGTTCAAAAAAACAAAACAAACAAAAACAAACAAAAAAACAGGTATGATCTCCTTTCCCACAAAGCAAGGCAAACAATATGATAAACTCATGCATACAGTACATACAAGAACTGAGGCAAAAATTCAAAGCAAAAAGATATTTTTTTTCTGGCTAAATACGTGATTATGCAGAAGACTTCTGGAAGATATAAAATATTGAGTAAGGGCTTAAATTTCTATGGCTACTCTTTCTGTGGGTGGAGCTGATGCATACACAGCTCTTAAGGCAAAGGCAGAGCACTGATAGATAAAAATACGAAGTATGTGTTAAAGAGAGCCATAAAGTCAGTCCATTAAAAAGAAGTAGTTGTACAAAGTAGTTTTAAATACTTAGAGTATATTTTACCAAGGAGGTAAAATATTTATATACTGGAAACTATAAAATTTTGAACAGAGCTATTAATAGTTTATAACAATGGTTTTGGGCAATTAATATTTTTAATATATGAAGCATTATAATCCAAAGAAATTGCTGAGTTATCATTCTTAGAAACCAGATGTCATATATATCTTTTTAAAAAATGTATGTATTTGTTTTAATGGACAAATAATAATTGCATATATTTGTAGGATACAATGTAATTTTTTATCTCTACATACACTGTAGAAAGATTCAATCAATCTTATTAATATATCCATCATCTCACCAATGTATCACTTTTTTGTAGTTAGATTGTGAATAATCTATTATTTTAGCAATTTTGAAATATATGATATATTATTATTAACCATGGTCACCATGCAGTGCAAAAGATCATGAAAATTTCTTCCTCCTATCTAAGATTTTATATCCTTTTATCTACATCTTCCCTTTCCACAACCCTTCCCCCCAATCTCAGGAATCACTTTTCTACTCTCCATTTGTAGGAGATTGACTTTTTAGATTCCGCGTGTGAGATCTTACAATATTTATCCTTCTGTGCCTAACTTATTTCACTTAGCGTAATATCCTCCAGTTTTATCCATGCTGTCACAAATGATAGAACTTCCTTTTTAAGGCTGTGGAGTATTCCATTGTGTGTGTGTGTGTGTGTGTGTGTGTGTGTATAACATTTTTAAATCTATTCATCTGTTTATAGGCACTTATTTTGCTCTCAAATCTTGGCTATTCTGAATAATGCTGAAATAAACATGGGAATGCAGATATTTCTTTGACATATCAATTTCAATTCCTTTGGATGTATATCCAGAAGTGGGATTGCTGAATCATACAGTGATTCTATTTTTAGTTCTTTGAGGTAATTCCATACTATTTTCCAAAATTGCTGCACTAATTTATATTCTCAGCAATAGTGTAAAAGAGTTCCTTTTTCTTCATATTCTGAGCAACACTTATTATTATTCAATTTTTTTATAATAGCCACTTTAATAGGAGTGAGGTGATATTGTATTGGGGTATAAATTGGCATTTCTCTGATTATTAGAGATGTTGATTATTTTTAATGTATCTGTTGGCCAATTATGTCTCTTCTTTTGAGAATCTCTGTTTAGATCTTTTACTCATTTTAGTTTGGTAATTTGTTTTTCATTTTCTATATATTTTGGATATTAGCCCCTTATCAGATGTATGGTTTGCACATACTTTCTCCCAATCTGTTGTCTCTTCAATCTATTGTTTTATTTGTTCTACAGAATGTTTTTACTTTAATGCAATTGCATTTGTCTATTTTTCCTTTAGTTGCCTGTGCTTTGGGATTTCTAGTCAAGAAACTATTGCCCAGTCCAATGTTATGGAGCTTGTCCCCTATGTTTTCTTTCAAACTGATTTTTTCAAGGCCAGCATTACCCTGGTATTAAAGCCAGACAAGGATGCTACAGGAAAAGAAAACTAACAAACCAGTAGCCCTGATGAGCAAAGATGAAAAAATCCTCAACAAAATATGGGTGAATTGAATTCAACACCACATTAAAAAGATTATTTATCATGATCAAGTTAGATTTATCCCAGGGATGCAAGAATGGTTCAACTTAAATAAGTCAATAAATGTGAGACATCATATCAACAATATAAAGGATAAAACTCACATGATCATCTCAAAAGATGCCTAAGAAGCATTAGACAACATGCAACATTTATTATTAAAACTTTCAAAAATATAAGTATAGAAGAAATGTACTTCAACACACTAAAGGCCATATATAACCAGCTCACAGCTAACAGCATATTTAATGGTGAAAACTTGAAAACTTTTTCTCTAAGATCAGGAACAAAGCAAGCATACCCACCCTAGCTACTTCTATTCAACATAGTACTGGAAGTTCTATCCAGAGCAATTAGGCAAGAAGAACAAATAAAAGGCATCCACATAGGATAGGCAGAAGTTAAATTGCCTCTGTTTGCTGATGATATAATCTTAGGTACAGAAAACCCTAAAGACTCCATACACACAAAAAAATTTTGAACTGATAAAGTCACAGGTTACACAATCAACTTACAGAAATCATTAGTCTTTCTAAACACTAACAGTGAATTATCTGAAAAAGAAATTAAGAAAATTTAATTTGTAAGAGTATAAAAACATTAAATACTTAATGTAAATTTTACCAAGGAGGTAAAATATTTATACACTGGAAACTGTGAAATATTGAGGAAAGAAACTGAATAAAAACCAAATAAATGGAAAGATATTCCATGTTTATGGATTTTAAAAATTAATATTGTTAAAATGTCTATACTAGCCAAAGTGATCTGCATAGTCAATGCAATTCCTTTAAAAATTTCATTGTCAAAATAGGAAAACAGTCCTAATTTTTTACTAAACTAGAAAAGAACATGAATAGTCAAAGCCATCTCGAGCAAAAATAACAAAGCTGGAGACATCACATTCTCTGATTTCAAAATATATGATGAAGCTATTGTAACCAAAAGGGTATGGTACGGCATAAAAAAAAAGACACAAAGACCCATGGAACAGGATAGAAAGTCTAGAAATAAAACCAAGGTTTTAGTCAATTGATTTTCAACAACGGCACCAAGAAAATACAATGGGAAAAGGACACTCACTTTAATAAATGGTGCTGCAAAAACTGGATACCCACATGCATAAAAATGAAAGTGGACCCTTTTTTCACACCATACATAAAGATCAACTCAAAATAGACAAAAGACATCAATGTAAGACCTGAAACTGTAAAATTCTCTATATATTTTACATATGTCTTCTTTATGCTTATGACATCTAAATGTAAACTTAGATATCTGACCTCTCTCTAGATAATAACTCAGTACTATCTATATGTGCTCAATAAACATTTATTGGAAATTCATGAGTAAATAAATAAATGACTGAATAATTAATAAATGTACTTGAGGTGAACAACAAGTTAAGGGCTGTGTTTCTGTGTAGGATGGGAATAGAAAAATTAACGTATAAAATTCTTCATTTGTGTTTCAGGAGAATTATTTTGTTGACACCTTACTATAATTATTATGTCATATTGATGTTTCCCTTTATAGCCTGATTTATTGACATGATTGCCAATAAATCACTTTCTACTCTTTGTGGTCTCTCAGTCTATTCTCAGCTGACTTTAGTTGGGTTCTTGTTCCCACCGCTTCACTGAAATTTTTGTCAAGATCCCTAATGACCTCTATGCAATGGTTTTATCTCATCTCATCAACTTCTTAGCAGTATTTGAGACCATATTTTTCTAGAAACACTCGGTGTCATGTAACTCTTATTGTCTTCTTATGTCCCTGACCACTCTTTCTAGGTACCTCACTTTCTTGTCTTGCCTTTTACTGTTAATTTTTGAAGTGTCCCATGGCTATGAACTGCATCTCCTTCTTTTCTCTTGAAAAATATTCTCCCTTCTTGTCTTAATCCAGACCTATGGCTTTTAAAACATCTGTATACTTATGATTCTCAAATTTACTTCCTAAACTTGCCCTTGCACTTTCTTCTCCACTTCTATAAAATATACCAAAATGTGTAATGTTAAAATGTATGCATTTTCCTGGATATTTATTTTTATTTCACTCCCCAAATGCAATCAATGAAGAAGTTATCTCAATTCTAATTCCAAATTATATCCCAAACACATCCACTTCTCTTTATGTGTTTTCTGAATATTCTTGTTCGACTTGTCCATTTTATACTTGAACTACAGTAGACAACTCATAACTGGCCTCCTTGCTCTTGCTGTTTTTGTACCAAGATCCACTGCCCATATAGTTAAGCACAAGGAGTTTCAAAACCATATGCAGATATTGCAATCCCCTTGCTTGTTAACAGTATTACTTTATTACTGCTGTAACAAATTACCACAAAATTAGTAGATTGAAGAAACACAAATTTATCTTACAGTACTGGATGAGAAGTTTAACCTAGGTCTCCTGAACCTAAGTTAAGCTGCCAGCAAAGCTTTGTTGTATACCAGAGGCTCTAAGGGACATCCTCGTTTCCTTCTCTTTTCTAGCTTCTAGTGACCAGCCATAGTCCTGGCTCATGGCCCTTTCTCCACCTTGAAATCCAGCAACATTACATCTCTCTGTGCCCTTCTTTCATACTCATATTTTCCATTGACCCTCTCTTTTTGTTTCCTCTTCATTTTTAAAGATGCTTGTGATTACATTGGGCCTACACAAATAATCCAGGGTGATCTATTTTGAGATTAGCAGGTTATAAACTTTAACTCCCCTTTGCAATGTAATGTTTCATATTTACAGGTTACAGGGATTAAGGTGTATACCTCTTTGGGGGCTCATTATTCTGCCTCAAATAGATCCCAGTTAAAATAAGATACAAAACTACTTACTCTGGCTTCTAAAACCGTTTTTGAACTAGAATGTTCCTACTACCCAACTACATCTCTTTTTACTCCCTCTCCTACCCAATATCTTCCAGCTGTCTTGTCTTTATTCCTTTTCTTCTGACAAAGCAAAATAAATCCACCACAGGCCCTTTGCACTAGCTGTTCTCTCTGGCTTTTAATGTCATATTCTGTATCTTCAAATAACTGGCTTCTTCTTATCACTTAAATATCTCCTGAAATTCTTCTTTTACAAGGTTGGTTTACTAAACCAAAACATCTAAAGAATTCACCCATATATTATCACTTCACCAAATATATGTTCTATACCAATCTCTGCTATTTTCCTTACTTATAAATGTATTGGTACATTTATTATCTTCTCTCTCTTTCTCACATACACATGCACACTCAAACACACACACCTAATAGAGGTGGTTCCTTTGTTTATTCAAATTTCATCATTGAAACCTCATTGCCTGAAATACATTCACAAACTCCATGAACTGACATGTAATGAATAATTTTGCACCCTACTTGGCTTCCCAAAATGTATTTATCTTTTCTTCTGTCTAAATTCCAGAAGCACTAAACCTCTTGTAATTTCTGGCACTTAACCTGCCATTTTTAGCCTATGTGGCATTATCTTTCCTCTCTTCCTAAAATAGCCACCCCTTTTACCTCTACCCCTTCACCTGGTCAACATCACTTTATTGTGAAACTTAATTTAGAGGTCACCTCCGACTAAGATTCATTCTCTCCTTGACTAAACTTTGATCAGGCTCTTCTGAGCTGTCTAGGTCTCAACCTTGGCATCTGTCTTTACTAGGCCTGCACCACCCAGTTTAGGCAAGAATCTTGCTAAGTTGGTTTAGAAAGAATCCCCAATGCTTGATATCCGATCACCTTCAATTACTGACCTGATACTTCCTCTTAGTAATTTTCCATACTCTGACTCCCATTCTGCTCATTGTCTATACATTCCTACTTGTGCCTGATGTATTTATGAATGAGTTAAGTTCTCTACCATAAATTTTTCCCCTTATTGCAATAGTTTTTAATGATAAAATTTATCTGCACTCCTTTAATTTCTGGGTGGCCCTGGTTTTGTTTAACACCCTTTTCATGAAGTCTCCTCTGACTCTCCTAGATTTTAAGATATGTTTCCTCTATGCCAATTCACTATTAGTGTTTTAGTCATTCCTTTTATAATTCATCAGAAATTTCTGATTATAGGTTTAACTCATGTAATAGCCTGCAAAAACATTCAGAACATAAATTCTATCTTACTTATTTTTGTGTCTCTGAAACCTAGACTATTGCCGGTACCTAGTAGATATTCAATAAGTATCTGCTGAATGAGTGACCATGGGCTTGTTCTTTGAGCCATGTTTCCTTCATTCTTCTCCAATGGATAATTGGCATGTATTGATGTCATTAGGAAAAAGGGTTGTATCAACCATTTTTATAGTTATCAATTTGCTTTTCAAATTGTTCTATTTCAACCCACATGTATAAATATATACCATTTAACACTCCTCATTGAAGTTACCTTCTGACTAAAACAGAACTTTAAGATAAGAATGTGAGGGAAGAGAAACAACTTAGTCAAGGAAGAGAACAGAACCTGTAATGGGTTTGTGTTCAAGCTAGCTTATCACTGAAGACTGAAACTCATTTCTACCAGAGAAATCTTGCTAGCCAAGATAAGTTACACCCACTGAAGGGGTGAGGGAGCTGGTCTCTCACTGTTTAAGAGCTTTAGGGAGAAGAAGGGCACTAATTTCCCAGCATTTCCATCCTACCTTATAGGTAACAAAGCAAGCTCCAGAAGCTAGGAAAAACCCTCAAACAAATAATGTGCAAAAGATAGCAGTTAAAAGTTAAAAGCAAAAGGCTAGTAATTGGTAAGGGTAATGGGGCAGCACCGGACACTGCAGGGTCTGCTTCAGTAGATTGCAATTATAACACCCTAGCCTCACCTTTTTTTTTTTTTTTTTTTTTTGATGTCCTGAGTTTTGCTTACCTTTACCTGCACCCTACATCAGTCATCAATAATTATAGCTACAAGTTCATCTTCATCATTGACCATATGTTTCTGCTTTTGAGGTAAATATTTCAGTATTTCATTTCTGAAAGTAATTTATCCTTCTGATATTATTGTTCATTTCTATGAGATACATCCCTAGCTTCATAGTGATCTGCAGTCCTTGATGTCCACTTTAACCAGCTGTCTTGCAGCTTTGATTCTATCACTATGACACTGGCAACTACGCAGCATCATTTCAGCTACTATTTATTGGCAGAAACCTCCTTCCTTTACCTTGTTGCTCTTTGATTTTATATACCTTCCAAATGCCCAATCATGGGTAATTTTAAACATATTTCTCAGAAACTATATCTTGCTGCTGAACGATGTGAAATAAAATCTCCTAACATTGCAAGTTGTGTCATTAGAGATTTATGATTTACTCATAACTGTGCCCTCCATACTATTCTGCAATCTTATTACATATATTTAATGATTAACATTTCCCATTTACCTCAAAATGTATTTGAAACATACATTTCCTTGAGCTCTAAATAATTCCTCTTTTCTCTCTTTTCCTCAGCTATTAAGCTTACTTTATTATTTTCTTTTTCTACATGAAAAGTCAAGACTATTGTCTGACTTTTTGGCTTCTTATTAACCTTTAACATATATCTTTACTTCTATCTTTACCTTCTCCTGACAGTTTCAGATGAAGTTGTGTTTCTTCTGCTGTCTTAGGACAACGTTGTTATAGCTATTTTCCCCATTTTCTGTTTTGAAAACTTTATCTATCATTTCCCCTAATTTTGTGAAATATTTGATTTATTCTTATGTATTGACTTATTCTAACCCTTTACACATGCACAGTACTTTTCTATTTTATAGAAACTCATAAATAAGCCAAGAAAAGAATTAAGCAAATTCTTTGACAATATTGCAAGTTATAATAACTCAGTTCTCTTTTTCTTTGTTTTAAAATACTGCACCCTCACCACCTTTACTTTCTTATCTCTTATTCAGTATCACCATTTGGTTTTTCCTTTTATTGTACTAAATTAAGGTGTTTCATGACTTCTTAATTCTAAGTTCATGAGTACTTTCATCAGATTAACTTAATATTTTGGTGGCATTTACCTTTGTTGCTGACTTCTTTACTCTTTCAAATATTTTCACCCTTGACTCTTATTAAATTATTTTATTCAAAATTGTTTCTTTCATTTTTGCCTATCCCTCAGACCTCTCTACATAGAATTTAGTTTCATTGTAGCTCTTTGGAAGTAGGTATTCTCCTTATATTCCTGGTACTTTTTTTTTTGTTTTTTTTTTGACAGTGTCTTGCTCTGTTACCCAGGCTGGAGTGCAGTGGTGTGATCTCCCCTCCCTGCAGATCTCCACTCACTGCAACCTCTGCCTCCCGGCTTCAAGCGATTCTCCTGCCTCAGCTTCCTGAGTAGCTGGGATTACAGGTGCCTGCCACCATGCCCTTCTAATTTTTGTATTTTTAGGAGAGACGAGGTTTCACCATGCTAGCCAGGCTGGTCTCAAACTCCTAACCTCAAGTGATCCACCTGACTTGGCCTCACAATGTGCTGGGATTACAGGCATGAGTCACCATGCCCAGCCATTCCTGGTACTTTTTACTCATGCATTTGGATTTTACTCATTGACTCCCTCAGTGCATATGACTATTATGCTACTGACTCCAAAATTTACAACTCCAGCACAGAGCCTATCAAACACTCAAGCTACCTTACAGAGAATTTAAACTTATTATATACAATATGAAGATTATAATTTTTTTTCTTTTGGACGATTTCTTTCCTAGTGAATGAATAACTTAATATCTCAGTTTATACATAAAGGTTCTTGGGGATGACATTTGACTTTTGGTCATCCACTATCTATTCCTTTTTTGGAATTAGTAATTAATTTTTCAATAAATTTTTACTTTATTGTAATGCCTCTACTATGTAAAGCTCTAACTATTGTACAGCTCCTATTATATGCTTCTAGATGCTGATGGTATAGATGAAAACAAGGTCTCTATTATCTGAGAACAGGCATTGGCAACTATGGCCTATGGGCCAAATTTGACCCACAATCTTTTTCTAATAAAATGTAGTAGAAACATAGTCACACTCATTTATTTATATATTGTCTATGTATGGTTTATACTATAATGGCAGAGTTTAGTTCTTATGACAGAGCCCATATGGCCCAAAGCCTAAAATACATATTATCTGTTCCCTTACTGAAGAGGATACAATTAGGTTGGGGTACAGATGTACCATTCCATGGAGGATATATTGGAGACTTGCCTGAGACTGTTTAAAGAAGAAAAGTGAAGAGGTTGTCACTAGAGGCCAAGTGGAAGATAAGGAGAACCTGAATTACTGCAGTGAGAATAGCACTGGACAGTGCATATAGTCTAGAAATATTTGCTAATTAAAATTTATTGGATTTTATCACTAATTGGTTATAGTGGTGAGGCTGGAAAAATTAGGAACTAAGCACATATCTCAAGTTTCTTATTTTGGTGATTAGGTGGAAAGTGATTCCAACAACTAAAAAGGTGAAAACAGCAAACATAGTGAGGTATACTACTACTACTAATATTTATTTGGAGGAGCTACTACAGCATCATTTATACAAGTTTTAGTCTTAAGGACACTGAGCAAAGCTCATACTAAAGGCATTGATGGAATCTCTGAGTATATAAGCTTTTTCATTGATAAAAACTTCTAGTTACTAAGTATATCAGTCATACTTACTTGCTTGATCATTTTGTCTTTCTGTATATGATAGATTTCAACTAATCGTGTGTGGTTGATAGAAATTTACTGCATAATTATAATCATGACAAGTAATGAGGATTCACAGGGGCAGTATGTTTGAGGAAGGAAGATAGACTTGATATAATAATACCTGGAGTACTCTTCAGGCTTTGACACTCACTGGAAACTGGGTCTTGGTCCCCTCACATGAGAAGAAGAATTATAGCAATAATATCAGTGGAGGCAATGATCATATGAAATACTATATGGAAAGTGCTTTGCAAATTATAAACTGCTATGAGAATGTAAATTATCATTATTGTAACCAAGTTAATTTACATAGACTATGACTAAAAGATATCAAAACTGTTGACTTTGATAACTCATTTGCACATGTATTAAAATATATATGTGCAAAACTTAAAAAAATAATTTTTCAACTTGCACTTCTAATAATTTGTACACATTTGTTTTCATTTCCCTGTGGTTCATTTATTCAAAAAGCTATTTATTTATTTTATTTTTTAACTTTTATTTTCAGTTCAGGGGTACATGTACAGGTTATATAGGTAAACCTGTGACATGGGGGTTTGTTGTACAGAATTTTTTGTCAGCCAGGCATTAAGTCTAGTACTCATCATTATTATTATTATTCTTGATCCTCTCCCACCTCCCATCCTCCAGCATCTGGTAGGCCCTAGTGTCTGCTTTTCCCCTCTATGTGTCCATGTGTTCTTATCATTTAGCTCCCACTTATAAGTGAGAACATGCAGTATTTGGTTTTCTGTTCCTGTTAGTTTGCTAAGGATTATGGCCTCCAGTTCCATCCATGTTCCTGCAAAGGACATGATATCATTCTTTTTATGGCTGCATAGTATTCCATGGTGTATACATACCACATTTAAATAGGCATTCAGATTGATGGGCATTTAGATTGATTCCTTGTCTTTGCTACTGTGCATGGTGCTTCATTGAACATATATGTGTATATGTCTTCATGACAGAATGATTTATATTCCTTTGGGTTGCTAGGTTAAATTATAATTCTGTTTTTAGCTCTTTGAGAAATCATCTCACTGCTTTCCACAGTGGTTGATCTAAATTACACTCCAACCAATAGTGTATAAGCTTTCCTTTTTCTCTGCAAACTCACCAGCATCTGTTATTTTTTCCTTTTTAATAGTAACCATTCTGACTTGTGTGAGATGGTATCTCATTGTGGTTTTTATTTCCATTTCTCTAATGATCAGTGGTGCTGAGATTTTTTGCATATGCTTGGCCACATGTATGCCTTCTTTTTTAAAAAGTATCTGTTCATGTTCTTTGCCCACTTGTTAATGGGGTGGGTTGTTTTTCCTTGTAAATTTATTTAAGTTTCTTATAGAGAGTGGATATTAGTCCTTTTTCAGATGCACTGTTTGCAAAAATTTTATCCCACTTTCTAAGTTGTCTATTTATAGTATCTTTTGCTGTATAGAAGTTCTTTAGCTTAATTAGATCTCATTTGTCAATTTTTCCTTTTGTTACAATTGCAAAAAGATATTTATTGAGCATCTATGAGTGCATTGTATTTGGTGAAATAAATACAGAAGTAAAGAAGACATTTTTAAAAAATTCCTTCCTCTTAGGGAGCTTACAGCCTACTTTGGTGAGAAATATAATAAATAAAATAAAATATATGCTATTTATATGATAAGTTATTATGAAGAAAATTAACCCATTGCCATCATAATTAAACATTTTGGAGGCTGGGGAGCCTTGGCAACTTTAAATAATGTAAAGAGGGTAACTCTCAAAGAGAAATGATGGTGGCACTTGTACAACTACTGGAAGAAGAAATCCAGATGGATAACAGAAGTAAGCTCCAAATATTTGAGGAGGACAATGATTGGAATATTTGAGAAATGTCAACTGAGCCACTATGGCTGGGCTGTGATGAGTAAGGATAAAAATAATAGGATATGAGGTCTTAGATATCATGTAAGCTACCTTAAGAACCATGGGTTTAGACTGAATGAGAATAGATATCACTGAAATTTTTTTGAGATGAAGAGCAACATCATCTTGTTTACACTTAACAGGAAAACTAGCTTTTGTGCAGAGCAGAGGGTAGGAAAGGGAGACACAAAACCAGTATAAAGAGCTGTTGGAGAAAGAGAAATAGAAATGAATGATGTTTTGAAACTTGGATGGCAATTGCAGTATTAAAAAACACTGGGTTCTGGGTATATACTTAAGGAAATAAAATGATTTTATGATAGATTAGAATACAAAAAAGAATGAGTTAGTCATGACTTCAGGTTTTAGGGTTATCTGTGTTTTCAGAAGAAGAGCCATACATCATTTTGGAAATTTAAATTTTAAGGTAATAATTAAATGTCCAAGTAATATATTAGGTGAGGTTGAGATGGAAATACAAATTTGGAAATTTTCATTGAATGAATGGAAACAGGAAGAGAATAGATACATACTAAAACATGTGGAAGGACTAAACCTTCTAGAGTTAGGAGGTTGAGAGATGTTAAGAGAAAAGAAAAGAAAATAGACAAGCATGGATCAATGAGGCAAAAAGAAAATCAAGAAAATGAGGTGTTCTGAATGCCAGTTTATGAAAGTATTTCTCGGAAGAGAAAGAGATCAATTCCATCAAATAATGGTGATAAATCAAAACGATTCAAGGATTAACAATTTTGCAAGTTAAAAGTCTTTTGTCACTTTGACAAGAACACTTTCAGATTCATGGTGGAAACAATAATCTGGTGGCAGTAGATTATGAGGGAAGACTTCATGACAAGAGAGCAATAAAACTCTATATTTGAGTTTTGTGGTAAAACAAAACTCAAGAAGTAAATGATCACGGAGAGACACTTAGAGAACAAGGTAGAATCAAGAAAAGGTTTTTTTTTTTTAATTAACATAGGAGAAGCAACATATGACTGAATTTATGCTAATGATAATTTTTTTGGTAGAAAGAGGAAAAGAGATGACGCAGGGACAAGCAGATAAAATTGTTGGAGTAATTACATAGTTCTGCAGGAATGGTACCCTGTGCATAGAGAGGTTTTGCCCTTTTCTAGCACTAAAGTTTATCCATATCATCTAGAGAGAAGGCAGAGTATGTAAGTTCAGATGGGAGTAAGTGATTAGATGTTGTGGAGGGAACCTCATGAAAATCCTCTTTATATTGCTGGAACTAAAAATAAAAAGAAGACATGGCAGCTTTGAGGGATGAGGCTAGGGAAAGAAAGCACTAAGTTTTTACTCAGGAGTATCAGAGAGTGAATGGACTGGAGGAAATATAATGGGTAATATTAGATCCATTTGAAAGCATTAGTAATGCATTTAAAATGAGATAAGGTAACAGAATGTCATGTTAATGTCTAAACGTATTCAATTCGACATGAATTGAACATGAATTGCTGCATCAAGTAGGCAGAGTTGGATTCAAGAAGAAGAATTGAGGTTGCCCAAATGAGCAGAAAATAATGGGTCTAAGATATTCATGGTTTATGCTTAAGAGTGATTATAATAGCTGTCTGTCTATGGAATTGAAGCTGTATAAGACAAAATGGGCAAATATGAAGGGGTAAAAGTTAAAGTACAGGTCATAGGAGAAAATGATTATGGGTCTACAAAGGCATGAAGAATTTCCAGTTTCAACTATAATATATAAAACAATTGAAAGTCATCATTCCTACCATTATGAGAAAACACTGGAAAAACATGAAATAAATGACTTTTGTTGGATCAATCAAAGAACTGATGTTGCAGAAAGAAACTACCACATCAAAATATTTAGAGACAGGTTCATAGCTAAACCACAGAAGAGATTTGCCTACCTAGACAGAAACCTTGGAGTCATAAACTTTTGCAATAAAACAACAGAAACTTCGAGGTAAGCCAAAAGACAAAAACACAGTCACAATAGAAAAATCACAAAAACAAAACTCAGATACAGCACAGATATTACAGTTATCAGAAACAATAAAAAATAACTTAATAAATAATGTCAAGTGATGTAATAGGAAGGTAAGCAACGTGGAAAAACAAAAGGATGATGTAAACAGAGAGATGAAAAGTCTAACAGTTAAAAGGAAGAGCTAGAAAACAAAACAAAAAAAGATAACACTATAACAGAAATGAAGAACACCTTCAGTGAGTTATTCAGTAAATTTGGCATAGCTAAGGAAAGATTCAGTGAGTATGATGATTTGTTAATAGACACACTGAAATTGAATGGTAAAGAGGAAAAGGAAGAAAAGAGAACACACACACACAAACACACACACACACACACACACACACACACACCCCCAGGACAGAAGATTAACAAACTATGAGACAATTTCAAAAGATATAATGTATTCATTATCGAATACCAGAAGGAAAAGAGAGAATGGAGTAGAAATATTTAAGGCAATGACAGCCAAGAACTTTTCAAAAAATGACAAACCAAAAACCCAAATTAAGAAAGGGATCATCAGGCTGGATAAATATCAACAAACAAACAAAAAACAAACCACACAAACATATGCACACCCCAAGGCATAGAAAATTCAAACTGTAGGAATCCAAAGACAAAGATAAAATCTTAAAGGAAGCCAGAGGAAAAGATAAAACCATACCTATAGAGGAAAAGGGATAAAAATTACAGCAGATTTATCCAAAGAAAACATGTGAGAAAAAAAACAGTTAAGTAATTTGTACAACTTAATTAAAAATAAGCCAATGAAAAAACGGTCAAAGGATATGAATAGACATTTTTTCAAAAGAAGACATACAAATGGCCAAAAGGTATATGAAAAAAATGCTCAGCATCAATAATCATCAGGGAAATGCAAAGCAAAACCACAACAAGATATCACCTCACATGTATTTCAATGGCTATTTTCAAAATGTCAAATGATAACAAGTGTTGGTGAAGGTGTGGAAAAAGGGAGCCCTTACTTGGTAGGAATGTAAATTGGCATAGCCATTATAGAAAACAGTATGAAGTTTCCTCAGAAAATTAAAAAGATAACTAGTATGTGATCAAGTAATTTCACTTCTGTTATATATCACAAAATAAATATAATTACTAACTCAAAGAGTTATCTGCATTATCATATTCATTGCAGCATCATTTATAATAGCCAACATATGACATATGGACACAAACTAAGTGCTAAGGAATGAATGGATAAAGAAAATGTAGTGTGTGTGTGTGTGTGTGTGTGTGTGTGATGTAATATAATTTTTCCTTAAATAGAAGAAAATCCTGATAATTGCAACAAGATGAATCAACCTGATGGACATTATGTTAAGTGAAATAAACCAGGCACATAAAGGCAGATACTGCATGATCTCACTTATATGTGAAATATTCAAAAGTCAAACTCATAGAATGAGAGAGTAGAAAATCATTAACAGGAGTAAGGGGGTGAAGAAAATAGTGAGATGCTGGCCATGTGGTACAAACTTACAGTTATAAGATAAATACGTTCTGAAGACCTAATGTATAGTATGGTAACTATAATTAATGATAATGTATACTTGAAATTTGCTAATAGAGTAGATCTTAAGTATTCTCACAATTATAAAAAAGGAAACTCTATGAGATGATAAATATGTTAATCAGCTTGATTTTGGTAATTATTCCACAATGTATATGTATATTACAACATCACATTGTGCATCTTAAATATATAAAATTATATTTGTCATTTATACCTCAATAAATCTGGGGAAAAACAGAATATGTTACCTTCTGAATAATATTTATGAGCTTAAGAATTAAAAATGAAGTGAAATATGTATTGTTGAAAGAAAAACCTACCAAGCCAGAATTCCATATCGACTGAAATTGTTCCTCAAAAGTAAAAGAGAAATTAAAATTTTCTCAGAGAAACAAAAACTGAGGAAATTTATCAACAGCAGACTTGCTCCGCAAAAAAAGATAAAAAAGTTTTTTTAACAGAAAATAAGAATTTTTAATGTCATGATAAAAATATTAAAGGTAATAGAGAAAAATTTAAAATATTTTCTAAAGAAAGAAGATAATTAATATGCACCAAAAACAGGACTAAAGAATGGACTAGTATTCAGGATGGAATAAATGAAGGTAAAACAAAATATTTTATAGTGTTGTTTTAAAATAGATTAGCTAAAATATATGGAATATATAAATTATAACCATTAAAATATTTATAAAATAAGTATAATTGATAAACTAAAAGATAATATAAAGTGGGATTATATAAAAGGTTTCATTAAATTTGGAGAAAGCATGAAAATAAATAAATAAGTAAAACCTCTAGTAATGAATAGAAAACATAAACATTGTTAACATTGCTTCATACATATCAATAATCCCTTTAAATATGAATTGTCTAAAAATATCAATAAAATAACAAAGATTGTCAGAGTGGATTAAAAAACAAGACTCAACTATAGTATGCTGTTTACCACAACCCCACTTTTAACATACAGACTCAGGTAGACTAAAAGTAAAGGGCTGGAGAAAGATATAGCAAGTTGAAACTAATTTTTTAAATGCTTGAATAGCGTGAACCCTGAAAGAGACAGTCCCTCAATCCCTCAAGAGGTATTCTGAGTGGCTAACTGGGCCTAAAATCAAATGACAGGCAAATGACCATTTGTTGACAAGAGGTTACACACATGCTCTGAGTTCCTAGAGAACCCACATGCCTCCTTATCTTTGGGACTTTCTTAGCTAGCTGTTTCTATTTATGCCACCTGAACCAACCAATAAGCTACGACCTACATTGACTAATCAGAATTTGGCAAACATCAACAAATCAGAGCTCAAAACTATCAACCAATCAGAACTAAGCAAATTTGAATCTTTCATTTGCATATGGAAACCTACACTGGAGCTTTGTATAAAAGACAGACTCTCCCTTTGTTCACTGGAGCACACTATTGTTTTACACCAAAAGCTGTGTCTCTCTGATTTGCAAATTGTTTACTGAAATAAAGTCTCTTTCTCTAAATTCCTTTTCAGAGAAGTTTTGTTCATAGCCAAAATGCATGTACATCTAGACACAGATCCTCAAAATATGTGAAACAAAATCTTACAGAGCTAAAGAAAAAAAAGAAAAAAGAAAAACCCACAATTATAATTGAATACTTAACTCTTTCCTCTCCGTAACTGATAGATCAAGAGCAACAAAATAAATAGGGGTATAGTTGACCTGAAGAGCACTCAAATCAACTTTATCCAATTAATATTTACAGAATATTTTATGCAACAACACCACTACATGTATGCTTCTCAAGCTCAGACCATTTGCCCAAAATAGGCTGCATTCTGGGTCATAAAGCACACATTAACAGAAATAGAAATCATACAAACTATGTTCTATAATCTCATGGATATGAAAAGAATAATAGGGTACTATGAAAAACTCTATGCTCATTATTTGATTATTCCAATGAAATGGACCAATTACTCAAAAGACATAATTACCAAAAATCACACAAGGGGAAACAGATAACCTAGATAGTGTTATATCTATCTACTAAAGAAATTAAGTCAATAATTAACAACTTCCTAAAAAAATCACACAAGGGCTAAATAGTTTCACCTGAAAAATTATATCAATAAATAAAGAAGAAAGTATGTCAAATTATGCAAAAAATAAAGAACACTTTCTAACTCATTCATTGAGGTTATTATTAACTCTAATATCAAAACATTGCAAGAAGGAAAACCACATATCAATATCTCTCATGATGATATATGCAAAATTATCAACAAAATATTACTAAACTTGACCCTTTACATTATAAAAATAATTATACACCATGATACACAATAAAGTTGGATTGATTCCAGGTATGCAAGGCTGGGACCCTTTGAAAATCAAACAATGTAATCCACCAAATCAATAGACTACAGAAGAAAACTTATACGATCATATCAATTGTTTAAAAAAATTAAAATCCCACACTCCCTCATGATTAAAAGAAACCTCCCAGCAAACAAGTAGTAGAAGGAAACTTCCTCAACTTGATAGATAAAACTTACACAATATCCACTTCTAACATCATACTTAATGGTGGAAAAATAGAAACTTTCCCAAGGACATTGGGAACAAGGAAAAAATGTAAAAATATTCTCTCTCACAATTCTTATTTAACATCATACTGTCAGTCTTGGCTAATACAGTAAGATGAGACAAATACAGTAAGATGAGACACACACATATATATGGATTAAGATGGAAAAAGTAAAATTGTCTCTATTCACAGATGACATAATTTTCTATGTAGAAAATTCTAAATAACTGAAAAAAAATCTCCTGGAACTAATAATTGAGTAGAGTAAGGCTATAGGATATAATATTAATACACAAAAGTGATTTTATATTCTATATGCCAGCAATAAACACTTGGCACTTGATTTTAATACTATTTAAAATAATACCAAAAGTAAAGAAATACCTAGTGATAAGTATAACAGAATATATACAAAATGTGAGTGCAAAAAACCTCCAACCTCTAATGAAAGAAATCAAAGATTGTAAACAAATGAAGAGACATTGTTTGTTCATAGATTGAAAGACTTATGTTGTTAAGATGTCAATTCTTTCTAGTTTGTAATATATATTTAACACAATTCCATCCAAAATGCTGGCAAGCTATTTTGTAGGTATCAACATACCAATTCTAAATTTAAAATAAAATGGCAAAAGACCTAGAATAGCAAATACCATATAGAAGAAAAAGACAAAGTTGGAGGTCTTATGCAGCCGATTTTAAGACTTACTATAAGGTTACAATAATCAAGACATTCTGGAATTGATGAAAGAATAGACACATTGGTGAGGTGGCAAAGAGTAGAACAACTGTAAATATAACAACACAAGTATAATCAACTGCTCTGTGACAATTAAGTAGTGGCACTGATTTCAATGGAGGAAGAATAGTCTTTTTAACAAAGAGTGAAAACAAATGGTTGTATATTCAAAAAAAAAAGAAAAAAAAACTGGACATAAACCTTTACATTTTATACAAAAATTAATTCAGATTGTATTATAGTCCTATATGTGAAATGCAAAACTAACAAAATTTATAAAGAAAACATACTAGAAAAATCTATGTGACCTTGAGTTTGTTGATGAACTTTTAAAGTAAAATTCCAATAGCATGATTCATGAAGGAAACAAATATTTGTTAAGTTAAACTTTATTAAAATTAAAAAGTTTCGCTTTGCAAAAGACACTGTTAGTAAAAAGACAAGCACAGATTGGGATAAAATATTTGCAAAACACATATGTAACAAAGAATGTGTATACAAAATACAAATAAACTCATAAAACTCAACAGTAATAAAAAAAACTGCATGCAAATTTAGAGCACCTTTATTCATAGTTACCAAAAAACTAGAAGCAATCAAGTTGTACTTCAATAAGTGAATGAATAAGCAAAATGTGGCATATCTTACAGTGGAATATTGTTTTAAAATAAAAAGAAATAAAGTAACATACAGATATGGATAATAGGTTTTGGGGGGAACAGGTGGTGTTTGTTTACATGAATAAGTTCTTTAGTGGTAATTTCTGAAATTTTGTACCTGAAGTGCAGTGTACACTATACCCAATGTGTAGACTTTTATCCCTCATCACCTTCCCACCCTTTCCGCTGAGTTTCCAAAGTCCATTGTATTATTCTTATGCCTTTGCATCCTCATAGCTTATCTCCCACTTACAAATGAGAACATAAGATGTTTGGTTTTACATTCCTAAATTACTTCACTTAAAATAACGGTCTCCAATTCCATCCAGGTTGCTGTGAATGCCATTATTTCATTATTTTTCATGACTGAGTAGTATTCCATGGTGTATATATGTACCACATTTTCTTTATCTACTTATTGATTGATAGGCATTTGTGCTGGTTTCATAATTTTGCAATTGCAAATTGTATGCTATAAACATGCATGTACAAGTATCTTTTTTATATATGACTTCTTTCCCTCTAGGTAGATACCCAGGAGTAGGATTGCTGGATCAAATGGTAGATCTACTTTTAGTTCTTGAAGGAATCTCCATAATGTTTTCCATAGTGGTTGTACTAGTTTACATTCCACCAGCAGTATAAAAGTGTTCCCTTTTCACCACATCCATGCCAACAACTGTTTTATTTTTTTCTTTTATTATGGCCATTCTTGTAAGAGTGAGGTGGTATCACATTGTGGTTTTGATTCCCTGATAGTGATGTTGAGCATTTTTTCATGTTTCTTGGCCATTTGTACATCTTCTTTTGAGAATTGTCTATTCATGTCCTCAACTCACTTTTTTATGGGATTGTTTTTATTCTTGCTCATTTGTTTGAGTGCCTTACAGGTTTTGAATAGTAGTCCTTTGTTTGGATGTATAGATTAAAAAGACTTTCTCTCACTCTGTGGGTTGTGTGTTTACTCTGCTGATATTTCTTTTGCTGTGCAGAAGCTATGGATAATTTTTAAATGTATATATTAAGTGCAAGAAAAAAGTCCGAAGATGCTAAATATTTTATGATTCCAATCATATGACATCCTGGAAAAGATGACACTCTACAGAAGGTAAAAATTGTGGTTGCCAGTTTCAGGGAAAGGGGAGTGGTTGAATAGCTGAAGTACAGGGGAGTTTCTTAGAGTAGTGAAAGTATTCTCTATGGTATTGATATGGTAAGTTTAAAATTTTAATTATTTGCCAAATCTCATAGACATAACATAAAAGACATAGTTTAATTTATGCAAATTAAAAAATTATTTAGGAGATTTGGGAAACCCCAAATGGGATGCAGAACGTGACAAGAAAATCTAAGTGGATGACAGAGTTATTAAACACCTCACTGACGGAGGTAGAGAAATCAGGTTCCGACCTAAGTAACTTTGAAAATGAGTTTAATCTGCAAAACTAAATTCAAAAGGAACTGTATATAAGGACTGTACTCTAGTTGATTAACATTGTTTCCCATGTGGTGTGGGTAGACAACTCTGAAACCACAATGTAAGTTTACTGAAATCGAACAATTTAGAAAATGTACAAAAAATGGTGGGAGCCAGTTTTCTCACTATTGGATTTAGAAGTTACAGATAAACAAGGAGAGAAAGCTAGAATATCTAGGTGGTAATAAATTACGGTTGATTGCATCAAAATGAACTTATTTTTAGTTTAATACCAGTGCAGATGGTAGAATGCAGAAATATTTACACTATATATATATATTATACATGTGCTTGATACTACTAGGGTGTTGTTGCTTCTAGATCTCTCAACACATTGAGGGGATAACATGTATGAATACCAACCCATATATATATATATGTGTGTGGGTGTGTGTATATATATGTGTGTGTGTACATATATATATATATATATATATACACACAACAGATCCACTACAAATAGAACATATTTATTTAAAATACATAAATCAGATGTCAGCAAAAATGGCAGAGTAAAGAAGTCCAAGGGTCTGTCTTTCCAAAGAAAGATGAAAAATTGAAGCAAAAACTGTCAGAATCAACTTTGCCAGAACTATAGTAAATAATGTATAGCAATCAAGAGAATGATTAATCAAGAAAAATGCAACTTGAAAACATTAGGAAAGAATTGTGGAATTTTTACTTGCATATATATATTTTCACACATATTATATATATTCACACATATTATCCACTCAATGTATTGAGAGATCTAGAAGCAACAACACCCTTGTAGTATCAAGCACAACCAGTACTCAGATCTTAGTTTTAATAGCATGCTTCATTGAAAGGAACTAGTGTTCCTTGGAGAAATGAACTGTGAGAGGAAATGTACGAGATGAGTCTGGAGAATCTTATAATTCCAGAGAGTGAGAAAGTACTAAAAAAAAAAAAAAAAAAAAAACCAACACAATAACACCCACAATGATGGGTAGGCAAAGAAATACGTAATCTAATTTCCAGTTGAAATAATCCCAACGGCTAAAGCTGGAAAAATTTGAGCCACAGAATAACTTAGTACCACATCATAACTCAAAGCATAGATTCTATACCCTTGAGTTCATACTTATACAAAAATAATTACATTAATAAATAAGTGCAGAGAGAATTGACAATTGTCTTATGAAGAATTCCAAAGAATT
Organism: Homo sapiens; assembly: GCF_000001405.40. NCBI lineage: Eukaryota > Metazoa > Chordata > Mammalia > Primates > Hominidae > Homo > Homo sapiens. The sequence goes on from NC_000004.12 coordinate 104,308,266, forward strand.
CATGTAGATCTCCCATATTGGCAGCATAGCTTTTTTCTCATTATGTGTGAGTTGCTAGAGTGATTTCCTTCCACAGAATACAATATGGAAAAAGAGAGAAAGAGTAAATTTACTGTAGGGAAACTTGCCAAATGCTACCTCAAGCAAGATGATCAAAGTTAATATCAACAGTGATATGTCATGTTCATAGTATATACCCTTTATATGATATGAAGAGACTGGCACTTTATCTCTGTGGTCTTCCTTCTAAAACCACATAACCTCCATCTAATCATGAGAGAAACATCAGACAAATCCCAACTGAGAGACATTCTACAAAATACCTGCCTAGTACTCCTGAAAACTGTCAAGGTCTTCAAACATAAGTAGTCTTAGAAACTATCACAGACAAGAGGAGCCTGAGACATAATGCGTAAATGCAAAGTGGTATCTATGATGGGATCCTAGAACAGAAAAGACAATAGGAAGAAACTATAGAATTCTGAATAAAATATAAACTTTAGTTAATAATAGTATATCCATATTGGATTCATTAGTTTTGAAACATATACCATACTAATACTACACATTAATAGGTAAAACTGGTGGTAGGATATGTGGTAATTCTCTGTACTACCTTCACAATTTCTCCATAAGTTTAAAACCATTCTAAAATGAAAAGATTGTTTTCAAAGATGACATAAGCTTTGTGTAGTTGGTGTGTTTGCAGGAATTTGCTGGAAAAACCAGAGATCTCTCTGTTTTGGAGAGAGAGAAAGTGTTATAGAATTTGTAATGACAAAAATCTAGGCTATATAATATGATATGTGTATTAGCTCATTCTCACATTGCTGTAAAGAAATACCTGAGACCGAGTAATTTATAAAGCAAAGAGATTTAATTGGCTCAGAGTTCTGCAGGCTTATACAAGAAGCATGGCAGCTTGTCCTTCTAGGGAAGCCTCAGGAAGCTTCCACTCATAACAAAAGGCGAAAGGAGAGCAAGGTGTCTCACAGAGTGGGAGCAGGAGAAAACAGGGAGCTGCTACACACTTTTAAACAACCAGATCTCTCAAGAACTCACTATCATGAGAACAGCATGCATACATTATCAACGAAAAAATTTGAAATAAATTTATAAAGAATATATACAGGTAAATCTCTCTGATTTTCAATAAGGGAAAATATAAGTAATATAAACAATAAAACTTGACAACTAGCCTAGAAGATTTTTGTTAAAACATTAAATTTTGTAAGAAGTTAGAAAAATAATGGATAATGGCCAGATGTAAAGAGGAATGCAAAATGTGCAAATTAACATGAACGGAATTTATTTTCCTCAGGTTTTTAAATTTAACGTTTGAATGCAAGTATTGCTTTATCTCATATGTGCCAGGAAGTAGCAGCTGAGACTTCATTTTGGTCTAAAAGTTATTGGGAAGTGAACAATATCCATAAAAGGGTAAGAAAAGCTCAGCAATCTCATAATTTGAAGGCATGGTATATTCTCAGTTTTCCTGAATTTCTGGATTGTCAGATGTCTTGGCAAAAGGATCAAGTTTTTGTTCGTTTTTACTGACCAATCATTAAATATGAGCACCCCCGCAGTGAGGTATAAACTTAAGACAGATGTTGTACTTCAGCTGAGAGAAATTTTGAGGAAAGGATTTAGGTCTGACTCATCTGCAGTAAACACCTTGAGATCTGAGAAGTAAGTGTCATGGTTTTGGTGGGAGCATTTGTGTAACAAACCACAGATCCACTACAAATAGAACATAGCTATTTAAAATACATAAATCCATGTCAGCAAAGACGGCAGAGTAAAGAAGTCCAAGAGTCCGTCTTTCCACAGAAAGATGAAAAATTGAAGCAAAAACTGTCAGAATCAACTTTGCTGGAACTATGGTAAAACATAGCAACCAAGAATGCTTAATCAAGAAAAATACAACTTGAAAACATCAGGAAAGCCTTGTGGCATTTTTACTTGCCCTTGTGTCCCCCCGCCCCACCCCACCTTCTGGCACAATAACAGTCATGAAGATGGTAAGCTGTGTCCCTGCTATAGGACACTGGTATCTGGTTCCAGAAGGAACAGACCAGACTTTATTCTCAAAGAACTATGCTTATCTGATCTTAACTGTCAGGGCTACTTGAAGGACTGCTGCAAGCCCTTACCTTGTGTTGGCTAACTCAAAACTCATTAAGGGCAGAAAAGTGGGAGGCATTCCTCAAAACCAACATAAGACAAAGAAACATCCAGCAGCTGCCTATGGCAAAAGATTACAATGTGTCAAACAAGAGGGCAATGAAATCCTGAAGGATAAGCTATGGAGAGACTTTTCTTTGGAAAATTAGGTTATTCAAAAAGTGCCTGCATATACGGAGGAAGTTAGAAAGCAATGCACCTACCTAACACAAAATGAATGCTCAGAAAAGGCCTGAGAAGATCCTGAGATTTCCCTCTGACTTTCTGTAGACTCAAAACAAGTTGGAAATGAGGGCAAACACTAATTTTTAAACAACCTAGTTAAGCATTGAAGAAGTGATCCGGCAGAGAGTCAACCTGCAACATGCAAAGATTGGGATAATTTTCTTTTTTTTCTTTCTTTTATTCTTTATTCTCTCTTTCTCCCCATCTCTATTTTCTCTCTTTTTCTTCTCCAATTTCTTTGGGGAAGAGGGGCTTTTGAAGGTCAAGCCAATCTCTGAAATCAAAAGCATTGCACAACCTAAAGAAACAAAAACTTCAGAGGTCATACATAAAAAAAGAAAAAAAAAACTTGGCTTCACCAAAATACATTAAACAAAGAGCTATAGCACACATGAAGCAACGAAACACATCCTGGGTAAAGAGAAGGATCTAACTTTTAGATATACCCCCTATAATACTCAATATGTTCAGTCTTCAAACACACACACAAAATGAAGCATGCAAATTAAAAAGAAAGTATAGGCTATGCACAAATGACTGCCCCTGAGAAATTGTAGACATTGGACTTACTACACAAAAACTACAATCAACCATACTAAATATGCTCAAAGAGTAAGGGAAACCACAGATAAAGTAAAATAGAAGAATGATATAAAAACAGTGAATATTAGCAAAGAAAATAAAATTATAAAAAGGAATCAAATGAAAATTCTGATACTAAAAGGAGCAATAACTGAAATTTAAAACAGTAGAAATTTTAAGCAGGCAGAAAAACAAATCAGAAAACTTGGAAAATAGGTCAGTTTAAATTATTCCCTCTGAAAACCTGCAAAAAATGGGTAAAAAATATGCGGGAGGTAGATGGTGAAATAGAAGGTTCCACTTATTATTCCCCCGGCAAGGACACCAATTTAACAACTATCTACACAGAAAATGCATCTTCATAAGAATAAAAAATCAGGTGAGTACTCACAGTACCTGATTTTCACTTCATATCACTGAAAGAGGCACTGAAGAGGTAGGAAAAAAAAATTTAAATCACAGATTCCCACCTTGCCCCATCATCTGGCAGTGTTGGCATGGCACACAGAGCCTTTCTTTGACTTGGGAGAGGGAGAGTGCAGCAAATATGAAGCACTGAACTCAGTGCTGCCCTATTATAACAGAAAACAAAACCAGACCAAACTCAGCTGATGTTCATTCACAGAGGGAGCACTTAAACCAGCCCTAGCCACAGGAGAATCACCGATCTCAGTGACTGGAACCTGGGTTCTCACAAACCTCACCACTATGGGTTACAGTGTTCTGGGGCTCTAACTAAAGGTGAATGGTAGTCTACGCCACAAAGAATGCAACTGCTCAGTGAGTCTGAGTGCCGAACTTGGTCCAGGTCCAGTGCCAGTGCATTGGTGATGGGATGGGGAGTAAGGGGAATGGGAACATATGACGTACTTGAGACACCAGCCAGGGTAGCTAAGGAAGTGCTGGCATCACCCCTACCCTAACACCAGACTGCACAGTTCACAGCTTCAAAAGAGACCCCATTCTTCTTCCTGAGGAGTGGAGAGAGAAGAGTGGAAAGGACTTTGCATTGCACCTTGGAGACCAGCTCACCTACTGCAGGATAGGACACTAGTCAGAGCCATGAGAACCCTGTTCTAGGTCCTAGCTCCCAGACAGTATATAATGATAAATGGGTCAATTTGGCAAGAGGATGTAACAATTTTAAGTATATATGCACCCAACACTGGAACATCCAGATATATAAAGCAAATATTATTAGAGCTAAAGAGAGAGACTCCAATATAATAATAGCTAGAGACTTCAACACCTTACTTGCAGCATTAAACAGATCTTCTAGGCAGAAAATCAACAAAGAAACAGAGTACTAAATCTGCACTATAAACCAAATGGATCTAATAGGTATTTAGAACATTTCATCTGATGAGTAAAGAATACACATTCTTTTCCTCAACACATGGATCATTCTCAAGGATAGATCATATATTAGGTCATAAAACAAGTCTTAAAACATTCAAAATATTTAAATAACAGCAAGGATCTTCTCTAACCACAATGAAATAAAGCTAGAAATAAATAATGAAAGGAATTTTGGAGATGACCTAAACAAATGGAAATTAAACCATATGTTCCTGATTGACAAATGGGTCAATAAAGAAATTAGGAGGAAATTGTAAAATTTCTTGAAACAAATGATTTTGAAAACAATATACCTAAATCTATGGGATACAGAAAAAGCAGAACTAAGAGGGAGGTTTATAGCTATAAGTGTCTACATCAAAAATGAAGAAAAACTTCAAATGAACATGCAAAAGATTGAAACTAGACCTTTATCTCTCACCATTTACAAAAATCAAATCAAAATGAATTAAAGACATAAATCTAAGACCTCAAACTGTGAAACTTCTACAAGAAAACATTGAGGAATTTCTCCAGGACATTGGTCTGGAAAATATTTCTTGGGTAATAACCCACATGCACAGACAACCAAAGCAAAAATGGACAAATGGGATCACATCAAGTTAAAAAAAAGTTTTGCACAGTGCAGGATACAGTCAACAGTGAGAGAAAATATTTGCAAACTATCTATCTGACAAGGGTTAAATAACCAGAATATAAGGAGCTCAGACAACTCTATAAGAAAAGAACCTAATAATCTGGTTAAAAAATGGACAAAAGATTTGAATACATATTTCTCAAAAGAATACATACAAATGGCATACAGTATATGAAAAGGTGCTCAACATCATTAATCATTAGGGAAATGCAAATCAAAACTGCAATAAGATATCATCTCATCTTAAAATGGCTTATATCCAAAAGACAGGAAATAACAAATGCTGTCAGGGATGTGGAGAAAAGGGAACCCTTGTACACTGTTGTTGGAAGTGTAGATTAATACAACCACTATGGAGAACAGTTTGGGGATTCCAGAAAAAAACTGAAAATAGAGCTACCATGTAATCCATCAGTCTCACTTCTGGTTATATATCCAAAAGAAAGAAAATCAGTTTATTAAAGAGATATCTGCATCCTCATGGTTTTTGTAGCACATGGATGAAGCTAGAGATCATTATGTTAAGTGAAATAAGCCAAGCACAGAAAGCAGAAATCCAGATATCACATATTCTCGTTTGTTTATGGGATCTAAAAATCAAAACAATTGAATTTATGGAGATAAGAAGTGGAAGGATGGTTACCAGAGGCTGAGAAGCATAGTGTCAGGTTGGGGAAGAGGTGGGGATGGTTGTTGGCTACAAACAACAAAAAAAAGAATTAGAAAGAATTAAAAAAACCTACTACGTAATAGCACAACAGAGTGACACTTGTCAATAATAATTTAATTGTATTTTTTAAATAACTAGAAGAGCCTAACTGAATCGTTTGTAACACTAAGGATAAATGCTTGAGGGAATGGATACCCCATTCTCCAAAACCTGATTATTATGCATTACATGCCGGTATCAAAGCATCTTATGTACCCCATAAATATATACACCTACTATGCACCCACAAAAATTAAAAAATAAATTGGAGAGAATAAATGAACGAAATTAATATTTGAAGAAATAAAAGCAAAATTTTTACACATTTCATAAAAGAAGACCAGGCGCGGTGGCTCAAGCCTGTAATCCCAGCACTTTGGGAGGCCGAGGTGGGCAGATCATGAGGTCAGGAGATCGAGACCATTCTGGCTAACACGGTGAAACCCCATCTCTACTAAAAATACAAAAAATTAGCCGGGCATGGTGGCAGGTGCCTGTAGTCCCAGCTACTCTGGAGGCTGAGGTAGGAGAATGGCGTGAACCTGGGAGGCGGAGCTTGCAGTGAGCCAAGATCACGCCACTGCACTCCAGCCTGGGCAACAAGTGAGACTCCATCCCCCCCCAAAAAAAAAATTGATAATGGTTACAAATCTACACATCCATGGAGCTTTACAAGCTCCAAAATAAATAAATAAATAAAATAAAATAAAAACACTAATTTTCACATTGAGACACATTATTTCCAAAGTGTCAAAGGCAAAATTTAAAGAATTATGGAAGCAACAAGATACAGGCAACTTATCATATACAAAGTATATTCAACTACAAGATAAAAATATATTTCTCATTATAAACAACAGAGACCAGGAAGCAAGGGGTAATATTTTTAAAGAACTGAAAAGAAAAAAACTATCAGGATTTCTATATCCAGCAAAACTATCTTTCAAAAATGTGAGAGTAACTATTTTTGACATAATTTGTTGCTTATAAAATCTATCTGATGAAAAATGCTAAAGGGAGCTCTTCAGGTTGAAGTAAAAGGACACTAAGTAGTAATTTAAAGCCACATAAAGAAATAGAGAACTTTAGTAAGGCAAAAGTTAAAGTAAACATTAAGGCCAGAATTATTGTATTTTTGGTGTATAACTCCTTTTTAAATTTTTTATAATTTAAAAAAAAATCAAAAAATGTATTTCAATCTATGTTAATCATAAAATAACATATAAACACATCATGAGTAATAATAATAACAATATAAAGGGTAGCAAAGGAGCATAGTTTGTCTATGCTATTTCAACTAAGTTGTATCAATTTAAATTAGATTGCTATGAATTTAGAATGTTAATTATAATCAATATATTAGCAAGTAAAAAAATCTCAAAAATGTACAGAAGAAGAAATGACAAGGAAATTAAAACAGAACACTGCGTAAACTCAATTATCACCCCTGTATTTACGGCAGCACCATTCATGATAGCCTAGTGGTATAAGCAACCCAAATGTTCACAGATGGATAAACAGATAAACAAAATGTAGTACATACAAATGCTCCTCAACTTATTATGGGGTTATCGCCCAACAAGTCTATCATTTCGAGGGTATTGTAAGTCGAAAATACACGTGATATATCTAACATATTGAAAATCATACCTTAGCCTGGTCTATCTTAAATGTGCTCAGAAAACTTATAAAAATGTAGACAAGCCTACATTTCAGCAAAATAATCTAACACAAAGCCTGTCTTATGATAAGGTGTTGAGTATCTCATGTAATTTTATTGAATACTGTACTGAAATTGAGAAACAGAATGGTCATATGGATAGTCAAAGTATAGTGTCTATAAAATGTATATCACTTTTGCACCATTATATTATAATGTCAAAAAATGTAAGTTGGGGACTGTACATAAAAAATTCATTTTTTAAAATGAAGGATTTTTTTCACATACTATTACATGAATGAATCTTGAGAGTATTATGCTAAATGAAATAAGTCAAACAGTAAAATACATATAAAGTATGGCTGCACTTTATAGGATGTGTCTAAGTCAAGTCTGTGGAGACAAAAGCAGAATGGTAGTTATCGGGTTTGGGAGGAGGGAGAGAAAGGGAGTTGTTTAATGGATTTAGAGTTTTAAATTTGCAAGATAAAAAAGTTCAGATCTGTTTTACAGCAACGTAAACATACTTATTTGCAAGGAACTCAAACAATTCAACAATAAGAAAACAAACAACCCTAATAAGAAGTGGACAAACGAATTAGCAAGAAGAAAACAATCCCATCAAAAAGAGGGCTAAGGATATGAATAGACAATTCTCAAAAGAAGATATACCCAATGGCCAACAAACATATGAAAAAATGCTCAACATAACTAACAACTGGGGAAATGCAAATCAAAATCACAATGTGATGATACCAGCTTACTCCTGCAAGAATGGCTGTAATCAAAAAAAATCAAAAAATAATAGATGTTGGCATGGATGCACTGAAAAGAGAGCACTTCTACACTGCCAGTGGGAAAGTAAACTAGTACAACCACTATGGAAAACAGTATGGATATTCCTTAAAGAACTAAAAGTAGAACTACCATTTGATCCAGTCATCCCAGTACCGGGTATCTATCCAGAGGAAATTAAGTCATTATACAAAAAAGATACTTGTGCATGCATATTTATGGCAGCACGATTTGCAATTGCAAAAATACGGGACCAGCCCAAATGCCCATCAATCAATGAGTGGAAAAAGAAATTGTGCTGTGTATATACAGTAGAATACTACTCAGCCATAAAAAGGAATGAATTAATGGCATTCACAGCAAACCGGATAGGAGACTATTATTCTAAGTGAAGTAAGTCAGGAATTGAAAATCAAACATTGTATGTTCTCACTCATAAGTGGGAGCTAAACTATGAGGATACAAAGTTATAAGAATGATACAATGGACTTTGGGGACTTGGGGGAAAGGGTGGGTGGGGGGTGAGGGATAAAAGACTACAAATTGTGGTCAGTGCACACTGCTCGGGTGATGGGTGCAGCAAAACCTCACAAATTGCCACTTAGCTTACTTATGTAGCCAAATACCACCTGTTCCCCAAAACCCTAATCTCTCATCACCTCCCACTCTCCTCACTTCTCAGTCATTACTGTTCTTTATATTACAATGTATACTTTTGTTTACCCATCGCTTAGTTCCAACTTTTAAGTGAGAATATACGTACTTGGTTTCCAATTCCTGTGTTATTTCACTTGGAATAATGGCCTCCAGCTCCAGTCAAATTGCTGCAAAAAACATTATTTCATTTCTTTTCATGGCTGAGTAGTATTCAGTGACATATATGTACTACATTTTCTTTATCCACTCATCAGTTGATGGACACTTAGGTTGATTCCATATGTTTGCAACTGTGGATTGTGCTGCAATAAACATGCATGTGCAGGTAGAATTTTTTTTTAATATATATACAATGACTTATTTTCCTTTGGGTAGATAGGTCTACTTTTAGTTCTTCAAGAAATCTCCATACTGTTTTCTGTAGAGGTTATGCTAATTTACTTTCCCATCAGCAGTGTATAAGTGTTACTTTTTCACCACATCCGATATGCTTTGGCTCTGTGTCCCCATCCAAATCTCATCTTCTAGCTCTCATAATCCCATGTGATGTGGGAGGGACCTAGTGGGAGATGATTGAATCATAGGGGTGGGTCTTTTTCCTACTGTTCTTGTGACAGTGAATGGGCCTCACGAAATCTGATGGTTTTAAAAACGGGAATTTCAAGCTTTCTCTACATATTAGGAACAATGTACACTGCTAGGGTAATAGGTGCACTAAAATCTCACACTTCACCACTATACAATTCGTCCATGTAATCAAAACCACTTGTACCCCAAAAAGCCACTGAAGTAAAAAATTAAGAAATAAAAATAAAGAAAGAAACTATTGCTGCTTCTAAATGCCTTCTTGTCTCTTAAAGAATCTGTTACATCTGTGGAATACATTTTTATGTCCTTAGAGAAATATATCTAAGTGTTGTAATAAATACAAAAATATATATTTTGCATGGGTACTATGCTGAAAATACAGGACAATGTTAGTGTACAGTGAATTTTAACTCAAATGGAGCTTCTCTTTCTTAACATTGTCTGGGCATCCTGCCATTATATTTCCCATCTGGTAGTAACAGCTAATTAAATAATTGTTCATTAATTTAATTTGTATAAGCAATAAACTTTCACTGCTTTTTTCATACTTATATAGGACATATTGTTATATAATCACTCTGATTATTTTGTTATTCCATGCTGTTTTTATTCCATCAACAAAAGAGATTGGTTATAGCTATTGGCATTAAAACAGCTATAAAATAATTGTCCTCAAATGTACATCACCCATGTCTTTAAAAAAAAAGCTTCAAGTAACTATAATTAACTTTAAGTTGACTTTAATTTGTTTTACACTTTCATTCAATATAGAGTTTTTGAAAAAGCTATGTACCTAAAACTCAGTCTATGTATATGCGAACGTATTTCAAGACTCAAAAATATATCAAAGAGTTGGCAAATTATGCTTTGGCAATGATGAAATATTAACCAGTTGTAATTTCTTCTAATGGAACGTTCCTGATCTTTTGAAACTAACATAAAATCAATACATTTGTATAGTGAAAATATAGCATTATTATTTTTTTGTCAATTTTATCTCAATAAAGCTAGGGAAAATAGATATCTATCTTCTGTTTTAAATTATTCTGACAATGAGTTATACAGATGTGTATTGGTTAATACCCAGACAGCTTGTGTTTTCCAATTATTATTATGATAGTACTTTCTCATGTAATTATACTACATTTGGATTCTACATAACCTTGGTATTTTCCTAGGCAGTGAGGTTATTTGTGGACACTAGGTAATGCTGAAGAAGGCTCGCATCATATCTATAATTCAGCCTTAAAAAAGTATAAAGGTGAAAGATTCAAGATGCTTTCTTCAGCCTCTGCAAATCAGTATTTGACATTGAGAGTAGACATATAGCCTTTTGGAAATTCTCCTTTATGGAATGATTTTATTGCTAGGTTGATGATGATGGTGATGATGTGATGATGATGTTTCCTTAGTTGTATAACATGATGATTAAGCACAGACAGGCAGCCTTTTTCCTCATCATATAAAGGGGTAGCAGATAGCAAGCCCTCAATATAACCTTCAGTGAGTCATACTCCTCTTATTTCTAAGGAACAAACTGATTCAAATGTATTCATTTAGCATTTGTTTACAAATATTAATTTTACAATCTGAAAAGTTCTGACAAAAAATAAAATGGACTTTGAATCATTCTTTAAAATTATAAAATCAGATAGTTTTTCCTCCCAATCCAAGTGAAGCTAAAATGATTTGCTTTAACTTACCCACTAGTTTGCACTTGTCTGCTCACGAAACTATCTCCTAAAATCCAGCAGATGTTAGATAGATTTAGGAATACAGAATCAATTAATATAACTCTCATATTCTACAGAGTGAGTGAGAACTGCTAAAAGTTGAAGAGGGAAGTGATTTTGTTTTATTGACTTTTTTTTACTTTATACTTTGCTAAATTAATTTACATGTAGTTATAAAAAATAGTACTATTTTGAGTTGACATTTTTACCTGTTTAAACTAAAAGTATGGATAAGGGTAAACAATAGTATCCAGATATATCTTTTGTTCATAGTATAATAATACATTTAACACCATTTCTTACTCCAAGGAAACATATGGTTCCTGTGCAACATTCCTGACAAAGCAATTTTTTGACAAATATTATCAAGAGGTCTTTTCTGGAAAATGTTTAGATTGATTTTGAATCCAAAGTTTATGAATAGAGTTGGACAAGATTACAAAGCTAATTTCATTGTACTCCTGGGAATCATAAAACCATATCTTGTTTTTAAAAATCACTAGTAACATTCATGCTAAAATAGAAAAAATTCTACTAAAAGACTATGTCCCTTTAGTTATATGCACTTAAGTTAAAAAAAAAGAAAACAACCAAATGCACGTATATATTTTCTAAATAAAGCCTGATGGCCTTAAGCAGTTGTGTAAGACATCATGATACACATGCCTGATTAATGCTAGCAATATAATCTGCCACACTTTGAAACAAGTCATTGCCTAAGGAATCTTGTCCATGAGTTTCTTGCTGAAATAGCTAACCTTTAAATTTCCAGAAGTAATTCATGTAAGTCTCTGATGATTGTTTTATTTTTTTTTAGATATGACCAATGTTTTAAAAAAAATACTTATAAAATTACCTGACCTACAAAGTTACCGAGTGAAAATGCTAATTTTCGTATCTTAGAAAAAATGCACACAGACTTGCAAATAGATCTCAATATATCTTATTCCACAAAATTTCATTTAGCTTGTCAAATTGTTCTTGGTTCAGCCCACATTTCTCAATGTCTCAAATGCTATCTTTCAGTTATTACCCTTTATTCTCTTCGTTATATCAACAGACTAGTGTCAATTATCTAGTTTTCCAAGGTTCCATTTTTCTTTTAATATTACAGGGAGTTGAATTTAAACAACACAACAGATTGGTCTGAAATATGTTTAGATCATATTTTGTCTTGAATCCATCAAGTTTATATTATCAATGTATTTATTTATTCATTGATCCAATATAAGTTTTCAGAGGGCTTCAGAACATTGACATCAAGATCAGACTGATCTCATTCAAATGTCAGCTTTGCCATTCAATAATATAGATTTTAGATTACTTAAACTCTCCAAACTTCAATCTCCTCCTAACAATGTCCCATTTCATCTTATAAAATATGTTCACATTTTAATTTTTTGAAATCAAGGTGCATCTAACAGTAATGTCAATTGAATGCTGAAATACATCTGTCAGAGTAGGTGAAAATTGACATTTTGTCCAAATTTTGCTGTATTGGCTATTGCTCATACGTGTGCAAACAACCAAACACAGAAAAAACCTGTTCATCCAACTGCTATTTCATTTTACTTATTTACATTGATATCAGCACATGTCATCAAAACAAGTTTTACTTAAATTTAAATTCCTAATTATTATTTTAAATATCCTCAAAATGATAACACAGTAATTTAGCACTGAAATGGGGGTCCTTGTGTGTGTTTTGAGTAATAAATATTACATACCAAGTAGTATAATTAGAGCAAAAATGGGCAGAACACTTAAAATATATCCTATAATTTTCTAACATAAGAGAGGTTGTTGTGGTTGATTTAAGCATTACAAGAAACTATCATTGAGTTGTTGCATATCTATCTGTTCAAATTTCCTGCTAACTTTTTAGATGTGCTGTTTAAATTTTAGGAAAGCATAATTTTAATTAAGGAATACCTTGTATTAATTTCACAATATAGAAAATGCAGTAGAAATCCCCTGTGTTTTAGATGTGATTTTGAGTTTTGGTGGTAATTTGAATAATGCCAAATCAGTCAAAGTCATAAGGCTGAATTATGAATATAAGTGTATACTGATGATTTCTTTTCTTAAAATTTTATTATTATTACACTTTAAGTTTTAGGGTACATGTGCACAATGTGCAGGTTTGTTACATATGTATACATGTATCATGTTGGTGTGCTGCACCCATTAACTTGTCATTTAACATTAGGTATATCTCCTAATGCTATCCCTCCCCCCTCCCCCCACCCCACAACAGTCCCCGGAGTGTGATGTTCCCCTTCCTGTGTCCATGTGTTCTCATTGTTCAATTCCCACCTATGAGTGAGAACACGCGGTGTTTGGTTTTTTGTCCTTGCGATAGTTTGCTGAGAATGATGGTTTCCAGTTTCATCCATGTCCCAACAAAGGACATGAACTCATCATTTTTTATGGCTGCATAGTATTCCATGGTGTATATGTGCCACATTTTCTTAATCCAGTCTATCGTTGTTGGACATTTGGGTTGGTTCCAAGTCTTTGCTATTGTGAATAGTGCCACCATAAACATACGTGTGCATGTGTCTTTATAGCAGCATGATTTATAATCCTTTGGGTATATACCCAGTAATGGGATGGCTGGGTCAAATGGTATTTCTAGTTCTAGATCCCTGAGGAATCACCACACTGACTTCCACAATGGTTGAACTAGTTTACAGTCCCACCAACAGTGTCAAAGTGTTCCTATTTCTCCACATCCTCTCCAGCACCTGTTGTTTCCTGACTTTTTAATGATCGCCATTGTAACTGGTGTGACATGGTATCTCATTGTGCTTTTGATTTGCATTTCTCTGATGGCCAGTGATGGTTAGCATTTTTTCATGTGTTTTTTGGCTGCATAAATGTCTTCTTTTGAGAAGTGTCTGTTCATATTCTTCGCCCACTTTTTGATGGGGTTGTTTGTTTTTTTCTTGTAAATTTGTTGCAGTTCATTGTAGATTCTGGATATTAGCCCTTTGTCAGATGGGAAGGTTGCAAAAATTTTCTCCCATTCTGTAGGTTGCCTGTTCACTCTGATGGTAGTTTCTTTTGCTGTGCAGAAGCTCCTTAGTTTAAATAGATCCCATTTGTCAATTTTGTCTTTTGTTGCCATTGCTTTTGGTGTTTTAGACATGAAGTCCTTGCCCATGCCTATGTCCTGAATGGAATTGCCTAGGTTTTCTTCTAGGGTTTTTACGGTTTTAGGTCTAACATGTAAGTCTTTAATCCATCTTGAATTAATTTTTGTATAAGGTGTAAGGAAGGGATCCAGTTTCAGCTTTCTACATATGGCTAGCCAGTTTTCCCAGCACCATTGATTAAAAAGGGAATCCTTTCCCCATTCCTTGTTCTTCTCAGGTTTGTCAAAGATCAAATGGTTGTAGACATGCGGCATTATTTCTGAGGGCTCTGTTCTGTTCCATTGATCTATATCTCTGTTTTGGTACCAGTACCATGCTGTTTTGGTTACTGTAGCCTTGTAGTATAGTTTGAAGTCAGGTAGTGTGATGCCTCCAGCTTTGTTCTTTTGGCTAAGGATTGACTTGGCGATGCTGTCTCTTTTTTGGTTCCATATGAAATTTAAAGTAGTTTTTTCCAATTCTGTGAAGAAAGTCATTGGTAGCTTGATGAGGATGGCATTGAATCTATAAATTACCTTGGACAGTATGGCCATTTTCATGATATTGATTCTGCCTAACCATGAGCATGGAATGTTCTTCCATTTGTTTGTATCCTCTTTGATTTCCTTGAGCAGTGGTTTGTAGTTCTCCTTGAAGAGGTCCTTCACATCCCTTGTAAGTTGGATCCCTAGGTTTTTTATTCTCTTTGAAGCAATTGTGAATGGGAGTTCACTCATGATTTGGCTCTCTGTTTGTCTGTTGTTGGTGTATAAGAATGCTTGTGATTTTTGCACATTGACTTTGTATCCTGAGACTTTGCTGAAGTTGCTTATCAGCTTAAGGAGATTTTGGGCTGAGACGATGGGATTTTCTAGATATGCAATCATGTCACCTGCAAACAGGGACAATTTGACTTTCTCTTTTCCTAATTGAATACCCTTTATTTCCTTCTCCTGCCTAATTGCCCTGGCCAGAACTTCCAACACTATGTTGAATAGGAGTGGTGAGAGAGGGCATCCCTGTCTTGTGCCAGTTTTCAAAGGGAATGCTTCCAGTTTTTGCCCGTTCAGTATGATATTGGCTGTGGGTTTGTCATAGATAGCTCTTATTATTTTGAGATATGTCCCATCAGTACCTAATTTATTGAGAGTTTTTAGCATGAAGGGCTGTTGAATTTTTTCAAAGGCCTTTTCTGCATCTATTGAGATAATCATGTGGTTTTTGTCTTTGGTTAAGTTTATATGATGGATTACATTTATTGATTTGCGAATGTTGAACCAGCCTTGCATCCCAGGGATGAAGCCCACTTGATCATGGTGGACAAGCTTTTTGATGTGCTGCTGGATTCGGTTTGCTGGTATTTTATTGAGGATTTTTGCATTAATGTTCATCAAGGACATTGGTCTAAAATTATCTTTTTTGTTTGTGTCTCTGCCCAGCTTTGGTATCAGGATGATGCTGGCCTCATAAAATGAGTTAGGGAGGATTCCCTCTTTTTCTATTGATTGGAAATTTTCAGAAGGAATGGTATCAGCTCCTCCTGGTACCTCTGGTAGAATTTGGCTGTGAATCCATCTGGTCTTGGACTTTTTTTGTTGGTAAGCTATTGATTATTGCCAGAATTTCAGAGCCTGTTATTGGTCTATTCAAAGATTCAACTTCTTCTTGGTTTAGTCTTGGGAGGGTGTATGTGTCGAGGAATTTATCTATTTCTTCTAGATTTTCTAGTTTATTTGCATAGAGGTGTTTGTACTATTCTCTGATGGTAGTTTGTATTTCTGTGGGATCAGTGGTGATATCCCCTTTATCATTTTTTATTGCATCTATTTGATTCTTCTCTGTTTTCTTCTTTATTAGTCTTGCTAGTGGTCTATCAATTTTGTTGATCTTTTCAAAAAATCAGCTCCTGGATTCATTAATTTTTTGAAGAGTTTTTTATGTCTCTATTTCCTTCAGTTCTGCTCTGATTTTAGTTATTTCTTGCCTTCTGCTAGCTTTTGAATGTGTTTGCTCTTGCTTTTCTAGTTCTTTTAATTGTGATGTTAGGGTGTCAATTTTGGATCTTTCCTGCTTTCTCTTGTGGGCATTTAGTGCTATACATTTCTCTCTACACACTGCTTTGAATGTGTCCCAGAGATTCTGGTATGTTGTGTCTTTGTTCTCGTTGGTTTCAAAGAACATCTTTATTTCTGCCTTCATTTCGTTATGTACCCAGTAGTCATTCAGAAGCATGTTGTTCAGTTTCCATGTAGTTAAGCGGTTTTGAGTGAGTTTCTTAATCCTGAGTTCTAGTTTGATTGCACTGTGGTCTGAGAGACAGTGTTATAATTTCTGTTCTTTTACATTTACTGAGGAGTGATTTACTTCCAACTATGTGGTCAATTTTGGAATAGGTGTGGTGTGGTGGTATATTCTGTTGATTTGGGGTGGAGAGTTCTGTAGATGTCTATTAGGTCCGCTTGGTGCAGAGCTGAGTTCAATTCCTGGGTATCTTTGTTAACTTTCTGTCTCGTTGATCTGTCTAATGTTGACAGTGGGGTGTTAAAGTCTCCCATTATTATTGTGTGGGAGTCTAAGTCTCTTTGTAGGTCACTAAGGACTTGCTTTATGAATCTGGGTGCTCCTGTATTGTGCATATATATTTAGGATAGTTAGCTCTTCTTGTTGAATTGATCCCTTTACCATTATGTAATGGCCTTCTTTGTCTCTTTTGATCTTTGTTGGTTTAAAGTCTGTTTTATCAGAGACTAGGATTGCAACCCCTGCCTTTTTTTGTTTTCCATTGGCTTGGTAGATCTTCCTCCATCCCTTTATTTTGAGCCTATGTGTGTCTCTGCATGGGAGATGGGTTTCCTGAATACAGCACACTAATGGGTCTTGACTCTTTATCCAATTTGCCAGTCTGTGTCTTTTAATTGGAGAATTTAGCCCATTTACACTTAAAGTTAATATTGTTATGTGTGAATTTGATCCTGTCATTATGATGTTAGCTGGTTATTTTGCTCGTTAGTTGATGCAGTTTCTTCCTAGCCTTGATGGTCTTTACATTGTGGCATGTTTTTGCAGTGGCTGGTACCGGTTGTTCTTTTCCATGTTTAGTGCTTCCTTCAGGAGCTCTTTTAGGGCAGGCCTGGTGGTGACAAAATCTCTCAGCATTTGTTTGTCTGTAAAGTATTTTATTTCTCCTTCATTTATGAAGCTTTGTTTGACTGGATATTAAATTCTGGGTTGAAAATTCTTTTCTTTAAGAATGTTGAATATTGGCCCCCACTCTCTTCTGGCTTGTAGAGTTTCTGCTGAGAGATTCGCTGTTAGTCCGATGGGCTTCCCTTTGTGGGTAACCCTACCTTTCTCTCTGGCTGTCCTTAACATTTTTTCCTTCATTTCCACTTTGGTGAATCTGACAATTATGTGTCTTCGAGTTGCTCTTCTCGAGGAGTATCTTTGTGGCATTCTCTGTATTTCCTGAATCTGAATGTTGGCCTGCCTTGCTAGATTGGGGAAGTTCTCCTGGATAATATCCTGCAGAGTGTTTTCCAGCTTGGTTCCATTCTCCCTGTCATTTTCAGGTACACCAATCAGACATAGATTTGGTCTTTTCACATAGTCCCATATTTCTTGGAGGCTTTGTTCATTTCTTTTTATTCTTTTTTCTCTAAACTTCCCTTCTCGCTTCATTTCATTCATTTCATCTTCCATCACTGATACCCTTTCTTCCAGTTGATCGTATCGGCTCCTGAGGCTTCTGCACTTTTCACGTAGTTCTCAAGCCATGGCTTTCAGCTCCATCAGCTCCTTTAAGGACTTCTCTGCATTGGTTATTCTAGTTATCCATTTGTCTAATTTTTTTTCAAAGTTTCTAACTTCTTTGCCATTGGTTTGAATTTCCTCCTGTAGCTTGGAGTGGTTTGATCGTCTGAAGCCTTTTTCTCTCAACTCGTCAAAGTCATTCTCCATCCAGCTTTGTTCCGTTGCTGGTGAGGAGCTGCGTTCCTTTGGAGGAGGAGAGGCGCTCTGTTTTTAGAGTTTCCAGTTTTTCTGCTCTGTTTTTCCCCCATCTTTGTGGTTTTATCTACTTTTGGTCTTTGATGATGGTGACATACAGATGGGTTTTTGGTGTGTATGTCATTTCTGTTTGTTAGTTTTCCTTCTAACAGGCAGGACCCTCAGCTGCAGGTCTGTTGGAGTTTGCTAGAGGTCCACTCCTGACCGTTTGCCTGGGTGTCAGCAGCAGTGGCTGCAGAACAGTGGTGGCTGTAGAACAGCGGATTTTGGTGACCCTCAAATGCTTCTGCCTGATTGTTCCTCTGGAAGTTTTGTCTCAGAGGAGTACCCAGCCGTGTGAGGTGTCAGTCTGCCCCTACTGGGGGGTGCCTCCCAGTTAGGCTGCTCGGGGGTCAGGGACCCACTTGAGGAGGCAGTCTGTCCGTTCTCAGATCTCCAGCTGCCTGCTGGGAGAACCACTACTCTCTTCAAAGTTGTCAGACAGGGATATTTAAGTGTGCAGAGTTTACTGCTGTCTTTTTGTTTGTCTGTGCCCTGCCCCCAGAGGTGGAGCCTACAGAGGCAGGCAGGCCTCCTTGAGCTGTGGTGGGCTCCACCCAGTTCCAGCTTCCTGGCTGCTCTGTTTACCTAAGCAAGCCTGGGCAATGGCAGGTGCCCCTCCCCCAGCCTTGCTGCCGCCTTGCAGTTTGATCTCAGACTGCTGGGCTGGCAATCAGGGAGACTCCATGGGCATAGGACCCTCCGAGCCAGGTGCAGGATTTAATCTCCTGGTGTGCCATTTTTTAAGCCTGTTGGAAAAGCGCAGTATTAGGGTGGGAGTGACCCGATTTTCCAGGTGCCGTCTGTCACCCCTTTCTTTGACTAGGAAAGGGAACTCCCTGACCCCTTGCACTTCCTGAGAGGCAGTGCCTCACCCTGCTTCAGTTCGTGCATGGTGCGCTGCACCCACTGTCCTGCATCCACTATCTGGCACTCCCTAGTGAGATGAACCCGGTACCTCAGATGGAAATGCAGAAATCACCCGTCTTCTGTGTCCCTCACGCTGGGAGCTGTAGACGGGAGCTGTTCCTATTCTGCCATCTTGGCTCCACCTATACTGATGATTTCTAAGAGGTGAACATATTCAGACGATTCCTTCTACTGACCATAGAGAAGCACTAAATGTAAAAAAAGGTGAACTAAAGTACATATTCTTATGTGCTTATAAGGATTATGTGCTGTGATATGTTATGTAATTGTTTCACTCTCATCCCTAATTACAAATTGATAAATCATTATATAATCAGTGGGTTTTAGCATCATTGAAATATGGTATTACCTATCTCAAGAACTGGTATGAAGAATTATAGATCATGATGCCTAAGCCATAGCAAGGACCCAATAAATATTAGCTAGATATGAGTTATTCCATGGAAAAAAAATGGAAATTGTCTTTTCCTTCCAATAACAGGGTCTAATGGTAAAGACAGACACATGGCTAAGATAATTTCTTTAGGCCACCTTAGTTTTGTATGCATCAGATTTCTCAGATAATGCTCTTGTTAGAACCATGAAGCTGCATTGTGCAGAAGGTGACACTGAACTATAGTATAGTACAGTTGCAACAGCAAACTCAGTTAATCCCCCAGGGAGTTCTGAAGCTTGGATGCCCCTTCAGAGTCATACCCAATTGGAGCCAATGGGCCAGGCCTTTGTACTTCTGCATCAAACAGTTATTGGATGTAGGATTCCCTCGGGCAGAGGGCAAGGCAGTTTCTTTCAGCTGAAAGCAATTCTGAGAGAGGGACACAGTTGCAAGTTGTCAACAAGCAAACATTCCTGCAACTGTGAGAATGAATCTCTCAGTCCTAAAGGGATACTAGGGTAGTGCACCACAGCATCCACTGCACACATTTAAAAAATAATATCAATATAATGATACCGACTAACATAGAGGTGTTAGCAAAGTACTTACTGTGAAGACTCAGAGGAAACAGGAGTTATCAGAGTACAAAGTTTTGGCTTTTCAAGGTGAGTAAAATCCTAGTGATCTACTGTACAGTACACAAATTGTCTACAGTTAATAATACTACAATGTATACTTAAAATTTTGCTAAAAGAGTAGATCTTATGGTAAGTGTTTTTGTAACACAAGCAATAAAAATGGAAGGAGAAAACTTCTGGAGATTATGAATGTGTTTATGGCATAGCTAGGGATGATGTTTTAATGGGTGCATACTTATGCCCAAACACATAAAATTATATAAATTTTGTATGTCAGTTACACCTCAATTAAGTGGTTAAAAAAAGAGAATGGCTGAATCTATTGAATGGAAAAGGAAAGGCTTAGTGAAGGGGAAGCTGATTTGTGGTTGATTTTAAGTCCAAGGATGGGGAGCGGGTTCCAGTCAGCAGGATTAGGGCAAATGTTCAAAGACGCAAAGGCCTAAGTATTTAATGGATATTTAAATATTGTTTCTTCTTCCTAAAGAACATAATGCCTAAATATTCTCACTGATGAATCTTACATGTACTTAGACAATTATAATAGTTTCCAAATTTCCTATTTCTGTAAAAACACTTATGGCCAACCTATAATTTCATCATTAGAAACATATTTTAAGCTTGGAAATCCAAAAGTGTATTTAATTTCTTTTCAAAATGTTATAAAAATTCTCTATTTGTTTTCAAATTAGCCATTAACTCCTCAATACAAATAAAAATGAGTTCATTTTTTATTTTGATGGTTGATTTACCTGCTTGCCTCACAGTTTCCTCTTTTACAATATCCTTCACTGTTTAACAGTTTGTCATCATTTTTAAGTCCACAAATTCTGAAGCTGTACTTTCTGGGTTCAAATCCTTGCTTAGCCATTGATATAGTTTGGATATTTGTCTTCTCCAAATCTCATGCTGAAATGTGATCCCCAAAGTTGGAGGTGGACTCTGCTAGGAGATGTTTGGGTCTTAGATACAGATCCATCATGAATGGTTCAGTGCCCTCCCATGGTATTGAGTTCTTGGTCTATTAGTTATGGCAAGACCTGATTGTCAAAAAGAACTACTACTTGCTCTCTGTCTTGCTCCCTCTCTTGTCATGTGATATGCTGACTCCCCTTTGCCTTCCGCAAAAAAGTAAAAAAAGTAAAAGCTTCCTGAGGCCTCAACAGAGGCAGATGCTGGTGCCATGCTTCTTGTACAGCCTTCAGAACTGTGAGCTAAATAAATATCTTTTTTAAAAATAAACTACCCAGTCTCAGGTATTCCTTTACAGCAATGCAAAATGGACTAATACAGCCATTTATTAGTTGTGTGACTTTGGACAATTTCCTTAGTGTCTCTGTGCTAGAGTTTTTGTGGTGTTTAAAATGAGAATAAAAATACTTACTTTTATAGATTACTGTTAGACTTAAGGG
This sequence comes from Homo sapiens, assembly GCF_000001405.40. NCBI lineage: Eukaryota > Metazoa > Chordata > Mammalia > Primates > Hominidae > Homo > Homo sapiens. The sequence continues at coordinate 104,329,932 of NC_000004.12, forward strand.
AGTCAATATGCATAGTAGATTTGGAATAGTGACTGACATATAGCAGTATAATAAATGAGCTAATTATTATTACCTTCCCTTTTTCTTCTACTGTATTTTTGGTGCTGCTTCTGTCTTTTAAATCAGATAAAAGCCCTTTACATGTCCCATGTTAGAAGTCTTATATAACTACCACAAGGTCTCTACGTAAATAATACCCTTCCACAGGTAACTAGTCTTATACTATGTTATTTTCCTGTATACACATAATCATGGTTTCGTCACCTATTAAACACTACATTAAAGAATTTTGTGTCACTAAGAAAGTCACTTGTGTTATTTGTGCTGAATGATGTGTGTTCCATTTGCCTCTACTGCTTCTGACTAAAGCTGAGTGCTGCAGGTTTCGGTTAGAGTCAGCTAAGAGAGCAATTCAAATGGGACATGAAAGGCAGTAGAAGAGCATTTACAGTAGTTTTCACACTAGGGCCAGCTTAGTTTTCCTGCTAAGAATGTACATTTCAGAGGTATATACCGAATGCTTCAGGTGTTCATTGAAGACTTCTCATTCTGGCTGGTTGTAGCTCAAACATTCCAAGCTCTATGTACCACCCAATCTTTGGATAATGTTCAGTTTCCAGCTCTCTGATAATTCTTTGCTATGACTTGAGACATTCCACGCTACTTATGTATGGGTTTTTATTCAGTGACAGATTCAATCCTTTATAGATTTCTCTATGTCTTTCTCTGGGTAGCATCTTCGTCACTGGTATCTGTTCACAGTTCCAGCTGCCTCTGCTTTTCTGGATTCCAATCTATCTCAGCTCTGCTTGAGTTTCCCCTCCTCTCATTTTTATCTGAAAAGGGAGGGCCTTAAGGCAGAAAGCCAGTAGAATAGGATTCATTTAGTTTACTTCCTTTTTTTAAAGGAACTATAGTCCTCTGATTCCTGTTATTCAATGTTTGAAAACAATTATTTTATACATTTTACCGAGATTTTTAGTACTTTATGGACTTAAGTCCTGTAAGCCCCCTCAAATTATTCCATTATGGCCAAAATTAAAGGGCTTTGATCATTTCTTGAACCAACTCTGTGAACTAAGCGTTAAATCTCTGGCCTCATTGCATTCCACTCATCCACTATTTTTGGCAAAGTTGCTGTATCTCAACTTTTTGAAATACTTCACTTGCCCTCTTGTATATCATTTTCTCAGATTTCCTGCTGCTTTACTGGCCACACCTTCTAAACTTCTTTAGTTGAATATTGCTAATTTTTTGAGCCTTCAAACATTAGAGTGTCCAGGGCTTAGTTCTTGCATCACTTTTTGGGAGACATCACCCACTCTCATGAACTTAAATCTTTGGTGATCATGATAGTGCCCAGATATTTGGTTAAACATTATTCTAAATGTATCTGTGAGGATGTTTTTGGATGATATTACTATTTGAATTGGTAGACTATATATAAGTAAATTGCCCTTTCTAATATAGGCAACCCTCATCTAATCAACTGAAAACTTGAATAGAAGAAAAAGATTGAGTAAGTGGAAACTCCTTCTGCCTAATTCTTTGATCTGGAACACTGGTGTTTTCTAGCCTTCAAACTTGGACTGAAACATTGATTCTTCTTGTATCTTGAGCTAACTGGTTTTGGGGTTGGATTTTAGACCACTGGCTCTTCTGGTTCTCAGACCTTTGGACTCAGAATGAAATTACATATCATTGGCTCTCCTGAGTCTCCAGCTTGCCACTGCGTATCTGAGGGCTTTTTAGCCTCTATAATCATGTGAACTAATTCCTTTTAATACAAACATATTATAATATATAAATCTATAAATATAAATATGTGTTTGTATTTGTGTGGGTGTATACAAACATCCTATTGGTTTTGTGTCTCTTGAGAACCCTTACTAAAACAGTGATAATCCTGCAAAACTTACCTTAAGTCTGGACTGCTCACCAAACTCAAAACTTATATATATCCAGCTGCTAACTCTCTACATAGAATATGTAATAGATATTCCCAAATTAGCATGATTAAATCTCTTTACCCGAATTCAACCTGCTCTTCCTTCAATCTTCTTCAATAGACAACAACTTCATTTTTCCATTTACTAATGGCAAAAACTTTGAAATGATCTTTGATTTATTAGAAGCCTCAGTTTAATTTATTAGTAAATCCTATCTGCTCTATATTTTTCTAGAGAAAGCACGTAAAGCTTTAATAGTAAAATATTTGCATTACACTTTACTTGTACTCAAGTAATAACAAAACATTTGTTGTTTTATTATCTCATACATTCTCTCCTCAGGTGTGGCCCATTTCCTATATGCTTGGAGTGAACTTTGGCTACATAGCTGGCCTTATTTCACTACTCTGGATGGTGTACATTTTTAAAGGTATTTGTTTTTATTACAATACAACACATACAGTGTGTTGAATAAGTCTGACTTGTAACAATCAATATGTCTTTTACAAATGGATACACCTATGTAACCACAACCCAGAACAACATATGTCTGAGAACCCTTTATGATTCCCTTCCAATCAGTAACCCCCACCATGTTAACCATTATTTTGACCTCCACTACCATAGATTAGTTCTGCCTTCATATAAAGAGAATTATACTGTATGCAGTATTTTGTTTCCAACTCAATTTATTCAACATTTTGTCTGCATGATTAGGTTGCGTTCTTACTCATTTTAGTAGCATGTTCTTCATCGTTTTATCATAACCCACTGTATGAATAAACCAAAAAATAGTTATCCATTTTTAAATTTTTTCCCCAAGTTTTTGGCTATTATTAATAAAGTTAATTATTTCTATATGTGTATTTTTTCATGGTTATATACACTTATTTTGTTGAATTTTATATTAAAGAGTGGAACTGCTTAGTTATAAGGCATAGGCATGTTTACTTTTAATAGGAAATTTCAAAATATTTTCTAAGTTGTTTCATAAATTTATCCTCAAACTAGCAGCGGAATATATAGTTCCAGTTATAACCTTCTCAAGACTTAGTATTGTCAGTCTTTTTCATTTTGGTCTCTTTGGTCTGCATCTACTGTTTAACATCTTGTGATTTAAATTAGTGATTATTTGATTATTTTTGTGTCTGAAATATCTGTTCAAGTCTCACTTATTTTTAATGATTTTTTCTGAAATTTTGTTATTATTGTTGGATAAAGACCAAGATAGTATACTGTCTTCAAGAGACCTATTTCACAGGCAGTGACAAACATAGGTCCATAATAAAGCGATAGAGGAAAAATCTACCATGCAGATGGAAAACAGAGAAAAGCAGGGGTTGCAATCCTGCTTTCTGACAAAACAGACTTTAAACAAGCAAAGATCATAAAAGACAAAGTAGAGCATACATAATGGTAAAGGGTTCAATTCATAAAGAAAATCTAACTATCCTAAATATATATGCACCCAACACAGAAGCACCCAGATTTATAAAGCAAGTTCTCAGGAACCTTCAAAGAGACATAGACTCCCACACAATAATAGTGGGAGACTTTAAACCCCCACTGACAATATTAGACAGATCAACTAAAACAACTAAAAAAACTAGAGAACCAAAGCAACAAATTCAAAGCTAGCAGAAGACAAGAAATAACCAAAATCAGAGCTGAACTGAGTTAGAGACATGAAATACCATTCAAAATATCAATGAAACCAGGAGCTATTTTTTTGAAAAAAATTAACAAAATAGATTGCTAGCTAGACTAATAAAGAATAAAAGAGAGAGGATTTAAATAAATACAATGAAAAATAACAAAATGGATATTATTACTGACCCCACAGAAATAGAAACAACCATCAGGGTATATTATCAACACCTCCATGCACATAACCTAGAAAATCTAGAAGAAATGAATACATTTCTGGACACCTACACCCTCCAAAGGCTGAACAAGGAAGAAGCTGAATTCCTAAACAGACCGACAACAAGTTTTGAAATTGAGGCACCAATAAACAGCCTACGAACCAAAAAAAAAAAAAAAAATGCCTAAGACTAGACAAATTCACAGCTAAATTCTACCAGGTGTACAAAGAAGAGCTGGTACCATTCCTACTAAAACTTTTCCTCCAAAAATGAGGGGGAGGGCCTCCTCCTTAATTCATTCTATGAAGCCAGCATCATCCTGATACCAAAACCTGGCAGAGATACAACAAAACAAGAAAACTTCAGGCCAATATCCTTGAGGAACATTAACAAAAATCTTTAACAAAATCCTGGCAAACTGAACCTAGTAGCACAGCAAACAGGTTATTCACCATGACTAAGTAGGCTTCATGCCTTAGATGCAAGGTTGGTTCAACATATACAAATCAATAAATGTGATTCATCACATAAATAAAACTAAAGACAAAAATCAAGTGATTGTATCAATAGATGCAGAAAAGTCTTTTGATAAAATTCAACATCCATTCATGTTAAAAACTATCAATAGTTACTGAAGGAATATACCTCAAAATAATAAGAGCCATATAGGGCAAATCCACAGCCATCATACTGAATGGGCAAAAGCTAGAAGACTTCCCCTTGAAAACTGGCACAAGACAAGGAGGCCCTCTCTCACCACTCCTGTTCAACATAGTATTGGAAATTCTAGCCAGGGCAATCAGGCAAGAGAAAGAAATAAAGAGCTCAAAATAGGAAAAGAGGAAGTCAAACTATGCCTGTTTTCAGACAACATGATCCTGTGTCTAGAAAACCCCATTGTCTCAACCCCAAAGCTTCTTAATTTGATAAAGAGCTTTAGCAAAGTCTCAGGATACAAAATCAATGTGCAAAAATTACTAGCATTCCTATGCACCAACAACAGTCAAGCAGAGAGCCAAATCATGAATGAATTCCCATTCACAGTTGCCACAAAAATAATAAAATATCTAGGAATACAGCTAACTAGGGAGGTGAAAGATCTCTTCAAGGAGAACTACAAACCACTGTTCAAAGAAATCAGAGATGACACAAACAATTTTTTTAAAAAATCCATGCTCATGAATAGGAAGAATCAATATCACTAAAATGCCATACTGCACATAGCAATTTATAGATTCAATGCTAATTCTGTCAAACTACCATTGACATTCTTCATAAACTAGAGAAAATAATTTTAAAATTCATATGGAACCAACAAAGAGCCTGAATAGACAAGGCAATCTTAACCAAAATAAACAAAGCAAGAGGCATCATGTTACCTGACTGCAAACTATACTACAGTGCTATGATAACCAAAACAGCATGGTACTTGTACAAAAACAGGCATATAGACCAGAGGAGCAGAATAGAGAATCCCAAAATAAGACTGCACACCTACAACTATCTAATCTTTGACAAACCTGACAAAAACAAGCAATGGGGAAAGGATTCCTTATTCAATAAATGTTTTTGGAATAACTGGATAGCCATATGGAGAAGATTGAAATTGGACTGCTTCCTTCCACCATAGATGGAATAAAGACTTAAATGTAAAACCCAAAACTATAAAAACTCTGAAAGACAACCTAGGCAATACTATTCAAGACATAGGCACTGGCAATGATTTCATGATGAAGACACCAAAAGCAATTGCAGGAAAAGTAAATATTGACAAATAAGATCGAATCAAACTAAAGAAATTCTCAAATTCAATATCAGTCATTTTTCTTTTATGGTTTAATTTGTCTTCTCCTATCTCAAAGACTTCTAGAAGTTTGATTGTTTAGCTTTTAATTTTAGATCAATGATTCATCTGAAATTTATGTTACATATGCCTGAAATCAAGGTTTATTTCTTCTCTTACAGACATCTAATTGACCCAGTGCCATTTCGTAAAAGTTCTCCTTTCCCCATTCAACTGCAGTGGACTCTGTAATACACAAGATGAGTGACAATCTTTGGGTCTGTTTAACAACTGTCTCTCATGTTGCATTTTATAACTCCTATCTTTGCATCAATGCTATGCTGATATTAATTACTCTCATTAGTGTTTTAAATAAGTCTTGATATCTGGTAGCATTGGTTCTCCAACTTTATGTTCTTCTTGATTATTACCTTACCTATTCTACATTATCTGAGCTTAACTGCATGAGGCAATTTCCATTTAAACATTTCCTCTTATAAAGCTATATATATCTTATTGGTTCTGTTTCTCTGGAGAACACTAACTAATAAACCTATTTATGATAAATATTTTAAAGAAAATAGTGAAAAGAGAGAACCATTACAAAAACTTACAGCAAGTGTTAATCTTGCTGTAGGTATTAAGCATAGTATCCGACGGATAATTATTCAATCCTCACAGTCCTCCCACCCTTCACTCTTAAGTAGACCACAGTGTCTATTGTTTCCTTCCTTATATTCATATATACACAATGTTAGCTCCCACTTGTAAGTGAGAACATACAGTATTTGATTTTCTGTTCGTGTGTTAATTTGTTTAGGATAATGGCCTCCATCCGTGTTGCTGCAGAGGACTTGATCTCATTTTTTTAATGGCTGTGTAGTATTCCATGGTGTATATGTACCACATTTTCCAGTCCACCATTGGCAGGCATTTAGGTGGATTCCATGTCTTTGCTATTGTGAACAGTGTTGCAATGAACATATCTGTGCATGTATTTTTATGGTAGAATAATTTATATTCCTTTATATCCCTTTGGGTATATACCCAGTAATGAGATTGCTGTGTTAAATAATAGCTCTAAGTTCTTTGACAAATTCTTAAACTGCTTTCCACGGTTGATGAACTAATTTACATTCTACCAGCAGTGTATAAGCATTCCCTCTTCTCTGCAATCTCACAAGCATCTGTCATTTTTTGACTTTTTAATAGTAGACATTCTGATGGGTATGAGATAATATCTCATTGTGGTTTTGATTTGCATTTCTCTAGCGATTAGTGATGTAGAGCATTTTTTCATATGCTTCTTGGCTGCATGTATGTACTCTTTTGAGAAGTGTCTGTTCATGTCCTTTGCCCACTTTTTAATGGGGTTGTTTCTTGCTTGTTGATTTGTTTAAGTTCCTTGTAGATTCTGGAATTTAGACCTTTATTGGATGCATAGTTTGTGAATATTTTCTCCCATTCTGTAGGTTGTCTGTTTACTCTGTTGATAGTTTCTTTTGCTGTGCAGAAGCTTTTTAGTTTAATTAGGTGCCACTTGTAAATTTTTATTTTTGTCACAGTTGCTTTTGGTGACTTCATCATGAGACTTTGGCAACACCTATGTCCAGAATAATATGTTCTAGGTTGTCTTTTGGGGTTTTTACAGTTTGATGTCTTATATTTAAGTCTTTAATCCACCTGAGTTGATTTTTGTATATGGTGAAAGGGGTCCAGTTTCAATCTTCTGCGTATGGCTATCCAGTAACTCCAGCACCAATTATTGAATAGGGAGTCCATTCCCCATTGCTATTTTTGATCAAATTTGTTGAAAATCCAATGATTATAGGTGTGTGGCTTTACTTCTGGGTTCTCTAACCTGTTATATTGGCCCATATGTTTGTTTTTGTGCCAGTATCATGCTGTTTTGGTTACTGTAGCCTTGTAGTTTGAAATCAGGTAATGTGACTTTGTTCTTTATGCTTAGGATTGCTTTGGCCACTCAGGCTCTCTTTTGGTTTCACATGAATTTTAGAAGAATTTTTTTTCTTAATTCTGTTAAAAAAATGTTGTTGGTAGTTTGATAGGAATAGCATTGAATCTGTAAAATGCTCTGGGTGGTGTGGTCATTTTAACGATATTGACTCTTCCTATCTATGAGCATAGGATGTGTTTTCCATTTGTTTGTGTCCTCTTTTATTTATTTCAGCAGTGTTTTTATAATTTTCATTGTAGAAATCTTTTACTTTCATGGTTATCTGTATTTCTGGGATTTTATTTTCCTGGGTATTGTAAACGGGGTTGCATTCTTGATTTGGCTTTCAGCTTGGATGTTGGTGTATAGAAATGCTACTGGTTTTTGTACTTTGATTTTGTACCCTAAAACTTTACTGAAGTTGTTTACCAGATCTAGGAGCTCTGGGGTAGAGACTATGGGTTTTTTAGATACAATGTCATATCATCTGTGAATATAGGTAGTTTGACTTTTCTTTCTATTTGGAAGCCTTTTATTTCTCTTGTCTTATTGCTCTGGTTAGGACTTTCAGTACCATGGCGAATAAGAGTTGTGTGAGTGGGCATCCTTGTCTTGTTCTGGTTCTCAAGGAGAATGCTTCCAGCTTTTGCCATTCAGTACAATGTTGATTATGGGTTTGTTATAGATGACTCATTATTTTGAGGTATGTTCCATTAACGCATAGTTTGTTGGGGGATTTTTAAATGTGAAGAAATATTAAATTACATCAAAGCTTTTTCTGTGTCTATTGAGGTGACCATGGAGTTTTTGTTGTTAGTTCTGTTTATGTCATGAATCACGTTTATTGATATGCCTATGTTGAACCAACTTTGCATCCTAGGAATAAATCCTACTTGACTGTGATGGATTAGCATTATGATGTACTGCTGGATTTGGTTTGCTAGTATTTTGTTGAATATTTTGTATCAATGTTCATCAGGGATATTGGCCTGTCTCTGACAGGTTTTGGTATCAGAATGATGCTGACCTTACAGAATGAGATAGCGAGGAATACCTTCTTCTAAATTTTTTGGAATAACTTTGGTAGAATTTGTACCAGCTCTTTTTAATACACCTGGCAGAATTCAGCTTTGAATTCATCTGGTTCAGGGCTTTCTTCTATTTGGTAGGCTTTTCATTACTGATTCAATTTTGGAACTTGCTATTGATCTGTTTATGGCCTCAATTCCTTCCTGATTCACTCTTGGGAGGTTGTATATTTCCAGGAATTTATTCATTTCTTTAAGATTTTCTACTTTTTTGTACATAAAGGTATTCATATACTCTGATGGTTTTCTTGTTATGAGGTCAGTGGTAATGTCCTCTTTTCATTTTAGACAGTCTCCTATTTCTGAGATTATACTACAAGTGTGCAAATTGTAGTCATTAGGAGAACTTTTAAAGGGTACCAAGAAACTCTCTACACTATCTTTGCAAAGCCCAGTGAATGTATAATTATACTTTTAAAGTTTAAAAAAATTAAGCATTATCACTGATATGTTCATAATATTTTTATATTTTAATACAGTGTGTTATATCTCACTAGGTATGACTTAAATATTGAGAAGAAACACTTCTTTAGGCAGAGGAAAAATAATCCCAAATAAAATTATGGAAATAAATGTCGCATTGAAGAACAATGTCCTCATGGTACATACATGGATAACATACATGAATTGTAATTTTCTTGTGGAATTTAAAAATCAAATATAAAATTAAAATGCATGCTACTGTAATGCATACATTACAAAGAAGAATTTAATTGTAATTAAAGTATTATAAAATTTTAGCATTATCTAGATGTGATAAAGGTAATAATTTCTATTAGACCAGAAGAACTCAGAAATGCTATTGTAATCTCTAGTGTAATATCTAGTATTCTAGAGGAATATTACTACTACAAATCAGTAGGAGGAAATTGATGAAAATTAAAATATATCTGATTAATTCAAATGGCAAAAGAAAAAAAATGACTAAAATCAAATAACAACCCTCTTAGTAATTACACTAAATGTAAATGAACTAAACGTTCTTCAGGAACAGAAAAACTTAGCGAATACACGTTTTGTTTCATCTTCTTTTTATGTGTTAAAAAAAGATGATATTATAAGATACATCATTTACCATAAATAAGAAAGCTTTTTTGTTTCTTACACATCCTCTGCCTAACACTTTCATATTGTATTGAACAGTTGCCATAATCTGAAAAGTGAATTGTGAAAAATAAATCCAATAAATTGTGGGGAAAATAATATAGAACAATACACAACACTCTATATTATCATCAGCCTTCTAATTCTGATATTGTACTATAGTCATATAAATTGTATATTATATGGATTCACTTATCCAATTCACTTTGCAGATTATGGGGAGATGGGAAATATTAATACAATAAAGAAGGAGAAGCCTCTGGGGAGAACTAGCTAAATTAATCACACTCAAAATCACAATTGAAATATTGCGCTGTACACTTTGATTCAGTGTGTAAATGCAACTGTAAGGTTAATTATGAACTATGAAAATTAAAATAACAAATCCCACAGAGAAGGACGTTTTTCTTTAAAAACTCCAAAGGAGCAATTACATTGAATGACATGCTATTAATTTGGAGTTATGAAGGATAGAAAATCTAACTTATATAATTTATCTCTCTCATTTTCTTTAGTATTTTTAGCTCAGTATTTTCAACATAAAATAAAAAAAATCACATCATTCTTTTGGTTCAGTATATTTGAAACATTTATTATTTCAGGGATCAGTAACTGCTTTGCTCACCTGTGAACACACCATTATTTTTATTTACTAACATGAGGTGAAATGCTGAACCAAATTACTGGAGTAAGTTAGCATGTACCAAAAAGGCATCAATAGCCAAGAGATGTTAAAAATTTGAAAAATATCTGAATTCTACTGCCATAAAATAACATCTATATTAATTGAAATTTAAAAATTATTATTTACTGCTTTCATATATTTCAATCACTTGTAATTTTAAAAATTATAATTTTATGGATTAATATAGTTATTTATAAATATAGTTATTGTATCCATTATTTAATTATATATACAAATATATAGTTATTAATGCCCAAAATATATAAACATAGTCAACTAGATGAAACATGCTAATTACTATACTAAAGACTAATGAAAACTCTAACTTCACTTATGTTTTTCTATTGAATTACTTTGAAAGCAGCGTAAGGGAAAGTATGGTATGTGTACATGTGTGTTTTCTTTTTCTTTCTTTTTTTATTTTTCACAAATGGAGACTTGCTATGTTGACTAGGCTGGAGTGTAGTGGCTATTCACAGGGGTGATCATAACATAGTACATCCTCAAACTTCCGGCCTCAAGCAATTCTCCAGCCTCAACCTCCTAAGTAGCTGGGACTACAGACATGCGCCACCTCACTGGCTTTGTGTGAGTTGGAGGATGGGGTTAGCAAAGAGAAGTGCGAAGCTATATACAGGAATTAAGCCTGAAAAAAAAAAAACAAAAAAAAAACTTGAATGGGTATTTTTGTAAACTTTTCAAGTCCTTCAGACTTGGAAGAGTAAATGAAAGGTGTTGAGGAAGGAGAAAGAGATATAGTCTACACTTATTACACATTATTACTCCTTCTTCTAACCACCTCATTACATCTCCTTACCTTTGCCTCCTTGTTCCTCTACTTGCTTTCCTCCTTTCTTCTTTGTTGTGTTGACTGCTTCTTCACCTCGTATATTGGATTCTAGATAGGAATAAAACAAGCAGTTACAGGAGAGTTTTACTCATGATTAAGTTTTTTTTTGAAAAAAATTCTTTTTTATAGGATTCCCAAACACAGAAAAAAAAATACATAAGACTTCTGTTAATCAATTTAAATGCAGCCCTATGAACTTTTATAAGTCTTTTTATTTTTTCTCTAACACTTGTTGATACCAGTTGCTTGGCGATGGCCTATGATCATTTACTTCCTAATCTTGTATTCTCACACGCTAAACATATTCTCAGGCTTCATTCAAATTTGCCCAAAGCATTTTTCTTATGTTACCTCACTTATTTTTTTCTGAAACCCCATGTAGTAGGTGTTATTATCTTAATTACAAATTACTACAGATCATTAACTTACAGAGGTCATTATTGGATAGGAATAAGCAGGAATGCTAAATATTAAATACCAAAAGTGTTCTAACTATAGATCATTTTATCTATACAAGGTAAGTACCCTGAAGTTGTGCTGATTATTTTTCTTAATTGCTTTTAATACACTGCTTCTATGAAAGTTTAGACTGAAAATCCTATCAAGTATATGAAAGGTGAAAGTCTAAGTCACTGACAGTTAATCACTGCAAACGTTGATCTTGAAATCATGTTTCAAAGTGATGAAGTCAAATATTTCAAAATAAAAGTTAAAACTTGGGCAATAACAATAAATATAAAACTCTAGTACAGGAATTTATAATATCACTTATGAATCATATGTATTTACATTATCTCATTTGAATCTCACAGGAATCTTTACAGTAGGGATTATTATAACCCTTCTTTCACAGATGAAGAAAATGATAACAAATAACTTAAAACCACTCAGCTAGTAGCAAGTAGTCAAGTTGGGTCTCGAGTCACATTTTTCTGACTCCAAGTTTTATATGATTGCTTTATTGTCTGCATATAAAAAGATTAATTTTAGAACACCAGGGGCTATTGAACTGGTTCTAGTCTTTGAGCCCCTAACCATAACGGTATGCTCTGATAGCCTGGGTCACTAAAAAATAAATATATTTCATCCTGACAAGTTGAGACCATATAATTACTAGATGAATAACAATAAATAACATCATCTTTCACTTTATCATCTCTAAGCTTCAAGACTTCTGAAACTGGTTAAGGGCTCTATTGTGCTGTTAAAAAGTAATATTTATACCCATGCATTGTTCCCTGGAATCACGTGCTTCTCTTGTGTAAATATGATGTTATTCTCACAAGTCAAAGGAAAAATAAAAATAGCTAGATATGTTTAGATATTTATTGAGACAGCTCACACTAAATACTGATTTATAACTATTTGATCAATTGAAATATGATATTATAATCCTTAGTTCTAGTTTACTATGTTTTACTGGACAAACAGTATCTTGGTCACTAGTATTGATCACAAAAATAATTTGAATTTTTGCAGACAACAGACTCACTAAAAGTACGAAGATCTACAGCAGAGCTGAAATGCTGGACAACAGTGCATTCTGAATAATGCATTTCAGTCTGTGTTATTAAAAATGCAGTATGTGTCAGTCATACAAAACCCAGTTTTCATGGAGTGATCGTTTTCCCCTATTCATTGTGACTTAGAGAAAGCAAAGAGATCTTCCACAAATTAAAACAAATCTATGCTATTCCCCAAGTTATCTTTCCAAATTCCTAGCAAATGTTTAAATTAAGTATTTACTAGTAGTCAATTAATAAAGGATGTCTAAAATATTTTTACAAGTTGAAGTGTGAATGTGTGTGTATCTTTGTATGTGTGTGTTTATGTGTGTGGGTTGAATGTAAAAATAGGTTAGTATCAGTAGGAGAAAGCAGAAGGAAACAACTAGTTAATTTATATAAACATGCTTTGCTTTCTCATGGCCTTGATAATACTTAGTAACAGTCTTAGTAGTAAAGATTAGAAATAAAAGCATTATTGTATGCATTTCTTCAAAAGACTGACATTTAGAAGAAAGGAATCATGTAAATGGTGGAAATTCTCTCTTATACCATTTCTATCTTTTTCTCTTGAAAAGTCATGCAAGGAAATCAGAACTAAATTGTGGAAAGCAGTAGTAGATTCACACATATTCACTTTATGATTTGCTGCAAGAATATTCATTTCACTAGAGACTATTCCTATAGTCTGGTATTTTCCTATCATTTAACTGAGTCCATAAATTCTCCCCTGCCTCATTGTATTCCAAGGCTTGCTGAACCCTTGTTCTGCAACTGTCTGGCTTTCTGCACACCTTGCCTGACAATTCTTGCTCAGCAGTTAGTGACATCCTCTTTTCTGCTAGATATATTTCTCCACTATGCTTCCCTACTCTTGCTAGCAACCAGCTTCTTTCCACTTTATGATATTTAAGAAATTTATCATAAAAATTTTTCTTGATTGTTTCTTTGGGCCCAGAAAAGTGAAGTAAACAGAACAAAGAAAATAAAAGATTTTCTTAAAAAAGAGAGATCTGGTAGGTTAAATTCAAACATTTATCTCTCTCCTGCCTTTTAATAGTTAAGGAGTAATATTTTGGCAGTGCTTAGGATCTAATTATGTTTTGTTTTTGCCACCAACCTCCTCTTTTTAAAAGGAAAGCTTTTCTGTGTACCTATATGGAATTAGCTCTAAGAAATCTTTCACCTCACCACATTTTTCCAGTCTTCTTAGATAACACTTCGTTATTTTTGATTTCAGTGAAAGCATTGCCTAATTTATACAATATTTCATAACTTTCCCATGTAGAATTTTGAGACTTTCCTTTTTAAATCTCCTACTACACTTCATTCATGGATTTATCATATTTACAATAGTCATCTTGTTATATATATGATGGACCAAACTATATTGTAAGCTTCTTGTTGACAGAAAAAGTATTTGATTCCTCTCTTTATACCTAGAGGCAATAGCACTGCCTGACACCTAGATAATGCTCAATAAATGTTTGTAATATAAAGAATGATGACAAGAAAGAATACTTAAAAATTGAGGTGAGAAAATACACAGAAAACTTCTTAGAAAAGTGAAGAGATGTAGGAAATACTAATGGATTGGGAAAATTAAAGAAAGCAAGTAAAAGCACAGTTAACGCTTGTGATGGTGGTGGCGGCCCAAATGGAGCAGCCACTGCAAGGACATCAGCTGCGGTGGGAGAGGCACAGTCAGAGCTGCACGCTCCACAGGGCCAGCAGGGGCCAGGAATAGGTGATCCCAGCAGGAGCACCACACCCTACTGAGTTGGTTGGGCAGGAGCCCATGCTCCTGGGTGCAGCTGCAGCTGCCCAGCTATGGCTCCAGGCCCAGGCATCCGTATACCCTCAGGGGCCTGGGAAGCCTCCTGCCCCTGCAGGCTCGGGAGTGCTTGCTCCTGCTCCTGGCACATGCTCCAGTGCACAGCAAAGTTGTGGCCAAACCCAGGTGGTATCACAACCCAGCCAGGTGTGTACACACTCAGGGCAGTGCTGACATGCCAGCCCCCTGCCACCGTGGCTCTCTCTAGATTTTGGATGCTGATGCATGCAGGAGGGAGGCTGGGAGGCTGAGGGTGGCTCAGCCTGGGCCTGCAGGTGTCCCTCGGCACGGACAGCCTGGGCACCGTGGGCGGCATGTTGATGGCTGAGCCACAGGTTCCTGGGTGGGGAAGGGGAGGGTCCCCAGTGAAACCCCACCTTCAGGCCAGGGAAGACCTGAAGCCTGGGGACCAGGTTGTCAGTTCCAGGCGGAGTCCGAGACGTGGGGTGAGAACTTCCTTGATGCCTTTTGGCCAATCAGATGGTGCTCTTTCCAGGCCCACCCGTGACCACCCATGAACCAATCAGCATGCACTGCCTCCCTTCTGAGCCCATAAAAACCCCAGACTCAGCCAGACTCAGGAACTTGTTGGGACTAACTGCCTGCAGGTAGGAGCTACCCTCTTCAGGTCTCATCTACACTTGCTGAGACCACCTGCCTGTGAATAAGAGCTACCCACACTGGGTCTCCTCTAGAGTTGTCAGGATGACCTGCCTGTAGATAGGAGCTACCCATCTCAGGTCTCCTCACTGCTGAGAGCTGCCTGTCACTCAGTAAATCTCCTCTCCACTTTGCTCACCCTCCAGTTGTCCATGTAACCTCATTCTTCCCAGATGTGGGACAAGAACTCAGGACTCACAGACTGGTGGGAGTGAAAGGAGCTGTAATGTGTTCCTGGCTGGCTCACCAGCTGTAGGCAGTGACATGCTTTCAGACTGTGGAAGTGAAGATTGCAACCTTTCTGGGGGCCCAGGCCTCAGGATTCCCTGAGCCAGAGCTCTCTTCCTTCTGTAGGGGCCAAGTGGCTGCCTCACATGATAGGAAGCAGTGGCAGAGCTGGGCCAGCCTGGGAGCCACAGGCTGGAGTGAGGCAGTGGGACTGAAAGAGCTGTAACTCAAACAGGCTGAAAAACACCCCCAGAAACATGCCACCAATCCTGCTTGCCATGCGGCGGGTGACAAGAAGGAGAAAAGAGCTGCAGCCCTTCTGGGAACCCAGACCTCAGGGCTCCCCGAGCCAGGGCTGTGACACCCTCTTTGGGCATCTGCAGTTCCTGACATCTCCTAGCTCTTGGGCACCACCTCATTCCCCTTGTCCAGAGGCTGGTGCTTGCAGCGGAAGCCTCTTGTGGTATGTCTGGTCCAGCCACAGCCTTGCATGGAGCTGGTGCCTGTGCCTGTCCCTGGAGCTGCCCACCCTGCCATAGCACCTGTTTTCCCAGCTGTGCATAGTGGGTGAATCCTGAGCTCAGGTGCTCACATACACCTCTCCCTCTCTGCTCTGCTCCTGGCTCACCCTTGGCAGGTGTGGGATCCAGGCTGGTAGCACAAGCCAAGTGCAGCCTGCTAGGTCTAGTGGGTGAAACAATCCCAGCAGGCATGAGCAGAACACAAGCTGAGGCACCACCAGCCACAGAGGTTTCCAGCTGGTGAAGCAACACCCTAAGGATCCTGTGACACTTGCATACTTACACTTTCGCATTCACTATTAATGCTCAAAAATTAGGTATGCTGGATAGAAATGTTGATTACTACAGCATTCCTCTCAGCTTTAAGTGCATGAAATAGTAACAAAAATGATGATGACCACCTTAACTTACTGTTTTCCAGTAAGTAAATCCAACTGCTTATTGACTGATCATAGTACAGGTCCTTTGTTTTCAGCACAAGTGAGACATTTATGTTTATAACTTTCAAAGTTATTGGTTCCTTCATGTGACCTATGATGTGTGGAAGAGGTGTAGATATGTGATTTCAACTGGTCTCTATAAACAAAGTCTAGAATTTGGCCTGATCAGTGATAAACTTAAATAACTGAATATACCTCTAGCAATAACTATTTGAAAGGTGTAAAGCACACATTATTACTTAGACTGATCTTTCTCAAACTGTCTCTTTTCAAGGACCAGTACTTATCTCCCCAACACAATTTTGCATAGACTAATACAAGTTAATTCTATGCACACCTATCACACAGCTTGCGCCAATCAGCAAATCAGCATGACTTTGCCATCAGGACAAATAGTCTATTCCCTGCTCAACAAGACTGGATAGCCTATCACATTCTTGACTATCTCTGCCACTTCGAATTACTATACAAATTCCTAAATACTCCATATCTGTTTTTGTTGTTTTTGTTTTTGTTCTGAGATGGAGTATCACTCTGTCTTGCTATGTCTCCCAGGCTGGAGTGCAGTGTCACGATGTTGGCTCACTGCAACCTCCATCTCCCAGTTCAAGCAATTCTCCTGCCTCAGCCTACTGAGTAGCTGGGATTACAGGTGCCTACCACTACACCCGGCTAATTTTTGTATTTTTAGTAGAGGCAGGGTTTCACCATGTTGACCAGGCTGGTCTCAGACTCCTGATCTCAAGTGATCTGCCCACCTCAGCCTCCCAAAGTTCTGGGATTACAGGCATGAGGCACTGTGCCTGATCATGTCGGTATTATTTTGTTTTAACAGACACTAATAAATAGTTCATGGACCAACATTGTTCCACAGACCACGCTTTGAATAGCACTGGTTTAGACAGCTGAATATAAGCCAAACCAAGGTCTAGTGGACTCTAACCCCAGAGAAAATAAAAGCCCAACTATGATGTGGTCCATCAATACATACTTTTAAAAATTCCAAATGAAAGCCCTAACAATACAATTGCCACAATTTGCCATTGATAACGATTTATGGGTAAAATTTTAGAAAAATGATGCAGTTGTGTGAAGAAACAGTATTGTAATATAGATGTCACAAAAATCTGTTAGAGCTCAACAGAAATTGATGGTGAGATGAAAGGAGTACTTGCATTTCTGGAAATATAGTTGACCAGATATCCTGAAATCTCCCTGTGTATGAAAAATCTGATACAAAACAAAATTGGCTGAAAAAAAGATACACACACACAAATATTATATATTTAAAATAATATATAATTATGTATCATATGTAAAAGACAAATATGTGTGTATGTGTGTGTGTATATATATATACATATATGTAATTCTTCTAATCTGTCTAAGCTGTCAAGAAAATAAAGAATATTCACATGAAAGAAATATGAAATGAAAGCCTAAATCTACATCTAACAGAAGGTGCTAAAGCTGCTAACTACGGAAAGGGAGTTTGCCAGTCCCTACAATTCAGAGCTTTAGGTCATAAAGACACACATGGACATGAACACATGACATTGAACCCATGTAATGAGAGGAGTTGGAATAAAGATTTCCACAAAAGCCAACGATTTTTACATGAAAGGGTGGACCAGAAAATTGTCTGCCCCACAAAAGTAAATAGCAAAGAAAACTGACTAGCTCAGCCTGCATTTTAGTGGAAGGCTTTAATATACACATACATATCGCCTGAGTATTAGGAGTGTGGGTTTCAAATTCTCACAGGTCACATGACCTAGAAAAGCTCATCTAAGATTTAATTTTAAGTGGTCTTGGGATGAAGTCTCCTCAACACCAACCATAAGAATATCAGCTTGGGAAGAGCGCATTTAAAACCTAGTAATCATAGAATTCCATAATATCGTTAATAACATGAGTTCACAACAAACAAAACAGAAAAGAGTAGAGGAAGCAAGAATTGTGGAGAGGAGAGAATGAATGTGAACTAAATAACAACTTATGCATCTAGAGTCTGCAGAGAAAAGTTGCCAGTGAGAAATTATCTGTGATCCATGTACAAAAGATTTTTAACAGAGAAAAGTTGCCAGTGAGAAATTATCTGTGATCCATGTACAAAAGATTTTTAAGGAGAAAGATACTACTATTTAATATTAAGGAGTTTGAATTTTTATGATTAAAGTCCCTCTGCAAACTTTCAATGAGCTCTGCTACATACACAACTGCCCCGAGTGAATAATTTTTGGAGAAAAAATCTAGGGAAAGAGGCTTAGATCTAAATATGGTTCACTGATAAAAAGGATATGGCAACAGTAATGGGAGGTCATTTCCAGTGAGGGCACTGCACGGAAGCAGGCGTTCAGATCAGTCATTCTAAACTGCAGGTTCAATCTCTCCAAAGTTTTCCAAAGCTTATTATCTATTTTTAGTGTTCATTTGTTTACAATTAGTCTGTAACTTCTATTACTTATTTAGTAGAATATTTATTTTAAATTGTAGGCTCTATCAGGGAAAAAGTCAAAAAGGAGAAGCAAAGACCTTTGGTGAAGTTGATCTCTCTGGGTCCTCCCACTTTACAATGATTAAGAGACCGTATTTCCATGACATGATGTAGGGACTGCTTTGACAGTATATTTAGAGTTTATGCCAATATACCAAGCTTTGAGTGTTCTAAATAGGTGTAAAACACATATATTATATTTTATGTGTAAATTATAATCAAATATTCTCTAATTTACCTCAATAGATTCTAAAGCCTCGGTTTTACTCAGATGTTGGGATGGTGCAACTAAATTCTGCTTTTAAAGAACATACTTGTTTTTTCTGTTTTAAGATGATCTCAGAAAGACAAAAACAAGGGAAAAAAAAAACTATGACTCTTTTTATAACTGTCAATTCACAGTGTTTTCTAGTCCCATATCTCCCACCCTAAACATCAAGGGCTGATTTCCTGGATGGGTTTTGTATTTTCCAGGCATGAGGGAAGATTGATATTCACTAGTCTCTGCTTGAGATGTCTTTCTTGCTCTGGTTAATCTCAGCCTTTTGGTTGGCTGGAGTAATGAAAGTTCTCTTGTCTCCTTACATTAATGTCATGCATTGCCTCTGTTCCCAGAAGTTTCAGACAACTTTACATACTACACTAATAACTTCTTGACATCCAACTATCCACTTACCCAAATTTGATCCTTTGCATTCTCACCCCTCACCATTATAAATCTCTGCATTCTTGCAAAGAATACGTACTCTCATAGGAGTACTTCCACTTCCAAGCAAGTAGCTATTTGGATACCTAATACAAGAATTTTGTTGTCTAGGCCTTTTATTTCTTGACAATATTTCTATTGCCTTACTTATCCTAAGGCTCTCTACCCATTAGTTCAATCACATTTATTTTGTTAGGAAGAAGATAGAGATGGCATAGAAAAGAGGGTCGAAAATAGTCAAAAATACAGGAAGGAGATAAACACTTTAAGGGTTGTTAAGGAAGTAGCAAAATAACTATGTAGTGTGTAGGCTACAGTAAAAACACTGCTGAAGTCAATGAGAAAGGACCTAGTGCTTTAGTTCCTATAAACCTAAGTATCAGAGAAAGAGTAAGATGATAGAAATCTCAAATAAATTGAGGAAAAAATAAAAGCAGAGAGAGCTTGTGATGGTATTCTGGTTTAGAAGTCTGGAAAGAAATGCATTATAGGTTGTTGTTTGCCAAATGGAGAAGACAAAGTAGCATGATATATTTAGGCAAAGAAATGAGCCAGGCCAGAATTGTGGCTCGTGCCTGTAATTCCAACACTTGAGGCAGCCAAGGCAGCAGGATTACTTGAGCCCAAGAGTTCAAGACCAGCCTAGGCAATATAGTAAGACCACATCTCTACAAAAGAACTTTAAAAATTTGCTAGGCATGCTGGCATGGGCCTGTAGTCTCAGCTACTTGGGAGGCTGAGGTGAGAGGACTGCTTGAAGCTAGAAGGTAGAGGCTGCAGTGGGTCATGATTACACCACTGTACTCCAGCCTGGGTAACAAAGTGAGACACCATCTCTCTCTCTCTCTCTTTTTTTTTTTTTTAAAAAAAGGAAACATCTGAGCCATACTTTCCACATGTCACCCTCCAAACTTCCTCATAGTAATCAGGAGAAAATAGGAAAGATCTAGAATTTTCAGAAAGATTCTATGAAGGATTTGAAAGTGCTGAGAGTGCTGGTGGAAGACATGAGAGGGAGTGTGGTTTCAGCA
This sequence comes from Homo sapiens, assembly GCF_000001405.40. NCBI lineage: Eukaryota > Metazoa > Chordata > Mammalia > Primates > Hominidae > Homo > Homo sapiens. Next base: position 104,350,635 of record NC_000004.12, read on the forward strand.
CAAGGATGGCACAGTGTGCTTCTTGCAGGTAGAGACCATGACAAAAACTGAGGACATTAACAGAGAATTCCAGCAAACACTGTTGGACTAGAAGGAGACCAGCTACTTGTTTTGGAGGTCAGAAAGTATTTAACTGAGAACATAGTGGAAATAAATGGGGAAGAGATACCTGCTCCAAAATCCTCTGTAAAACCCTGTCCATCATCCCACACTTAGATAGGGAACAGTGAAGAAAAAACAGTAATTAGGAGGTTCAAGATGGCTGACCAGATGCAGCTAAGAAATACTTCTTCCATGAAGAGAAACCAAAATATTAAGCAAATATTCACACTTCAAACAGATCTCCTGAGAGAAAACACTAAAATTCAATAGAGAGGCAACAGAAGACAACAAGGGGTGAAGGAAGAGGAAATGGGGCTGCCTCCTTGGGGTTGTCAAGTGCCAAGAGTAGCCCACAGACCAAGACATTGACCCAAGGAAGGGGTAAGTGAAAGGACCCTAGGGCTCTACAATCCCAATGAGGACATCTGCAATCCTAGCTACAGGAGATAGACCTGTAGACCTTTAGACTGGCAAAAGGAGCTGCCTGGTGACCAAGATGTACTGCTAGAACTCATGTGAAGCCTGTCAGGCTTCTGTGCCCTGGGAAGCTGTAACAAAGCACCATTCTGTGTATCCATCCCCAAGGCTCTGTGTCCTGCCCTAAGCTGCTGCTGCTGTCAGCTGAGCCAGGGAATAAGCAGGGGCCCAGGTACTCTCACATGCTTCAAAGATAGGTTTCACTCCCATAGCTGCAGGACCAAGATGCACTCAAACCATATACCCCATACCTGCCAGTCCCTCCCAAGACTGCCTTCCTGGCCATTCCTGCTGAAGGAGACTCACCTTTCCCAGTGTCAGGCTCGTAGCATATCCGCCATTGCCCTTACTGTTTTGTCTGCAACCTGGGAGGAGTTCATCCCTCCTTATCACAGCCAGTGCTTGAGCTCAAGGGGCCAGAGAACAAGTCCAGTGGCCTGTTCCTGTTTGCCCGGACTGGAGCACACCTTCCAGGGGTATGGTGATGATATTTGTAAACTGTTCTCAAGTGGGAGATAAGCATGCTTCTCCCCTATCTCTGCCTTTTCTCTCCCTCTCTGTATTCCAACAGAATACAGAAAAGAATGTGGTGCAGGTTTGTACTGTGGTGAGGGAGATAGGTGTCCCTCCCTTAACAAAACTAGACCACAAAGAATGTGGGCCGGTAGCTGAGGTTTTTGCTCTAGACAGGGAGTCTCCTGGCCTGGGATGGTTCGGTGATTAGACACAGATTGCTTGGGACTAGCCTAAACTTCCTGGCCTGCTGCTGGAAGCTGGATACTAGAAAGTGACCCATGAGTTGAGGGTGTGGGAGCTGAGTAGGTTCCACTGCCACTTGCTAGGCTGAAGACTCTGTGCCACCCCCTTCCCCCGTGTAGACTCTGTGACACAAGAGAGAAACATCCACCCTTCCCTGGAGGGTTACCCCAGTGGCCTGAGAGCTGCCCCTAGACCCCCAAAGAGGCTGGCACAAGAGCTGCACTGGAGAGCCTGTTCATAGGTTTGCCCAACACAGCCATGCTCAACTATGCTCCCTCCAGATGCCACTGTGGCAGGGCATGGAACAGGAATCCCTGAGAGCTCCACTGCCCCACCCATCACCTGGGACACCCCAGTAGTTCTGATGAACAAGGGCCAAGTAGAAATCCCACTGCCACCATCACAGCTGTCTCTCTCCTGCAAGTGCCACCTACTGGCTGAGAGGTCAACCTACATGTCCCATTACAACATCTGTGGATACCATTTTACAGCATTTGGCTGGCTCTTACTTGCAAGTGCAACCCACAGGCCTATAGGTTGAACTTCGGGAGGCTTCTAACAGAAGTGCACGGTGCTGGGGAAGTAGATAAGGCTCCAGGCACCACCACCTCTTTCCCTCTCTGTCTTTTCAGGAGACAATAAGGCTGTTCATATGCACATTACACTGCTACTACAACATACAATCAACATTTGAGAAAAACATTACACTAAGGCTATCTATAACCAAGGAATTCATACACAGATTTGGCCCCTAAAAATACAAGGAAGAAAAGATGAAGGACCCTACCTAACATATGCAACAGTTACACCCTCAAAAGAGGACAAAAAAAAAAAAACCTCCCATCTAAACTAACTAAAAAATAAAAAAGTGACAGATTCTCTGGATGAAAAGGAAACCAGCCAGCATAAGAACTCTAGCACCATGAAGAAAACAGCATTGTGACACTCCCTAAGAATCACACTAGTTCTCTAGCAATGTATTCTAACCAAAATGAAAATTTTGAAATGACAGATAAAGAATTCAAATATGGGTTGTAAGCAAGTTCAATGATATCCAAAAGAAAGTTGAAAACCAACACAAAGATATCAAAAGAGCAATTCGAGATATGAATAAAAATTTACTAAAGAGATATTTTAAGAAGAATTTCTAGAAATGAATAATTTACTGAAGAAATTACAAAATAGAGCTGAAAGCTTTAATAATAGACTAGACCAAGCAGAGGAAAGAATTTCAGAGCTTGAAGAATGCTCTTTTGAATTAACGCAGTCAGATCAAAATGAAGAAAAAAATTTTTTAAATAAACAAAACTTCAAGAAATATAGAATTACATTCTATATTTACAACATAACCTATGAATTGTAAGCATACCTGAAAAAGTAAAAACTTTGGAAAACATATTTGAGGGAATAATTTAGGAAAATTACACTGGTCTTGGTAGAAATGTAGACATACGTATACAAAAAGCTCAGAAGTACTTGTAAGATACATTTCAAAATGAATATCATCAAGGCATATACTCATCAGACCATCCAAAGTCAACTGAAAGACAACACTCTAAAATCAAGAGAGGTGCATCAAATCACCTCTGAAGAATATTCCATCAGACTAACAGTGGACTTCTCGGCAGAAATCTTACAAGCCAAAAGGGAATAGGGCCCTACTTGTATTCTTCTTAAAAAAATGAACACCCAAGAATACTGTATCCTTCTAAACTAAACTTCATAAATGAAGGAGAAATAAAGTATTTCCTAGACAAGCAAACATGAAGGGAATTTATCACTATTAAACCAGCCCTATAAGAAATGATCAAAGGAGTTCTAAACACGTAAACAAAACGGCAATACCCTCAGTCATAAAAACACATGAATGTATATAACTCACAGATCTTATAAAGTAAACATACAATTGAGACTACAAAAAAAATAACCATTAACATCATGACAGGAAAAAAGCCGTATCAATATTAACCTTGAAAATTAATGAACTAAATGCTGCATTTAAATGATATAGACTGAGGAGAGTATATTTTTAAAAAATAAGATTCATTCATATGCTGTCTCCAAGAAACCCACCTGATGGTTAAAGAAATTCGCAGACCCAAAGTAAAGGAGTGGATAAAGATATTCCATGCAAATAAAAAACAAAAGTGAGCGGAAGTAGCTATATCTATGTCTTATAAAACAAACTTTAAATCAACATCGATTTTAAAATGTGTTTTTGAGGTATAAAACCCATATTTATACTACAATAACATAAAATATATGACATATGAAAATATAAAAATCTGTATTTATATTACAACGACATAACAACACAGCATTGCCCACCAGCTGCACAGGTGGATGGGGGCCCCTTTTCCCCTCCAGTGTGCACCTCCCTCACCTGTACCAGGCCCTAGTGTCACCCCAGTCTCTCTCACAGACCCTGCCCTAGTGCCCTAGACATGGGCCCAGGGCCACCCTGCTGGCCAGAGGTCAGGGTCCTGTATGAAGGAAGTAGGGAGGGGGCCCCAGGTTCATTGACACAGAGGGAGGTAAGGTGTGAGGGAGCCTGCCACACCCCACAGATGGCATGGGCTGGGCAGACAGCAGGGCAGGGCCCCCAGGGCCACAGTAGCATACTTATATCAGAAAAAAATAGATTTCAAGAAACATTATGAGAAAAGACAAAAAAGGTCATTATATAATGACAAAGGGTCAATCTAATAAGCGAATATAACAATTGCCAATATATATGCACTCAATACTGGAATATCCGTATACTAAAGCAAGTATTATTAGAGCTAAAGAGAGATAGATCCCAGTACAATAATAGCTGGAGGCTTCAGATCCCAACTTTCATAATTGGATAGAACATCCAGACATAAAATAAACAAAGAAACACTGGACTTATTCTACAGTATAGACCAAATGAACTTAATAGGTATTGAAGGAACATTTCATCTAACAGCTTTAAAATACATTCTTCTGCTCAGCACACAGATCACTCTTAATAATATGTTACATCACAAATCAACTCTTAAAACATTCTAAAAAATTGAAACAATATCAAGCATCTTCTCTGACCAGAGTAGAATAAAACTGGAACTCAAAAAGAAGAGGAGCTGGGCACACTGGCTCACACCTGTAATCCCAGCACTTTGAGAGGCCAAGGCAGGTGGACCATGAGGTCAGGAGTTCAAGACCAGCCTGGCCAAGATGGTGAAATCCCCTCTCTACTAAAAATACAAAAATTAGCCAGGCATGGTGGCAGGGGCTTGTAATCCCAGCTACTCGGAGGTGGCAGTGTGCCAAGATCATGCCACTGCACTCCAGCCTGGGCAACAGAGTGACACTCCATCTTGAAAAAAAAGAAAAGAGGAGTTTTGGAAACTATACAGACACATGAAAATTACACAATATACTTCTGAATGACCTATGGGTCAATGAAGATATTAAGAAGGAAACTGAAAAATTATTCTTGAAATAAATGATAATGGAAACACAACATACCAAAACCTGTGGGATAAAGCAAAAGCAGTACAAAGAGGGAATTTTATACCTATAAGTGCTTACCTCAAAAAAGGTAGAAAAACATCAAATAAACAACTTAAAGATGCACCTTAAAAAACTAGGTTGGGTGTGGTTGTTCGTGCCTGTAATCCCAGCACAATGAGAAGCTGAAGTGAGATTACTTGAGCCAATGAGTCAAGACAAGCCTGGGCAACATAGTGAGAACTTGAAAAAACGAAAGAAAAGAAAAGAAAAGAAAAAAATGAAAAGAAAAACAAGACCAAAAAAAACTTCTTAGTAAGAGAAAGAAAATAATAAGTATCAGTGAAGAAATAAATGAAATAGATATGTAGAAAGCTATACCAAAGATGAACAAAATGAAAGTTGTTTTCTGAAAAGATAAATAAAATTGACATACTTTTAGCTAGATTAAAGAAAAACAGAGAGAGAATCCAAATAAATAAAATCAGAGATGAAAGGGAGATATTACAAATGATACCAAAGAAATTCAAAGAATCATTAGAGGCTACTATCATCAACTATATGCCAATCAGTTGAAAAATCTAGAAGAAACAAATAAATTCATAGACATATACAACCTACCAAGATTGAACCATTAAGAAATTCAAAATCTGAACAAATCAATAACAAGTAATGAAGTCAAAGCCATAATAAAAAGTCTCACAGCAAAGAAAAGCTCAGAACTTGTGATGGTTAATACTGAGTGTCAACTTGATTGGATTGAAGGGTATCAAGTGTTGATTCTAAGTGTGTCTGTGAAGGTGTTGCCAAAGGAGATTAACATTTAAGTCAGTGGGCTGGGAAAGGCATATCCACCCTTAATCTGAGTGGGTGCCATCTAATCAGCTGCAAGCACAGCTAGAATATAAGCAGGCATAAAAATGTGAAAAGAGAGACTGGCCTAGCCTCCTAGCCGACATCTTTCTCCCATGCTGCATGTTGCCTGCCCTCAAACACAAGGCTCCAAGTTCTTCAGTTTTGGAACTTGGACTGGCTCTCCTTGCTCCTCAACCTGCAGACCTCCTGTTGTGGGACCTTGTGATCATGTAAATTAATGCTTAATAAACATATATATATATATATATATCCCTTTCATTGTGCTGGGATTACAGGCATGAGAAATCATGCCCCGCCTAGATTTCAAGGTGCATCATTAAGTTGTTTATTTAATGTTTTTCTACCTTTTTTGATGTAAGCACTTATAGGTATAAAATTCCCTCTTAGTATTGTTTTTCTTTATCCCACAGGTTTTGGTATGTTGTATTTCCATTATCATTTATTTCAAGAAATATATATATATACACATACATATATATATATGTGTATATATATATATATATATATATATATATATTCCATTAGTTCTGTCCGTCTAGAGAACCCTAATACAGGACTCGATGGATTCACTGCTGAATTCTACCATTTAAAGAACTAATACCAATCCTACTCAAACTATTCTGAAAAATAGAAGAGAAGGGAAAACTTCCAAACTTCTTCTATGAGGTCAATATTACTCTGATACCAAACCAGACAGAAACACATAAAAAACAATAATACAGGCCAATATCCCTGATGAATATTGATGCAAAAATTCTTAACAAAATAGTAGCAAACTGAAATCAACAACACATTAAAAAGATCAATCATCATGACCAAGTGGTATTTATCCCAGTGATGCAAGGATGGTTCAACACATGCAAATCAGTCAATGTGATGCATTGTATCAACAGAATGAAGGATAAAAACCATATGATCATTTCAACTGATGCCAAAAATTCATTTGATAAAATTCAACATTTCTTCATGATAAAAACCATCAAAATACTAGAAGGAACATACCTCAACATAATCAAAGCCTTATACCACAGACCCACTGCAATCATACTGAACGGGAAAAACTGAAATCCTTTTCTCTAAGATCTGGATCACAAGGATGCCTGCTTTCACTACTCCTATTTAACATAATACTAGAAGTCCTAGCTAAAGCAATCTGACAAGAGAAAGAAATAAAAGACATCCAAATATTAAGAGAAGAAGTCAAATTATCATTTTGAAGATTATTTAATCTTACATTTGGAAAAACCTAAAGACCCCATCAAAAAACTATTACAACTGCTCAACCAATTTAGTAAAGTTCAGGATACAAAATTAACTACAAAAAACAGTAAGATTTCTATATACCAACAATGACCAATCCTAAAAGGAAATCAAGAAAGTTATCCCATTTATAATAATTACAAATAAAATTAAATACCTAGGAATGAAATTAACCAAAGAAATGAAAGACCTCTACAATTAAAAAAAAACTATAAAATTTTGATGTAAGAAATTGAAGAGGACACCAAAAAGTAAAAATGAAGACACGAATAGATGGAAAGATGTCCATATTCATGGATTGGAATAATCAATATTTTTGAAAAATCCTTATTACCCAAAGAAATCTACAGATTAAATTCAATCCTTATCAAAATACCAAAGACATTCTTCACAGAAATAGAAAAACCAATTTTGCAGTTTATATGGACCACAAAACACCCAGAAAAGCCAAAAGCAAAAAGAACAAAACTGGAGGAAACACATTACCTGACATCAAATTATACAACAAAAATATAGTAACTAAAACAGCATGAAACTGGCATAAAAATGGACACATAGACCAATGAGACAGAATAGAAAACCCAGAAACATATCCATAAATTTACCTTGAACTCATTTTTGACAAAGGTGCCAGGAACATACATTAAGGAAAGGACAGTCTCTTCAATAAATGGTGCTGGGAAAACTGGATATCCACATGCAGGAGAATGAAACTAGATCTCTATTTCTCACCATATAAAAAATCAAAATGGATTACACATTTAAATCTAAGTCCTCAAACTATGAAACTGCTAAAAGAAAGCCTTGGGGAAATTCTCCAGGACATTAGACTGGGCAAAGATTTCTTTAGTAATACCCCCACAAGCACAGGCAACCAAAGCAAAAATGGACAAATCGTATCATATCAAGTTAACAAGCTTTTACACAGAAAAGAAAACCATCACCAAAGTAAAGAGCCAACCCTCAGAATGGGAGAAAATGTTTGCATACTACCCATCAAACAAGGAATTTTTAACCAGAATATTTAAGGAGCTCAAACCACGCTATAAGAAAAAGTTTAATAATCTGATTTAAAAATGGGCACAAGATCTGAATAGCCATTTCTCAAAAGAAGACATAGAAATGGAAAACAGGTATTTGAAAAGGTGCACAACATTATTGGTCATCAGAAAAATGCCAATGAAAACTACAATGAGATATCATCTCACCCCTTTTAAAATGGCTTTTATCCAAAAGGCAGGCAATAACAAATGTTGGTGAGGATATGGGGAAAAGTGAACCCTAGTATACTGTTGGTAGAAATGCAAATTAGTACAATAACTTTGAGGAACTGTTTACAGGTTCCTCAAAAAGCAAAAATTGAGCTACCATATGATCTGGCAATCCCACGGCTAGATGAGAAGAAAGGAAATCAGTATATTGAAGAGATATCTGCATTCCCATCTTTATTGCAGACTTAATCATTATAGCCAAGATGAGGAAGCAAACTAAGTGTCCATTGATAGATAAATGGATAAGCAAAATTTGGTATATATGCACAATGGAGTATTATTTAGCCATAAAAAGAATGAGGTCGTGTCATTTGTTACAACATGGGTGGAACTGGAGATCATTATTTTAAGTGAAATAATCCAGGCACAGGAAGATAAATTTGAATGTTCTCACTTATTTGTGGGAGCTAAAAATTAAATCATTTGAACTCATGGAGACAGAGTGGAGGGATGGTTACCAGAGGCTGGGGAGAGTAATGGTGGGTGTTGGAGGGAAGTGGGGTTGGTTAATGGGTGAAAGAAAACAGAAAGAATGAATAAGATCTAGTGTTTAATAGCACAACAGATTGACTATAATCAATAATACGTTGTAGATTTTAAAGTAACTAAAAGAGTATAATTGGATTCTTCATAACACAAAGAAAAAATGCTCGAGGTGATGGCTACTCCATTTACCCTGATGTAATTACTATACATTGCATGTCTATATCAAAATATCTCCTGTACCTTAGAAATATACACACCTACTGTGTAACCACAAAAATTAAATATTTAAAAATGCACGAACAAAAAAGACAATAGGGCTGGGCACCGTGGCTCATGCCTGTATTCCCAGCATTTTGGCAGGCTGAGGTGGGCAGATCACTTGAGGACAGGAGTTCGAGGCCAGCCTGGCCAGCATAGTGAAACCCCATCTCTACTAAAAATAATTTTTAAAAATTAGCTCGGTGTGGTGGTGGGCACCTGTAATCCCAGCTACTCAAGGAGGCTGAGGCAGAAGACTCACTTGAACCTGTGAGGTGGAGGTTGCAGTGAGCCAAGATTGTGACAGAGTAAGACTCTGTCTTAAAAAAAAGAAACAAAAAAGTAAATGGAAATGTCTGGTATAAAATCTACAACAAATCTTGGAGTGAATAATGAAAGGATCATAATAAGAACTGAAAATAAAGTTTTCATGTTTGTCAATTATTTTCCAATTTAATGCATATATTTTATGTGATTCTAGTTACCATGCTAATTCACTCACTTGATGTGTTATAGCCACTAAGTGAATAAATATATCTATACTTAAAAAAACACAATGAGATCCATCTTACACCAGTCAGAATGGCTATTAGTAAAAAGTCAAAAAAACAACAGATACTGGTGAGGAAGTGGAGAAAGGGGAACACTTACACACCATTGGCGGGAATGTAAGTTAGTACAAAGTTTATGCAAAACTAAAAGTAGAAATACCATTTGATCCAGCAATCTCATTACCAAGTATATACCCAAAGGGAAAGAAATCATTACATCAAAAAGATACCTGCACTAGTATGTTTATTGCTGCAGTATTCACAATCACAAAGGTATGGAATCAACCTAAGTATCTGTCAATGGTTGACTGGCTAAAAAAGTGTGGTATATATATACCATGGAATACTACTCAGCTATAAAAAGTAATGAAAGCATGTCTTTTGCAGGAATACGGATGGAATTGGAGGCCATTATCCTATGCAAAAATGCTCAGAAACAGAAAGGGAAAACTGCATGTTTTCAATTATAAGTGTAACCTAAACATGTGTATACATGGACATACAGAGTGGAGTAACAGACATTGGAGACTACAAAAGTGAGAGGGTGGGAGCCGGGTGAGAGTTGAAAAATTGCCTATTGGGTACAATGTTCACTATCTGGGTGATGGCTAAAAAGCCCAGACTTCACCACTATGCAATATATGCATGTAAGAAATCTGCACTTGTGCCCCCAAATCTATTTTTACAAAGGGTAGATTCAAGAAACACTTAATTTTCTAAATTAATTTAAAATAGATTATTTTTTTGACCTGGGCAGTGACTAAGTTTAAGTTCTGAATTTCTAAATATTAAATCGTAATAGATTTCATCCGCAAGTTGTATTCAGATAAATAAATAATTCATAATTTTGCACTTCCATGTCACATTGTATATTCAAATCCATACTGATTTGTTTCCATAAACATAGAATTTTACCTGTATTTATGCACCTCAAATTAAAAAGAAATACTGGTGTGATTTTGATTAAAATCTCAATAGCTAAAGAAAAAGGAAAAAAACCTCTATGTCCTAAATTTTTTTTAATAATTGTGCAACATTTAACTTAATGCTTCCCATGCGGATATGACCCAAACAGACTACCTTGACAGCTTCCACATCAAAAAGTGTCAGCGTATTCTTTATACAATGACTATCTGACCAAATAAGACAGTGCCATAAGGGAACTAAACCGTGATGCATTGCCTTTTTTCTAGAGGTGAATAGCATTAGAGAATTCCAGCATGTTCTCTCACTATTAAATTAATGCCACAAGCACTCTAAAGTCTGACCTGAACAAGAGAGACACATAACCTGTGCAAAAAATCCTTGTTCAGAAAGAGCAATGCAGGACATGAGGAATAAGACAAATCGTCTTTTTTGCCATGAAATATTAGCCTTTGTGAGCCCTTTAACATCCTCCTGTGTTCTTTCCGAACAGGAAAATTCTCGAAAATTGCATCTGTCCATCATTGTCTTTGAGCCTCGTTAGCCTTGACCACTTTGCCTTTTTTGTAGTTGACAAGAATTTAAAGCTCTTTTTTACTGTATGAGGCAGACGTTGTAGTTTATTATCACTCAAATATACACAGTAGAGTAGTAGCTGATTTAATTAATGCATAATAATATGGAATAAGAAAAGGAAATGTGATGTTAGTCTCTGAATCTTTCTTTGTGTTTCTATGAGATATTAAAATAACCATATCTATATATCTAACCACCTATGAATTAGATAGTTTAACCTAGTATAACACATACTAAATCTATCATGTTTAGTACCTTGATCACCACTAAGTACATGTGGCAATTGACCAATTGAAATGTGAAACTGGAGAAAGAGCAACTGATTTATTAATTTTATTTTAATTAATTTTAATTTATGTTTTAAAATGAAAGCAGTGTAAAATATTTTAACATTAAACATAGCTTTTCTATTTTGGTTGGACTATGCTTCACATACTGTAAGATGATATTGTTGTATAGTTATAAATGCTACATGCATGTGTAGTTTCTAGTGTCAAATATAACCAGATATTTCTGGTATTACACATACACAGATAATCCATCTAGTTGGTATCAACTGACTGATTCAATTCAAATGATTATTTATGTACATCAATTTCACATTGTAATTTATTTGAAAATGTTATGTAGCTAGTATGCATTATAGTGATACTTATGTAAATGTAAACCATTGTATTAGGCCTCTATTGCTATGTAACAAGTTATTCCCAAAGTTAGCGGATTGTAAATAGTCATCCCTCTGCTTAGAATGCATACGATTTTTTTTAAGGACAGAGTCTTGCTATGTTGCCCAGATTGGCTTACAACTCCTAGGCTGAAGGGATCCTCCTTCCTCAGTTTCTCCAGTAGCTGGGACTATAGGCACATATTACTACACCAGGCATCAGGACCAAAACTATTCTTGACATAAAGATAGACAAATAGATCAATGGAAGAGAAAATTGAGTATGGAAATTGACCTACACATATATGGATAAGTGATTTTCAACAAAGATGCAAAGGCTATTCAGTGAGGAATCTGTAGGTGAATATCCATATGTAAGTAAATTAACTCAAGATAGAGCATAAACTTAAATGTATAACCTAAAACTATAAAAATTCTAGAAGAAAATATAGAAGACAATCTTTGTGACCTTGAATTAGACAAATATTTCTTAGATATGAAAGCAAAGGGGACATCCTTAAAATGACATGTGGATAAATTGATCTTTATCAAAATTTAAAACTTCGGCTCTTTGGAAGACACAATTAAAATAAATAAAAGACAAGCCACAAAAACAACCTCTGAGTGAAAAAACCCAGACTAAAAGATGAGAACATACTTCCTGATTCTATTTACATACATTTTTGTAAATTATAAAGTAATCTGTAGCAGTGCTTGGCAAACTGTGTCCCAGAGAGCCAAATCTGTGTGGCTACCTTATTTTATAAATAAAATTTTATTAGAACATAGTATGTCTATTAATTTATGTACTTTCTATGGGCTGTGCTTGTGTTACAACTTCAGAGTTGAGTAGCATATGCACTCCATAGCACAAAATATTTACTATAGAGAAAAAAATTGTTAGCTCTATAGAGAAAAAAATTGTTGCTGGTTTTCTGATTTTTTTGCCAGAAAGCAAATCAATGGTTATCTAGGAATGGAAGTGGGAAATGATATGGGAAGAAAAAATATCATAAATAGGCACTTCTTGGAGTGATGAATATGTTCATTATCTTGATTATAGTGATGGTTCCATGGGTGTAGGTGTATTTCAGTTTTTAAAATTTGTACACTTTAAATATATGTATTTTATTATATGTTAATTATATCTTAATAATCCTGCTTAAAAAAATATTTTTCTGCACATACATAGTGAATATAGGAAGTTTCTTCTCAGCTGTCAAAAATTAATTAATTAAATTTGTGGACTAAAATCTAAATTAAAAACCCTCCCAAAATATTAATAAATTCTATAGAATGTAAGCTTGTTATTTTGGCCAACTATGAAATGTCTTAAATACTCATTTAAAAAAAAATAGAAGGGAGAACAAGATCGCTGACTAGGCATAGCTAGGAAGCATTACTCCCACTGTGAGCTATCAAAGTTTCTAGCAAACCAACATAATTTGAATAGATCTTCAGAAAGAAAATGCTGAGAGTGGATATAGATATAATGCAGACACTGAGGATGAAGGAGAAAGCTGGAAACTCTGCCCAGGGTACCTGAATGGCAGGGCAAGTTCCCGGCCCTGAACAGCTCCTGGGTGAAGGAGTCAGTGAATGGATTGTAGGACTGCTCACCCTCACACAGACCTCTAGGATTCTAGCTACAGGAGAACCCACATGATATGATTTGGCTCTGTGTCCCCACCCAAATCTCATGTTGAATTGTGATCCCAGGTGTTGGAGGTGGGGCCTGGTGGAAGGTGATTGGATCATTGGGGTGGTTTCTAATGGTTTAGCACCACTCCCCTAGTGCTGCCTGTTAATAGAGTTCTCATAAGATCTCGTTGTTTACAGGTATGTAGCTCCGCCCTCCTCTCTCTCTCTCCCTGTCTGTCATGTGAAGAAGGTGCTTGCTTCCCCTTTGCCCTTCTGCCATGATTGTAAGTCTCCTGAGGGCTCCCCAGCCATGCTTTCCATACATCTTGTGAAACTTGAGTCAATTAAACCTATTTTCTTTATAAGTTGGCCAGTCTTTAGAGCAATGTGAGAATAGACTAATACACCACATCTCCCATGAATGTTTGAGATGGCAGGGTAATTTCCCTTGTGAATAGGCAGAGACAAGGTTTCAGCCAATGGGGAGCCAAGACTCATCTGTTCTACAGGCCCTCTTGCTTGCCAGCTCCTCCCAGAGCCCCTGATTTGCCATTCAGCAAGAACATGTGCACAGTGCAGTCTCTGCTGCTTAGTCTGGGTGATTTGCTCTACTTGAGCACATTCCTGGCAGCCTGAGAGTACATTGGATCTCCTAGCTCACCTGGAACCCAACCGTAAGGGTCTGGAGGATGGGGCCAGAACCAGTCCAGACAGCCCAGGGCTGTGGCATGGAGCTCAGGAGTGCTGAGCTCAGATATGGGGCTAGCACACAAGCAAGGGAGGAGCCCACACTCTCAGAGCACTGAGAGGGGTGAAGTGCATGGGTTTGTAGGCCAGCATGGGGAAGGGTGTGCCTCCTTCTGCAGGGCCAGTCTGGAAAGTGTGTAGCCTGTCTCCCCGTGGAGGCCTCTGCCCCAGGGAGCTCCATGGCCTTGAACACCTAACAAAAGAAATGCAGGTGCAGTGCCAGTGATTGGAGGGGACTTCTCAGAGGCCCGTGAGTGGACCTGGTGAGGGGATCACCTCTCTTTTCCCTGCATCACAGAATATTGTTGTAAATGTGAGGAAATACAAAGGAGCTGCATGGCTAAGAGCCTCTCTACCAGCCATTACTTTTAAGTGTCATCTACTGGATCACAGCCCGAACTAGAACACCAAAAATATTTTGCTAAATATACCCCTCTGTGAAACCAAGGGCAATAATGCAACAACAATAAAAACCCTGTACATAGCCTTGGCCCTCTGAAAACATCTAGAAACAAAGCCAACTGATTGGCTCCACTTACACCATTATACCACAATTAAAGGAGAAGCCCTCCTAGATGAGAAAGAATCAGTGCAGGAACTCTGGCAATTCAAAAGACCAGAATGTGTCCTTACCTCCAAACCAGTCCGCTAGCTCCCCAACAGTGATTCTTAACCAATTTGAAATGACTGAAATCACAAAGAATTCATCATCTGAATGGTAAGGAAGCTCACTGAGATTCAAGAGATATTTCAAAGCCAATCTAAGGAATCCAGTAAAATGATTCAAGAGCTGAAAGATGAAATAGTTATTTTAAGAAAGAACTAAATCTCTAGAGCTAAAAAATCAATACAAGAATTTCATAATACAACCAGAAGTATTAACAGGAAAACAGAATGAGCTGAGGAAATAACCTCAGACCTCAAAGACTAGTTCTTTGAATTAACTCAGGCAGACAAAAATAAACAAAAATGAATTTTTGAAGATGATCAAAACCTCTGAGAAATATAGGATGATGTAAAGATACCAAATATATCACTTATTGGCATTTCTGAGAGAAATAGAAAGAGTATAAGCAAGTTGAAAAATATATTTGGGGATAGAGCCCACAAAAATTTCCCCAATCTCACTAGAGGATGACATGCAAATTCAAGAAATCCGGAGAACCCCAGCTAGATAATATACAAGACAACTGTCCCCAAGGTGAATACTCATCAGATTCATGCAGGTCAGTGCATAAGAAAAAAAATTATAAAGGCAACAAGAGAGAAGGGTCCGGTCATGTATAAGGGGAAACCCATCAGGCTAGCAATGGATCTCTCAGCAGAAAACCTCACAGGCCAGAAGAGATTGGGGGCCTATTTTAAGCAACCTTAAATAAAAGACATTTTGATCAAGGATTTCATATACTGCAAAACTAAACTTTATAAGTGAAGGAGAAATAAAGATATATTAAAAATTAAAATGTAAGACATCAATCTAGAAAAATCCTAGAGGAAAACTTAGACAATATCCTTTTTTACAGCAACCATAGACAAGAATTTTTGGTTACATCCCAAAAAGCAATTGCAACAAAGAAATATTAACAAGTGGGATCTAATTAAACTAAATAGTTCAACAGAGTAAGAAGACAACCTACAGAATGGTAGAAAATATTCACAAGCTATGCATCCAGCAAAGGTGAAATATCCAGAATCTATAAAAAATGTAATGCAACAATAAAAAAAGGACTTCATTAAAAATGGCCAAGAACATAAACAGATACTTTTCAAAAAAAGACATACAAGTGGCCAAGAAACATATGAAAAAATGTTCAACATCACTAATCATTAGAGAAATGAAAATCCAAACCGCAATGAGATGCTATCTCACACCAGTCAGAATGGCTATTATTAAAAAGTCAAGAAACAATAGATGCTGGTAAAGTTGCAGAGAAAAGGGAATGGTTACACACTACTGGTAGAAATGTAAATTAGATCAGCCACTGTGGAAAGAGGTTTGGTGATTTTTCAAAGAACTTGAAATAGAAGTACCATTTCACTCAGCAATCCTATTTTTGGGTATATACCCAAAGGAATGTAAATCATTCTGCTGTAAAGACAAATGCATGCATATGTTTATCACAGCAATATTCACAATAGCAAAGACATGGAATCAACCGAAATGTCCATCAATGTCAGTCTGGATAAAGAAAATATGCTAGGTGAGAGGTTGATAGGTGCAGGAAACCACTATGGCACTATGTAATGAACCTGCACATCCTGCACATGTACCCCAGAACTTAAAATAAAAATAAAAATTAAAAAGAAAAAAAATGTAGTGCATATACACTATGGAATACTATGCAGCCGTAAAAAAGAATGAGGTCATGTTCTTTGCAGCAACCTGGATAGAGCTGGAGGCCATGAACCTAAGCCAGCTGATGGAGGAAGAGAAAACCAAATACTGCATATTCTCACTTCTAAGTGGGAGTGTAGCAGAATACACATGGACACAAGGAAGAGAAGAACAGACACCAGGGCCTACTTAAGGGTGGAGGGTGGGAGGAGGGTAAAGATTGAAAAGCTACCTATCAAGTACTATGCTTATTACCTGGATGTGAAATAATCTGTACACCAAACCCCTGTAACATGCAATTTACCTATATAACAAATATAGGTGACAAAACTGCACATGTACTGCTGAACCTAAAATAAAAGATAAAAAAAAGAAAGAACAATAAAAAGTACAGTTCTTAGCTTACATGATTATGTGATGCTGCTCAATTTATATTTTGATATATTTTATCCATATTTATAATTAAATGTTATCAGCTCATAACCTAAAATACTGAAAAGAAAATGAGTTTTTGGTATACATTTTAGTTATTGGAAAATTTTTCGATATGCTTGGTACAATTTAGTTAATGGTATCTAACTTTTTAAATATAAAGTTTATGAAATCTAGACACAGATCCAATTTTTCTGACAAAAATTGTTATCCAAATTGAGGTTTCCTATAAGTGTAGAATACACATTTGGTTTTAGATATTTATTATAAAAATATTTAAAGTATATTATTAATAAATTTAATCCTGATTACATGTTGAAATCATAAATTTTATGCATGCACTGAAACAAAATGTATTAAGTTTGTTCTACGTGTTTTCACTATTTTTAATGTGGCTGCTAGAAAACTTAAAATTACATGTGTGGCTTGTCATATATTTCTATTAGATAGTCCCTAGGTCATGGAAACAAATGAGTAATCTAATTTCCAAAACTTGCTTTGGGGTTTCCTACAGAAACTCATCTTACCTTAGACTACTTTTACCTGAAGTTTCAGGAAAAAATAACAATGAAACCATATGGATTCTTACAGAGTGAGGCAACATGAGAACACTGCAGAGGCAACCTAGAAGGGCAAACATAATCAATTTTCAAACATGGATTATGCCTCACAGGTCCCTATTTAATAACTTCTATGTCTTACATACCCATGCCGAAATGTTATGGAGTCAAGACAAATGGTGGGAAGTTGGGAAATGGTTATCTGACAGAGGTGAGGAATATTGGAGTTTTGGGTGGGGGTCAGAGAAGAGAGGGGCAGGCCAAGAAGATATAAACGTGGCACCCAGAAGACAGCATCCCAGGCTGAAGAAGTTGTGAAAAAGTTTCAACAAATTGTCAACTCATAGTTTGTTCATACTGCTCATGTAGTAAGCAAGTTCTGAAGGGTGGCAAGATGCAGAACCTGAAGATCTTAAGATATTCCCTGATGTGCCTGTGTGCAAAACCAGGGTTAATTTATTAGATCATCTACTCTAAATCTCTTGTAAACTGCTGAATGTGGCAGTCCTGACTGCTGGGAATAAGGACTGATGGGGTATATGAATAACTCCCTGCTTAAGAAATGTCAACAAGCCCCCAAAAGCTATGTTGAGAGGTTGTACCTTACAGTGAAATTGACCTCACCACCTGTATTATAGAATAGGAGCACATAAATTCCCTCAATATGCCATGTCTCAAAAAAGTGTGTGCATAAATGTGCTGTCCAAGAATAGAACTCTACTTTTTTTCAACATAAACAAGTTTTTCAGTTATCGAGTGTCTAATTGTCGTTGAACTGTCAAGTGACACATAGAGCAAAAGAGCAGAATGATCTTAAAAGTATAACAGTATTAGGTTTCATTTTTCCTATGCTGTCCTTAAGATTTAGGAATAAGATTAAGTCAAAGGTAAATGCCCATTAATGAAACAGGAATAACCAAAGGAAATGTTACATATTTGTTGATAGTACTTTCATCATTAGATCTGATTGGATCAGCTGAATGTTAAAAAAATAAATGTATCAGCAATGATGTAATGGACTTAATATAATAAGCAATAATAACATATTTGGTTCTGGAATAATATTAGCTTTCTATACAAGTCACACTAAAATGATTATGTTTCTATTTAATTCTGTATTCCATAGACTGATTCTCACATACTTAAATTTTTGATTTTTCTACATGTCAGAATTGAACATTTTATATAACATAAAAATGAGATACAATTGGAGAAATAAGGTGAAATTAATAGTGTAGATTTTATATAAAATTTTGGATTTGGTACCTCACTAACTGAAATCACTGGGTAATGAAATGTGAGCATTCCTCCCGGAGCAGGGCTGCAACCTCTATTGCTTATCCCTGACCTCCATTATTTGAAAAAATAAACTTAGCCCTGTGTTCTAAGGTTGGATTTTAAAAAAAAAAGATATCGATGCATGAATGTGTGGTGAAATTTTTAAAAATATGCAATGACTCTTGGAAATATACTCTCTCTTTTAGAAAGAAGAAGAAAGAGAGTGTAAGAGAGAGGATGCGCCAATTTATTTTTTATTTTTTATTTTTTTTTTTTTTGCTCCTGTGAGCTGTCCATGCCAGAGCAGAGTCTTAGCAATGTTTTCTATGACAATGCCTTAGCTGGTTTCCATTTTTAAAGTCCTACTATGCCTCTGAAACAAGGCTAGCTGCTTCAACTGTAGGAATATTCATATTACCTCTTTCCTACCTCCTGAATATCTGTGGTAAATAAGCTTTTGACAAAGTTTTTAAACACTATCATTTTCTTAGCTATAATTATATACAATTCAGTCACTACTACCAAACAAGGGGATGAGGGGAATATCATTAAAAGAAAAAAAATGTCAAAGGCAAATTCTCTTTCCAACCAGTGTGTTTCTTTAAACACAGACTGCATTGAGTAGTCCTTACTTTTAGCCATGGATATTTTCATACTGCTAGGGGACTTTCTCTCTAAAGTCATATTTTATTCCCCATTCTAAAATGCCTAGTCACAATCATATGAACCCCTTGTACTAGGAAAATAATAACCCACCCTGCTTGAACAAACACTGTGGGATTTTTAGACAATGATAGGCTTTCAGAATAAACTGTTACCTTGGGACTCTACAGACAGGTTTTGTTTTGTTCACACAGTATTTCTTTGATTGTTAAATTTGATGAATATTTTACACAACCAGGTAATTTAATATGAAAATCTACATTTCTAGTTTCTTCCCCAAAACAGAAAAATTGCATAACTGTAAATCAAAATTTCTACCTGGTAGTCATCAACTAGAGCTGAGAAGCCACCTCCTCTTTATATGACTCTTAAGTTTGTCTGTCTTCTTTCATGAGGTAGCTCTATTCATTACATTCTTGACCTGACCCCTATAAGCTTTGTTTTTTGGAATCTCTGGTCAGAATCTCCTGAATAATGGGGAATTAGAGAGCTGCAAACCATGTGCCTATCACCTTCCTTAAGTTATGACCCACTGAAAAATAAAATCCAGAAAGAAAATATCAAAAGATGAGCTTCAATTACAATAGAAAAATGATTAAAGACTGTGGCTTTAAATCTGTGCCCAAATGTGTTTTCAAATGTTCCCACCACCATTAATCCCATCTGTAAGCCTAGACCATAAGATAGCTCACTCAAGATTTGAAGAACAAACTCACACAAGATCCTTGCCTCATACTGATCAAAAGCACAGAGGAGAGAAATGAAAGTTAATCTCAAAGGTGTTTTTTTTTTTTATTTTTAGATTACCTCTATCCAGGAAAAGAAACCTGGATAATGAATATCATACTTTTTCAACCACCAATTAGCAATTTATTCCTTACCTGAACAGTGGGAATGGTGTAAAGAGAGGCCTTGTAAAGAAAGCTCACCACATGGAAGGCCAGGAGAATGAATTCTTTCCTAGAATTAGTATTTCCTAGTAAAGCAATAAATGGGGATCTGAATCTTCATAAAGCAACACTATAGTGGGGTAGTGAATAAAATAAACTTAAAACGGTAATGGTAGCTAATTGAAAAGGTAGTGGCAGAGACTTCTGGTTCCTTAGCAAATATCCTTTTTCCAATTATCTAACAAATTAATACAATTTTTATTTTAGCTGAGCACATTGCCACACAAGTAAAGAAACAACTTCTGTTTCAACTAGGTGTGGTCATGTGAGTAAGTCTGGTCACTGAGGTACAAGTGGATAAGTGATACGGAACTTCCAAGAAGTCTTCTTGCAAAGATGGAGGTATACCCTTTGTCTTGGTCCATTAGTGCTGCTACAAAGGAATACCTGGGCCTGGGAATATATAAAGAAAAGAGATTTACGTGGCTCATGGTTCTGTAGGCTGTACAAGAAGCAAGGCACCAGCATCTGCTTCAGGTGAAGGCCTCAGGCTGCTTCCACTCACGGCAGAAGGGGAAGGGAAGCCAGTGTGGGCAGACATACATGGTGAGAGAAAAGGCAAGACAGAATGGAGGAGGACACCCGTCTCTTTTTAACCACCTGTTCACGAAGGAACTAATAGAATGAGAACTCACTCATTACTGTGAGGACAGCACCAATGACCCAGACACCTCCCATTAAGACCCACCTCCAACACTGGAGATCAAATGAGATTTAGGGGAGTCAAATATCCAAGATATAGCACCCTTTTACAATCCTCGTTTCATTTTCTGTTACTTGAAACACAGATGCAATGACTGAAGCTTTAGCAGTCATTTTGGACTATGATGACAATGCTGTGTGTTAGAAAGAATCCCAGGCCCCCAATGCCCATAAAACCATCAGTCCAGTGCTATAATAATCTACAGAATTATTTCACATTAGGGAGAAATGTACATGTATATTATTTAAGTCATTCTTGCTTAAGATTCTATTTTGTAAAGCTGAACTTAAACCTAATTTATAAGACTTCAGTATGAAACAAATTATTCCAAAGAGATAAATCATAAATTGGCATGATAAAGAAGCTCTACATCATTTCTTTGTGTAGACTACAAATTATAGGAGCACTTAGAGTGTTTGTTTGAAAAATAAATATTCAGTTACATAGTTAATATCAGGTAACAACATTTACATCCCACAGAAAGCATATTATATACTGTTATTAACCTCCCTGCCTGCAAACTTGTTGCCCTGTTCTGCCTTCTTCCCCCATTCTGTGCTCAGCAAGGCTAAAGCAATTCTATAAAAAGAATTATAATCATATCACCCTCTTGCTTAAAACATGTTAATAACAATTCTATGTCTCAGGTAAGGGAAAAATTCTTTACCATGCCATACAATCCCCTTTATAATGTGATCCTTGATGACCTCTTTGCCCTCATCCTGTACCCCTCCTTATCTCTTCTTATGCAATATGTGCCATGCTGTCTCTTAACTATGTGTATTTGTACTTGCTTTTCCTTCCATCTGAAGCACTTTCCACTTTTACACTTCTGTTTCAGAGGCTTTCTATTCACTCCATAAATTCCATTTCCTCTTCCTTATAAATATTTCACAACCTCCCTTGCATGAGGATAGAATTGTGTAAGTAGTCTGGATAAAAAATTATGGTCAAAATGATATACAAAACCTTCAGAGTTAGGTGAAAACATTGTTCCATCTGCCAAGCTTACTCTTCCTCATTTGTACATTTGGAATAAAAGGAATCTGAGATGATGAAGCCAAGATGATGAACCTTGAAGGAACCAAGACTCTTGAAAGGGTAGTTATCCTGAAGAGCCATCATTCTGCATCATAATGTAGCATGATAAAGAAGTACACCTTTAGGGTACTGGTCCACTTTATTTATACCACAGCACAGCCTAACTTAACCTGATTAATGAAATATGCCTAATATTTCTAATGCTTCAGTATTTAAATTCAGCATCTCTTCCTCATGGAAGCTTTCCCTGACATACCTCCAACTTCTCAGTTCATGTTATATCTCACACCTGAATGTTTCTGAAGACTTCTGTGTATTTCTGTGTAGCATTTTATTATTACAATTTTTGATTTACTTATTAGTCTAATTCCACAGGATTGTAAACTTGTTCAGGATAGAGCCAGTTGTTGACTTCAGTATCCATAGCATCTAGTATCTTGCTAGTCTTTAGTAATTATTGAATGGAGATGAATGAGATAAAGAACTTTTTTTTTTTTTTGGTGGGGGGGGACGGAGTCTCACTCTGTCTGCCAGACTGGAGTGAAGTGGCATGATCTCGGCTCACTGCAACTTCCACCTCCCAGGTTTAAGCAATTCTCCTGCCTCAGCCTCCCTAGTAGCTGGGACTACAGACACATGCCACCACACCCAGCTAATTTTTGTGTTTTTAGTAGAGACAGGGTTTCACCATGTTGATCAGGGTGGTCTCGAATTCCTGACCTCGTGATCTGCCTGCATCAGCCTCTCAAAGTGCTAGGATTACAGACGTGAGCCACCGCACCTGGCCAGAATGTTTTTTAGAAACATTTTTGGAAACAATATATTACCTTATAAAAACAACATAAAACAATACTGCTGACCATGAATTTTATTATTAATACAAAGGATTGAAAAACAATTACTTTATGATGAAGTGATTTTTAAAATATCACATTTCAGGCATGTGGGACTTGAAGTTCAGTTTAAATATTTGCAGAAAGAAGGCACAAGATCTTTTGAAAACTGGTGTTGTTTGGTTGTTCAAAGAAGCAGACTCTGACAGGAAATTTAGCCTGCAGAATAATCGCTAAACAATGTCCTTGGGGTCGACAATGATGGAAGGAATGGGAAGGGAGTAGGACTGGGCAGAGGGAGAACTCAAGCTAAGAGGCAGGCTCAATGGCAGCTTTTGCTCACTCCATGGTGCTTCACAAATGTCCTGAGTTGGGTATAAAGGTGGACAAAACTTCAAAGTCATCCATTAATCAGTCATTGGATATAGGCTATCCAAGGAAGGGATTTGGCATTGGGCAAATAGTTTCCCACAGATGAAGCAATCCCTAAAGTGACTGACAGTTGTAGGCTCTCTGCTGGCAGCACTTTCAGAAACTGGGTAAGGGAGTTTAGGGTTGCATACCACAGTTCCTACTACAGTGGTCTTTTTCTCTCAATTCCACACATGTACCATTGCTCTGGCACCACAATACTTTTGCACGTTTCAGTTTTGTTCTATTTGACATCTGAGGTGTAAAGATAATAAGGGATTAATATTGTATGACAAAGAACATCACACTTTGCAGCACACATGTAAAATCAAATATTTAATTCAATTGTCTACAGTTTTAATAAAACTAGTAAACAAAATGAAGTATGCAAAGCAACAGTATAATGGAATTATCTTAGAGACTTACAGAAAAGTTAGATTATTTTTGTTTTTCTTTTTGTTTTTAAACTAGTCAAGTAAAGGGACATAGATAGGAAATGAACATTATATCTTTGGCTATTTCTGTATCTCCACGCTTCCCCTTCCCTCACAAATTCTGAATAAGAACTTGTAAAACACTAAGTATTTATCAATGCAGATGGAGTAAATAAGAAAAAACTGTAAGACAAAAAAGGAGAAAGTTTAATAATTAATGAGTAAAGGTATGTAATAGGAAGGAAAAAATAAAGAATAAAGAGAGCAATATTTTGCTAATCTCAATATTGACCATCAAAACAACAAAGACTAAATATTATTCTGGGTCAAAAGATGTGTATTTTTGAAGGTGATTGCAAAAAGTTGGTGTTGAAATGAAGGAATCAAAATAAATAAACATTGGACTCAGAAAATGTTACTGTTGGAAAGAATTCATGCTATACCTGTTGAAGGAGTCTCAAAGAATGACTATTTGTTATCCCTAAGATTTTGCAAGTTTTTCTGCAAAACAACTCTTATGTTTTAATTTAGAGGTTTTTTTTTCCTGTGCATTGGATGCAGATGTGATTTCAAGATCCCTTAAAATATTTGAGCATCAATATTTTCCATGAAAGCTCTGTAAACTGGGGATTTGTCTGTTGAAATTAAAAAGCCCACCCTAATAGAACATCTATTCTACTGGGGATAATCAGACAATAAATAAGATAAATAAGTAAAAAATAACAACTGTGATGAAGAAAAATACAACAGAAGGGAAACTGGGAAGGTGGGGCAGAATATTAAACAGGTTTTGTAGAGCATCTGTGGGAATGTGACATTAGGTCTTTATTTAAAGACCTAATGCAGATGAGGGAGAAAGTCATGTAGCTATTTGGGGGACAGAGGAAACGGCAAGTGTCTGCTGGGTCCAAAGTACATTAGGGAAAACAGTACAAATAAAATGCCAGAGCACAGAGAAATGCAGTAGAAGATGAGATCAGAGAGGTAAAGGATGGCTAGAGAGTATACTATATTACAAGGCTATCAGAAAAATGTAAGCAATTTGGCTTTTATACTAAGTGAAACGAACAGGTTTTGAAAAAATAAACCCAGAGTAATAAAAGAAATATTGAAATCATGAAATAAGAACAGGAGGTTATTTGAAAAGTAAAATTCAGAGACAATAAAATAATTATTGAAAATTTAAAATATGAACAAAATAATAAAAACTACATGAAAAAGGAAACCATCAACAGAGCGAAGAGACAACTTACAGAATGGAAGAAAATACTTACATCTGATAAGGGGTTAATATTCAAAATATATTTTAAAACATAACTCAATAGCAAAAACATAAGTAATTCAATTTAAAAATGGGTAAGGAACTAGCATAGACATTTCTCAAACAAAGAAATACAAAAGACTAACAGGTATATGAAAAAATGCTCAACATCACTGATCATCAGGCAATTGCAATTAAAACCATAATACCTGTTATAATGGCTCTTATCAAAAGATGAAGTGTTGGCAAGAATGTAGAGAAAAGAGAACCTTTGTATACTGTTGGTAGGAATGTGAATTAATTAATTAATGTTCACCATTATGGTGAACAGTACAGGGGTTGCTAAAAAACAATAATAGAATTACCATATGATCCAGCATTCCTACTTGTGGGTATGTATCCAAAAGATTTGAAATCAGTATGTTGAAGAGATATCTGCACCGTCATGTTAATTGCAGCACTATTTACGATAGCCAAGATATGGAATTAACCTAAGTGTACAAGAAATATACACAGTAAAATACCATTCAGCTATAAAAAAAAGAACAGGAATTGAACTCAGCCCTGCACCAAGCAGACCTAACAGATATCTACAGAACTCTCCACCCCAAATCAACAGAATATACATTCTCCCCAGTACCACACCACACTTATTCCAAAATTGACCCCATAGTTGGAAGTAAAACACTCCTCAGCAAATGTAAAAGAGCAGAAATTATAACAAACTGTCTCTCAGACCACAGTGCAATCAAACTAGAACTCAGGATTAAGAAACTCACTCAAAACCACTCAACTACATGGAAACTGAACAACCTGCTCCTGAATGACTACTGGGTACATAACGAAATGAAGGCAGAAATAAAGATGTTCTTTGAAACCAATGAGAACAAAGACACAACATACCAGAATCTCTGGGACACATTCAAAGCAGTGTCTAGAGGGAAATTTATAGCAAACAAGGCCCACAAGAGAAAGCAGGAAAGATCTAAAATTGACACCCTAACATCACAATTAAAAGAACTAGAGAAGCAAGAGCAAACACATTCAAAAGCTAGCTGAAGGCAAGAAATAACTAAGATCAGAGCAGAACTGAAGGAAATAGAGACACAAAAAACCCTTCAAAAAAATCAATGAATCCAGGAGCTAGTTTTTTGAAAAGATCAACAAAATTGATGGACCACTAGCAAGACTAATAAAGAAGAAAAGAGAGAAGAATCAAACAGATGCCATAAAAAATGATAAAGGGGATATCACCACCAATCCCATAGAAATACAAACTATCATCAGAGAATACTATAAACACCTCTACGCAAATAAACTAGAAAATCTAGAAGAAATGATAAATTCCTCAACACATACACTCTCCCAAGACTAAACCAGGAAGAAGTTGAATCTCTGAATAGACCAATAACAGGCTCTGAAATTCAGGCAATAATTAATAGCTTACCAACCAAAAAAAGTCCAGGACCAGATGGATTCACAGCTGAATTCTACCAGAGGTATTAGGAGGAACTGGTAGCATTCCTTCTGAAATTATTCCAATCAATAGAAAAAGAGGGAATCCTCCCTAACTCATTTTATGAGGCCAGCATCATCCTGATACTAAAGCCTCACAGAGACACAACAAAAAAAGAGAATTTTAGACCAATATCCCTGATGAACATTGATGCAAAAATCCTCAATAAAATACTGGCAAACCGAATCCAGCAGCACATCAAAAAGCTTATCAACCATGATCAAGGGGGCTTCATCCCTGGGATGCAAGTCTGGTTCAACATACGCAAATCAGTAAACATAATACAGCATATAAGCAGAACCAAAGACAAAAACCACATGACTATCTCAATAGATGCAGAAAAGTCCTTTGACAAAATTCAACAGCCCTTCATGCTAAAAACTCTCAATAAATTAGGTATTGATGGGATGTATCTCAAAATAATAAGAGCTATTTATGACAGACCCACAGCCAATATCATACTGAATGGGCAAAAACTGGAAGCATTCCCTTTGAAAACTGGCACAAGACAGGGATGCCCTCTCTCACCACTCCTATTCAACATAGTGTTGGAAGTTCTGGCCAGGGCAATCAGGCAGGAGAAAGAAATAAAGGGTATTCAATTAGGAAAAGAGGAAGTCAAATTGTCCCTGTTTGTAGATGACATGATTGTATATCTAGAAAACCCCATCATCTCAGCCCAAAATCTCCTTAAGCTGATAAGCAACTTCAGCGAAGTCTCAAGATACAAAATCAATCTGCAAAAATCACAAGCATTCTTATACACCAATAACAGACAAACAGAGAGCCAAATCATGAGTGAACTCCCATTCACAATTGCTTCAAAGAGAATACAATACCTAGGAATCCAACTTACAAGGGATGTGAAGGACGTCTTCAAGGAGAACTACAAACCACTGCTCAATGAAATAAAAGAAGATACAAACAAATGGAAGAACATTCCATGCTCATGGATAGGAAGAATCAATATCGTGAAAATGGCCATACTGCCCAAGGTAATTTATAGATTCAATGCCATCCCCATCAAGCTGCCAATGACTTTCTTCACAGAATTGGAAAAAACTACTTTAAATTTCATATGGAACCAAAGAAAGAGCCCCCATTGCCAAGATAATCCTAAGCCAAAAGAATAAAGCTGGAGGCATCACACTACCTGACTTCAAACTATACTACAAGGCTACAGTAACCAAAACAGCATGGTACTGGTACCAAAACAGAGATATAGACCAATGGAAGAAAACAAAGCCCTCAGAAATAATACTACACATATACAACTATCTGATCTTTGAGAAACCTGACAAAAACAAGAAATGGGTAAAGGATTTCGTATTTAACAATGGTGCTGGGAAAACTGGCTAGCTATATGTAAAAAGCTGAAACTGGATCCCTTCCTTACACTTTATACAAAAAATAATTCAAGATGGATTAAAGACTTAAATGTTAGACCTAAAACCATAAAAACCCTAGAAGAAAACCTAGGCAATACCATTCAGGACATAGGCATGGGCAAGGACTTCATGTCTAAAACACCAAAAACAATGGCAACAAAAGCCAAAATTGACAAATGGGATCTAATTAAACTAAAGAACTTCTGCACAGCAAAAGAAACTACCACCAGGGTGAACGTGCAACCTATAGAATGGGAGAAAATTTTTGCAATCTACTCATCTGACAAAGGGCTAATATCCAGAATCTACAAACAATTCAAACAAATTTACAAGAAAAAAAACAACCCCATCAACAAGTGGGTGAAGGATATGAACAGACACTTCTCAAAAGAAGACATTCATGCAGCCAAAAGACACGTGAAAAAATGCTCATCATCACTGGCCATCAGAGAAATGCAAATCGAAACCACAATGAGATACCATCTCACACCAGTTAGAATGGCGATCATTAAAAAGTCAGGAAACAACAGGTGCTGGAGAGGATGTGGAGAAATAGGAACACTTTGACACTGTTGGTGGGACTGTAAACTAGTTCAACCATTGTGGAAGTCAGTGTGGCGATTCCTCAGGGATCTAGAACTAGAAATACCATTTGACCCAGCCATCCTATTACTGGGTATATACCCAAAGGATTATAAATCATGCTGCTATAAAGACACATGCACACGTATGTTTATTGTGGCACTATTCACAATAGCAAAGACTTGGAACCAACCCAAATGTCCAACAATGATAGACTGGATTAAGAAAATGTGGCACATATACACCATGGAATACTATGCAGCCATAAAAAATGATGAGTTCATGTCCTTTGTAGGGACATGGATGAAGCTGGGAACCAGCTATCGCAAGGACAAAAAACCAAACACCGCATGTTCTCACTCATAGGTGGGAATTGAACAATGAGAACACTTGGACACAGGAAGGGGAACATCACACACTGGGGCCTGTTGTGGGGTGGGGGGAGTGGGGAGGGATAGCATTAGGAGATATACCTAATATAAATGATGAGTTAATGGGTGCACCACACCAACATGGCACATGTATATGTATGTAACAAATCTGCATGTTGTGCACATGCACCCTAGAACTTAAAGTATAATAAAAATCTATATATAAAATAAATAAAGAAAGAAAGAACAAAATCCTCTCATTTGTGACAACATGGAGAATATGAGTCCAAAAGTTGAACTCATAGAGGGAGAAAGTAATATGTGGTTACCAAGGGCTTGGGGAAGTAGGGGAATGGGGATGCATGGGTCAAAGGATACAAGTTTTCGGTTAGGAAAAAAAAAACTTCAAGAGATCTTTTGTACAACACGATGACTGTAGTTAAAAACTATGTATTGTATACATAAAAACTTTTAAGAGAGAAGATTTTAATTACATATGTTAATTATCTGGATTTAGCCA
Organism: Homo sapiens; assembly: GCF_000001405.40. Taxonomy (NCBI): domain Eukaryota; kingdom Metazoa; phylum Chordata; class Mammalia; order Primates; family Hominidae; genus Homo; species Homo sapiens. The sequence continues at coordinate 104,379,979 of NC_000004.12, forward strand.
TTCTACCATGTATACTAATTTCAAAACATCTTGTTGCATACCATAAATATATACAATTTTTGTCAGTGAAAATGTAATAATATACAAATAAATGCAAAAAAAAGTAGAAGTTAAATTTGAAGACATCTCCCTGAATGTAGAACTACCAAGCAAAGAGATGTAAAACTGGAAAGAAGAGATAAACAAACATCATTCTAGAGTCTATTACCTATGTGAGACAAACCAGTTAATAAAAAAGCACAAGAATTGAAGGACATGAGTCTTCAAATCAAAATGACCTACAGATTGCCCAGAGTAAGAAATAAAAAAATACACACAAGCATGCGTGTGTGTATATATGCCTATATATGTGTGTGTGTACACATACACACACATAAATATATTCATATGTATAGAACCAAAGGACAAAATGAAAAAGAATTAGGTGATATATAAAGGATCAGGCAACGGAATAGCATTGGACGTCTTAGCAGCATATCTTGGAGCTAGAAAACAATGGAACATGTGTATTAGTGAGCACAAACTGATTTCTGTAACACACAATTCTCAAATCCCAGCGGCTCAACACATAGTTTTTAATTATTTCTCATGACTTAGACCTATCTGTGATAGTAGTATTTGCGGAGCCTACATCTTCTCATATAGTACTTCTGCTGTCACCTACGGCCTTAGAGTTCACCAACTGCAATTAGGCTGCAATTTAATAAAAGAGGGCAATTTCTGTGGAGGTTGTAAGGACCGGAGCTGGAAATTGCATACATCACTAAAACCCAGCCATGTGTCCCCTACTAGTAAAGAAGGCCAATAGAAAAATGAAGCAGTGTATGTTTTTACCATACAACAAAGTGTATATCTTTGCCATATAATTCCTTCACAATTCTAGGGAAATATGATTTCCAACCTGGGTTCTAACAACTGTAAATCAAGTCTGAAGGTAAAGAGTTCAGCTATGCCAAATCTCAAACTTACCCTCCTTGTGAATTTCTCAGTAAACTTATTAAAGATAATCTAGCGATGAAAAAACCAATCAAGATATAAAATCAGAGTATTCAAGAAAGAAGAATGCAATGAGCCCTATACTTATAGGGAAGGGAGATCTCAAGAAGACAGTGGTATGTGAGGTTTAGCAAGCAACTGGTAAATACAGGAGGACAGGCAGTTTAAGGAGGGATATATCTGAATAAGAAAATGAAATTGAAGATTGGTAGAAAGTATTTAAACTTATTGTTGGGAGATATTTTATTCCTATGGGCAAAATGTTTGGGTCTATATTAGTAATATTTTCATGAAAAACTAAGCAAATCAGAGGATCAATATTAACTGAGAAACAAAGACATGTAAAAAAGATGTGCAATTATGGTAAAGAATATGGCTTAGCTATGAATTAAAATTATGCACTCATAAAAAGTTAAATGCTCAGCATTAGTATAAGCACGTATTATGGTATAACAACAGTGTGATGGATGGGGAAGGGAATGTGCATGCATGAGAAGGTGTTCAATAGAGCTTCATTCTCAAAATCTAAAAACAAATCTAAGTAAAAACATATTATTTAAATACAGAGATAAATATCAGAAGAAACACTTAAAAGTGCTGAACTTTGTGACCTCTGAGAAGAATGTGGGTTTGTTGAGTAGGGAAGAGGCCACTGGATTTTCTTAAGCGCTTTATAAAACTGTAGCTGTAGGGAGGGAAAGACATCCCTTATTGCCAAGTATATGCCATCCCTGCTTTAGAGCTATATGATTTAGGATAAATGCACAAAAGGATTAATATTGCAAGTAAATTGGGAAAAAATACTTGGGAGAAAATTGTTTGACTTCAGTAGATTTTATTTAAAACCGAATGAGTTAAAGTCAATACACAACTCATAAAAGCAAGGTGTGAGAAGTACTTATTTCCTTTACTAGATTATTACACTTTATTACCCAGATTACTAAACAGAGCTCAAAACCATGTATAGGTTACACATACATATAACTAGAAAAGTGGCAAGTAGAAACATTCACATATGAATTATGAGGCACTATGAGAAATGCAGCAAAGTTCAAGGAACTAGTGAAAGAGCTGTGCATAGGAAAGTCAATGTAACAAGAAGGAGAGCAAAGATAGTCATAATAAAGTGTTCTTAGTAGATATGGTAAAACATTTTAAAAAGTTGAAGTGAAAGTGATTTAAGAAGAGAAAGAGGAAAAAAGTAGAGCTAGAATGTCATTCCTAAAAAGCAGCAGTCACTCAGAAGGAGAGGATTTGGACTATTGTGAGTCTAAGTGTGGCTTGCGTGTGTCAGGTTGAAAATATTTTGTTCTCTTGACATTATATCTCAATGCAAGTATCACTAATGTTCTGTTAAAAAAAAAAACGTGATTACCAGCCAGACTGATTTTTTTTTTCAATTTATCACCACAGTAGTCCTCCCTTATCCTCTAGAGACACATTCCAAGACCCCTAGTGGATGCCTGAAATGTAGATAGTGCTGAGCCCAATATATACTGTGCTTTTGCTTATACATGCATACTTACGATAACATGTATACATTAGGCACAGTACGAGATTGACAACAGTAACTAATAATAAAATAAAATTATAACGGTATGCCAGCATCACTGCTCTTGTGCTTTGGAGTCACTGCTAAGCAAAATAAGAGTTATTGAAAAAATGTGGCAAATATACACCATGGAATACTATGCAGCCATAAAAAATGATGAGTTCATGTCCTTTGTAGGGACATGGATGAAATTGGAAATCATCATTCTCAGTAAACTATCGCAAGGACAAAAAACCAAACACCGCATGTTCTCACTCATAGGTGGGAATTGAACAATAAGAACACATGGACACAGGAAGGGGAACATCACACTCTGGGGACTGTTGTGGGGTGGGGGGAGGGGGGAGGGATAGCATTAGGAGATATACCTAATGCTAAATGACGAGTTAATGGGTGCAGCACACCAGCATGGCACATGTATACATATGTCACTAACCTGTACATTGTGCACATGTACCCTAAAACTTAAAGTATAATAATAATAATTTAAAAAAAAACAGAAAAAAAAAAGAAAACAGGTACTGCAATACCTCAACAGTTGAGCTGATAACTGAGATGGCTACCAAATGACTGACTGGCTGGTAGGTTACACAAGGTGAATATGCTGAACGAAGGGATGATTCACGTCCGGGGAGGAACAGAGTGGGATGATGTGATTATTTCACCATGTTACTGAGAACAATGTGACTCTGTTCCTCAATTCGAAGAACGCACACCTATGTGCTTGGCCTGTGACTTTAGTTCCACCTACACTTTATTTCAATTCTTGTGTCTCAACTCAGGCCTTGAAAACAAAGTGCATGAAGAACCTGTGCTTCCAAAGACACTGGCTCATTCTTGACATCAATGTTTCAACTTGTATTAGTCCATTTTCACACTGCTATAAAGAACTCCTTGAGACTGGGTAATTTATAAAGGAAAGCGGTTTAATTGACTCACAGTTCAGCATGGCTGTGGAAACCTCAGGAAACTTACAATCATGGCAGAAGGTAAAGAGGAAACAGGGCACCTTCTTCACAAAAACGGCAGGCAGGAGAAGTGCTGAGTAAAGGAGGGAAGACCCCTTATAAAACCATCAGATCTCGTGAGAACTCTCTCACTATCACAAGAACAGCATGGAGAAAACCGCCCCATCATTCAATTACTTCCACCTGGTCTCTCCCTTGGCAGGTGGGGATAATGGGGATTGTAATTCAAGATGAGATTTGGGTGGAGACACAAAGCCTAACCATTTCAAACTGGTTTCTCTTTCCACCGCACAGATTTTGGCCAAGGTTCTGACCGCTCTAACCCAATCTCTTCATCCATGGGTTCTGAGACAATAAGCAAGGCCTACTTGTCTAAGTTCTGGTCCTTATTAGCCAATATTTCTTTGTCTGCCTCTGTCCCCCACTGGTAATAATATATGTTTATAGAATATGGTATATTATTCACAACTACTGTAAGAACATAATCACAGTGATTATGTCAAAAGATAATAATTCTTAGGAATAAAATAAATACAAAATATTAATTTTTACAATCAATAAAAATATCCAGATTAGAGTGAATAAGAAATAAAGAAAACATGATGTGAATGAAAAAGATGGCTATTATATTTTATGTAAATACGTGTTAAGAATGATTTATAAACTAAACTTGTAAAGAAAAACTAATGTGCTTATCAATGAACACTCTTATTAGGATATTGATTGATGACGATTTAGAACAGACAATTTTAGGAGATTGCTTAGAAACAGACAATTCCATTAAGCAACTTTAATCCTTTGTCTTTTATACATTAATTATGTTTACTTGCTACCAACTTGATGTGGAATATCTTTGTGTAGAGAGTTTTTTTTTTTATTGCTTTATGGAACAGTAAGCCCAAACAGTTGAAAGGCAGCAATTGAAATCATTGTGGAGAAGATTCAATCTTGTAGCAGGGATTGTCAATGCTGCTCAAAAAAGAGATGACGTTTCAGGGTAGAACCTTACCAAAGGTCAAAATGTGGGGGAATAGAGGACAGACACAAAATCACCTCATAAGAGGTTGCTGCTCAAGGGTGAGAGGTTTGGTGAATCAATGTATAAAAGATATTGAAAATCTATAGTTTAAATAGAGTATAAGGAACAGATTTAAAATTAGTAACAGAGGATGAAGAATAAGCTGTGAGCAATAAGGTAGTAATCAATTAAGACTCTTTAGAATAGCCACACTGTGATTATTTTAAAAACAGGATTAACACTATTGTGAGGAAAATGCCAGAAAAAGTAAAATATACCATCAAGACAACAAATTAACTATGAAATAACTCAGGAAAAAAGCATGCTACATTTACAATTACTCCTTAACTCTGGTTTTGAAATGAAATGTTCAAAAGAAAGAATAGCAGATAACTGATCAAAATGTAGATGAGCTGAGACTGCTAATGTAGAAGCAGAATGAAATGAGTATTTTAAAGAATAGTTTTGTGTTTTATATACTTCATTAAATAATATGCTAATAAAATATATAATCAGATATAATGAGTTAAATTATGTAAAGTGCTTTAGAAAGGACAGTGCTACACAAATGCAAAGCACAACATTATCACTTCGAAGTCCTTGTGTTTCAAGACTCAGGTATATACATACAGAACCAATGCTTGATTTTAGTAGTTTTATCTTTCTCTTTTTTTGTAGAGGGGGTGGTAGTTAAAAGAATTAAAATTGGAGGCCTAATTACAGTCCATATCTGAGTATGTATTCTTGAGCAACAGAGTTCAAATTGGCTAAACAGAAGCAAGAACAACTTAGAAGAGAGTTAAAAACCTAAAAATCAGTGAACGAAAGTATATTAGAAAGATTTGCAATATTTGATACCCACTATAGAGTTAAAATCTAAACATATTGATTATTATAGATTATAGAATTTCCCAGAAATCTGTGGAATTAAATTTTTCAACTATTTATAATCACATACACTAATACAGTACCTGGATTATATACCTGGATCTCAGCTTGGACTAGAGAAAACTGTATATCATATAACCATAGTTACTGTTCAATTATGATTGTAATTTTATATCCAAAGACCATCTTAAGTTTAGATATTAATTCCTATAGATTCTTTGAGATTTTCTATAGGCACACAATATACTTGTACTAATGACTGCAAGAAGTCTGATGTGGCTTCCTTTAAAGCCAGTGATCCCACCAGATTATGGCCCATGCTCATGAACTCAATCCTAGTTACCTCCCAAAGGCCCCACCATCTCCAAATATGATCACAAGGGGGTAAGGGCTTTAGCATATGAATTTGAAGGGACACTATTCAGTCTACAGCATGAGCTGAAGGAGAGAAAGATGATACATTCACAGATTTGTGAATCTTAAAGTGGACAAACTCGTAAAAACTGCTGAGTCAAGAAATAAAATATTACCAAAATCCCAGAAGCTCCAATGTGCCTTTTTCAGTCACAGCTGGACTGCCTATCCAAAGACAACCATTATCCCAGTATTTAACACTGTTAGTTTTGCTTATTTTAAAAATTTATATAATGAAATTATATAATACTTATTATTTTGTGTCTAGCTTTTCTTCACTCACAGTAATAGCCTGATATTCATTCATGTTGGTGGTGTAACAATATTTCATTTATTTTCATAGCTGTATAGTAGTCCATTGTGTGAAAATTGCACATTTATTTACCCATTTTATTTTTGGTGGTCATTTATTTTCCAAATTTTTTTTAACTTTCATTTTAAGTTCAGGGTTACAAATGCAGGCTTATTACGTAGGTAAACTTGAGCCATGGGGGTTTGTTGTATAGATTATTTCATCACCCAGGTATTAAGTCTAGGACCAGTTAGTCTTTTTTCTTGATACTCTCCCTCCTCCCAACCTCCACCCTTCGAAAGGCCCCAGTGTGCATTGTTCCCCTCTATGTGTCCATGTGTTCTCATAATTTAGTTCCCACTTATAAAAGACAGCATGCAATATTTGGTTTACTATTACACATAATGTAACTTATGAACATTCTTGTATATATGTTTTGGGGAACAGACATATGCAGTTCTGACAAGTGTATGCATATCAGTAGAATTACCTAGAATATGCATTTTCACATTTGTAGATACCACTGCAGTTTTTCAAAATGATGCTAAATATTTAAGCCCTGTTAGCAATGTCTGAGTTCCAATTATGCTACCTCTTTGTCAATATATGGTATTGTTAGTATAATTTTCACCTTTCTGGTATGTGTGGTGGTGTATCTCACTGTGATTTTAGCTTGCATTTCCCTGAAAACTGATGAAGTTAAATACTTTTTAATGTATTTATTGCTGATTTTTGTATTTGGTTACCTCTTTTTCAGCTTTAATGGTTTTTGGAAGTTCTTTATATATTCCGCATACATGTAATTTATCAGTTATATATATTAAATATTTATTCTTCTGCCCTGTGGCATATTTTTCATTCTTTACATTAAAATAGTATATTTTAATAAACATGATATCTTAATTTTATTATATCTAAATTATCAATATTTTCCTTTAGGGTTGGGAAAAATTGTTTTCTGTTTAAGAAATATTTACCTATGCCAGGGTCAAAAATCTTCTATATGTCATTTTCTAAAAGCTTTATGCTTTATCTTTTATACATTATTCTATAATCCACATGGAATTGATTTTCCTCCTGATGTGAGCAAGAGTCAACATTTATTGTTTTCCCAAAAAGATGTCTCAGTGACCCAGCATCATTTATTGAAAAGACAGTTGTTTTCCTTTCACTTGAAGGCATCACCTTGTTATCAGTCCAGTGTCTTTATACTTGTTGGTCTATTTCTAGACACCCTGTTCTGTGACAGAGGCCATTTATCTGTGCTTCCATCAAGGGTCCCTCATTTTTTAAACACCTGTGGCTTTACAACAATTCCTAATATCTCATAGTGTAAGTCTTAAAATTTTGTTCTACTTCAAGCATGTCTAATTTGTCTTGATTCCCCCTGGCTGTTTGCACTTCTGTATACATTTTGGAATCTTATCGGTTTCTATAAAACAAAACTTTTGGAATTTTTATTGGGATTACATTGACCCTCTGGATCAATTTGGGGAAAATTGACATTTTCTTTCATGGACGTAATATGCCCTTTATATTTAGGCTCTCTTTAATCTCTCAAAAATATTTTGTAGTTTTTTGTGTAGAGAGTTTGTATAAATTTTGTGAGATTATTCTTATTCAATGACCTTTGGTGCTATTGCAATTAATAATAATTTTCTCAATTTTACTTTATAAGTGTTCATTGTTGGTATATAGACATAAAATTAATTTTATTTACTAATTTTATATTTAAAGACCATGTTAAATTTAGATATTAATTCCAATTGATTCTTTGGAATTTTCTACATGCTTTCAATATTAAGAAGACATTTTTATTTCTTCATTTTGAATTCTTATACCATTCTTTTTCATGATATGTTGCACTGACTACATCTCAAGTACATATTTGAAGTGGAGATGGTGGATATATTGATCTTATTCTGGATTTAGATGGAAAGCTTACTGTAATTTTTTGTATGCTCCTAAAGAAAATTTCTACTTCTACTTTACTAATCGTTTTATGGTAGCTGTCTTTCTCTGCATCTTTTGAGATAAACACATGATATTTCTCTTTTGCTCTGTTAGTCTGATGCACTACCTTGATGGGTTAACAATTGTCCAACTTTGCATTCATATAAAACAAAACCTAGTTGGTTTTTTTTAAGAACTCTTTTTAAGAATTTTATTTAAAGAGATTGGTATATGCACTTTTCCCCATTCTTATAAAAGATTGTTGACTTTATAAAATAAATTGGGAATTACTCCTTCTTTGCTTTTCTTTGGAATATTTCATATAGGATTACATTACTTTTTCTGAATGATTTGTAGAATTCATTGTTGAATGGAACACATTCTGTAGCTTTAATAGGAAGAAGGTTCTCATTTAGAGATCTGACGAATTTAACAGATATAGGGCCATCACTTTTCTTTTGTAGATCTTGTGTCAGTTTTGATATATTGTCAAGGCCTTTTATTACTGGAAATATGTGAATTTCATATGAATTTTTCATTTTTTGAATAAGTTGTTTTCAACATATTCTTATTATTATTAGAAATCTGTAGTTAGAGTCTTAGTTTTAATATCTGTATAGGCTTAGTGGTGTCTTCTTTATCATTCATGATAGGCTAATTTGTTCCCTTTCCCCTCCTCCTTTCTGGTCAGGCTACACAGGTTTATCAGTTTTATTGACATTTCATAGAACCAGTTTAGACTTTCATCATCTCTGTGTTGTTTTTCTTATTAACGTTTAGTGTTATCTTTATTTCCTCCTACTACCTTTGTGTTTAATTTGGTGCTGCTTTCTAACTTGAGATGAATAATTTTAGGAGCCTCTTGGTAATATAAGTAGTGTTTTTAAAATATGATCATTTTATAATTATAAAATGTGCAATGTATTTTTACCATGTATGCTTTTTATTTGCATCTCACTAGTTTTGATATGCCATTTTTTATTACCAATCAGCTCAAACTGTTTTCTAATTTACTTTTTAATTTCATTGGCCCAAGGGTTATGTACTAGATTGTTGCTTAACTTCAAAATATGTGTAGATTTTATTTATTATTGATTTTTATGTTAATTCTACTATAGACAGAGCACATTATGTATGATTTCCTATTTTGATTATTTTTGAGACTTGCTTTATTGCACAACGTATTTTACATTTTGATAAACACTCCATATGCCCTTGAAAACAATAGATATTGTATATTCTGTGGTTGAGTGAGTTTGACAGAAAGATAGTTCAATGGATGGATGAATGGGTGGACAAACAGATAGACAGCAGACATCAATTAAGTAGTTTATAATTGTGTGGTTCAAACATTCACATTCTTATTTATGGATAGACAGGTTTGTTCTGTCAGTTAATGAGAGAAGTGTTAAAATATATATTTATAAATATTCCCTTTTACTTCTACCAGTTTTAGCTTTATGTACATGGAGCTATGCTAGTAGGTACATAAAAATGTACAACTATTATTTCATCTTCCAGTTTTTCTTCTTAATAATTATGAAATATCCCTTTTTATATTAACTGATGCTTTTTTATTTTAAAATCAATTCCACTAGTTTTCTTCTGGTGTTTATATGATATGCTTTTTTTTCATCTTTTTTCTTTCAAAATTCTATATACTTATATTCATGTAATATATAACACACATATTTACATTTGTATATCCTGTATTTATTTACTTATTTATAGCAATTTAAGTGGTATAAAAAATTTCTCTTTCTTTTACTTTGATAATCTAGGTTTTTAGAGAAAGGATTGGGAATTTTTTTTTATAAAAGGCAAGATTATTTTTTATTTTGTGGGCCATATCTATTGTGTGTCACAGCTACTCAACACTGCCATTGTAGTCCAAAAGCAGCCATAGACAGAAATAAATGAGTGTAACTGTGTTTCAATAAAACTTTATCCATATTTTAAAAAACAGATTAAGGTTATAGTTTTCCAAACCTTTTTAATCTATACTAATTGTATTAGTTTTTATTTTGAGGTTTAAACCTGCCATCTTCTTATTTGTTTTTGTTGATCCTGCTTATTATATATTTCTTTTTCTTTTTTCTTTTTTGATTAAGCATTTTTTATCATCTAGTTTTAGCACTATACATTCTTTTTGAAATCTTTAAATTATTTTGTTAGAAATTATACATCCTCATGATTTCCTAGGATTTTAAGTAAATTAGTTCTCTGTTACTTTCTGGAGGATCTTAGAACGCTCTTTATTCACCTCCTGCCTCTTGTGTTGCTTATGGCCATGGATATTAATTTTATGTATTTTTTCTTCATATGTCATTATTATTTTTATGCCTTCATAATTCATATTTAACCAAATATTATTTTATCCCTTACCTTTTCTCTACATTACTTTACAAAGTTCCATGCTTTCATATTGTAAAAATTTTATTTAGCCTACATAACTTTCTTTAGTTTTGGTGCAAGTAACTGGAAGGGTGAGGGGAGAAGTGGCATAGGATATTGATACATTTTATTTTTATTTTAATTGAAAAATGAAACAAAAAAATGAAAATCATGGAAAATTCCATTTTCTTTTTTATCTATACCTCTAACATTCTGGTTAATGATGGCTTCAATTTTTTTTTTATTTTGCTCAAATTTTATACTTTTTTGTGGTAAAGTTGATCTGCATCAAGAAAATATGGCATAACCCAAATAATTTTTTTCTTTGTATTTCCATATCATCTATGTTTGCCCATTAAACGCTGATGGAGAAAAGGAGATTGACAGCAGTATATTCTCTCTTATATCCTAAAAACACTAAAATTAGTGGAAGTAACATGCATTGCAGGTTATTTTTTGCTGATTTTTTGATAGCAGGATCCTGGATTCCTATTTATGTTCAGGTCTTGTAGTTTTTATGTAAGCTCTCCTGATTTTCTCCCATTATACTCTTTTAAATTGATATGCTTTAAAGTTTTCTTCCACAGTCACACTCATCCAAACAAATAGGCACTTTGACCATATACAGTCTTATTGGGTTATTAGATTGCTTATATGGCCACTTAGTCATAATTTCAAACGCCTGTAACTCCATTTTGCAAAGCAGACCAAATTATTTCAATCATCATTTATCAGTATAAGTTCATATATTCTGCTAGGAAGTCTTTAAACTACAAAACATTAAGAAATAAGTCTTTTCTTAATCTCATGTTTTCTATAAATTATATTGATTTTTAAAAATTTAATATAAACATTTTATAACTAAGACTCTTGTTTTCTAGCCATGTTATTTTTTATTTTACTTTATAATTGCAAAATATGTCATGGATTTCTTTTGTATAAAATAAAAATAGTAAATTTTTTCATAATATTTCTTTCATTAAACACAGGTTTAGAGTCATTTATTCTCAATTTCATCTAATAAAATAAAAATAGGATATTACGCTAATGTTATTATCTTTCATATGAATATTCCAAAGTCTTTTACCATGTTTCTATAGGAAGTATTTAGAAGCACAGGTAAAGTGATTTAACTTTCTTAGGACTATGTAGTCCAGGCAACATAATACAGTTTAATTTGCAGATCAATCAGTTCATTCATTAATCAATGTGCACTGTATCCATGTTGGTTAAGGCAGTGGCTCTTAACCAGAAGAATGCACCAGATTTTCTTGGGATGGCTTTTAAACAAGTACACCCAGGGACCTAAACCCTAAGATACCTTGTAAACAAATGCACCCAGGGACCCAACCTGTAAAGTATAGCAATTTGGAAGTAGACTATTAAAAAGCTCCACAAATTATTGTGATGCACATTCTTACTCAAGAAATCCTGCTTTAGCCATTGAAGGATAAAAAGGAAACAGACTTTGACACAATAAAATCGAAAAAAAAACATTTAAAAATATATAAAATAATATGTAATAAAATGTGGAATGTTCTGGTTCTGTGTGGGATAGAAATACTTCATTAGAAAGATTAGACTTAATCTGTACTTTCAAAAGTAGGTTGGAGCCAGGTGCGGTGGCTCACACCTGTACTCCCAGCACTTTGGGAGGCTGAGATGGGCGGATCATTTGAGGTCTGGAGTTCGAGACCAGCCTGACCAACATGATGAAACCCCATCTCTACTAAAAAAAAAAAAAAAAAAAAAAATTGCGAGGCGTGGTGGCGCATGCCTATAGTCTCAGCTACATGGGAGGCTGAGGCAGGAGAATCGCTTGAACCTGGGAGGCGGAGGGTTGCAGTGAGCCAAGATCACGCCACTGCACTCCAACCTGGGTAACAGAGCGAGACCCTGTCTCAGGAGAAAAAAAAAAAAAAACAAAAAACAGTATGTTGGCTTTTCAGAGCTGGCAGAAATACATGGAAAGAGAAAAAATATATAATATGAGCAAAAGCACAGAGGCAAACATAATTACTGTGTGGGAATCAGCAAAGAACAAACTGGTCACCTGAAAGTACGTTCCATGACTCTAGAAATGGTTTCTGTCTTACTCACTGCTTTATATACATTACTATTACCTGTCCAACAAATGTGAATGAATGAATAAACCAATCAATCTGTCAATAATGAGCATGGCATGTTCTTACAATAGAGTGGTGGGAAATAGGTACATACACATTTAGAACAAAATCCAATTATGGATGATTTTCAGAGCCAGTAAAGAAGGTAAGGCAGGGACCCATAAAATGAAGAGAATATTTGAGCTAGAGTCATTAGGGTATCATAACGACACGTATTAGAGAGGTTCTGCATTTGAAAGAAGAGAAGCCAGTTGAAAATGTGTTTCAGTAATACAGGTACGTAATAATCAAGGTCTTACATTATTTTCATAAAATTATGCATAGTGCTAAAAATAAGTCCTATTAGGAGAGTTCAAATATTATAAAACTTTTTGACTATTCGTGTTTAATACCGCATTTTAGCTAATTTGATGATTTGTTGTCCTTAAGTTGCACTTGTCTTTATTTCCTTTTCTACTCTCTTCTTCATTCTCTCATCTCTCTCCCTTTACTCTTGAACTTTTATATTTTCTCTGTCAAAGTATGTAGCTTAAAAATTAAATACTAGAAAATTCCAGTTGCTGAGATTGTGATTATAATTGGTTACATTCTAGTTGCACAACTTCAATAAGCTTAATTTATACTTTAATAATATTTTATAATGGATTTACCCTAGAATAATGTTAGAAGAATAAAAATGAAATTAACAAAAAGTTGCTTTTGATCAGCACAAGATGTTAATATTCTTAGATATTGTCTTGATATATAATGTTTATATTATAGTTAAGGTAGTGTAGGTAAATGCCAGAAATTTATTGTCTGTTATTTGAAAGTTAAAAAAAAAGCCTAGACAATATTTCACAACTTTGTTCATATTTTATAGACTGTTACTTTCTTCACTCATGCCTTATTAATTTCCCATTAAAACTCTAACTCTTAGGAATATGATTTAATATATATCTGTAGAATACAGGTATTTCACAAGTTAAGAATATGTGAAGTGATGATCAGGCAGTTATACAGCATCTGACAGTATATAGAATTAAAGCTGAGTCAGAAGCCAAAAAACATAATTAGGAGAATTGCTGGGATTACAAAAAAATAGGAAAGAAATCTAAGCCACAGATTAGCTTCAGTCCCACAATTACCTGAAACAAGACTGATGAAATTATCAGGAGAAAATAAAATATAAATCCATTTTCATGGATAATTTGATATTCAAAGTAGTCACTTTCACTCTTTCAGGCCATTGGGAGAATGATGCAACCAATTTAATGAATTACTACCCACGTTAACAGCCTAAAGGGGTGGGGGAGGATATATTTCCTCTGTTTCATATTACCAGGAAGTTTTAGCTACAATGAAAATCTATGTAGCAGGAGAACAGAAAACATATTTTTATGGTTTACGTAGGCTGGAAGCAACAAGAAGAACTTTTTTCTGAAGAAAGCAAAAAAAAAAATTGATGCCATATGCAGAAATTATTGCTGGAGTTTAATGGACTGAGATGGCCTTAGGAAGGAGGAAAAAATGACTATTAACTGTTTCTAATGATTCAAAACAACAGCTACCTCTACAAAAATTGTACTCTACCACTGCTCACTAAATACGCTCCTCACCATCACCACTCCCCATCATGCTTGTGCTGACAACATCCATGAATTAAACAATTGACATTTTAAAAAAAACCCATGGTTACCTGAAAGCTGAGGTTTCTGTCTTCCTATGCCAATGTTCCTAGTTTTGGATGAGATGAGGAAAAATACAGTTGTGCATGTAAAAGTTACGTTCGCTTGAATGTTTGCATATTTTACATTTGAGTGCAGGCATCTATCAAGGATGCAAACCAAAGTGAAGCAAAAAGAGTATTTAAATCACGCGTGGATCTTAGAGACAGAGAGAGACATCTACTGGTCCATTTACTACCAATCCCAAGCGCCTCCCCCTCCACTGTAATTAATGTAACGTTTTCTCTCTTTACAGCTGACAGCCAAGAGCATAATTAGAGTCTAATAAAACACAGAAAAGTCACAAATGCAAAGTGGAATAAACAGTAAACAGTGAGGGAAGAGAAGATCCCGGAGTGTGATGGCTGGGTAATGTCTTAGATAAACTGTGTGCACATTGACACTGTCACGCTCTCGGCAGCCCCAAGTGTGCTGGTAGCCTGGTGCAGACAGACAGCTCGAATTAATCCCAAGAGAAGCGCATGACAGGCGAGTGAAGCAGACAATTAGAATGAAGGAGGAAATTGGAAATGGCAAAGGTGTGAACATATGTCAAATTACAACTAAATGATAAATTACAATTCTGTCATTGGAATAAGCGGTAATTAAGAAAGATTTCAGCTATCCTTCTTGAAAAAAAATAAGAGAGAACCACGTTTTTCCCCTCAGTTTAGATTTGTTTGCTGAATTGTTTCCATCCATCTCACACATGGTGCTGTATCTTCCTGACTTTGGAGCTGCATTATTTGTGTACATTAAGGATAATTCTTTTCTTTCCTCTTCTCCATTTTCCAGACTGGCAGAATAATAGTGTTAAAATGAAGAGGAAGCTGATAGTATCTGATATAAAAACCTGCAATGAGATTTAAAAAAAAAATAAAAAAAGAGAGGTTTGCTGCTGAAGCTGCTGCGGCACTCTAATTATTTTAAACAAGCACTGCACAGTCCAGCTGACAATTAGGAAAGCCTGCTCTATGGCTTGGGGGAGTCATATGAAACCTCATAATCACTGTATACACGTCCTTTTCGTTTAGACAGTAATGAATGTGGGTGGGGTTTCTTGGCAGTTTTTGGCCACTTAACCACAATTTAAAACAGCTGTGTAATTATCATGAGTTTTTGAATCCAACATCGAATTCCAATTTAGAGTTTGTAACACCTGTGGTTTGTTACAACCACTAGGACTAAGGCAGGGGAATGACAGAAGCAAAAGTGCAGTGCTGGCAAAAACCACCCTGGAGAGGGCATGTTGTTGTCCCATGGGGCTGCTGCATGCCAAGACACAGACGAGGCAGGAATCTTCACAGTGGCAAATCTCACATGTAAACATAAGGTGCTGTGTGCAGGAAGGTTTTCTTCAGCAAAGTCAAGACAGGATATTCTGGTCTTGAATTCTTAAAAAAGTGGACATTTCTGACATATAACCCTTGCAAACTCTATTTTTTAAAAAAGTAAAAAAAAAAAAATGCCAGTGGAAAGGGCTATACAGGTCCTGAACCCAAGATGACGATTTGAATATTTAGCACATTTCAAAAGAGATAGAATTATTATTTGGTTAATACTTAATCATTAATTTTATAAATGCAACAACAATAACAGTAGTAATAATAATTTATGTGAGGATTTAGACTGAAATAAAATTTTTTGATAGGTAAGCAAAACATCCACCACATATCATTTTAATATTTATAAGATAAGCTAAATATTTTTTGCATTATATATTTTTGCAAGTGTATGTAACATTAAATAGCTATAGTTCAACCTTTACAGAATAGTGACTAAATACAAATATATAGTATTGAAAAAAAGATTGAAATAGTGAAAACTTAGAACATACGCGAATATTTACATCTTTTTTTTTTCACCCTTCCTCTAGGGCAAAAAGGAGGCAAATATCTAAAAAGCTAAATAAAATTCTCTAACAGAGAGGTCAGAAGCTCCAATGATCTTCTGAGATAAGTCAATTTCCAGCAGCTGTGGCCAGATATTGTAGTTCAAGGCCTTGAAAGCTTAATTGGGGAAGCATGTTAAAAGTTAAAGGGCCAGAATCATGTTAATTACATGAGGTTTTCCTTGT
This sequence comes from Homo sapiens, assembly GCF_000001405.40. NCBI lineage: Eukaryota > Metazoa > Chordata > Mammalia > Primates > Hominidae > Homo > Homo sapiens. The sequence continues at coordinate 104,396,363 of NC_000004.12, forward strand.
AGAAAATCTGCCCAACACAATGCTACCCTCTCTCTTCTGTAGATAAGGGTATGCTTCACCACATTTCTGTAATTTGACAAGGTTTATTTTAAAAGCAATATATTTAGAGTCATCTGTATGCTTCACAAGTAACAGAGCCTAATGTGTTCATTCATTGCATTCCTAGTACAACTTGGGTTAAGAAGCCACAGACATTGCATGCCAGAACTTTAGAAAGATCCAAATATGGAACAAATTGCAATCTGAGTTTCAAATCTTTCTTCTTTGAGGAAGTAAGGTGTGAGAAGAAAAAAGGCAGAATGATAATTGTTGTTCCAATACTGTTTACACCCAGAAATAGAAGTTCTCTTATGGAAACTTGAATATAGGAGAGTAGCCAAAAAAAACTTGGAATTTTACTTTAAATGGAGAAAAATATTCATAAAATATAATCTGATAGAATAATTATTATACATTTGTTACTATAACAAAGTAAATAGTAGTCTGTATAATAAAAGTTACATGTAGATTGATGTCAATCTTCAGATTTTACACTTTGTATATAGAGAGAAAGGCAAATCCGGAAGGAGCATTAGCAATCATTTTTTCCAACCATATAATGTTCCTCATTCAATTTATTTTCATAATACAATCAGTATGTGTCTATTAAAATTAAAGAGGTTAAATAGCCTTCTTCAAAGTTAATGGCAAAGTATTAACTCTATCCACAAAATAATGCTGGTTATAAAGTTGATTTCTGTAATTTACGTGTTTTAATAGCAAGTTAAATCCTGTATTTGCCACATCTGTTAACTTTCCAAAGAGCAGCCACTGTTTTAAACACCACAGGGGCTGTACAAATAATTTTGTTGAAAAGAAACATTGTTATACTACATGTTCCCTTAATATAGGCTTTGGATATAAATGTAATATCAGAAACCACTTTTTTTATAAAGATTCTCAACCTTTATTATACTTGAGATTTGGATGGACTCCCCAGAAATCTGCATTTTGGACAAACATTCTAAGTGGCTTTCATGCAGATTTAGGCTCTACCCCAAGCTCCCACTGGGCTGAGGCCCAAAAAAGTTGTGAATTCTAGAGCAGGATAACTAGGAATAGAGACCAGTCTTCTGACTTTCTGTCAAGTTTTCTTCTTATAAAAATTATATGCTTGATCAGATTACTGATATATGCATTATAGTGGACATACTGTTTCTAATTTATATGTTCAATTACATTCCTAAAATAATTAAAATTTGATAATGATGATTATTCTAAGTACGTTATTTCCAGTATAAATTTCAATGTCAGGGCTTTTACAGTTAGAGACATGTGTGAAGAGTGATAAGCAAAGCACTAACTGATTTTAGTATATATAGAATACTGAAGAATAGGAAAATATGAAATTGTGTAGGGAAATATTAAGAATTAGATCAAAAGTATCCATAGTCTATAATGTCATTCAAATATATAGTTTTCTTTTAATATTACACCCTTTTACTGTTTAAACTCTCCCTATACAGTTGTTGGCACAGTTGCATACTTAATGGTTATATATTCAAGTAATGACATTTCAGATGTATAAATTCACTCTGAATATATTCTGAATGCTATGTTGAAATATTATTAAGTGGCCAACAGCCAATGACATAAACTTGATGAAATATTCTAGAAGTCTAATCTCAGCAGAAATGAATGGAGTCTTATTGAAAAATTTAAGAATGCTTTGCAAAGCATTGATGTATATCCACTTTCAGTCTTAACAAAATAACTGGTACTGGACTTGCCCTCTCACCAAAAAAAAAAAAAAAAAACAGGAAAAAACTTTAAAAAGTAGGAAAAAATATGTGTAGCGACTATTTTCCGGTGTTAAACAATAGGCAATGTAATACTGTGAACTTTGAGGTAGTTTCTGCAATCTCACGAGCTTCTGACTGGGAATATTTACTGTTCTGGTGCACAGGGAAGTGAAGCCCAAACTGAGTAACAATTTTGTTGCACTGAGGATGCAGGGATGAGAGTTCAAATCAGTAAAAATGGCTAGAATTTTTGAGCAGAATACTGGATAAGAAGGAGGAGCATAGAGTTAGAAAATAGAAGTCTGCATAGAGATTCAAAACATGGGCCTTGGCTAAGGGCTGGCCTGGATATACAGAGTGAAACTCCACAGTGCCTGTAGGTAATCATTTGATGTTTGGCTGACTGCTGAATGTGACACCAGAAGTTACAGTCAGCCTAAGAGTCTTTGCTGAACGACTTGGCTATTTAGCAGAGATGTGGAAAGCCTAGACTTTGGGTGTAAGAAAAAAACCTAGAGCAATATTCAAAACTGATATAGAGCCATCAAAATAAAGATTAAACAAAAAAAAAAGTACAGGACAAAAAAGATTTTCCAGTTTATCTAACTGCCTGCCATAATAAAACCTAACACACACACAGACACACACACAAAGGCATACTCTAGAGAAAAGTTGAGTAAACTTTACTACACAGGCAAACCACCAGTTTTTGTAAAGTTTTATTAGAACATAGCCACATCTGTTTGTTTAATTATTTTTTGTTGCTTATTTTCTATTGTAACAGCAGAGTCAGGTAGTTACTGCAGAGAGCATCTAACACACAAGCTAAAATATTTACTATCTGGCTCTTTAAGAAATGTTCTATGTTTTTAAACATAGAGCTAGACTCACTACAATGCATTACCGCAATGTCTAACATACAATAAAAACATTACTAGACATGAAAATGAAAAAGAATGTGTCTAAAACTAACAAAAAAAAAAGTAGTCTACAGAAATGAAGCCTGAAATGACCCAAAGGTTGAATTATGGAACTTATAAACAATTTTTATGCATATGTACAAAAGCTTGAAGAAAAAGACCATTATAATGAATCTCAGCAGATAAATGGAAACTATTTTTAAAAGAGCTCATTGACAACTATCAAACCAAAAAGCACAATATTTGAAGTGACATATCCACTGGGTGACTTAACAGAAAATGAAAGCCTGAAGAATTACTGAGCTTAAAAACACATGAATAGAAATTCATCAATATGGAAAAAAGGCAGAAAATAGATAGAAAAATATTTAAGAGAACTTGAAGGACCAGTGGAACAAGATCAAGCAATCTAACATACTTGTAATTCAAATAGCAGAGGGAGAGGATAAAATAGAACAGAAAATATATTTAAAACATATAAAGTATAATGGTTGAAAAATTTCCAAATTCGTGAAAAAAAAAAAGAAAACATCAACTGACAGATCAAAGAACTTCTATAAAACCTAAACAAGGTAAATGCCTAGACAAGCACACTTAAGAAAATTATAGTAAAACAAATAGAAGCTGGAGGAAAATAATAAAAGCAGTCATGGAAAAAAGAGACAAATTATGCAATGGATAACAATAGTGCTAATAATAGCAGACATTGTCCTAGAGACAATAGAGGCTAGAAGGCAATGATCAAACAGCTTTAAAGTATTAAAATTAAAAATAACTTTTGGGTCATATTTTATATGCAGCAAAATGTCCTTCAAAAAATAAGGCCAAATTTTCACATAACAAAAGCTAAGAACATTAGTCACCAGTACAGCTACACTATAAAAAAATAAATAAAGAAAATTATTCAATTTAAAGGGAAACCACACTAAATGAAACTTTGATCTACAGGAAGAAATAAGAAATATTGGGAATAGTAAATATATGGAGAATATAAAATATTACCTTTTATGTCTTAATTTAATGCAAAAACAATAAATTAACATAAAAATAACATTACACTTTGTTATTAATGAAATCTATAGATATATTATTTAGTTTTCATAAAATATGTGGAGATATGTAGCTGAAAGATAGAGGATAAATAGAATCAAAATGCACATCATAATAGAATATGTAGTGAAATATAATAAAATGTTCTTAGCACTAAAAATACTGTACTAAATTAAGGTTTTTTTATTTCCAGAAAAAAAGTAAAATGATAATACTAAGATAAAAGACAATAGAGAAATTAAAACAGAATACTAAACAATTTTATCAACCAAAAGAGACAGTAAGTGAAAAATTGAAAAAAAATCAGATGGACAACTAGAAAATAAATAGTAAGGGGATAAACCTAATCCAAAAAAAAATGAACAATTATATTAAAGATAAATGGACTGTATTCTCCAATTAAAAGGTTTGTCAAGATATTTTGAAAGACCCAACTATATGCTTTGTACAAGTAATGTATCAAATACAAATACACAGATAGGTTGAAAGTAAACTTGTGGAAGCGTATAAACTATGCAAATAGTATGCACAAGAAAAATAAGAGTTGCTATATTAATGCCATGTAAAGTAGACTATAGGACAAAAAATATTACCAGAGGTGAATAGGAAACATCTCATTAAAAGTTCAACCCATAAGAAAGAATCTAACATTTCTAACTGTATATAAACTCAGTAACAATGCTTCCAAATCCCTGAAGGGAAAAAAATTACAGAACTAAATGGAGAAATAGGCAAATCCACAAACACAGTTAGAGGTTTTAACACCACTGCCTTTGTAATTGATTAAAAAAGTAAGCAACATCATTAACAATATAGGAGATTTGAACAACACCATCAACAATTTGACTTAATTAATCTTTCTGAAACATTACAGTCTATAAATTCAGAATATGTATATTTTTAAGTGCACATGGAGTGCTCTACATGATAGACCATATCCTGGCTCATAAAATAGCAACAATAAATTTCAACACAAGTAGATCTTATAGAATATATTTTGTTTCCTTAGAAAACCCCCAATATTTGGAGATTAAGCCACATACTAATAAATAAAGGAAGTAAGCAGAAAAACAAATTGAAATATTGAATAATTACCCCAAGATCAAAAACAAGGCCAGGATTTTTGCTCCTGCCATTTCCATTCAAAATTGCAATGGACATCCTAGCCAGTGCAATAAGGCAAGAAAATGAAATAAAAGACAAAAAGGCACAAATGCTGGGAAGAAAAGTTAAACTCTTTTTATCCACGTACAGCATGATTATTTTAGAAAAAAAAATTTACATTAGCATTGTAGAAAATGCTAACACAGAAAAACAGTACTAGAACAGACAAGTAAATTTTACGAGGTTTGAACTATAAGAGCAATGTTTAAAAATTAATTACTTTTGAATTCTTACTGGTGACTGGGGTGGAAATCAATAAACTGCTGATGATTTGGGTCTATTCTATTGTATGCATGTGGTACTATTCTTCTCCAATCGTTAGCAAGACTGTAGCTATTATAAGCATAGCAGTAAAACATTTTACACAGTGATCATCATCATCATACCTTTGAGTTGAAGTAGAATACTATTCTAATTAATATAATTTCATTAAAAAATAAGAAACCCATGTCTGCATCCTAGCCAGTATCACTTTCTTGTTTAATTTTGCTGATGTATATATAAAGAAAGTCATCACATGTGAAGTAGTTTATAAGATATCTTGTTTGCCAAGAAAATTCTTTGCAGCACCCTTATGAAAGTGAATCTACAAATGATAAATCTTTTGATGAATATTTCATTTTTGTCTTTTTGCTAGGATACAGAGAATACTATCAACTGATAATTAAGTGAAGTTAAATAATATGGTAATGAGTGAGAAATAAATATAAATACTAGAGAGAGAGGGAGAGAGAAAAGGTAGGGAAATATTTAAAAATTGTTAAGGTTTGGTTTTAAAGTATTTGCAGTTACGTCATATAAATTATACAAAAACAAAATTAGCTAGGCATGGTGGCGAACGCCTCTAGTCCCAGCTACTAGGGAGGCTGAGGCAGGAGAATGGCATGAACCCAGGAAGCGCACCTTGCAGTAAGCCGAGATGGCGCCACTGCACTCCACCAGCCTGGATGACAGAGCGAGACTCCATCTCAAACAAACAAACAAACAAACAAAAGGATTGTAATAAATAGAGAAGTGGTATTAGCTGGCTTATGCAGACCTTCGTTATTATAGCATTAAACTGACTGCTGTGCCATGAATTGCTAATAATTATCAATATCATTTTGCCAAACTGACTTAGCAATAGTTATTTATGAAGCCATTTGACAGAGATTCAAGAATTATATCCATACCAACTGACTAGAACCTAAATACTTTATAGCCTCCACCACTCTACATATTATAGCAGTGTACATATTATAGCAGTTGAGAAGTAGGCTTGCCACTTTCCTCTCAGAGGCAATCCAAATAATTCTAGCACTAGCCTGTAAAACACAAATATTGGAAGAATATTTGTTAAAGTATAATAATAATCTTTGTGAAAGATAAAGACGCACCACATAGAGGTACAGCAGGGACTATATTAATATTTTTTCAAGAATAGTTGTAGAAGTCTTAAAAATAAGCATATTTCAAACACCCTAAAAATCAGTATTGTTTAATATTACCAAACATATAATTTAAATGATATCTATGAATAAAAGGGCAAGAAAGAATATAGAATTTAACAATGCAGTGAATTTTTCCACTTTATAAGGTTTGGATTACATTATAGCAATTTTTACATTTCTTTGAGCTTACAATAAAAATACACATTCACATATTTTTCTATACAATTAATACTTTAATTTTTTCTTTTTTTAAAGAGTAAACTTAATTCTAGAGCAGTTTTAGGTTCACACAAAATTAATAGGAAGATACATAGATTTCTCATATATTCCATGCTCCCGTCCCTATATAGCTCCCTCTATTATCAACATCTTACCACCGAGTGATGCAGTTATTACTATTTATATACCTAAATTGACACATAAGGTTTATTCTTATTGTTGTACATTCTTTGGGTTTGAATAAATTTATAAGCACATGCATGCATTATTATAATGTCATATAGAATAGTTTCACTGTCCTGGAAATTATCTGTGCTCTGTGTATTTATCCCTCCCTTCTCCCTAACCCCTGGCCACCATTATTTGTTTTACTGTCTCCAGAGTTTTGCCTTTTCCAGAATGTCACATAATTGAAATCATACAATAAGTTGACTTTTCAGATTGGCTGCTTTTACTTACTATTATGCACTGAAGTTTCTTCTGTATCTTTTCAAGGCTTGATACCTCATTTCTTTTTAGCACTGAATAATATTCCATTGTCTGGATGTCTGGAGGTACCAAAGCTTATGTATTCATTCACATATTGTAGGACAACTTTGTTGCTCCCAAGTTTTGAGAACTGTGAATAAAACTGCTGTAAACATCCATGTACAGGTTTCTTGTGTGTGTGGACATGAGTTTTTAAGTGCATTATATAAATGCTATGAAGCAAAATTGCTAGATGGTATGGCAAGAGTATATGTATTGTGGTAAGATACTGCCGAACTGCCTTCCACAGTGGCTGAAAGCATTTTGCATTCTCAACAGGAATGAATGAGAGTTGTTCTTGTACCACCAGATCCTTGCCAGCATTTTGTGTTGTCAGTGTTCTGGATTTCAGCTATTCTAATTATTGTGTAGTAGTATATCAATTTTTTAAATGTGCATTTCCTTGATGACATATGATGTGGATCATCTTTTCATATGCTTGTTTGCCATCTAAATATCCTCTTTGGTGGGAGTTCTGTGTCTTTGGCCCATTTTTAAAATGAGGTTGTTTGTTTTCCTATTGTTGGTATTTAAGAGTTTGTTAAGTGGTTATCACAAGGTTTTAGGATACAAGGCTAATATACAAAAGTTTGTATATACCAACAATGAACAAGTGGAATTTGAAACTGAAAACACAGTACCATTTGTGCAAGATGTATACGAATCTATAGATCAATGCTGGAAGAACTTATATATTGACAATATTGAGCCTTCCTATCTATAAGCATGAAATAGCTTTTCTTAGTTCTTAAAACTAAGAACTAAGAATAAGTAGTTCTTAGAACCATTTTCTTAGTTCTTTGGTTTTCTCTCAACAAAGTTTTATAGTTTTCTTCATATATGTATTTTCCTGATTCTTTCTGCCTTTCAATTTGAGGAGTTTCTAGAGACATATATTCAAACTCGTTGATTTTATTCCTTGGCCATGACAAGGCTACTACTGATAAGCCCATCCAAGGCATTGCTCATTTCATTACAGTGTGGCTTATTTCTACCATTTCCTTTTGATTCTTTCTTAGAATTGCCATCTGTTGGCTACGCCTCCGCCCTGTAAAAACATCCAGAAAATAAGTCTATTAACGGTACTCAGTCAACACTGAAGTTAAGGGAACACCCACATGCAGAAATAAGAAAGAACAAACACAAGAACTCCAGTAATTCAAATGGCCAGAGTATCATATGTCCTCCAAACGACCGCGCCAGATTCCAACAAGAGTTCTTAACCTGGCTGAACTGGCTGAAATGACAGAAATAGTTGTTTTAAATTTCCAGGCTGATAAAGTCCAAAATCTCTGCCATATCTGAGTCTGATTCTAAAGTTTATTTGGTCTCTTCTGACTATGATTTTTTTTTTTTTTTTTTTTAGTATGCCATGTAATTTTTTGCTGAAAGCCAGACTTTATACTGGGTAAAAGGACCAAACTACACAGGACTTAAATGTGATCCTTTATATTTAGCCAGCTGAGTTGGGTTATATTTACTGTTTGCTGTAGCTGTTGTGTCAGAGGCTAATATTTCTTCTAGTGACCTTGTTTTTGTTTCCCCTGTTGCCTGTGGATTTTCCTAAAGACTCCTTCTTAAATAGGGTCTGATGCTTGAAGTTCTTTCAGCGATAATCCCCCATTAATATACAGGAGCTTGATTGCGGTGGTGTTGAGGTGGTGGTAAGATGGCAGGAAGATACTACCACCTTACTGTTAGATCTTGGTCTTCTAAGGAGTCTGTGTCCTTGGGCTGTAACTTTTACAAGCACTTCTCAGCCTTTTTACTTCCCCTCTTCATGTGAGACAGGAAAACTCAAGGGGACTAGTGTTGGGTATTTCTCTTTTTCAGGTTGATTAGGTGCTGGTAAAACTCAGTCAATTAGGCTCTGCTAAAATAGTTTTCCTTGTGGGCAGGTAATTTTTTAGGAGAAGAGAGCACTCTAGGATTATTTCAGAATAGTTACTTTCCCCCTTCCCTGCCAGAAGCATGAATGCATATATCTCTTATTTTTCACTCTGAGAATATGGTGGGGCTCTTGGAGGTAAAATGCACAAAAGCATATGCTCCCCCTTCCCCCTAAGATTGAGTCCCCAGGAGTTTTTGTTTGTTTGTTTTGGGTTTTGACTTTTAATTTCTCAAATCAATACACACACAATCTCTGGCAAGTAGTCAATTACCCTTTAACTGTTACTATTAGAACCCAGAAGTGGCTTCTGTTCCCAGTAAGCTGTGATTCTCTGAATTCACCTGTTTCTCCAGTTTTGAGATAGCAGTTTTCTCTGTGACCTCAATTCTCTGATGGACCTAAGATTTATTGATTTTCAGCTTGTTTGCCATTTCTCTTGTGATGATGGGAGTGACTACTTCCAAATTACTTCTATCTTAAATCAGAAACTGGAAGTCTCCACATATTTTTGGATGTACATTTTTTATTTAAAGTTTTACTTGCCAACTACTTTAGATTAATTGAGCATATTTATAGGAGTGATTTGTAAATTCTTGGAGTCATTTGAGAGCTTGAAGTTATCTAATATTGATGAGGCAGGGCAAGGAACAGTATAAGAACTCTAAGAAATTAGAAATTATTAAAAAAAAAAAAAGAAATAGATGGACACCCACAATCAGGAAACAATACAGAGATATTTGAAGGAATAAATATTAACCAAATGTATAAAGTGAAGGCGATGAAACAGATCAGCTAACCATGTGATATTTTGCATATTTCTAGCAAGTTAAGTAATTAAGGAAAATTAGTTCAGAAAAAAAAATTAGTAGAGCCTATACTTTCTCCTACAATATTTATTCATTTATATATATATTTATTTATTTATTTTTGAGACGGAGTCTTGTTCTGTTGCCCAGGCTGGAGTGCAGTGGCACGATCTTGGCTCACTGCAAGCTCCACCTCCCGGGTTCACATCATTCTCCTGCCTCAGCCTCCCAAGTAGCTGGGAGTACAGGTGCCCACCACCATGCCCGGCTAATTTTTTTGTATTTTTAGTAGAAACAGGGTTTCACGATGTTAGCCAGGATGGTCTCTATCTCCTGACCTTGTGATCTGCCCACCTCGGCCTCCCAAAGTGCTGGGATTACAGGCGTGAGCCACTGTAACCGGCCAATATTTATCTTCTATTTGTTGTTTTTATTTGCCAAAGTTAGTTGATCTAACAGTTCTATGGATATAAATTACTAACTGGAAAAATTCCTAAATCAGAAATAATCTTGATAATCCTACCAAACAACACTTTTAATTGGACGTATTACAGTGTTTAAAAGCTTTGGCTCTTAAACCCGATTTGAATTTGAAATTCAGCTCTCACACTATTAGTTGGAATACCTGTTTGGGGGAGAGAGAGGAAGAGAGAGAGACCTTGAGAATACACCCTAAATACAGAACATAAAAACAGTTTAAACACTTTAAAAACATAAAAACAGAACACTGCAGACAGTTTATTTCTCTTTCCTGTAGAAGTCTGGGGAAGTTTTCTGGTCTGGCATTATAATTAGGCAGTGTTGGGGTCTCAGGATCCTTGCATCATATCTCTTTGTCACACTCAGCACACAGCTTTGAGACATGTGGCCAGTAAGATCCAGTCCCTTTTAATATAGGACCTAGAAGCTGCAAACAGCATACTTTACTTCAAACCTATTGACAAAATGTAGTAGTGTGGCTGTAATTAACTGCAAGAGAAGATAGAAAATGTGGTACGTAACTGGGGTGTGAGTCACATGCCTAATTTAAACTTCAGGTTTCTATTATTAAAAGGAGAAGGGGAGAATGATATTGGGGGACAGCTAGCAGTCTTCAAAATACTACTTATTTATTCTATGACCACGGGTAAGGCATTCAACGTCTCAGAGACTCAGTCCTGATTTGCAAACTAGGAATGTTGATCAAACATGCATGTGAGATTTATATTGAACACTGTCAGGCACTGGGTTAGGTGCTGATGGATGTTAGTTATTATTATTAAGGTGTATTCTTTATTTGAAGAACAAATAAATAACAAGAGCCTCAGTGGAAGTGTTCCTCCATTCTCCACTCACAATAAGAAAAGTGTTTGCCCAGGAAGTTGTTCAGGATTTTGAGTTCAGGATTTTACCACAATTTGCATCAATGATATTTCTATAGATTTGAAAAGAGAGCCATTAGCCAAGGATTGTGATTATTTACCAATAATGGTGGTTATTTACCATTACAGTCTTTGCTGTTCCTTATTTGCTAATGATATGCATTGGTAAAGCCATAATACTTTACTCCCAGTTTTAAAAATGAAGCTATATGCTTTTCATTATTTGCTTATAATTCAAGGATGATAGCCCTTAATTCCAGTCTCTCTCAGATTCTGGTATGTTCCCACAAAAATGTCCATGCAGAATCACCAAATAATCCATATGCAAATAATTTTTACTAGTTTAACTTAAAATGTTTAAAAAATTAAAAATTTAATGACCATATGACATAACTGTATAGAAGCTGATGCTATGATATTTATATGTCGTTTTATTTTTTATTTAACATTGGGATTTAAAATCAGTAAAGTCACAATTTCCAGTAAGCATATTTAGCGCATATAAACAAGTTTTTTCTTTCCTCTGGAAAATGCTGATTATATTTTCTTACCACTAATTTAATTATCACACTTAACATTTGGGTGGGGCACTAAATATTTCATATATAACTTTTACTTGAGTAATGACTGTTGAAGTTATTCCAATACAAACTTCAAACCACCACAGATTCATGTCTTCAATGACAATGATTCACTTGCAATGAATATTTTCCTCACCTTGACAGAATTCATTTATTCTGATTTCAACAACAATAACTGTTTTTTATTAGATTACATCACTCTATGGAATATACACCATTATTCTGTTGTTTCTCAAGCATTTGAGGTTGTAGTTGATGTACTACATTGTGAAAAGTAAATCTATTAAATGAAATACAATTGATACACACTTGAACTTGTATATAATTTCCAGTTTACTTCTGAAAGCTGTTTACCCTTCTTCCCTCTCTGCCATCCATTTTCTAGATATACCAATGTATGAACTTAAAACCCAAAACAGCAATTTTTTTAACCTTCTAAATCTACATCTCAAACTTGAAAAAAACACTACTATGTCAAGTGAGAAAAACAAAGGAAGATACATTGTAATTTCTAGGTTATAAACAAGCTAACATATAACTGTGGCAAATTGTGCACCCCCTTTATTTTAATACGCTGCAAGACTATCTAGTACAGCACCATTCTGCTTACAATTGAAGAAAACTCTGTACCTGATATTGACCTTTTAAAGAAACCAAGGACAATCTTTTTTACAGATTAAAAGACCATAAAAGTGCTAGTTCTGCCATTGCCAGAAGCACTAACTGAACCTCTATAGAGAATTATTTGCAAGAAAAAAAAAAGATTTAGACAAGTTTCTATAATATGCACCATCCTGAACAAGGGAGACAGAAAAGAAAGTATGTCAAATCAGCTATTAGGTTAAATGAATTAACAAGAGTGGCTTGATGTCTTCTAAGCCCAGCAGTGTTGTGTTGTGGTTTTGCCTTTAAAAAATTCGTTGTATGTAATCAGCAGGACTCTGGCCTTTTAACTTTTAGCATGCTTCTACAGTTAAGCTGCTCTGCTCCACACTCAAATAGCTGTCCACAGCTGCTGCAAATTGATTTATCCCTAGATAATGGCTGCAGCTGATGGCCAAAATGTCACTGCGAAACTGTTTAACAATTTAAGGTGTGTTTGGCCTAATATAACCTGATTTTAACCCTACTTTTAAATGTATTAGCCTCTGCATAAATTCTTCTAAAAACATTCAAGTTGTATTTAATATTCAAATTTTCTTTCTTCATGTGTTTGGAGAATTTTTCTGTAGCTAAGCTTACAACATAGCCCTCAAAGTATTGTAGAAGCTGCAGGAAAGAAGCCTTGCTACCCAGAGCTGGAAGCATCCCGGCTACACACAATGCAAGAGCTAGATTTTGTTCAGAGAACACCAATTCAGATCACATTTGAGATTAAGTAAAGATCATATAAGTCCTCATAGTACCAGTAAAATAGGTTAATCAGAATGAATACGGATGAAAGGAAAAAATTACCCTATTCTTTAAATAACCTTTAAGCATTATAAATATATTACGGATCTATGTGTACAGAAAAGTATAATAGTGGAAACCTATGAATAAAATACTGTATCTTTTAAAGTGTGAGTATATGTTATTTTCATTATCCACAAAGTGGGATGCTTTCAGTTCAGGTTAATTCTCAATATGGATCTTCAGGAATCTTTACCAAAAAGATTTTTCTTAAATACACAATTACATGTAGGGTAGAATTAAATTGGTTAAATGTTTATAAGTTAGATCATTTCAAGTCTCAAAAAAACTTGCCTATGAACTATTCACATATGGCTGATTTGAGCCTTTGAGAACTTTCTTAGTAAGATGCAATATACAATTAAGGATATTAATCTGACTTGGTTAGGGGAAATTCTATCTGGACTTCAAAATCTCCCTGTGAGAGTTTCTAAAAACATATTTAGTGGATTTTCCACTTCTGTTTTCAAGCAATAATTTATAGGCCTCCAAAAATAGTTCATGTATTAGTGATATCCAAAATAGCAGGCAAAGTTATTATAATATTACTAATACTCACTTCACAAGATCACTAAAATTACTTAGTATAACACGAATTTAAAAAATGAACAATGCCTGATCCCCATGTCTAAACCAACATTTTTTATTTATTTAATGGCTTCTGGGTTTCCTGACATATTAGTGGCTGACCCAGTTTTACACATAGATTGAATTCAGCCACTTTTAATGCTGAAAGTAATATTATCAAGAAGATAGCTTTTGTCCAGAACCTTCTTTTTCATATGTGCATGTTTGCATTCTTCAAAAAATGTAAACAAAAGTATTATCAACACATTCCACTCTAGAAAAATTGTAGCAATTCTTTATAAGCAAAGAGTTAATTATTTCAGAGCTATTTAATATAGACTGTTCCTATTTAGAGTATGTCTCAAATATAAGATGAATTACTCGACAGCTGATAAAGGCTATAGAAATTCCTAATTCACATAATAGTAAAAAAATAATCCCCAGGCTTCAGGCATTTCAGTAAATAAAAAATGTAAAAGGCAGGAATAAATGAAAGAAATATCTGCAATGATAAATGTAAAGTAGAGAGAAAATTAGGTCACTAAATGGAGACATGTATAATGAATCATTTGATGTCATATGTAAAAGACTGTTCAGTATTTATTGAAAAATGATTTGTAAATAGAAAGTTCATATACAAAGCATTAGTTTTAATCTGAGAAAAATAAATGATTCTGTCATAATTAACATATTTATTACATGAAGAACACATTGCAATTCATTCCTTCTGTTCATGACAATATTAACAAATACCCCATGCATTGAATTTCAGGCTCTTCGGGATGATGAAGGAAAATGCAGAGCAGTTACAATTCTGAAATTAATGGTTATTTCTAAGAATCAGTCACATTTCAGAACATTGACCACTGTACATAAAAAAAGTCATTGTCTTTTTAAGTTTTTTCTTAAAAAACTAATTTTTGTGGATAAAAATTTATTTGTTAGTTATTGCTTTTAGATAGCTTGGGGCCAAGAACAATTGGCTCTGGGTTCAATTGGGTAATTGCTGTGCTTGAATTTTAACATATTGAGAGACAAATCACTGTGTGTTTTGATATACCTTAAAAAAACACTTCTTTTCCCTTTAAATTTTAAACTAACATAAACTTCTCAGCAATGAGCAATCAACAACATCTTCTACAGAAGCAGTAATATGTTTAATTTTTAAATTAATTTTACTTTATAAAAACAATTTCTCTTCATCATTTTGTATACCAATTCACTGAAATCAGGAAATTGGTGGCCTTTTAATATACAAATCACAAAAATTTAAAAATAATATTCTTAGTGTTTCACTTGAAGTTATGTTATTTCATCTTTTATTCCAACAAATGTTTAATTGAAGTAAATGGAAGGGAGTTTGTCCATGATAAACGATATGATCTTAATTGTGTTTTGCTATATTGTTTTTCCTCCCCTGGGTGCAAAAGGGGTAGGACTAGAAAAATCCCTGCTTCCCATTCATTTAACAAACATATTCACCTACAAAATAACTCCATCCGCTCCCTCCCATTTGTGTTTCCCAAGACTGCAGAGTTTACGCACATGTGCATCAACACCTGAGAGTGACAGGGTCTGATGTGTGTCTTCCTGCAGATGCAGTGCTCATGGCCATGAGGGAATGGATGTGTAATGCTGTGCTGATACCAGCCAAGTAATATAATGTGGTGCCATCAGGAACATTATTCATAGTTGATGAACACATACCTTTTCTAGTGAAACACATACATTTCAGAAAGAAATGCATAGATCATTTACTGAAGCACATTTATTATAGCAAAATGTGTACCTCAACTAATGAAACACATAGATCATAGAGTAAAATGATTATACTTATATTGAGCAGGTTTAACCATTTACGGATATTTTAGCAACAAACCAGTTTTTGTTCAGGCCAAAATTCAGGCCAAAACTGAATTGACAAATAAACTAAATATTTGTATGGGTTAAATACGACACAATATTTAATTATTTAATTGTATTTTGTATTTGACTGGCTATTTAAAACAATGAAGTTTTATGCATCTCCAGCTCTACAGTTTTAGCTACAATCACTTATGCACAAATAACAGGATGTATCTTTTCACATGCTTTCCAATGGATTAACCAGGACTAAATATGAGTAGCAACGAGAAACTGAAATATGATGTTTAGGGAAGGCAGGGAGCATTTGGGGGTGCCAATTTATTGCCTCCCTTCAAATAAAATTTAGCACTTGCATTTTGACACAATTGTATTCTAGGACTAGCAGCACATCTTGACATAATCTACCTTTATCTGCAGTAACAAATGCCAAGAAAATCCAGAAATAGGATGTGAGTCAGTGCCCCTGCCCCTCCAGGGTCAGCAATAAACTATCAATTCCCACTGTATAAATTCAGTTAGCCCTGGCTCTCTATTGCCCTGAGGAATAGAATGGGTCAAACACTTTGTTTATGACTAAGGAATCTCTCAGTACACCAAGCTTTGACCATAACCCTAACTCACCAGAGCTGGGGATAGATGTGAATTCCAGGCTCTTGCTTTAGTGAGAACATAATTCACATGGACAAACATTGCACTGAGAGACTTTGCAGGATTGATCTGATTTGTATCATTGTTCTGTGTTGTGTGTGAAAGACTGTTTTAGCCTGGGTTTCTCTTGAAGTCATGCAGAATGGCCTCTACCAACTTGGAACTTAATTTTGAAAAGCAAAACTAAATTGAAGAATTATCTTCTCTATTTAGCTTCTCTTCAATCCTACTAGTACATGAGTTGAACAAAGGTAGGAGAAGTAAAAGGAAAAAAGCAAAATCAAATGTAAAAAAAAATTC
Organism: Homo sapiens; assembly: GCF_000001405.40. NCBI lineage: Eukaryota > Metazoa > Chordata > Mammalia > Primates > Hominidae > Homo > Homo sapiens. Next base: position 104,412,927 of record NC_000004.12, read on the forward strand.
TCAAAGGAAGGCAAGCAAAGTCTTTCTAGGTGCATAATATAAACGTTTTTTTTTCATTATTTAATGCAACTTCTCAGCCCAAATTTCAAATGCTTATCTATATTCAGAAGAAGTAAATCTTAAGTTTATGTATCATTTTTTTTAGGATCTTCTCGTTGAGATTCAAGACATTCTTCATTTTAGAATGAGACATTGCCCTGCTGATGTTTGTAGCTGACTTGAGAACTGCCATCCTTTCCAACTTTGACTTGAGAACTTAGTTACAGATGTTCATTATATTTGAAAGATTCCATTTTTAAATGTATAGTACATCATGATTAAATCTTTCATTTGTAGTTTTTTTATGTTCCCCTCCCCCATACTGTGAAGCCTTGAATCCTTGGGTATAAGAGGTATAGGAGATAAAATTGAATTGACTAGAATATTCAACATAATAAGCAATGAATTTTTGCTGAGATTCTCCACTTTTTCTTAAGTTATAGGAGCTCATTTCATTATTTGTTGAACCCTCCAGTGACCCTGGGATTTCACTATATAATTTATGTTTCCTGATACAATTCAACAGTGTAATCTTATGATTTATGTGCTTCATTTATAATTTGATCATCTCAGTATAATGCATGTTTTTCTACATGATTTATGTACTTTATCCCATAATATATGTGTTTCACTGTATGATATATGTATTCATCAGCTATGTATTATGGCCCTGGTGGCACATTCCTAGAAGAGGAGGCAGAATACCCCAGCCTGAGGGTAAGTCCTGAGGTTAATTGCAATCAATTCACCTTCCACACAATTACACTTTCATCTGCTGGAGCTTGTGAAGTGAGCATGCTTAACATGGCAGCAGCAGGGAGGCAAGTGTGCCAGTTTCTTTTTTTCTAGATCCAAGAAAAAGCAGATTCCATCAGCAGATCAGGAAATTGGAGCCCTACAATATGGTTTTCTCCAAAAAAACAACAACAACATATTTTCCATATTATTAATCACATTTCCATTTTTCTGATATAACCTGATTTAAGCTATAATAAATACATATTTACAGAAAGACTGGAAACAAATAAACTTTCATTTCAAATAAGCAGTTTTTAAAAATAGTAATTATTTAAGAATCATTGAAACCTCTCATAGGGAGCTCTCCACAAAGCATACTTTCAAAAGGACTTTCACTAAACTCATTTCTTCAACAAGCATCACTGAGTTCTGTCAGGCATTTTTATTTTCTGAAGGCTTCTTTTCTGTTACATTTACTCATCCATTCATTTACTCAACAAATATGTATTGAGCTCTTCCTTTGTTCCAGGCTAGTATAAAACAGACCAAAAGCCTGTCTTCATAATGTCTGTATTCTGTGGTAGGAAACAGAAAATAAGCAAAATGAGTAAGTAAAACAAATGATACTGTAGACCGGGATATGATATGGGCTATAGAGCAAAATAAAGCAGGGAAAGGGAATAACGTTCCTAGTTGGAATTATGACATTTTTAAAATTAAGTTAGGCATTTGATAAAAGCTACACTGAGGAGGAGAGATATTTGAACAAAAGGAGCAAGGGGAAGAGAGGAGGAAGATGAGTTCAGAGAGGTGGTAAGTAGAAGGTAGATCGAGCAGGGCCATGTGGACCATTGCCAACATTTTAGATTCTACTTCGAGCAAGGAGGGAGGCCTGTGATAAACACAGAGAAATAACAGGAGCTGACTTCTGCTTTGAAAGGGCCACTCTGGGTGCTCTACGGACCCATCTGTATGAAAAGATAGAAAGATGGGGACTAGTTCTGGGCTGCTGAAATAGTCCAGGCCACAGGTGAAAGCAGATTGGTTTAGGGTGACAGTCATGAAGAGACAGTGAAAAGTAGTTGGACTCAAGATAATTTTTTCAAGGTAAGCTGACAGAATTCTACGAGGGATTGGATATGGAGTGTGGAAGAAAGAGAGAAGCCAACTTATTTGCAAGCACATTAAAGTGGAAGCTTTAAGCAAATACTTGAGTACTGCTGCATTGTTATTCACTCAGATAGTGCATGTTGATAACTAGAAGATTACTGACCACATTATTTTAGTTCATGTTTTCTTGATACATATTCACACCATATGAAGTCCATTTCATATCTTTATTTAGTGAGTATCAAATGCTTTACCTTCCAACCTGATTTAATCGCCAAACAGGTCAATTTGGTGTGTGTGATTATTTTTATTTCAAGAGTATAAGTAAAGCAAAAGAATGGAGAAAAATGAAAATATATTTAGTTATTGTGTTTTGATTTGTTGAAATTATTTGAAACAATTCCATTTATATTTTGTAATTTTATCAATACATATCTTAACAAGCAATCATTTACAATATGACTAACATTTTATGGAATCCCTTAATTACCAATAAGTAAAAAGGTATATAAATATAAATATGTTATTTATGTTTAAAGTAGAATGATGTTTACTTAAAATATTAAAAATATTTCAATATATTTATATATGGTTTTCAAACAAAAAATAACATTTATTTATTGGCCATAAAATAAACAAAAAAAGATATCTAATTCAATATTTCCATCTAAGCCAAATTTATTTTCAAACCAATTTTAAATTACACTGATATCACTATTGCCTCCTAAACCCTAAAGATAATATAAATGTTACACATTTTCTAAGTCTGAAAGGTAATTTCATAAATGTTTTAAGACTGGACTTCAGATATGAAATACCTATCTTTAGAAAATAATTATTATTTTGGTACCTATAAGTAGGTTTGAGGAAAGGAAAGGATTAGAGAAATCTTGACTAATGTTTCACTAAGTTACAAAATTAAAAAGAACATGCCTTGACTAAAACAATCACTTTAAAATACTTATTTTTAAAATTTAATAAATCAATTTTTACATGTTATTATCAGAAAAGATTTCTTAAAATTATTGGGATTGTGAATTTTGAAAGTAAAAATGATTAGTAGTATTACAAAAGTAATTTCCCACTGTTTAAATATTATTCAACACCAAAGGATTATCATTATTTCAGTTATTCTAAATATTATACTAAAAGTAAAAAACAAGGAAAAATATATGAAAATGCTTATTATTTCTGTTGGTTTCCTTTTATTTTCCAATAGAAAGTTATGTTTTAATGCAATTTAAAAGTTAGTTTTATAAACTGTGTGTATAAAATCATTAAAACTGAGGTTTTGAAGATCCTCCAATATGCAAGATTGGAGTGCATAATTTATGGGGCCCAGGTCCCACTCTGTCTATTCTTCATGACCTGGGGCACATCATCAACCCCTCTGCATCTTTACTTCTAAAATAGTAACAAATGTAAGAGGTAGTCTATATGGATAAGGAGTGGTTTAATAGAAAATCCCTGTGCTCCTTCACTTAGGAAGATAATTAGTAAAACTAAAAAGAGTCAAGGCATCCAAGTTTCCATTACACATATATAATTCAAACACTTCTTATGTACTAATTACTGTGTTAATTTGTCAGGCGTTCAAAAATAATTAAGATTACCCACTAAAGAATGTATTCATTTACTAGGGGATTCAGTTATTTATAAACATTGTGTTAAGAGCTATGACAAATAAATAGATAGGGTGCTGCAAAGTGTGAGATAAATTCATCTAACCTGCTTGATCATATCAGAGTGAAAAAAAGGCTTCCATGACAATTTCTGGAAAAGGTGGTACATGCACAGAGACACAAAGGATAAGTGCCAACTCATAAAGAGTTGGGGGCATGGTAGTTAAAGAAATTAAAGGAGCAAAGGCCCAGAGGTAATTGAAATGCTAAGGCTTCAAAGGCCATAAAGATGAGCAGTCAAGGACTTAACCTGGGAGGGTAGACAAAGATCAAATTCCAGGGTATTTGAATTTTATCCTGTAGAACAGAATTCACCTTCCCTTGTGCTGGCTACACAGGTGTGCTGTGAATGGATTTACAACTGTGATCCATTCAGCTTTAAGGTGAAAAGAGGGACCTGGTTTAGCCAGAGCCCCAGTTGAGTCACCTCAGACCTTGGACCTTTGTACCCATTTTTTTTTCACTGTGCTCTATAAATATGATCATTTCCTGTAATGTCATGACATGAAAAAGTTAGCAATCATTCTTTGGTCATAGTAAGTCTTAAATAGTACCTGACAAAAGGCAAGTTTGTTATAGCCAGACATGTCTGCTCAGAGAGGTAGTCTCCCCACCAACCCAGGACTGCAAATCCCTCCCTATGGCAGGAGAGAACACAAGAGGCAGCAGAACACAAAGGAAGGCAGAGTGCTCAGTCTGCACCCAGACACAGCAAAGCTGCAATGCCACACAGCCATTTCTGGGTAATGAGGGAAGCTGGCAGCCAGAATTTTCCAGAGCACATTGGAAGGAAGAAAATCCTCCATAGTAATGCCTCTGAAAAACACTGGGCATTTAATAGGAATCTTGAACAAATGTATCTGCAAAGAAATAGGAATGAGGAACCTGTTATAACAAAAGGGCATTCTAGTACATATCAGCATGGGGCACTCAGAAGAGGCCCGTATAATTCAGCAAGCTCAAGGAAAGGAGAAATCCACAGGCACCAGAACAGAAACCCACATCTCAGATCTCTCAAAGGGGTTTCTCCAGTTCACTAGTGGTGAGAAGCTGTGTATTTACATTGTATTTAACTAATGTTAGTTAACAAACATTTTTCTACTATTTTCAAGATTCCAAGAGCTGTTCTATGCCTTTAACAAATGCGGCTACACCTCATAACAATCCAGTGAGGTTAGGTCAATAGAATCTATAAGTATTCTGATTTCACAAATGAAGAAACAGATTCAAAGAGGCTAATAAAAGTTTCAAGATTACACAACTTTAAAGTGATAGAGTCAAGATTCTACACATTTGTTTGGCTCCAGAATTGGTGACCTTAACAACTACGCTCTATTATCTCATAAAACTCTACTGTCTATATTCTGTGATTATAATATACTATAACATTAGGGCATAGCATAATAAATATATAATATAATATCTATGTATTCAGGTGTACAAAATCTATGTAGCTTTCAGTTACTAATGTTTTTACTCCCAACGATCCATTTTCCATATAGCAATAAAGAAAGCTCCCCAAAATATTAACAAAATACAGTTTATACATTATCTTCCATGAAATCCTTCAGAGGCTTCCCATGGTTCATAATTTAAAATCCACAGTTGCTACTACGGTTTAAAGATAATATATTATCCATTTCAACCTTTAGCTCCCAGGGTCATAAAATTCTCTCCTTTTATCACTCAAAGCATGCTATTCAATTCGCTTGTTTTTGTTCTTCACAAGACTCTTTGGTGGTAGACTCCTAATCATTCAGATTGTTCCCCTAGTGCCATCTGTCATAACTCTTCATTGATCATCCTATCTAAAATAGACCCTTCCCATACCTTTTTTAACATCATCTTGATTTCCTCCATAATATTTATCATTCTTCGAAAAAATATTTTTAATTTGGTTACTTGTTACTATGTATGTATTATGCCTGTTGTAGAATATTAACACATGAAAGCAGGAACTTTTCATTCTGTTCACTTACATGTGAGTCATGCCAGTACCTAGAACAGTGTGACATTACCTAGACAATTGGTGCTCAGTACTTCTGGAATAAGTAAATGCATGAATCATCCAAGGAAACAGATTGGCTAAAAGCTTTCATTCAATCAACGATAAAATTCTGTTTACTTCTGAGAAAAAATCATTTTAATGGCTAGTAAAAAATGGGTGATTTATGAAATTTCCTAATTTTTATAGAATCAGAACAACATAATGCACAAAACTGTGACATTTACAGACCTCCTTTGAATCCTGGCATCTTTAATGACAAGTTCTTTATGAGCTTGGGTAAATTATCAAATTTAGTTATGACATAGTTTCCTTAAATTCATATTACATTACCACACAGTGCAATGTATAGACTAAATAAAATAACATATAAATATTTTATCATAGAACCTGGTACTCAGTTAATGTTAGCTTTCATTATTACTATTATAAAAAATTAAAATAAAAAATCTCCCTTTTTACATTGAAAATTTCAAAATAAAGATATATTGCTTTAAGTATTCACAATAGGGTATAACAATGTATGCTACACCATCACATGATGATACCTTCTTCGAAAATGTGTAAATGAAAGAATAATTGCTCAATTTCAAATGATGAGAATTAGATCCAATAATATTATACATTTTTGTATAATGTTAGAATAAGAAGAAAACAGGATTTGTTTAGATTCAATTAAGAGTAAATGTATAAAAATTATCCTATTTGATTTTGGCAAAAAAATATGAAATCTGCCCTATTAAAATAGTCAACATATTTATATTTAATATATTCAACCCATAGCAATGTTCAATTATAAAAATTCAAAAGGCATACTTAATACATAATAGTAATGACATGCAACCTATATCTATTTGTCAGTTCAATGACAACCATAGTATGGCATTAGTTCGGTGACATCGCAGTTATGCAAAAGGAGTCCAAACTTTGTATAAAGTATTAGTTACCCCACCTAAGTAAAGTGACATACAATAATTCTGTATAGCTGTTTTAATAAGATACACAAGGTGGTCATCCTTCAGAATGCTTCGAAATCACATTTCTGTGGCCAGTAGCCATTGGACTTGCAGATTCGTTTCCAATCAGTGTTACTAAATGTGTATACATTTTTCCCCAATCTCATAAACACCTCATTGGTCAGTTGTTCAATTATAATGAGAATAGAATTTTGTCTCACAATTTTCAGTACTTCTTCATTAAGTCTGGGCCACCCACTTACCTCCAAAAATCATTTCTTACTTAATTTCTATTCAAACTGGAACTTTAGAGGAACTGTAAGTCAAGAAGAAAATCTCAGGCATATTGAACATTATATATTGGTTGACTGATAGTTTTTGCCAAATTTTTTGCAATAAATAAATGCTGGAAAATATTATTTCACTGTAAACAGTAAGCGTAATTCTTATGAGTCATACCTGGAAAGTTATGAAAGCAAAATATCCAGGTTGGACAGCCAATGGCCCAGCTTAACTAGAATCATAAAACATGGCCTAGCTCGTCTGGTGGTTGTGTATATTAGAATGCATGTTATTTATTATTATCTATATGTATTTTTATAATTATTTCCAGCAGGAAGTTTTTTGAATAGAGTAAAATTTCAAAATTGAAGTAGGAAAAGGCTTGGAGTGAACTTTATATTTCTCTGTGGTTATTTGTTTAGTTTTGGAAACCCATGTTATAAGAGTGAGAAAGCTAGCTCTCTGTCTATAGCACAAAATTCAGATGGTCTGTCTGGGAGGCACAGTAGTGAATAAACACAAGGGGTCACCAGCTATTTTCAAAATTTCATATCTAAAGGAGCTTGTTCCTTGACTTTGGGGTGCATGGTTTCACTCATTACAAGTTAAACCATTGCTAAGGGGCCCCCTTTCCAAATGGACATCTTCCTTTACAAGTTAAAATCCATAAATCACATATCAAATGCTTTCTAAGAAAAAGAAAGCCTATTTTTGGTTTCCCCTAGAAAACAAGCAAACTTGGGAAGGGGGGAAGTGAAATAAATGAGTCTGGTAAATTATAGTTATCAGACCATCTATGAAAAATCTCAATTATCCAGCCCCCTCTGCTGCTTCAGCCAGGATTCCACACTGGCAGTTCTGTGGAGCTTAATAACTCTAAAAGCGTCTAGATTTTCTTTCATTGATCAGATTGTCCTCTTTTCCTTTCTGATTTTCATCTGTTTGGAAGTGAAGGTGAAAAAGAGGTTCCTTGAAGCAGCTCAGGAAGGAAGAAAAAATTTAAAAGGCCCAAGCAAATAAACTGTTAAACTGCAAGCAGCGATGTACAACACAGCTCTCTTTACATCAGGCTTGGGAGGCATTTTACTGAACTGTCTGTGAAAGAGCTATGTAAAGCTAGGGGATTGAGGGAGTTGAAGTGAGAAGGCACAAAATTGTAATGCTTCCCAGAGCGGTCCAGCTCAGTTCCATCCCCCAAGGCGCCTCCCCCCACCCCTTCCCCCCTTCCTCCCTTCCTCCTCTAATGAGAACACATTAAACCTTTCTCAATGCCCTGATGTGCTCCTACACTGCAGAATCCTTGCATTGCAATGCACAATGCAGTCCGAGGATTTCTAACATTATAAAGAGAGAGAAAATGCTTTCTAGACAGCTCATCCAACCCCTCCCTGGCGCTCAGCAGGGATTTAAGTGTGTCTACTTCTACTGAAAGTAAATGCACGTTTTTGCCCCCAACTGAAGGGACTTTTTCCCTGTTTCCTGCTCACAAAGGCATCTGTATATTCTCTCCGAATCTTACTCTTACACTGTAGACATTGTCAGAATTTGGAATTGTAGACCACACACACATAGTTTATGCTCTCGGTTTATAATACCTTTACATTTTATTTCCTCACACATATTGCCCATTATTTTTAAGCTCTTCACGGAGATAAAGGAAATGTTTAACAAAGCTAGGAAAGCTGGAAGTCCAAATTAATTTCAGGAATAATTTCATCACTTAATTCCTATTTTGTTTTTATACTTTCTCAACTGTGTAGGAATCCGAGATTACATTTTCAAAGAAGTATCCAAAAAACTTCCACCATCCAGCCTCCTTTGACTTCAGTGAAGATTTCATATAAATAATTAAAATGAGGGTGCCTCTTCCTGCAGGATTTCCAAGATTATTTATGTACTATATTCAGTGAAGAAAAACTCTGAATGTTCTTTGCATGAGAAATGCTTTCCATAGACCCACATTCTGCTGTAGCTCAGCCCAAGGACAGTTTCTGAGTCACCAACAGGCACTACAAATGATGGACAGCAGGATGAAACCTCTGGTCTGACCAGAGGTTAAATACTTGTAGGAAACCAAGCAGCTTCCCAACCCCTGCTACTGTCCTGGGTCCCTCCCCTGCTGGCAGAGTATCGGCAACATTTATGAAACATTGACCTGATAAAAACAAACGCAACACAATGATGGCTTTAAAATAGGAGAAAGTTTGACTTATCTAGTGGAGGGAGGATGCATGAAGGTTTGTAGTTTTAGTCATTTTAGGTGATTCTTTTGTTATAGTTGTTTCTCGGAATTTAACAGTTAACTCCTGCCCCTACCCCCAAAGCAGTTCATCTACTAAAACAAGCTCGTAGTGGCAAGTGGAAAAAATAAACCATAATGTTCAACTTTTTATACTTTCATCAAGCCAGAGAGCTAGCAGAGTTGGTGCTGGATGGGATTATATGATAGAGATATGCGGTGTAGGCTCCAGGTGAAAAATTGAATGTACATTGTTAACTGATAACTGGGCATTGGAACTCCAGTCAAATTAAAGGGATCAACTATCAATATTTGTATTTACTTGCCCTGTATTTTCCTGAGCTTGTTTTTGAGAGGGAAAATACCACCGTCCCCACCCCTTTCAAGCTAAAATGAACAGCTTCATCAGTCTCAGACTGTCTATCTGACACAGATTCGTGGTCAGTTTAGAACAAAGCAGTCAAGCAGAATGCTGGGCACCTGGATGACAGAGCTGCTGGATAAGGATTTGCTATGTTTTTCTTTTGTTTGCTTTTTGCCAATTATTTTTTGTTCTTTGTCTTCTAGGTCTAACTTCTATCTAATATAATTTATTCAAGTCAGCCTATATTATTGACTAACACCTATGTACAAGGAAATTAAGAAATGTGGTGACAACTGGGAAAGGTGGTTGATATTATAGTCAAGGTCTCCTTGCCACAGGTTGAGCAGGGTTTTTTGCCCAGTGTGTGACAAAGTGATTTTCTCCTACACAGTTCTCTAGCTTTCCTGATAGATTTGCACCCAGTCTTTAGTGGGTCACTGCTTATTCCAGGCTTACAGCAGGCTCCTAGATATAAGATGCCCACTTCTCCTTTGCAAACCAGAAGACAACTTGCTCAGCCAAAGGGCATGAGGAGGTGTGTAGGCCCTAGTAGTCATTTATTACTTTTGGGTTTTTTTTGTTTTGTTTTGTTTTGTTTTGTTTTTTGAGACAGGGTCTCGTTCTGTGGCCTAGGCTGGAGTGCAGTGGCATGTTTACTTTGACTGCAGTCTTAAACTCTTGGGCTCTAGTGATATTCTAATCTCAGCCTCCTGAGTAGCTAGAACTACAGGCACGTGCCACCACACCCAGCTAATATTTTTATATTCTTTTGTACAGATGAGGTCTTGCTCCGTTGTCTAGGCCTCAAGTGATCCTCCTGCCTTGGCCTCCCAAAGTGCTGAAATTACAGGCATGACCGATGCACCTAGCTCTAATAGTCATTTATTATAGGAGTTGGTACCGCATGCCGAGTTCCCAAATAAGGGAGTGGTGACTCTCACCTGGGAATATTAAGGAAAAGTAGGAAACATTTGACCAAACACGTGAGTTAATCCCTGGTATCTTTACTGGTTCAAGCTCTAACCTTTGACTTTTCTTTAACTGATCATCCATCATGTACTCTATCATTACTACCTGCAAACATGATTAATTATACCGAACTAAACCTAGTTCATGAGAGTAAACACACACATATACATACACTCTTCTAATGACAGGAACTTCTGACTTCTGCAGAGTCCCATTTCTTTGGTTTCCTCAAGGAGGTAACTGCTTCATTATCAAATAATGGTTTCTAATATTTTCCTCCAGGTTTTCTGCACTTGCTTTCTTTAATTTGAATGTTTTGGTGCAATCTCTTCAGAATACAGTGATCACCATAAAAAGTTCTTGGATTATTCAACATCCAGGTACTTCTTAACCTTAAAATTTCTCTAGTTGCTAAGAAGAACCATTGTTTGTTCTAACTTTCAATATACTTGCAATTCCACAAAAAAAACAAAATAGAAAGTAAAATGATTTTGGCTAGCTCTGTGTATGCTTAAGTCTAGTTTTTAGGCAGCTCTATAGCCAAGCATTTCTGACAAGGGGCATTTGCCAAAAGCAGATTTTCATACAGTTTCCCAAGTTTTTAAAATTGAGTTTGAGGTTTTATTTCTTCTTTTTCTCCTTTTCCAAACTTAGTGGCTTTCTTTTATTGGCTTGTGCTCAGATTGAGCATACTAGAAAATAAAATAAAAGTTAACATATATCATTGGAGACAGGCCTGAGAAACTAATTTGAATGTTGGACATATTTTAGTTAGATAATCTGACAGGGAAAATTTCAGGTCTTAATTAGATGCTTTAATTATTCCTTATTGGTAAAATGAATCTTTATTGATAGAAATTTTAAAAAATTAAATTAAAAACACTGAAATTTGCCTTTTCTTTGTTGTAATTATTGTTATATTTTCAAAAATAAATCTTGATTGCTTATCTCTACACTGTTTTTATTTATTTTTTTTTATTTTGCAGCCTTTTATTCTTGTTTGGGATGCCAGAGAAAAGAAGTCAGGTTTAAAAGCCAATTCACAGATGTAGTTTTTTTTTCTGATTATTAGTAATCATGGGAACTTTTTATAGAATATCTAAAATTTAAATGCAGTCTGGAGGAAGACAATACGCCTTTGTGTCTGTTGAGAGAAACCTCCTATTTGCCTTTGTTGTCTGAACGAATTTCACCCTTCTGTCAAAGTGTGTCCACTCTAACCTTTCCTTTCGCTCTGCTGGCATCTCTCCAGTCTCCAAAATGCATGTTTGACTCTCATCTGACACCTTTATCTGATACAGTCACAACACTTCTTTGCATAATGAGCAGGCATTCCCTACCCATCAGAAAGGTAATTAAAAAAATGTTTAGATTTTTGTTTTCATAGACGTAACAGTATAAATGCAACTTCTGCTCAATTAAGCTGCAGTGTCAGTGAGAGGGGGAGGGGAGGAATGGTTCTTAAACAAGAGCGGATTTTATGTTTCTATCTTAAAACTGGAGATACGGATTTGTGATTTTCCCTCCCCCATGGAAAGAAATCTTTAAATAAAGATGTCTTCATCTGAATTGACCACCGTTTATAAAAGCAAATCTGGTCGGGGCTCTGCTGCTTATGCTGAAGGAACATTCCTCCCCATTACAACGGCATTTGCACATTTATAGGAGGAATAAAGAAAAAGATGCATGATACATGTGAAGGAGCCTTCTCTCTGCCATCCAGAGAAAGAAGAACTAAAAGGATTATAAAAGTTCAGATTAAAATGATATAAAATCTAGCATTTGGCTCCAACACTAGTGCCTTGGTCCTCTGAAGCTAATCTGTATGCACTCTGTGACCTCCTCGCAGCGAACCCTGCTAAATATATTATTCCCACGGGGGCTTTCACTGCTGCTTGGTGTCAGAAATCAATATGTATGAGGCGCGTGGATGGGAATTTCTAATAGATCTGCCTGGCCCTGTGCTGCTTTTCAATATCTGCCTTGGACTATTAGTGCCGGCTCGGTGCCTGTGAAATAACCGAGATAATCTTTTAAGGTGCACTGTTAAGGTGGAACCTAAATGTTGCTGTTTCAATTAAAACAAAAATTATATTCATAAATCAGTCAGGTCTGTGTAACCTTGTATAGTCACTCTGGAAGGCTGATTAGAAAGAAGGTGGGATTTAAAGCTTTTGGGAGTGCAATGTTATTTTTAAATTCTACTTAGAGTTTGAAGAAAGGTTTTACATTTTATGTCTAATAATGTGTTATTTGGAAAGGGGTATCAGATTAGAAATGAAATTTAGAAAGCTGAGAGTTCTCAAATCAAACAGTGTTTGTGTGTGTGGTGGGGGGGAGGAGTCATCTTAATAACAGAGAAAAAGGACTCATAATATGTGGTTAGCAAAGTCATTTTCCCCATATTAGATGAGAACACATTTGCACATGGCTCTTTTTCATATAATTTATTCACACTAAAATTATTGCATGAGTGATTTTTTTTGGATAACTGTACAAATTAATTTTATCCCCATCAAGCAATTGTACCATGTCTTTATTTGTACTTGTATCTGTACAGCTATTTGGAGATAAAAGTGGGCAAGAAAGTAGTTCATTAAAGTTCCATGTTACCCGCCCTAACTGATGAATATCTTTCTTTCTTCAGTAGCCCAAGCACAGTGCAAAGAGGCGTTGGTCTGAGCTGTGTACAGGGAGCACAGCATCAGTCTGGATTCTCCTTGTTTTCCTCTTTGTTTGCAGGTTAGTGCTCAGAGGAAGCTGTTCTGGCTCAATGCACAGAGGTGCAGCACCCCAAAAAAGTAGCAAAAGTACTTCATCATTACTGGTAGTAGTAGTATCATTATTAGTATCAATGGAGAACAGGGAGGTAGTCTGTGACCCACACATGCATGTATCTGGCCCTTCATGCAGCAAGGCTGGGTTCAAATCCCTGCATGGTGTGGCACGAAGACAGCCCTCACCCAAGAGGATCATGTTTGGTCATCTTTAGCTCTGTTGCCTTGTGAGGTTGTCACCCTACTAAAGGTGGAAGAACTGGCATATAACTTTTTTTTGTTTTTCTTCTTTTCTTTCTTTCTTGCACACCTCACTTAGCACAGCACAATCCACCTGACAACCCTCTGAAATGCCCTGACTGCTTGTCGGGCCTTCCCTGGATTTTATGTGAGGCCACAGCTTACAATTGGTGATATGGGGCCCTAAGCTGCAAACATCAAAAAGGCAGCACCAAAAAGCATAAGGCTAGTAACCCTCTGTTCATTAAAAAGCTGCCTTTAAATAATAGCTCCATCTACTCCGTCTTTATTTATAGTTATAGCAATATAATTGTTGAGGGAAAAAATACACACTTTTGAAGAATACTCATTTTTCTACTTATTTACTGATTTTCAAAAAACTTACTAAACTGTGAATATTACTCTTAACACAAATTTCCTAGACATCATGTAAGAAAACTCCCTTTAAGTCAGTTTCTCTTTCACACTTGTTCTGTTTTAAAGATGCCATCTCATAGGTACATTTCTATGTGATCTATAACTGAACTTCAGAATTATTAAAATTAAAAAAGTTTAACACACAAGAAACCAAACTTGTCTTTGAGTTCTTTGTTAAAGATATGGAATTCTATGCATTAACTTTATTCAAAATATTACCAAATTCAAAATATTACTAAAATCCAAAATTCAAAATATTACTAAATTCAAAATATTACCAAAACTCGTAAATAAAATGTAAATGTTTATAAAGTATTGTACCACTAGATTTGTTTATTTTTTTCTCTGTCATCCAGAATGGAGAAAACAAGCCACTCCACTCAATTTTCAACTGGGTATATAACACAGTCATGATCTCACATGAGAAATGCCAACCAGTTTAATCTGTCTGGAAGTCCCTCTCCTCTAAATCCTCCCTTCTTTCAACCCTTCAATTAGAGATTTGTGAAAGTCATCTATGTGTTTTCTGCATCTCCCAGAGAGGTGTGACTTTGTGAGGCAGTGACCATAAGCTTCAGCATTAGTGAGGGGAATTATAATAGAATTATATAATGAGTACTCTTATTTAATATAAAATTTAAAAAGGGAGAATAATAAAACCCCACCTATACAGTAATCTTAAACTATCTGCTTCTATATTGGCTGAATAACAGTAACTTCCTAAGCAATTTTACTAAACGTAAAGAAAAGTAAAAAGGAATACATTTTAAAGGTGACTTCTTATCAAGATATTGATGCCTAAGATCAAATCAAGCAAAACACACAATAAAATAAACAGCAGCTGTGAATACAATATGTGTAATAAAAATGAGTATAGGCATAAGGTGTTTATAATGACAAAAAACATACTATTTATGCTCAATATCCTTAATATGCTATTTTTGCTTAATATCCAAAAATGCCTTGTTAATGAATTTGCATAATCTTTTTTGGTATTTCTTTCTTTGACAGAGTCACTACAATTATATCTGTCACAGAATGCCTGAAGAAGTATATTGTATAACAAACATCCTTATCCTCATTAAATATCAATTACTTCTATAATAGTTTGAACACAAAGAGAAATAACTATTGAAATCTCATGAATCTGTCCATCTCACTAAGAAAACTGAGAACTTTTCCTTTGTGAACAGATGCTCCAACCTGGTGGCCAAAGATAATAAAATCTTTATTTTACAGTCAACACCATTGATGCAAATTCTGCCATCCAGCCAAATAAGGGAAACATATTCAATCACTTCTGCTCATATCTAGGGTTAGAGATAATTCAAAACATAGCATCAAGCCATTACCTAGCAAAAGAGTCTGAGCTGACATAAAAAGGCCAGGTTCATATCTTGACATTTTGTGCAAACTTAGAAGAAAAAGGCTTTGCTCCACAAGTCCTGTGCCATTCCAATGAGATAAGAATTTCCTAAATAGAAATTTAAAATGCATTGTTACTTATTTCTATCTGAATTACTTTACTTTCTACTTTTCTGTTCATTTCTTTGCCCTTTAAGTCAATACGTGAGATATATATAAGAACACAGTAGTTGACTAAATAGATCATGAATACAGGAAGGAAAGTGTAGAAGAAAGAGAAGTATAAAGTAAATGGGTTGTCTCCTCCTATGAAATTATAAACTCCTTGAGGACATCAAGCCCATTAATATGGTTTGGCTGTGTCCCCACCCAAATCTCATCTTGAATTGTAACTCCCATAATTCCCACGTGTTGAGGGAGAAACCCAGTGGGAGATAATTGAATCATGGAGTGGGTCTTTCCCATGCTATTCTCATGGTAGTGATTAAGTCTTATAAGATATAATAGATCTGATGGTTTTATAAAGGGGAGTTTCCCTGCACAAGGTCTCTCTTTTGCCTGCTGCCATGTAAGACATGCCTTTCACCTTCCACTATGATTGTGAGGGCTCCCCAGCCATGTGGAACTGTGAATCCATTAAACCTATTTTTTTTAATAATTCCACTCTCAGGTACATTTTTATTGGCAGTGTGAAAACAAACTAATACACCCATCATCTTGTTTTACATTTTCCATGGATACAATTATTAAGTTGGTGCAAAAGTAATTGTGGTTTTTACCATTACTTCAAATATAAAGATTTTATTGGGCCTCTTTAAGTTTTAGCCTATGCAACAGACTCCGCAAATAAAAGGCTAGTAAGTTTCAATGCCCACGCAGAGTTTATATTCAAATAGAGGAGAACGATCTGCAAATAACATTTAAAGTATTACATAGTAGTAAGTTCAATGTATCCTCTAGTTTCATGAAGTCAGGTTTTCAGTCAGCTTGACTCACCATGATAGCCCCAATGCAGTCTTGCACTCACATATGGTTAGTCAAGCAATCAATGTCCAGTTAAAAAAAAAAAAAAGCCATTCAAGGTATTTCTAGGAGAGAGGAATTTAATGTCAGGAACTCATTACAAAAGACTTAGAAGAGCTGTAGGGCTAAAAAAAAGAAAGTGGGAGCCAGCCAGTGAAACAATATGAAGTGGATTACCCAGAGCTCAAGAAGCTGCTCCTACACTTGGGCTGAAGCCAAGAGCCTGTACTGACTATTTGAGCTGGTGGAGGCAGTGCAACCGATGCTGACACTGTTGGAACTGCACCACAGCTAAGCAGGAAAGAGCCAAATAAATACACTTGTGCTAATCCCACTGGAGATGCTGCTGCTGCTTCTGCTATTAGAAGAGCATTGCCTAAGCAGGAGGTTGGAGCCCCTGCTGGGGCTGCCATGGTGGAAAGCATCTTCCGAAGCTGGGACTGGGAAGGAGCAAGTTCCACCCACCACCCTCCTTGGTCTTCAGACCCCTACTGGTGTAACCCAGTGGTGGAGCCTAACAGGAAGCCAACTGACAAGGCAGACTAGAAAAGTAGTTTTCAGGCTTTCAGCCTGCTGAGATACAAAGGAGAAGAAGGGTGTGAAAAGCACTAAGAGACAGGAGATATATAGCCAGCTAGTAGCTTTTCAGATAACGTGTTGAGTGAACAATAGATGTATATAAAATAGATAAATGTAAAAGAGAAAGGACTGCTAACTCTTGTATAGAATTACATGTTTAACTCCAGTGATTTCCAAACATTTTTGGCAATAAAATCTATATTTTTTTAAATGAAATTTTAATAAGAAGCACTAATATATATTAAGTGACAAAAGAAGATACTTAAGATATAAGTTCAAAGGTATTATAATACAAGTTACAAGTTATTGCAGAGTTATTGAGAATAAATAAATCTGTTATGATAAATGAAAACACTTTTATATAGTGATTCCAATTGCCACTTTCAGTCAAGAGTCATAAAATTCTAACTGAATATTAGGAATTTTCCTGAATGAAGCACTTATACACAATCCTAGGGTTTCAAGAAACATTAGAACATTTCTATACTCACAAAAATTAAAAATTAAAAATAGCACATTTGAAAAATAATCTTAAATTATAACAGATATCAAAAGGTTCATAGCAATAACAGTATTTCACTATAGTGAATCTTAATTTTTAATACAGTTCATTATAACAGAGATGTATGTATATCCAGGCAATATTTAGTTTACTAAAACTTAACAACTGCATGTGACAAAAGCATTGAAATGCAAAGTCTCATAATAAGCAGTTAATAAAATATATTTATCTATAGCATTTAGGATGCTCCATCTGCCATTATAGATCTGATAAGATAAAGAATCTGGCTTTGCCCACATCACTCCTTTGCTCAAATAATTTCAATATTTCTTCACAGTACACAAGATAAGCAATAAATGACTAGTTGGCCTAGAATTCAAGGACTTCTAATGTCAAGAATATAACTAATATTCCAATCATATCTTTCAAGATTTATTTAGATAAATTCTCTGCTTCAATTCATTGGTCTCTGTACATTATTCACATTTTTCTGCCTTTTCGCCTTCAATCAAGTCATTTTGTTTATCAAATTCCTTTATCAAAGCCAAACCATATAAATTTAAAAATTACTGTAAAACATGTTCCTATTGCTGAATGTTGATCTTCAATGTTCCTTATTCTACTCCAGAAACAACTCTGGATATCCACGCCTATGTCTACTCCAGTTGCCTTTGTAGTATTTCCATCCTCTCTCTCTTTCTCTCTCTTCCTGTGTGTGTGTGTGTGTTAGGGGCGGGGAATGTTGAAAAATGTTAAATTGGATTCGAGAGCACCATTTACTAACATTCAAACGCAGGTCCATGTTTTAAATAAAAACACCCAAAAGATAATAAAGGATGGCAAATTCATGAAAGTAATTATGGTGTATATTTTACTCACAAGCACCTTTATAAAATGTAGTACTCAATATTTGTTGAATTAATAAAATAAAATACATTAACTTTCAGACACGGTAAAATATTATAGATAGGGCTCTCTACCTAGCTCTCCCTCACCATCGGCAGATATCAAAAGCTAATTAAGGTGTTTACTTACTGAACCCAAATTTACTTTCATGATCCTTCTTAATATAAACCACCATTACTTATCACTCAGAATGGAACAGAAGATAGTTATTTGCCATACATTGACACAGATTCAGTGTATTAGTCTGTTCTCATGCTGCTAATAAAGACATACCCAAGACTGGGTAATTTAAAAAGGAAAGAGGTTTAACTGACTCTCAGTTCCACAGGACTGGGGAGGCCTCAGGAAACTTACAATCCTGGTAGAAGGGGAAGCAAACATATCCTTCTTCACAGGGCGGCAGGATGGAGAAGTGTGAAGCAAAAGGGGGAAAAGCTCCTTATAAAACAATCAGATCTCATAAGAACTCACTCACTGTCATGAGAACAGCATGAGGGTAACCACCCCTATGATTAAATTACCTCCCACCAGGTCCCTCCCACAACACGTGGGGATTGTGGGAACTACAATTCGAGATGAGATTTGGGTGAAGACATAGCCAAACCATGTAATTCAGTCTTTAGAATATAGTAATTTGTATTTTCATTTAACATTTAATGTTCTTTCAACATTTTGCTTCACCAACTGGACTATAATTCATGTGAAGACAGGGAGAAAATATATCTCCTCAGCCTATGCAAGCCTCTACACATAAAGTGTAATTATTAAATATTTGTTTAAAATGATGAAATATATGCAGAATCAGGGTATTACGATTCATTTCTGCAATGCACTCAGGCCAGTGAGTGTAGCTCAGGAGAGCTTAAAAAATTACTGTAAAACATGTTCCCATTGCTGAATGTTGAACTTCTATAGAGCATATGCAGTTGAAATTTCTGACACAAATCTCCTAAGGATCACTGTCAAATATAAGGCCATTTGAAATGGACATAAACTCTTCTTCTGCCCTTCCCCCTTTGCCTCTAAGTTATTGTGCAATTAGAGATTCCTTCCCATGTGCTTAAAATATAGCAGAGAAAAACAGTTACACTATTCTTTTTATCTGTAAGTCACACAAGTGTTGTCCAGTCTTGAAAATTATGATGTGATCAGCTCTTCTTTTAATGTTATATAAAAATAAACCCTCATCAAATAAAGCTGTATATAAATATTAATATAATCAGGGAAGTGGGGTAGAGTGATAGGAACTTCAGTGCCTTTACTCACAAAAATAGGATATAGGATTTGGTGTGAGTGGTACACATCCAATCACAATTATCACCAAACAAAACAGTCATTTAGATTTGCAGCTTGGGCTTCAACATTTTTATAGGATGAACAAGACAACAGCAACTATGCTGCAAAAGAGGACTGAAAATGGTACAGCTCTCTTTTTTAAAAGGAGGGAAAAAATCTTATTTTTTATCATCTTTCCAGTCTGCCTCTAAAACACATCCTGGAGGAAATGAGTTGCTTACAAAGTGTGGAACAACCCATTGCTCCTATATTCTTTATTCCATACAGATAATAAGTTTGATAGCAGTTAAAATATTAAGATGAATCCAGTCAAGATCCTTCCAGCAAACTCTCATTTATCATGCTTGGCCCGTCTATCATATCTCCTTGTAGCTAGATAATCCCTTTCCCATTTTGGTTCAGAGAGCTTTATACACACTACCTCATTAACTTCACAAAGAGCTGTGTGAGCTAAAGAGAAGGCAAGTAAACCAATATGAGACCTGGAAACCAGTTGCCAAGTGCCAAATGCTCCACCAAATACCCATGTACAACTAATGCAATTGAGTTTACTAACCAAGATTTCTAATCATTTCTTTTTCTCTTACCTCTGTTAATGAGCCCATGAGTCTTCACATAAATGTACGGTAGACAAAGTTAAACAGAAAGTGGATTAATTCTCTAGGAATGACCTTTAGTATATGTATCATTAACCAGGATGATTCAGGCAAAAAAATAAGTTTAATTAACTAGCTACTCTGGACTAGCTTTGTACCAAATAAAATGAGATTGGCAGCAGCAAGTAAACATTATCCAAATTGGCTATTTACCTACATAAATTTACCAGATAACTGTTCAGTCTTCAAGATGACTTCTGTTGGGTAAACCTAACCTTGGTAGACATTTTTATTCCATTTTATTTTAAGTTCTGGGATGCATGTGCAGGACATGCAGATTTGTTACATAAATAAACATGTGCCATAGTGGTTTGCTGCACCTATCAACCCATCACCTAGGTATTAAGCCCCACATGCATTAGCTATTTATCCTGATGCTCTCCCTCCTTCCATCCTCTGACAGGCCCCAGTGTGTATTGTTCCTCTCCCTGTGTCCATGTGTTCTCCTTGTTCAGCTCCCACTTATAAGTGAGTACATGCAGTTTTTGGTGTTCTGTTTCTGTGTTAGTTTGCTGAGGATAATGGCTTCCAGCTCCATCCATGTCCCTGGAAAGGATATGATCTTGTTTCTTTTTATGGCTGCATCAGATTGAACAGACAACCTACAGAATGGGAGAAAATGTTTGTGATCTATCTATCTGACAAAGGTCTAATATCCAGAATCTACAAGGAACTTAAACAAGTTTGCAAGAAAAAAAAAATAACCCCATTAAAAAGTGGGCAAAGGACACGATCAGACACTTCTCAAAAGAAGACACATTTTCACTTGTGATTAATCTCTATAGTTTATAGAGTCTTTTTGTTTCATTAGTTAAACTCAACATCAAGAAGTAATTTTCTGACACATCTGTGAGAATAGTATATCCAGTGTTTAATATAACTATGAAAAATGCTGGAAACATATTATAGGGAAGAATCCAAACTGGTCTCCAAAAAGATGTAACAGATACTTCTAAGCTCCATTTCTATGATTATGAGCTGTATTAAAATATTGGATATTTAAAAAAAACTATAAAATGGAAGTGGTAGGTTTTAACCAAAATTCTGTATCATGTGTATTAACTTCTCTTTGGTAAACCTTTTCTACATACTCTCTAATACCATTTTCCTTTTCACTCCATCAAAATTTTTATTCTAAATAACCAATCAAGTATAAGAGAATCACTCCACCTAGATTAGTAATTAATATGAATTTATTGAGCTCTTTATTGCACTCAACACAAGGACTAGAAATTGAGGAATGCAAAATACTACAACCATCAAAAAGTTTATCCTTCAATTCATTACCTATAACTCAACCCCTCAGTCTACCTCTATTTGTTCCTTATCTCAACAAATACCATCATCATTGTCTGTCCAGTTGACTCAAGCTGGAAGTTAGTAACTCCTCTTCCCCATTGTCCCCACACACCTAGAAAAGTCTTATTTATAATGCCTCTTTATCAGTTCTGAAACTAATTGCACTACCACTGCCTACGTCTAGAGCACCACTGTCTAGAGTCTGAATTATTCCCCAGCTCTAAGCTTGTCTCTGTTCTAATTTTAACATGTACATGCAAAGTTGTCTACTGAAAGTCCATATATGATATTGCCACATCTCAACTCAAAATTGTACTCTAATACTCTATTTTCTTCAGGATAAAGTTTAAACTTAGAGTAAACTGTCCATAAATTTGTCATAGTTTGACCCTCCAACCTGATCATTTTTAATTCTACTACTTCTACATATGTATAGCTTAGCCTACTAAATGTTTGTTAAAATCCATTTATTTTTCAACTGTTCACTTAGCAAGACATCATTTTCCAGCATCTCTTACCATTTGGAGTGTTCATATGACAAAATTCTGACAAATGGGATTTAAGCAGGAATGATACATGTCACTTCTACATCAGAATGGTTGAGAAATGGGTGTGTCTTTCCCACGGTATCTTTTTCTATCTTCCAGTTAAAAAGGGAGGCCTTTAAGGACCCAGAAAAGGAGAGAGATGTAAGACAAAGGAAGGCTAGATCCCTGAATTATTATATGGGAAGCCGCCTCACCAGGAACACTGGCAGTGGAATAGAATTTGTGATTTATCTTTAACAGCAATTGACATCCTCTTAGTTTGTATTTGATCCTTACCCAAGCCACGTACTTTTTCTAAAATATTTCAGGTATTCACTCAGTTCCAGGTTTGGCACATGATGTTGACTGTCTAGAGTCCTCTGGCCTTTATGTTAGTTTTATTTTTCTCACTCCTGATCATCTGCTAGATTTTGGATTAAACTTCACTTCTGCAAATTATCCTTGACCAGCCTAACCCTTCCCTAAAGCCATACCTGTGATCCTTTTATGTGATTTAAACACCTTGGACTTACCTTATTTAAGCATTTATCACACACTCACTGCATTATATTTTCCTATTGATCTGTCTATCCTACTAAATCTAGCAAGCTTCTTAAAAAGTGAGCCTATGACATGATCACTGTTGTATATTTAGCAGCTTACACAGGAACTGGTACACAGGAAGCATTTATATTTAAATCAGTAAATCATCAATAAACTGCCTATAATATCTTTGAATCAATAAACTGCTTGTATTTATTCAATTCACAAATATTTATTGATACTTATTACATGCCAGCCACTATGACAGACAAATTAGATATAGCGGTGAACAAAATAATCAAAGTTTCTGCCCTCATACAAATTAGTGTGAGTGGGAAAAAGATAAAAATTGTGATAAATGCCAAAAAGAAAAATTAGATAGCAAATAAAAGAGTATCAGGGTGGGAGGACTAATTTGTATTAGAAAGTGAACCTTCTTTGATGTTGAATTCTGAAATAGTTTGCTCCAGTTCAATGGGCAAATTACCTTAATCATGATGTATAAATAAGGAAACCATGTCAGTATAACATGGAAGTTGCATTGGTTCATACAGTTTTTCCCCCAGCATTATACTATATTATTCCTCCAAATTCTCACGCAGCTGAGTCCAGTTTGCAAGTGACAGAGTGGTATAGTACTATGCACGCTGCTCATTCACCCCATGCTCCAGCTCTTAGCTTAGTCTGGCCACGTGCTCTGTCATGAAATCAGTATTGCAGGGTCTGCCTACTGGATATACATTTTCTCTTTATCTCTATAACTCAGCAATCTCAACTTTTTGTTGAAATCCTTCCATAAACGTTCCATTACTGACTTTTTATGGGAAAATACCCTGTATTTACTCATATAGCCCTTTATGAATAATGAGCTTAACACATTTTTAAAACTGTTCATATTTTCATTGGAGTTATTACTGATTTGTATTAGTCCATCAATTATAAATTTTCAATGTTTCATGAAAATATGAAAATTTCATGTGGTCAGTCCCAGATCTGTTCTCATATATACTTTGTTATTTTCCTGTATTTTATGGAATGAAAGATTCTCTAGGAATCTATATATTTTGTTATACTCAAAACTTTATACCTTCCCTGATTTTCCTCTTCCTTCTTAAATTGCTTCCATACAGATTTCTCTGGAAGTTAATAGATGCCCTGCTCTTCTTGCCATACACCAAACACTGGGCATGTCATTTGGTTCCATCTGTGTACAGAAAACCTGTCCAAATCTACTTGTCTAACTGTGAACTTGGCCTCTCCATCCAACTTGGCAAGAGTTTTCTGTACACGGCATTTCAAACTGTATGTACTGTCACTAACAGAAATGAAATGTGGAGAAGACAATTCAGCTTATCATCTCGCAGTGACAGAACTCTGTGCCTGGTTTCTTTGTCACACTAGGTAGTGCCACTATATCAGCAGCCAGCCACACAGGAAATCTTGGAGTAATTGTCAACTCATCACTGTTTTTTGTTCTATAGATTCATTTTCTGCAACTCCTTCTATAATTGTTCTTATACTTCCCAAACTTGGCCTTTCTTTATTATGCTTTATCCCCTTCTTAAATATATCATATTAAAATTTTCTTATCACCAGACTTTGTGTGGGCCAAAAAGATAAGCATCAAAATCTTTGCTTTGTGAGACCCAGTACAGGTTATTTAACCTGTCTGAATTTCTATATGCACAATTGTTATAACATTTGACTAATGGCATATAAATTAAATCAGGTGTCAAAAACATAAAATCAAATTAAAAACAATTGGGCAAACATTTGCCAAAAACCTAAAACATTAATATTATATTTTAATATGTTTACAAGCTATTAAGAAATAGACTGAAAACCTAGTAAAAAGATCATTGCAAAATATACATCTTTGGAGTAAATATCCAAAATACATAAGAAATATCCAAAAGACATAAGAAATTCAAACAACTCAATAGCAAGAAAATAAATAACCTGATTTAAAAACAGGCAAGAGCCAGGCACAGTGACTCACCCCTGTAGTCCCAGGACTCTGGGAGGCTGAGGCAGGAGGATTGCCTGAACTCAGGAGTTAGAGACCAGCCTGGGCAACATGGTGAAATCCTGTCTCTACAAAAAAAAATACAAAAAATAGCCAGGCATAATCCCAGCTACTCGGGAGGCTGAGTTGGGAGGATTGCTTGAGCCTCATAGATGGAGGTTGTAGTGAGTGGAGATTGTGCCAATGCACTCCAGCTGGGGTGACAGAGAGAAACACCCCATATAAAAAGAAAGAAAAAAAAAAGCAACAAACTTGAATTGACAATACTCAAAAGAAGACATACAAATTGCCAACAGGTATATGAAAAAAATGCTCACCGTCACTAATCATCAGAAAAATGCAAATTAAAACCACAGTGAGATATCACTTCACACTTGTTATTATCAAAAAAATAGAAGATAACAAGCGTTGGCAAGGATCTGGAAAAAGGGAAACCATTGCAAATTATTGGTGGGAATATAAATACATCAAGTCATTATGGTAAACAGTATGGAGATTCCTTCAAAAACAATATCTATATATAATTACCATATGATCCAAGAATCCCTCTACTGGGTATGTGTCCAAAGAAAATGAAATCAATATTTCAAAGAGATATGTGCACTCCCTTGTTTACTGCAGCATGATGTGGCTATACCACAATAGCCAAGATATGGAATCAATGTAAGTGTCCATCAACGGATGGATGAATATGGAAAATGTGATATAGATAAATATATGTGTGTGTGTGTATATATATATACATATATATATACACACACACACATAGAGAGAGAGAGAGAGAATACTAGTCAGCCATAAAAAGAAGGAAATTCTGTCATTTGTGACACGATAGATGGACTTGGAAGACACTAAGTTAAGTAAAATAATCCAGGAGCAGAAAGACAAATACCACGTGATATCACTCATTTGGATTCTTATAAAGCTGATCTCCATGGAAGTAGAGAGTAGAAAGGTGGTTACCAGGGACTGAAGTGGTTGGGGGGATGGAGACCTGGGAGATGTTGGCCAAAGGATACAAAATGTCAGTTTGATAAGAGAAGTAAAAAAAACAAAACTATTGTACAACATTATGACTATAGCTAATAACAATATAATATTTCTTGAAAAATGCTAAGAGAAAGGATACAAATGTTCTTACCACAAAAATAACTATGTTAATTAGTTAGATTTAGTCTTTCCATAATGTATGTATACTTCAAAACATCCTGTTATACACAATAAATACCTACAATTTTATCTGTCAATTACAAAAGAGAGAGAGAGAGAGAGCACTACAGCCTTCTGGGTATATTCCACTTCTTTGAGAAGTTTTACACTTGACAGTTATAAGCAAATATTACTGTAGGCCACAAAATTATTACTCTAATTGTTGTGCAAAATAAAATTGGTAAAGTATGAATAAGTATCTTAATAAGAAATGTAAAGGTCTTATTGTTATTTTTGTATCATAACTGTGCAGCCTATTAAATCATGGATTTTTTGTAACAGGCTTGACCCAATCTGATGAACCATAATTGGAGGTGGTAAACTTCATGGAAAAATCACTGGACTCGAGATTGGAAGATCTTTACTGATGTTTAGCTTTCTTACTAGCTGTTTGGCCATAGTAAGATACTTCCCTGAATTTGAGTTATAAAATGCCAACCATTTTTAATCCTCAGGATTGTTTGAGCAGGGCAACCATAAGCAGATAGGCAGCTTTTGTGTTGTAAAAAGGCACCCATACAAGAGAAAAAGTAGGCTTAAAGCTCAGTCTGTTCTTCAGTGACCAAATTATAAGTGCTGGAGTTGGGGCCATCTATCAGGAGGAGCTATGATATTTTTCTTTCTTTTTTTAAACTTTATTATTATTATACTTTAAGTTTTAGGGTACATGTGCACAATGTGCAGGTTAGTTACATATGTATACATGTGCCATGCTGGTGTGCTGCACCCATTAACTCATCATTTAGCATTAGGTATATCTCCTAAAGCTATCCCTTCCCCCATCCTAAATATATATGCACCCAATACAGGAGCACCCAGATTCATAAAGCAAGTCCTGAGTGACCTACAAAGAGACTTAGACTCCCACACAATAATAATGGGACACTTTAACACCCCACTGTCAACATTAGACAGATCGATGAGACAGAAAGTTAACAAGGATACCCAGGAATTGAACTCAGCTCTGTACCAAGCAGACCTAATAGACATCTACAGAACTCTCCACCCCAAATCAACAGAATATACATTTTTTTCAGCACCACACCACACCTATTCTAAAATTGACCACATAGTTGGAAGTAAAGCTCTCCTCAGCAAATGTAAAAGAGCAGAAATTCTAACAAACTGTCTCTCAGACCACAGTGCAATCAAACTAGAACTCAGGATTAAGAAACTCACTCAAAACCGCTCAACTACGTGGAAACTGAACAACCTGCTTCTGAATGACTACTGGGTACATAACAAAATGAAGGCAGAAATAAAGATGTTCTTTGAAACCAATGAGAACAAAGACACAATATACCAGAATCTCTGGGACACATTCAAAGCAGTGTCTAGAGGGAAATTTATAGCAAACAAGGCCCACAAGAGAAAGCAGGAAAGATCCAAAATTGACACCCTAACATCACAATTAAAAGAACTACAAAAGCAAGAACAAACACATTCAAAAGCTAGCAGAAGGCAAGAAATAACTAAAATCAGAGCAGAACTGAAGGAAATAGAGACACAAAAAACCCTTCAAAAAATTAATGAATCCAGGAGCTGGTTTTTTGAAAGGATCAACAAAATTGATAGACCACTAGCAAGACTAATAAAGAAGAAAAGACAGAAGAATCAAGTAGACGCAATAAAAAATGATAAAGGGGATATCACCACCGATCCCACAGAAATACAAACTACCATCAGAGAATACTACAAACACCTCTACGCAAATAAACTAGAAAGTCTAGAAGAAATGGATAAATTCCTCGACACATACACCCTCCCAAGACTAAACCAGGAATAAGTTGACTCTCTGAATAGACCAATAACAGGCTCTGAAATTGTGGCAATAATCAATAGCTTACCAACCAAAAAGAGTACAGGACCAGATGGATTCACAGCCAAATTCTACCAGAAGTACAAGGAGGAACTGGTACCATTCCTTCTGAAATTATTCCAATCAATAGAAAAAGAGGGAATCCTCCCTAACTCATTTTATGAGGCCAGCATCATCCTGACACCAAAGCCTGGCAGAGACACAACCAAAAGAGAGAATTTTAGACCAATATCCTTGATGAACATTGATGCAAAAATCCTCAATAAAATACTGGCAAACCAAATCCAGCAGCACATCAAAAAGCTTATCCACCATGATCAAGTGGGCTTCATCCCTGGGATGCAAGGCTGGTTCAATATATGCAAATCAATCAATGTAATCCAGCATATAAACAGAACCAAAGACAAAAAACCACACGATTATCTCAATAGATGCAGAAAAGGCCTTTGACAAAGTTCAACAATGCTTCATGCTAAAAACTCTCAATAAATTAGGTATTGATGGGATGTATCTCAAAATAATAAGAGCGATCTATGACAAACCCACAGCCAATATCATACTGAATGGGCAAAAACTGGAAGCATTCCCTTTGAAAACTGGCACAAGACAGGGATGCCCTCTCTCACCACTCCTATTCAACATAGTGTTGGAAGTTCTGGCCAGGGCAATTAGGCAGGAGAAGGAAATAAAGGGTATTCAATTAGGAAAAGAGGAAGTCAAATTGTTGCTGTTTGCAGATGACATGATTGTATATCTAGAAAACCCCATTATCTCAGCCCAAAATCTCCTTAAGCTGATAAGCAACTTCAGCAAAGTCTCAGGATACACAATCAATGTGCAAAAATTACAAGCATTCTTATACGCCAATAACAGACAAACAGAGAGCTGAATCATGAGTGAAATCCCATCACAATTGCTTCAAAGAGAATAAAATATCTAGGAATCCAGCTTACAAGGGATGTGAAGGACCTCTTCAAGGAGAACTACAAACCACTGCTCAATGAAATAAAAGAGGATACAAACAAATGGAAGAACATTCCATGCTCATGGGTAGGAAGAATCAATATCGTGAAAATGGCCATACTGCCCAAGGTAATTTATAGATTCAATGCCATCCTCATCAAGCTACCAATGACTTTCTTCACAGAATTGGAAAAAACTACTTTAAAGTTCATATGGAACCAAAAGAGAGCCCACATTGCCAAGTCAATCCTAAGCCAAAAGAACAAAGCTGGAGGCATCACACTACCTGACTTCAAACTATACTACAAGGCTACAGTAACCAAAACAGCATGGTACTGGTACCAAAACAGAGATATAGATCAATGGAACAGAACAGAGCCCTCAGAAATAATGCCACATATCTACAACTATCTGATCTTTGACAAACCTGAGAAAAACAAGCAATGGGGAAAGGATTCCCTATTTCATAAATGGTGCTGGGAAAACTGGCTAGCCATATGTAGAAAGCTGAAACTGGATCCCTTCCTTACACCTTATACAAAAATTAATTCAAGATGGATTAAAGACTTACATGTTAGACCTAAAACCATAAAAACCCTAGAAGAAAACCTAGGCATTACCATTCAGGACATCGGCCTGGGCAAGGACTTCATGTCAAAAACACCAAAAGCAATGGCAACAAAAGCCAAAATTGACAAATGGGATCTAATTAAACTAAAGAGCTTCTGCACAGCAAAAGAAACTACCATCAGAGTGAACAGGCAACCTACAAAATGGGAGAAAATTTTTGCAACCTACTCATCTGACAAAGGGCTAATATCCAGAATCTACAATGAACTCAAACAAATTTACAAGAAAAAAACAAACAACCTCATCAAAAAGTGGGCGAAGGACATGAACAGACACTTCTCAAAAGAAGACATTTATGCAGCCAAAAAACACATGAAAAAATGCTCACCATCACTGGCCATCAGAGAAATGCAAATCAAAACCACAATGAGATACCATCTCACACCAGTTAGAATGGCAATCATTAAAAAGTCAGGAAACAACAGGTGCTGGAGAGGATGTGGAGAAATAGGAACACTTTGACACTGTTGGTGGGACTGTAAACTAGTTCAACCATTGTGGAAGTCAGTGTGGTGATTCCTCAGGGATCTAGAACTAGAAATACCATTTGACCCAGCCATCCCATTACTGGGTATATACCCAAAGGACTATAAATCATGCTGCTATAAAGACACATACACACGTATGTTTATTGCGGCACTATTCACAATAGCAAAGACTTGGAACCAACCCAAATGTCCAACAATGATAGACTGGATTAAGAAAATGGACATTTTTCTTTCTAAAGTTTCCTTTGGCTTATTGAGCCGTAAGTTTGCATCTGCTCAGAGAAGGTACTTTTTCTAGTTTACTGAAAGTTTCCACATAGGTTACCTGACTGTGAAAACTATAACAACAACAACAACAAAACCCTGAGAAACAGCAACTGTAGAAGTCTATGTATATATAAAGTATTGTTAGTTTTAAAAATTGTTAAGGAAAAAAGAGCAAAGATATGAATAGTTATCTAACAAACTGAAAACTAAAAAAGTAAAATTATGGGAAAGACTTTAATAATTCAAGTAACCAGGCAAATGACAATTAAAATAGCTACAAAATATTATCTTTTTATAAAGTTAGTGAATAATTCAATAATAAAAGTCATTATTGAGATGAGAATGTGTTGAAGAGACACAAACTGCTAGTAGTTTAATTGGTATAAACTGTCTTAATTATTTTTGCAAAATTTATCAGAGCCTTTTAAAAAAATTCTTACTTAGAACCTTAGAACTTAAAATATAATAATTTTAAAAATCTGACTTAGTAAATTTCCTGAAAGCTCACACTATTAGCATTCTCAGAATTCTCCTTTTCCTAGGAATATAAATAAAATATAGGACAATCTTGCAATAAATTATGAAGAAATCCATATTGATGAGGTCACATGGCTAAAATAACTTCTTACCTAGCATTCTCCAAAAAATGAGAGCAATTTAAATAGATGCTTTCATGACTTAGTGCTTCTTTATGTGATAGATTTACTAGGTACAAATCAATTAAAATCTGTGAAATGTTCATGCATTTATATGTAGGAAACAAACTTACTTTATTCAGCAGATAATTGAGAGAATATTGTTCAAATGTGTACTTTAGTCTACCAGATGTCTAGCAAGAGGAGAAACTGTCCTTTAGGTCTGTGTTCATATGCTTTTGTTACAATATTTTCAGATAAACTTTTAATCTGAAGAATATTTGCTATTCTACTTCTTCCTGGTAGAATTTCTTATTTGGTAGTTTTAAATTTTAAAATAATTATTTTTCTAATCCATTTAATTCCCTAGGGCCTCCCTCTTTCAGTAATTCTTTGAATTCACCACAATTTGCTGTATTAACTATCCCCATTTTTATTGTCCGTGATCTCCTCACATTCTCTTTCCCTTTAACTAGCTTAAATTCTGTTTTACATCAGTATAATCATTACATTACATAAAATAGCCCCCTTGCCCCTTCTATCTCTCCACAGTTCTTTCCACTTAAATCTAATTAACTATTTACATTAGTTTACACCTTTGTTGCTGAACATGAATGGAGAAAAATCCATAGCCCATGTTGACAGGTTTTACTTTTAATCAATGACCGCAAACTTCAAGTGAACCCTCACCCCTGCCTGATTAGCCTACTATGTTTCCCTAGTCATCTCACATTCCTGTTATCTTAAACTTCTACTCATCTATATTTCCTGTCCTCTTTTTTCTTCCAACCATCCCCAGCTCAGATTATGACTTTGTTTTCTATTACACTAAGAAAATAGAAGCAATCAGAAAAGAGCTTTCTTATTATCTTCTCACCAAATCTGACAAATCTGCATCTAATTTGATTATGGAGGCATTCTGTGTGATTCATTTCTTCTTATCTGAACAATGAAACAGACTCATGTGATAGGTCCACTTTTATTCAATCTATTTCTTTAAAGCTAATGTTAAGGTTTCAGGAAGTTACTCTGCAGTTGGTGTTAGGGTATGTATAAGGCTTTTCTGATCAACCCTTTTTCTTTAGTAAATCATGAATCTATCCAATGATTCCTGTGAAAGTTAGCCATAAATTATTATATATTGACATCATCTATTAGTAAGAATATTCCAGCTTATGGATCATGTTGCATAATGCATAGCATTAACATTAATCTAAGGACTCTTATCTTTGCATTTTCCTTCCCAAAACATTTGCAATTCAGAGCCTTAGATTACAATTCAGGAAACTACTACAGATGTGGAAAGCAGGAACCTGGTACAAATACCCTTTTCTCTTTCCAATTTGGTTTCAAGATCTATACCACTATGCAATGCTGAACTATACGTGAAACTTGTGGCAGTTCTGAAAGAAGAATGTGACAGTCTTTAGAGCTTTGGTTCCTTTAGCTCATCTATAGTGTGCTACATATGTGAGATAGTTAAATGTTAGTGAAAAAATGCTGTAGTGATAGTAGAGTAGAAAAATGATAAAATAAGTTTAGGTTAAGAAATAGAAGCATACACAACTAAATAAATGGAATTCGAACACAATTTCCAAATATGTAAAATAAATAAGGCTGTATTCCTCAAAAAGATGTTTTAAGCAATGGCACATTATAGACAACATACAGGCACTTCTATCACTGGAGCCATTTGTTTGTAGATCCCAAGAGTTCTTTCTCTATATTTTTCCTTTTCCCTTGTTCTATGTTCATAAAGATTGCTAAAATAAAACAATAAGAAAGCAGTATGATGTACTGGAAAAGTTAAAAGATTTAAATTCTGGTCTCAGTTTTACTAGTTTTTAGTATTGTAACCCTAGCTTAACTCTTTAAGCCAGAGTTTCTTCAACTGTGAAATTAGGAATATAAGATACCTGTAACCTAGGGATATTGTAAAGATCTAATAATTATGTAAGAAAGTGACTATTGAAATGCCTAGCATACTCTGTATATTAAATAACTTTATTTTTAATCATTCCTTCAATTTTGCTTGTACTGTCCTTGTCATTATGAAGTGAAACACCCTTCCTAAGCAATCTCAACCATTTCCATAGCAGCAGCTACCTATACTTTATGCTGGTGCTCAAATCTACATCATTGGTTCAGGGCTTTTTTCTGAACTTGTTTCTACTTGTAAGTGTCCCGCAAAAAGCTCAAACCCAAAGTGAACTGTCTTTTCTTACTTTACCTCAAAATGTATCCTTCAGTAACCCGGGGATCGCCTTAGGGCTCTCTTTTTCTTTCACCTCCATTTCCAATATGTGGACAGGTTTTATCAGGTCTATCTTCTCAACATACCTTTAAAACATCATTGGTTTAGTCAGCATCTTTACCTCTTCCCCCAAGTCTTTGTTCAAGATCTTTGAACAAGATTTTCAATCTTGTTTTCCTTCAAATGAGTCTCACTGTCACCAAAGTAATTTGTCTAAAGACAAAGGTACAATCTTCTGGCGTCCTCATGGCAAACAGAATAAGATTTAAATTCTTTAGTTTGATATATAGACTCCCCAACATCTGCAGACATTTTTGAACTCATATGCCTCTTCCTCCACTGTAAGCTCTGGATATCATGAGCCTGCAGTTGTCTACACATATTATACTGTCTCATGCTTTCTTGCTTCATCAGTTCTAGTCTTTCATGCCAGAATGGCCCTTCCACCTTATGCCCAGCTCAGTTACTTTATCAGCCCATTTATGACCAGTTCATCTTTCCTAGTATCACTTAAGCATTACTCCAAGAAGCCCTCTCTAATACCCTCTCCCTATATAGAACAAATCACCTTTTGTGTGACCTCTTCCTATAACTTCCAATTCATTTATGTTTACATGGTTGACTCCATTTCTGCTATTCAAGTTCCTTAAAGGTAACAACCGTATCTAATTCCTCATGGTGTATCCAGTCTGCATAGTCAGTTCAGGAGACAGATGCCACAATCAAAGTCTGTAATTTGAGGAGTGTTCAGTAATGAGACTTCTCTCAAAGAGTGTGGGCAGGAATTTGGGAAACCAATAAGGAATAAGATAGAATCGGAAAGCTAACATAGAGGGAAGCCATACTGAAGAGTAAGGGGAGGGAGTAATTACAGAACACAAAGAAGATAATTATATGGAGAGGGCTTCCTGGGGCCCAAGAGCTGTGGCATTTTCTACAGGGATGCTGCCAACCTGAAGTAAACCCTGTAGGGAAAGTAACTAGGGCAATAAATACTCCTGCTTCAGTGTCCTCCCTCCGTGCCAGTATTTCCCATATTCTGAACGCAGTCCAGAAGCTGGAGGGAAATGCATGCAGGTTATTAATGTAGTCCATACAGTTAGCTTTTGGGGAATCTAGAGCACACTGAAACAACAACAAAAAATATATAGTACAGAATTTAAAAGAGCTGACAGATCCTAATTGCTTAAAAGGTATATGTTGAATGAAAGTTCATTGAATTATTATTCATGTGTCTTTGAAACCTGTAAAAAATGGACAATAAAGAGTTAAACACAAATGCTCTGAAATAGCATTTCTGCCAGCTTTATACAGGATTACGTTGTGCAGCCACTTAGCTGCTTCAGCAGAGAAATGCTTTAAAGGGAAAGAACAGGAAGCACTGGAGAAAAAGGTTTTGTCATATTTCCTGGGGGAGAAGTGTATTCCTGGTGGTGCTACCCAGAAGGTGGTCTTTTCTAACAAAAAGGTGATGTTTGTGGAGGATAGATGGAAAAAAAATTAGGAAGGCCTGCATACAAACACAAATAAACGAGTAGACATAACAAAAGTGATGTCTAAATAAGAATACCAACAGCACAGGGATAAAAAGAAGTGAGTTTTAGTGACAGGTAGAGAAAAGCAGCAGCAGCATGACTAGAAAGGAAGGAGAAAATGGAGAAATAAAGTGAGATAATAAGGATTTACTGCAAGGAAAACAGGCAGTAGTATCAGGAGGAAAATGAGATATCTGCAGAAGGAATCTGTAAATCGCCCACAAAACTCATAACAACTGTGAGAGCCTCGGAATAGCATGTCTGCCAGCTTGGAAAGATTGTCCAGGAAATGACAGTCTGCTCACCCAGCAGGATCTGCAAGGACAATGAAGGCTCTTCAGGAAAACAACAAAATAAGGCCAAAAGAAGAGAAAAAATGGTTTGAGACCCACACTATTCAAATCCAGACTAATGAATTCCTAACAATTAGTTAGAGATGTCTCTCATTAACTGTACATATACAAATTAATTCTTTGCTAAACTGATTATCATTTTAACATTCTGTGTATATGAAACTAGCTTCGAATAAATCAAATTGTCGATTAAGCTTCTAATCATTAGGTGTCAAAATATCCCAGCCAGGTATTGTCGATGAAAAAAATACATGACTTCATGGAAGTTAGAAACGAAAAGTTATATGAGGCAGTGTGACACAGTGCTCAAGAATGTAAGCTTCGATATCAAACATACATTTATGTCAATTCTTGCTCTACCACATAGGAGATACATTAATTGTGTTTTAGTCTTAGTTTCTTCTTTTGTAAAATGGAGATAGTGCTTATTCTTCCTTCACAGGTTTCATATGATAATTACAAGAGTTAAGACACTTTAAATCATACATAGTTAATACATATTAACACAGGGCCTGGCACACATTAATTGTTCAAATCCTGAATTATTACTATTTCTGATGGAGCCTACTTTTTATTTGATTTGCATGAGGTTGAAAGGAAACTTTTGAAAACTTTTACATTTTGAGGATTGTAAAATATTGTGCAAATTTAAGATGTCATTGGCCGGGCACGGTGGCTCACGCCAGTAATCCTAGCACTTTGGGAGGCCAAGGCAATGGATCACCTGAGGTCAGGAGTTCAAGACCAGCCTGACCAACATGGTGAAACCCCGTCTCTACTAAAAATGCAAAAATTGGCCGGGCATGGTGGTGCATGCCTGTAATCCCAGCTACTCGGGAGGCTGAGGCAGGAAAATCACCTGAACCCAGGAGGCAGAGGTTGCAGTGAGCTGAGATCGTGCCATTGCACTCCAGGCTGGGCAATAAGAGCGAAACGACATCTTGAAAGAGAAAAGAAAAAATATATATATATATATAATTATTATATATAATTATTTATAATATGGGGGAGTGACTGAAAATGTAGCTTAATGATGGCAATTTTTAGCACATCAAGATGCCATACTTAGATTGTATTGTTGTGCCATTACATTGTATTATAATTACAGGGAAAGATAAATAAAGGATATTATTTTAGGAATTAACTACATATTAGTCAAACTATAATGTCATAATATCCAGTTATCCCAGTTTTTTTAATCATATTTTTCTTCAGTGATATGGTTTGAAAAAAATAAAATATAGAGGAGCATATCATATTTTTATTATCTAAATCATATTAAAAATTTCAAGAGTCATTCTACTTTACAAAGTTACTTTAAAGTGTTAGACACATAGTGGGTGCTTAATGAATGTTAAAATTTTTTGACTAAATAGATGAGGCTTATTTTGATCAAAATTTTGGTATAAGTTAGGAATCATGCATGTGGAAATAAGATCTTAGTGATTAATCATTTTTAACCAGATGAAAGTCTTTGTAAATATAACTAATGTACCTAGATGAAAAATGAACAGGTTTTGAATATTGAATTAATGGGTTTGAGCTGAGAAAAGAATTATAACACATTCCACATTTGTATACCACACCACTTCCCAACTACCTCCAACAAAAAAGATGAAAGTTAGGTCAAAAATTATTCTTGCTTAAAATAATACTTATCACTGTGGAATATCTTTGCCTTAACTCTGAAAAGTATGATTTTTGAGTCAAATAATTCTATCTTTATTTCTATTTATTTATTTCTATTCTTTATTTCTATTTTCTCTAGAGTAATTGTAGAAAATGTTTGAGAAACATCCTTGTTTAATCAGAAAAAAAGCAAAATAATGAATTAATTCTGGAGTACTTAAGTAGAAATCATTGATGCCACAGTGTGCTCAGGGCACTAGATATGCCTCCTTGGTGATTTTCATAGTTCTTGCAACAAAACTTTTAAAATATGAAGAAACTTGAAGTCAAATATTTGAGCTATTTTAATCTAGAACTGAACTGTATATATTCTGTATCTAGAACATCCATAAAATTAATTCAAAGCCATCTTCTATGCCAATGCCCCTGCATAAAATGACACACT
This sequence comes from Homo sapiens, assembly GCF_000001405.40. Classification (NCBI taxonomy): domain Eukaryota; kingdom Metazoa; phylum Chordata; class Mammalia; order Primates; family Hominidae; genus Homo; species Homo sapiens. Next base: position 104,449,694 of record NC_000004.12, read on the forward strand.
ACACTCCCTCTTCACTAACAATGACTCACTTTAGCAGTGACGTTACTTCTGAGTTTCAGGTGTAGGAAGATAAGCAAATGGATACGTTGTTTTTAAAGAACCCCAAGTGGTTCTACTCAGTTTTACTTCTTACCATCTCCCTCCTGAGAATCTCTGGATGGAAAATGAGAATTGCAATGATGTTAAATGGGAAATACATCTTCTGAAACACACACACACACACAATATTTCTCTTCGTAAAGCTAAAATTAACTGAGCACTTTTTGTTAGACATATTTTGACTACTTTAAATGCATTGTCTTGTTTGAACTTCAAGATAGCCTTAAGAAGTTGACATTATTTCCAACTTTACAGGTGAAGTGCCCAGACACAGTGAGGTTAAAATACTTAACTAAGACTGTAGAGTAAGTTAGTGGTTGAACTGAGGTGTGAACCTATGCTATCTGGTTTTAGAGCTTATACTCTAAACCATGAGGCTATGTTGCAAAGAAAATGTATTTTGGCTAAAATATAAACAAATCTGATTTTTTACATAAAATGCATAATTTTGTTGTTTGATACCACTCTGTTCTTGCTTGTGCTGCCAAGCCTGCCCTTCTACTTCTTTCCTTGCTCAACTTCTATCCATCCTCCAAGACTCACCTTAGTTACAACCTGCTTCAAGACCTCCATGGAACAAACAAAAGGCTCTAGGCCTCCACATATAACTCCATCAGAGTTCTTTATTCATTCCTTCTCCAACGAAGTTATCACAGGTATCATGCGTCAAGCTCTGTGCTAGACATATACATCATTTAAATTGCTCATTTAAAAAAATCTCTAGTTTTGATGGCAGGGTTTTATTAAATTTTGCCTCTCTGGAGCCTGGCAAAATGGCTGGCACATAGACTGCTTATTATTTCTAAAACTGAAATAAAGATTAATATGTTGTATCTAGTTACATCAATATCAATGATCCACAGTAATAGATAAGGCTTTTCCAGAATACCAGAGAGTGTAGGCAGAGATTCAGACAGAACTCTAGGCCTCTGCTGTAGCCAGTTTCCTGTAATTTGTTTAATTAGTATGATCAACATTTTCAAGTGCTTCTATGTGTCAGGTCCTATGTTAGGCACAGAAGAGAATACAGGTTCCAAAAATGAATAAGGTTTATTCTCAGCCCACAAGGAGTATATAGTCCAGTGGAAGAAATAGAGTATATACTGGGCTATTTTAAATGAGTGTGATAAAGACCACCATAATACAGTTACAAGAAAAAAATCACTCTGAATTGAAGTGACTTAAGAGTGCTTCTAAGAAAAGCAGCCTTCTGGATTGCAACTTAGAACTCTGCTTGGTTCCAAAGGGAACTTCAGGAACAGAGAAGACCCTCAATAGAAACATTGTAGAGGAATAATATTTTGAGATATTAACTATGATGTGCTTCCTGTAATATATTTTATCTTACTTTTTGTCCCCTTTCCTATTCTCCTGCCCACATTAGGGGAGAGATATCACAATATGCAAAGAAAACCCTCTTTATTTTCAAAACCCAAAGCCTTTAAATCTCAAAACGCAAGGATTTTGCAGTGGAAGAAGCTAAGCCCTGAACCATTAAAGGCATAAGGTTTATTCCATAAACAAGGAATAAAGAACCAGACCTCCCTACACAGACTACACAAGGATTCCACTAAGTGAAATGAAAAGTAACCCAGGAGGAAGCTAGGGCTTAGATGCTGGTAGGTTTCTGGAAAGAACCCCTAATTCTGATCTACCCTAACTTTGGAAGGTATAATTAAATGCCTAGATAGGACTGAGATACCCAAACCAAGATGGGACCTATTTAAACCTAAAAATAAGAATAGTAAGATCTAGCCTTGATCAAGCACTTAATAAGGCCAGGCATTATTCTTACCAAATTTTATTTGAGTAATAACCAGATTATGAAGGAATTATCACTCAGTTTCACCATTTTGTGATGACAAAACCAGGTCACAGAGAAGTAATTTGCCTAAAGTCCCTCAATTAGAAATAGCAGAGTTACTATTTGAACCACGGAAGTCTGACTCTAGATAGTGAAAGGGCCAAGGCAATGCTTTCCTTCTGCCCTCTAGAGGTTTGCTGAAAGTAAGCTGACAATAGACAGATTCATAGGAGAAAAAGGCATACAAAATGTATTTAAAGCAGACTAACATAGAGCCATACACAAAATATAGGTTTTAAAGAGGGGCCATATGGCTGAGGCTTTCAAAATTTCTATATTTGGGAGAGATGTAGAGAGACTTTATTTTGCAAATAATACTCTTGGGAAGCTGGATGAGACTGACAAGTTAGGGAAACCTAGAGGTGGAACTACACAGGAACAAAGGTTGTCTTTTTATGCAGATACGATTTCTTAGGTAGTCTCTTGAAGAAGCTGCTCTCAGAAGAATAGATGAAAATCTGTCTGGGTGTAGTGATGACTTTTAGTTATCTTCTCTCCAGTGATTATTGTTTCCTGGTTTTTTGTTTGTTTGTTTGTTTATTTGTTTGTTTTGATGAGATTCTTAGAGAAGCAGTGTCTCAATGCAATTATATTTCTTTAGGAAAGTTAATTACCTAGTCAGATAAGGAAATTCCAGAGAAAGTTTCTCCTGGTGCTTCAGGAAAGTAAGAGCATCAGAGAGACAGGGGGCCTGGGAGAAGTCAGAGAGAGATCTTAAGGCTGCCTCTTTGGTTCAGCATGCCAAAGCACCGTGTTTTGGGGTATCATTTTCTGAGCCTCAACAATAGGCCTCAAAATCACTGTGCTAACTGAGGAAAACAGAATTACCTAAGATTTCATTTCTAACACCAGCTAGGATGAAAGATCAACATGAAAACAATGAGTTCAGTTATGAAAAAAAGAAACAAGTTATCTTTTTTTGTTGAATAACTGAACTGTGGACATAATCGTAATGAGAGCTTTTCCATGAATGACTTTTTAATCTCTCCAAATGGTTCTGTGAGTGTAACTATTATTATCAATTTAAATATGAAAAAGTAGATCACATATGTAAATTCATCTGAAATTTCATGATTAGTATGTAGCTCAGCAGTATTTGTACTCATGCAATTTGACTCCCAAATCTATGTTCTCAATCACTATACCATCGATGTGCTAAATAAATGGTCACAGCAGTGTACATAAAAATGTTCTGCTTGGCCGGGAGCATGGTTCATGCCTGTAAGCCCAGCACTTTGGGAGGCCGAGGTGGGCAGATCACGAGGTCAGGAGATCAAGACCATCCCGGCTAACACGGTGAAACCCCATCTCTACTAAAAATACAAAAAATTAGCCGGGCATAGCAGTGGGCACCTGTAGTCCCAGCTACTCAGGAGGCTGAGGCAGGAGAATTGCTTGAACCCAGGAGGTAGAGCTTGCAGTTAGCCAAGATCACACCACTGCACTACAGCCTAGGCAACAAGAGTGAAACTCTGTCTAAAAAATAAATTAAAAAAGAAAAAAGAGAAGAAAAAAAAGAAAAGGAAAGGAAAAAGAAAAGAAAAGAAAAGAAAAAAAAGAAAAGAAAAGAAAAGAAAAGAAAGAAAAGAAAAGAAAAGAAAAGAAAACAAAAGAAAACAAAAGAAAAGAAAAGAAAAAAAGAAAAGAAAAGAAAAGAAAAGAAAAGAAAAGAAAAGAAAAGAAAAGAAAAGAAAAAGAAAAGAAAAGAAAAGAAAAGTGCTGCTCAGTCCAGGCACGGTGGCTCATGCCTGTAATCCCAGCATTTTGGGAGGCCGAGGCGGGTGAATTACCTGAGGTTAAGAGCTCAAGACCAGCCTGGCCCAACATGGCGAAACCCCGTCTCTAATAAAAAATACAAAAATTAGCTGGGTGTGGTGGTGGGTGCCTGTAATCCCAGGTACCTCGTAGGCTGAGGCAGGGAGAATTGTTTGAATGCGGGAAGCGGAGGCTGCAGTGAGCCAAGATCCAGCCACTGCACTCCAGCCTGGGCAACAGAGTGAGACTCCATCTCAAAACAAAACAAAACAAAACAAACAAAAACTGTGCTGCTTAGATTTCCTGCTATAGGGAACATGACTGACTGACGGCCTCAACTACTCTTCCTCTAGGTCCACCTCTGCATTCACACTAATGCTACACTTTGTATTGAATGATTGTCCCCATTCAATACTGATCATGGCAAGACAATGTATGGGACTTCTCCAACATGGATTTTGTCCCCAGGAGGCTCCTTATCAGCCTAACCAAATCTTTACTGGGCTGTGCTACAATCTGAGACTCTAACTACCCAATCCCCTTTCTTCTCTTTCTCCTCTCACAGTTAACAAACTTATATCATATCTAAAGCCTACCCTCACATTCTGCTGCTTATTTCCTCCCTAAATCTCTCATCTGTCCAGTTCTTTTTTGGCATCTGGTTTTCTGTGAACCCCAACTAATGGAAGTGGTAGAGAGATGAGAGTGATGTGGAAAAGACATGATACATGGGGATTTGGCCATGGCTCACTAACCTCTCATTTTCAGTGAAAGGTGAATCATGAAGAGTTCTTGACACAAGGCCCAATTGCTGAAGATTTCACTGGGTGATGATCTACCTTGCAGGTATAATGTTTCAAGCATTTGAAAGAGAATCAAGTTGGCTAATTAATATTAAATTGTATTGATATTGATTCCTTGCAGAGGGTAAGAAACTGAGGGCCACTAGCAAGTAGTTAATAAGTGTGAAAGCCAAACTCTTGATAGCCTACCAAAAGCCTTTTTCTCTTGGAATGGAAGAAAAGCATAGTTAAGTAGTACATCAGAGATCTGATAAAGTCAGTGAGATCCAGAGACCTTAGAATGCTTGGCAAGGGCAGTTCTGTTATGCTGGACTCAGGGTCCTGGTTTGGAAAACCTGGAATTTTGAAATATGGGATGGGGACATGACCCTGAGGATGTTGGCTCTGCACAATCCCCTGATCCCTCAGAACATGCAGTGGAATTCCTACAGCATTTCTCAATGTACTTTGCAAGAATTAGCTGGCATGTACCATGTACCATCAAGGGCCTGCAAAGTATCCTTGGGTTTGCATTTAGAAAACGCCTAATCATAAGGGCCAGAAAATAAGACTGGGTAAGGAAGAATTCATTGACTTGGGGGCACATTCTCTAGATTTAACATTCTCCAGATGTAACATCCTGACAAAGGCCCCCATGGAATGAGCTATCTTGCGGATCAGCTGAGGCACCTCTTTCTTTTTTTTTTAAATGGAGTCTCGCTCTGTTGCCCAGGCTGGAGTGCAGTGGCGTGATCTCTGCTCACTGCAAGCTCTGCCTTCTGGGTTCACACCATTCTCCTGCCTCAGCCTCCCGAGTAGCTGGGACTACAGGTGCCCGCCACCATGTCCGGCTAATTTTTTGTATTTTTAGTAGAGACCAGGTTTCACTGTGTCAGCCAGGGTGGTCTCGATCTCCTGACCTTGTGATCCACCCACCTCAGCCTCCCAAAGTGCTGGGATTACAGCCGTGAGCCACCACGCCTGGCCTGAGGCAGCTCTTTCTTGGAACTTTGCTATAATCCAAAACTCATCCTAGCCAGCCTTCCATCCGACCCTCTCTCACAGGTGTCAGACATACATTATGTCCTGGAAGTTTCTCACAAACTTTTGCTCCTTCCTGCAATAAAGCTCTTGCATCTCTTACCCTGTCCTATTATCTGCTTCTAGGTGGACCCATACTAACACAAAAAGTAAACACAGCCATAGTTTCTATAAGAGAAAAATGGGAAATGAGGCTGAAAACTAAGCTCTGGATCTGGTTTCGCACCATAAACGCAGGCTGAGGAATCATGTCTTAACCTAGTGAGAAAACTGGTGAGATTTATAGTTAGCATTTAACATAAACAAAATTTGTTGTCAGTATCATAATTTGGGCCCAAGGGCAGGGAAATTAAAAAAAGGGTTAGAAACCAAACATTTGAAACTTGCTTAAAATTTCAAAAATGTGAGGTAATAATGCAATAGTGTTTAGTGTAGATGTATGAGATAGTTATATTAAAAAGCTTGACTAAGCAATGGCACATAAAGGAGCTCAATAAGTCTCTCTCTCTCTCTCTTTTTTTTTTCTTTTGCTTTGCTTTGGACCTATTTGAGAAATGTGAAGGCCCAGTTAGGAGGTTTTTTCATTTACTCCAATTAGCACTGCCCTGGTAAAATAAAAGAGATTGGACAAGAGTCCATTTAAGTTAAGGAAATGTTACCAGATTGTATATGAAAAGTTAACACATTTGCAAATGAACGTCCTGTCACCACAGATCTGTTGATGCCTGACAAATTACGATTAAGTAACAATTAATGGGGTACTATTTGCCATTGGATAAAAAATATTTCCAGGGCTGAAGTTGGGGTGCAAGGGAGATCTCAACAGGGTAGGCTTCTTTCAAAGTTGTTAAAGTTTGTTCAGTTTAGTTTAGTTTTTTTTGTTTCCCCTCAGTACTTTCCATTTTTTTCTTTTACAAAATGCATAATTTATAAATATATCAATTTTTTTAAAGCAAAATAAATTGAAATTCAGTCATGCTGATACCATCAACCTTTAATATAGATAAGGCTTATTCAGATGTATGCTTGTTTGGTGTCCACTTTTTTTGGAGAAATATTTTGAAAAAAATCATATTTTATGTAGTTACATAAGTTTGTGACACTTGCATTTTGTGATATGAACTCTAAAAAGTTACCTTTTCTGGGATGAATAATGTAGTTGACCCACTTAGGTGACTTTTCATCCTGAAGAGAAGGTGTACAAGTGAGTGATTATTAACTTAAAGTAAATATTATGGACCAATAAAAATAGCAGTAGCTATATTTGAACTATCCACTATTAAATGTTATAAGAATCCTTTCTGTCAATCAATTAGGCCTTTAAGATGTACATGTTTAATGTTATCAATGCTGTAAACATAAAAGTCTCCATTTTAGGATGCCATTTCTTTTTAAAAATCAGTGTTTATGTAATGTATGCATGTGTGCATGCCTGTGTGTGTATTATACTAATGAGTCAGGAATTAACAATTTGAAAATTGTAAATATAAATATAGATCCATTAAATCTAACCTTTTCAAAAAAAATCTGTTTTATTTAGTTTGAAAGCATTCATTATCACAAACAAAAGAAACCATGAATTTCTTACAGGTATATTTAAATGTTATACTTCATAGATTTCATGATAATGTCCATTGGATCAAACTTTTCATGTTATCTGTAACAAAGTTCTGCCTATTTTAATCCAAAAAAAGTCTCTTAACTGTTTGAATATAAAGAGAAACGTAACTCAGAATTCAATAAATTATTCTTTCTTTGCATTACCTATTTTAGATGTTTTATTTGTATTCATACATTTATAATCCATTTGTCTATATTAATATAAAAGGCCAAATTATCTTAGATTATACAGTTATTTTCTCTATTCTCAATTGGAAAGCAAGAGGGAACAACCTTCATGTGTTCACAAGAGCCAAATATAAGCCATATCTTTATAAAGCAAACATCTTCTTTTAGTTATTTTTTTCTATGTTAAATACTGACATGTTGGGCAACAATTAGAGTATAGATTCAAACACTTGAGAATACTGCTTTGTTTCTCCAACAATATCATAGGCTCCAGTTGCTGTGTAGTTACTTCCTCTTTCTCTACTTAATAAATTAAAAAATAATAAAATAATAAAAAATAAAAAATTAAATTTTTTAAAAGAAATTTAAGTGCCAGGCACATTGTGAGTTTCTATTTCCTCATGTAGTGGACAGTTACTGTGATTGCCTGCCCTGCATATACTCCTCCTTATTGTGGTAACAACTCTCTACTTTTTCTCTATACACTGGCCATCCTCTCTTGCCAGTTCTGTTGGGTCAGGTGGGCTGGTTTCACACCCCTAGCTCTGTGGGGAGGGAGTGAGCATATTCCCCTCACCTGTCCTGCTTGAAGACTGCATTCTGTCTCCTTGGATCAGTGATTCAGGGATAGGTAAAACATTTATGATGAGCCAAATGAGGATTTTTTTTTTCTCTCTCTCTCAGAAACCTTTTGCTGAGTTGCAACTGAAATATGGTATGACTGGAACTGCTGTTGACCATGTTGTCACTGAGAGTGAGACTCTGCCTGAAAATGATACTAAAAAGAGTAAAGCACAGGTGAGGGACAGAGGGAAAGACACCTGACAATATCTCCTTAACACCCAGACTCAGCCTTGCCGATTACTGGGCTTTTCGGTTACACAGGTCAGTAAGTTCTTATTTTTTTTTAAGCCAATTTACTTAAAAGTGTCATTTACTACTTAAAGAGGCCATTTTAATTAGGTTCATCTGTAGAGAATAAGACAAAAAAAAGACCAGGAAATGATACCTAAACAAACTTCAGTGGAATTACAGCCATCTCTGTTAAAACACTTCAGGCTAGGTATATTTTTCATGTGGTAAAGTAGCATGAAGTCAAATGCTTTCCTTGCTTCCTTATGGCCCAATGGAAGTTGACATCTGTCAGTCAAACAAGCCACACATGCCTGAATGACCAAACATTATGTAAAAGGGACCTGAACTGCTAAAGGAATTGTTGTCTTTATTTTCCAAGGATCGTCTGACATCTGCTTTTTAAATTAGAACCAAGTCATTCAAAAACTTAGTTTTCCACTTTATACATGTGAGTTTGCTACACCCATTCTTTCATATCAAATATTATGTAGCATTACTTCAAAGTACCTTTTGTGTACTGGATTTTCTCTTCTTTTCCCCATCCTATTTCAGTTTGGGGGATTTCTAGAGACATTTCTTCATGGTCGTGGATTCTTCTTTCCTCAGCTGCGTCACTGAAGGCATTCTTAATCTGTTACTGTGTGTTTCATTTCTAATATTCCTATTTGAGCTTTCCTCATCATCTCCATCTCTCTGCCGAAGTTGCCAATCAGGTCTTGCATGTTGTTCCTCTTTTCAATTAGAGCCGATGTTTAGGTACATCGGCTTTTCTTGGTAAGTTGGGATACAACATGTCTCTTCTTTTTGTAGATGCCTTTTCTTAGGTTTGGGGCCAGTTGGTGTCATGTGACATCAGCACTCTCATAGACTCAAGAAAAGTCATGAATTTGCTGTTTGTCTAGGTTGTTTCATTGTAAAGTTGGTAGTGATACTCTCTAACCCCCTATATACCGAAGTGGAAGCAAGCTCATGTATGCAGGATTTAGTTTTGACCTTTTCAACAAAAAAAAAAACATATTAAGCCAGCTAGCACTACCAGCCATGGTTTACCTTCTCCAATTTTGCCATCTTTGTCTTCATAGCAATGTTGGTATAACCATTTATGTATTGAGTTACATATAGTTTTATTATCTGATAAAACAGTGGCATAAAATAGGAAAATAATTTTACTGTCCCAAAAATAATAAGAATTTTCTCATGAGCATAAAGTAATTGAGTTAAAGATGAACAACATTAAAGTGTGCTGAAACTAGTAAACCTTTGGCTTCAATCATACTCATTAGGCTGAATCAAGCAAAGTGTAGGTTCAATCATGAGGCAGCAAATACAATGAAAGAATCTGTGTAAAATGCATGTTAAAGTTGGTGGCTAAAATTTGATTTGTATTTTAGGATGTTTGATCTTGTCTTAGTTCTCTGAAAACAGAACTTTTCATATATAAACCTACTGCTCATCTTCTACACAATCAACATTTGCACACATTTCTATAAGGAATAGCGTGATCATAATGGATAGAATTTTGCTGAAAAGGTTATCAAACTCATCATAAATCATTTTCTTCATCCCAGAAATAGTATTGTGTTCATGTAGACTCAATCATAGACATAATGGTATTGTGTCTGCCTGTGTGTTGTATGTGTGTGTTTATGCATATACATGACTAATTAATAAAAATAGGTCTTTCAAGTTAACCAAATAGGGTTATCATACAATTATACAGAAATTAATGATCCTATTAGAATTCCAGCTAAGATCTCAGTTTTCTGCCTCCTCCCTCCTGCTGCGTCCTTGTCTATTAACCCTTCAATATAACATGATGTAGGAGACACATATTATTTCCTTCCTTCCTTCTGTCTTTTCTTCCCTCTTGTTCTCTCTCCTTCCCTCTTCCTTCTCTTTCCTTTATTTTCTCTTTCTTCCGTTTATCCCTTTTAGTCTTTTCTTCCTTCTTTGCTTCCTTTCATTCGTTTTTTTCCTGCCCACTATCAATTTTTATTTCTGTTTCTAATAAACAAACCCTGGTCTTCCCTGGAGAACTACTTTTCTTTCATTCTCAGTAAATGTCATAGAAGAGGCAGTACCCCCCTGCCCCAATTTTAGGGACAGGCTAAGATTAACCAAATCTTTGCTTAGCCTCCTTTGCAGCTAGTTATGGGTTGAACACATGATCCAATTCAGCCAAATGGATCCATCAGCATTAATTCTGAGATTTTTTTCTGAACTTGTCAGGAACAAAAATTGTTCCCTATACAGAAATTCTTAGCAATGGAAAATAAACTGTCAAAGTGCTAGAGGCCACAAAAGACATAGACAAAGCCTCAGAATAAAGCCAGCTGCGAGTACTGAAAAGACAAAGAGAATAGGATAAAATAACATGAGTTTTACTTTAGTCTTTCCTCAGGACATTTCAGTCATCTGAGATGCAGTCCCCTTTATTGTTTCATCCATTGTGAGTGGTTACACTTTCTACCTTTTTAACAGAATAACTTAGTATGAAATAAAATATTCTAAACAGCTTCATTCTCATAGAAACCATTTACTCTTCTAGACAACAGGAAGGCTAGTTATATGGAGTCTAACCATCTCATTTAGTGGTTCTATTTTAGCACATCAACAAAAGGCTGGTAAAGTTAGGAATAAGGTTATAAAGATAAGGAAAAATTCACTTTTTATATTTTTTTTTCATTCTTTCACTACATAACTCTGATGTAAATTGTAATCTGACTATAAACCTCAAAGTAAGGAGTGGCACACTTTATTTCCTTTTAAATACTTTAGGACCTCTAGTGAAATGCCTTTTCAAACTATAGCCCATCATTTAAGAACCTATTTACTCACTCGCTATTCTCTAAACAAACCTTTAAGTGCTCTACTAAATTAGGCTCACCTGGAAGTCATGTGTTACATCTCTATTTACAAGTAAGTAGATGGAATACTCACCTACAATGTAAGTATCAAAATAATCCAAAAGGTCTATTCAAGGGACACTCCAGTAGCATTGAATAGCTTTACTTTCTTAGAGTTCATAAAGTAAGATATGTTAACTTAATGTCATTAAAAAATGCAAATTTATCTTTCAATTACAATTGATATTTTAGAGTTTACTGTGGGTGGCAGCTGTAGAGACAATTAAAGAATTCTATTTAAAGCAATTTGAAGCAAATAACGGCTATGCCAGATTTCCCCATCGAATGGAATTTCTTTTAAAGATAGAAAGGATCGACAGTCATTTTTTACCTAAATCAAGAGCAGGTTTATTTACCTATTATATGCCACTTCCGCTAATAACATAAGGAATGTATACATAGATTATGAAATGAAAGATATAAATGTACAACATTGGCAGCGTGTGTGATGATTACCCACAAGAATTAATCAGCATTTCTCATGCCATACACAATGCAGTTAGAATAGAAACAGCAAATCTGTTCAAGGAATGCAAACAAGCTGCATAAAAGGCTAAACAAGTAAAAGTATATCATCAACTATGACTCAAATTACATCTTTAAATTGTGTGCCAGCTTCCTTTAAATTAGCTATTTAAGAACTTGGTCTATGACAGACTTCATAAACTGGGAAATATTATATCTTCTCAGGTTCACAATTTTGTTATAATGTCAATGTGAGAATTACATTTAATAGTTCAGCTTGTAAATTAACCCTTACTTATACAAGTGATATATTGCTGTGGATAATTATGTATTTGTTAGTTATGGGATCTGTTGATAAGCCTCAGAAGTTCTGTAGCCATCCATGGTGACAATGTGGCCCAAGCTCCTAAAGAAAGTGTGGATTGTAGTTTTATTCCTAAATCCTTTTACAACTCAAATTTTTTTATTCTTGATATTTTTGTAACATTCTTAACATTTTCTACCAAGTTGTGAAATCAACCATTTCTGTTTTTGTTGTAGTCATTGCTTATTTTCTTGTTCCGGATATATTGAGGTCCTTGGGAATTTAATGGGCTGCAACAATTACTATTCAGTTCTTTGGGATTTGGAGCTAGTCACTCTTTAGTCCTCAGAACTCGAATGGTAAGGATTCAACTGAGATATTGTGCTATGTAGAGATTCTGTCAGAGAGCACGTTTTAAAATGAAACTTAGGTCTAAGAAAATTCTGATCCAAAATACTTTCTCTTTCCATATAAAATATAAATAAATAATTATATACTAACCATTCCCCCTGGAATGCATTTTGGCTATTAGTGAAAATGTTTACAATAAACTCTGTAAAGTCTAGAACTCTGTAAAGAACAAGAACAGTAATTAGTGAAAACACTGCATTCGAATATTTCAATAGTCATGAACCAACTTCTTCCCTTGTAAAGGAAAGTTTAGGCAAAACTGAAAATCATATTATCCCTTTCTTGTGATTGGGAGTACACCCAAATTAATCTCAATTCTCAATTTGTAGTTTTTAACATCTACTCACTTTTCTGTTCAAACATTTCAGTGCCCGGAGATGTTAAATAGCAATAATAATCTCATCTCCTTTAATGGAATTACCAACAAAGAATATAAGGACAGGTAGATTGTGTTATACAAATGTTAGTAGAATTGTGCTTAATTTTTTAAATACACAAATTACGGTCAGCATCAAACTTTTAACTCATGTATTTATATATGCGTTAGGAGAAAAATATTGTCATGTACAGTGTAAATATTGCATCAGAATGTTGTGTATGGATAAACATAAATAAACAACTACACGCTTTTACATGCAGTGGAGAGGGGATAAATTGAGGGGGATGAATAGTTTACCACCTGTGGACAAAGGGTAAAGATTTGGGTAACTAATAGTTAAAGGAATATGGGTTACCAGGAAAAGGAGGAACTGAAATAATTCACTTGCAGAACTTATCCTTGGGTTTCCACTTATTCTCTACTTTGTTCAATAGGGCAGATGGGCAGTAACCATGTAATGATTATAGGGAGGGTGAAAGTACAACTGTTGTAGGTGAGCCCCAGGTCTGACTTTGACCTTCCTCTCTTGTATATATCCACAATCACTTCTGTAATAATCTCATCTAGGCTCATTATTTTTAAATACCATCTGTATCTCCAGTTTATAAATGTACCTTTGACTCTAAGTCCATATATTCAGTTGTATACTTGATATCTTCACTTGGGTGTGTTAGAAGCAGCTTAAATTGTGTATGTCCATAAACAAAATTTAGTCTTCCCCATCTCAGTAGATGGCAACTGCGTTTTTATAGTTATCCGTGTCAAAAACCTAAAGTCATTATCAATTATTCTCTTCTTTACATACGTAAATCCTGATTTGTCTACAAATCCTGTTGCCTCTTTTTCAAATTATATGCAGAACTCAACCTCTTTTTGTTTTCTAAAACTTCCACTGCTAACATCCTATTTCCACTATCTTTTTTCACTTGGATTACAGAATTAGCTTCCCCAAGCTGGTCTCCCTCTTTTCCCCTTAACCTTCTATAGTCTATTCTTAACACAGTAGCCAAGGCTGTCCTTTCATAATATACATCAGATTATGTCTTCTTCTAATCAGACCCTCCAAAGATTTCCTTTCTCACACTGAGTATAAGTCAAAGTCTTTAACATGGCACTACACAATCTTGCCTCATTTTTAACCATATTTTTTGCTATTCTGTTACTCACTGCACTTCAGATACAATGGGTTCTTTCTGGACCCTGAAAATTCCAGACCCATTCTTGTCACGAGGTCTTCATATTTGTTAATTCCCTTTGCCAGGTAGGCTATTTCCAAGGTATCCATGTGGCTTCCCTCCTTGCTTCTTACATGTCTTATTTCCAGTGTCATCTTCTCAGCTAGGTTTCCCCTAACTACTCTTTTAAAATTCCAGCAATCTTCCTTACCTTCTCACCTTACAGGTATTCCTAATCAATCTCATTTCCTCTCCTAAATTGCATTCATAGCACATATTACCACGTGACATTTGTATGTATATATATTTTTATATACATATATATGCATTTATATGTCTGCATGTATATTTACTTACTTGTTAATAACATCTTTTCCTCTACTAGAAAGGAAACTATGAGTTGCCTAGATAAATGGAGAGCACATGGTAAATATTTATTGAATGAAATAATTCATCAATAATTATTGATGCTATGAAGAGGTAATATACCTCTCATAGGTACTTTGAGAGCCTATAATAGACGAGTTTTGGCCAGGCACGGTGGCTCACGCCTATAATCCCAGCACTTTGGGAGGCCGACGTGGGCAGATCACGAGGTCAAGAGATTGAGACCATCCTCACTAACACAGTGAAACCCCGTCTGTACTAAAAATACAAAAAAATAAAATAAAAAAATAAAATAAAATAAAATAAATTAGCCAGGCGTGGTGGTGGGCTCCTGTAGTCCCAGCTACTTGGAAGGCTGAGGCAGCAGAATGGCGTGAATCCAGGAGGCAGAGCTTGCAGTGAGCCGAGATCCTGCCTCTGCACTCCAGACTAGGCAACAAAGCGAGATTCCGTCTCACAAAAAAAAAAAAAAAAAAATTAGATGAGTTCTGACAGTCACAATAATTAGGAAGGAATTGCTTCTAAAAAATGAATCAAAAAGTTCTGAAGAATGAAGAGACATTATCCAGGAGAGAAAAGGAAAGGGGATTCTAGGTATTAAGAATAACATGAGTAGCCAGGGATGGTGGCTCATGTCTGTAATCCCAGCTACTCAGGAGGCTGAGGCAGAAGGATTGCTTGAGACCAGCAGTTGACACTGCAGTGAGCTATACTGCATCACTGCACTCCAGCCTGGGTGACAATAAAGAGCGCCATGAACAGAATGTTCTGAGGTGGGAGGGAAAGCCCATCCCGCAAATGTGGGAAACTCCAGTTTTTATTTATATGTATAAATAGGACTTGCAGAGACTGGAAGAAAGTCCAAGTGGCTGGAGCTTAGAGAGAGAAAGGAGTGACATGATATGTAATAAGATTGCAGGCCAGACCACAAATGGCCTTATAGACCGCATTTTGGGTTTTATTCTAATAACAATGGGAAGTCATTGATGATAAACATGGAATCACATAAACGTGTGTGTTGTGTTTGTTTTAAAAGGTTAACTCAAGCTGAAGCATATAAAATATGTTGAAGACAGATAACAATAAAGGGAGGGAGAATATTGTGGTAGCTATGAAGGTAATCTCCATGAGACATGATAGCAGCTTGAACTAAGTATTTCTCAGCACTTTGCACTTATCCTCTTCTTTCCTGCCATTCTAAATCTCTTTGTCTTTACTTCTAGGAGTGTTTAAGTCTTACCTCCTTCTCTCAGCTGGAAAATGTTGAAATCGAAGAGCTTCACTGTACTGTTTTCTACCACTCCACCACATGTTGCCTGCTCTTTTCACAAGAAATGTTTTCCACAGTTATTATGTATTTATATATTTGTTTCAGCCATTTGGTTGAATTCCATGGTGATGGTAAAGTGTTGGGAATCATGATTTGTTCATCTTGATATCCTCAGTAGCTGCTACATTGAAGACACACAATAATATTTGTTGAATAAATGAGAAATTACGTCAATTGGTAGTCTGCCAACACAACAAAATGTTCCTAATGTTCTTCTCAGTACTGCTCTGTAGACATCATGAATTCCTTTGAGATAAAGGCTTTTTCTGTATAGTCAAAGCATATATCCTCCAGATCAAGTTATATATTAGTGATTGGATGTGCACTTGATGTTCAACTATACAAATAGCCTAACAGAATATAAATATGCCCCAAATGTTCAAATTATATGAAGATAAAGAAAGCATTAGGGAAATAAATTATATACATAATTTTCAACAAAATTCCTCAAATGGCTAAAAATAGGATACAGCGAACTAAAGTGGCAACTCATTGAAGCGTACCTAACAAGCGCAAAAGAGTTTATGTGGCCTCACCACATTTTCTAATTCCCAGGGAATAGGTCAAGCATTATAAAATGCTGAATCATCTAATTTAATTTCAACTGTACAATAGTGACGGAATCCTTTCCACTAGAGGTTCTTAATAACCTAGACCGGCCCTCAGCTACTCTAGAGCATGGCCTAAACTCTGTTGAATAAAACACACACATACATACACAGATTGATCTACCTACACAAACACACATATTTGTGTGTATGTCCATATATGCACCTACACATATTAATTCAATACTAATGTTTTAAATAAAAGTATAAGGCAAGTCATGGAAACAACTTTTTAAAAAAGTTGTTAAAAGATAAAATGAGTAAGGATTTTTAGTTACATTTATTTTAGGATAGTATCAATGGTTAACTAGTACCATTTAAATGTTGTTCTTTACCAGTTTCCCTTACAACTATGCAGTTTCCTGGAAGCTGTAGAATTTTAAATAGAAGATTACCTTTCAGAGAACTTGTAAAGAGAAGATCATACCTCCAACCAGGCAAACATATTCTCCTACCATCTAACTGTTAAAGAAGTCATGAAACTCAGTTCAGTATTAAAAATACTTTATACTTATGTTAGACATTAGAATAGTTTTAAAAGTAGTGTTCTTGGAAAGAGATACACACATTGCTTCCAATTTGTGAAAGTATAACACCTGTTAACCAGAATGATTTTTTTTGGTCATAAGTAACATATTGTAAACAAAGCACAGACCTACCTAAAAAGATAATTTAGTTGATACTTCATTTTATATAAATACATTGAAGTTAAGAAACATTGACTTACAAACTGGCCCCCAAAATCTGAATTTTAAAAGGCACAAAGATAGATCACAAGCCAAGATATTAGAATAAAAGATTAAAAATTTTGAAATAAACAAAAATTTTCTGTATAACTATGCTACATGTAGTGTATGCAAATATAACCTTAAATTTGCACTCATTGTGTTTGTTTACTTCAAATAATATTTTCTTCTCCATTAAAAAAAGACATAGTATCCTTAACACAAACAGGAACAGAAAACCAAATATCACATGTTCTCATTTATAAGTGGGAGCTAAATGATGAGAACACATGGACACATAGAGGGGAACAACACACACTGGGACCTTTCAGAGGATGGAGGGTGGGAGGAGAGAGGATCAGGAAAAATAACTAATGGGTACTAGGTTTAATACCTGGCTGATGAAATAATCTATACAACAAACCCCCATGACACAAGTTTATCTATGTAAAATAGATAAACCTGCACATGTACCCCAGAAATTCAAAGTTAAAAAAGAAAAAGAAGAAGAAAAGAGTGGAAAAAAAATGGAAAGAAGTTTCTGTAGAAAATAGACACAAAAACAACTTCCACCAATAAACACACTCGAAAAAATACATGTTTGTGCAAAGTCCACATGAAATTATTATCAGACTCAATATCTAAGTAAGTTATAGATATTTCTTGCCCCGCTTGCCTTTTTGGTTTATTCAAACTCTCTTTTATCATTACACATGAACATCCAAGTATTTGTATCCGTGATGATTTAAATTAAAAAATGAGCATTATCTTGAAAATCCATTTAAATCTATTTGCCATATTGTTGCTGCTTATACCAAAATATGATACAGAGGCATAGTGACTTACCTGAAAATTACTGAGTATTCAGGAACTCACATAATAAAAATTACCTAATTATCTTTTCTCACCATATATATTCCAATTCTATTGCCTTAGCCCTGATATTTTATATTTTTGATATTGTACTAACAGAACACATGCTAATGTTTCATAAATGTATAAAAATGTTCTAATATGGTGTTCTATAGACATGAAATCTTTCAATTGTATGAAGTTCTGTGTTTGTAGCCATATTAAATATTTCCAAGATATAAAACCATGTTCTACATATTTTTGTAGTTTATAAGGCATCAAAAAAACTGGACCTTGTACTGGGAAGCAGTGAAATAAGTGTTAAACACATTCACTATCAACTAATGAGTAACATGTGTGGACCACAATATTCCATAATAAAAAAGTAACACAATAAAAATTTCATCTCAGAGTATTGCTGAGAGTGGCTGAAGACAGAATTCCAGTGTTTCAAATTTCTTCATGCACATTAATGCTTTCAAGTAGCATCACCAAGACTTTGCATTCATGGTAAGAAAAAAAAAATGCCTGAGATGTTTTCTCCTGGCACACTTACGATGCAGAAGGAAGGAGAGATGTTTGGGTGCATTCAGTTCTTCCTCTATTTACACCTTTTAGGTTTTCAACAAAAATATATTCTCTAGAAATGGATAAGGAATCATGTTCTTTTTTCTTTTCTTTCAGTGTATGAGAAAAAAATATATAAGGAGAAAAAAAAATCCCTGGAATATTTTATGAAAGACTTATACAAAGCACTCATTCTGCTGACATAAGGGCAAGTGTAGAATTATAAACTTTTTTTATCATAAACAAAATTAAATTTTTATGATCATATGCTCATTGCTTAAAATCCCACAAATGAAAATTTATCATGGAAAAATAGAGATATTTTGAGTACTAAAGTCCTTTATTCAACAACACAGAAATTTCACAAAAACAACTTTACTGGGCAAATTGAATGTGATTTTTTTTACTTTTTTTTTTTTTTTACAGTTTTGTACATGCCCCATAAGTAATTTTCTTTAATAAATACACTGTTTTCCAAAACCGTTTTTTAAATAATTGCACAAGCATACATACACCTTACACAAATATCTATTAGAAAATTTAATAGATAACTGCACAGTTCAGAAGAGGAGAACACTGTGAAAGGAGTACATTTTGTGGCCCATGTTCCTGAAATATCTGTTTTGCAATTGTGAAAATGGAATCCCTCCTAATATAGTAGCTGTCTTTTATTCACTAGGAATACAGATCTCAGTGTGAAATGCCAAATTTAATAAAAAAAAAAAAACTGAAACATTTAGCTGTTACATGAGAACCAACTGTTTGATATCACTGTGAATCTAACCATGATCAAAGACCCGCTACGGCTTTTTGCTGAACATATTTGACCCTGAATAGTGTGTTCATTTAACTGCTTTCCTTTTTTCATTATTTGATTACAGATACTTATCAGCTTAAAGACTTTATATGCTTTAGCATTAATTGCACAACTTACATATCAGGGTTTCTGATTGAAAGGAAGAGAATATTCCTTTCTTTTAGTGATTGCTTAATATTAATTCATAATAAGTGCACCATCTCTTGCTCCTTATAAATGTGTTTAGAAGAAGGAAATTGAGTGTTGGGAATTAAGCAACCAGGAGACATTTTTATATACTCCTACAGTGGGGGAAGACTTCCTATTTTCTTTCCCAAGGATGGATACATTTCTACTTTGAATCTGACTCCACTTGTAGACAGACAGGCAGAGTCCATCAGAAAGCCACTTTGGTCTGAAGGCTTAGTGAGAGGTTTGCATTAATGATGTTCTTCGTGATGTTATGGTGCTGAGTGACAACTGAAAAGGAAATTGGCTCACTGCACTATGTATCAACGCCTCAAGTATTTACCATGATCTCCCCAAATGCTGGCAGATTATGGCATCTCTCTATCCACGCCTAGGGAGGACAAGATCCTGTGTGCGTAGACCACTCTTACAAAGTTTTTTATTCAGTTTATCTGATATATAATTATTAAGTTGTGTATAGCTGTCCACACAATCTACATTCTGAATTTTCTTGACAGTGAATATAAAACACACAGTGAGGAATATTTAAAAGTTACATTTCATTGGTATTTGAAAATCATGAAAAATGTAAACTTTCAAATCACTGCCTTAGGTTTATAATGATAAGCTTTAGAAGTTCTCAGTACAGGGACATATGAGGAAGAAAACTAGAGAAAGGCCAGAAGAGTCATCTCTTTCTTCAACATCACCAATGAGAACTTTATATGCATCCTACATTATATAAATGGAGTTTAACCAAAAACATTAAAAAGTGGGTGGTATAAAAGAACAATATCAAGAATAAAAAACATAAGAGAATTAATGAAAAGCTACACTTTCTCATTTCAGTAATCAACAAATTTTCTTTCATTAAAAAAATGAATTGACATGTAAAACACCACAGTTTACAATATACAGATTCATTAGTTCTTTTAGAAAGCAAACAAACAAAAGCACACCAAGACATGCACTACTAGAATGTATTTTAGACTCTCAGTATACTTCTATGAGATCTTTAGGTTATTGTATGCCTACTGTAGCCTGAATAGAAGTTTGTTTCACTTCTGTAATAACAATCATCATTTTCCAAAGAGCAAGGCAAGCTTATCATTCAAGTGTGAAAGTAAGTTTTCACTTACTTGTAATTAATTAGCAAATTGGTAAACAAAAAACAAAAAATAAAATAATGGAAAAGGAAAAAAAAAAAAAAACTCATACAGCTCTCATTGGTCCCACAGCAGAAGCTGAAATTCTAACTAGATAGAAACCCTCAAAGAAATATACATCAAGTAGAAAGCTATCTCAAAATTAATACAGTATACAGCACATTTTAGCTTGTAATCATTTAATTCTCATCTCTAAATATGGATGGGTGTAACACATCATGAGTTTTTCTTGAAAACGCTTGTTGACCATAACTGTGGACCATGTATTCATACTCTACGTGAGGTAAGTCACACTTGATTTTCAAATTGGCATGTGTGCATGCTTTGTCCACCCTCCCCCAGTACTTTCACCATGAAACACTCTTTCTGCTTTTTAAAAAATCTTTTCTGTCCTATCGTATCCCATTGAAATCTACAACTAAATTTTTAAAAATATTCACTTACTAGTCTTTCCTAATCTTTACAGCTTCTTTCATTGTACCATACCATTTCTCTTCTCAAATTATCTTTCTTCTCGTGATTTACTTTGCTAACATTTTTCAGCAAGCTAATGGATTTAGTGGGTTAAATCACCTGGCTAGTGGACAAAGAACAAAAAGTTGCAGTAGGTAACTTTGATACTCTACATATTTTTGCTAAACCCTGTTCTACTCCTGAAACTGAAAATAGTCTTTATAATTGGGACAAACAGAAATAAAATGGAAGGTAAATATTTGTCCTGATGGGACGGCCTTAAGAACCCTGACTGTGATAAGAAAACCAACTCCAACATGAAAAGGTAGCACAGGTTCTATGAAGCATTAGATCCTTTGTGTGTAGGTTGTGGGGGGAGGGGTATGTCATGCATTTATGAAATTCCAGAGACTGTAGCCCTGCCTTCTCAGGAATGAAAGCATCAAGTAACAACAATGGAAATGGCAGCAATGGAGCATTTTACTGAAGGACCAGGGGAAGACCACTAGTCCAACTGGGTGGCTATGAGAAAAGAAAATAAAAAGAGATAAAATGCCTCACTTTTATGAATATGTTTAATTCTTTGTAAATTAAAAATATATCAAGCCCTGCCTCAAGGCAGAAGCCCTCAACATATTCAAGTGTTAAAACTACCCATTTAATATCATACATGAAGTTAAAACATTGGGGTAGTTTTTATTAAGATTTTTTCCTACAGAAAAAATAAGAAAAAAATTAAGAAACAATAAAACGTATACAGCCCATATTGGGCTGGGGAAAAAATGTCAGTTATAAATTTTCCCCTCCTAAGATATGATACTTTATTCTTTAGCCTAAAAAACACCGTTTTTATAAAAAAAAATTATACAACTGATTCTGCATTTTCCAACTACTCTGAGTACTCTGCCTTACAGTGCAACCCAAGACAAGTCAACTACACTAAGTATTTGGGAGGTATACCCTTCTGTACAGCTCGTTTGTAAGCAATGCAAGTGCATAACCACTACTCTAATATAGTGCTCAAAAGATTAATTGAAACTTTCATAACATCTTCCCCTCTTATAACAATAAAACTGAAGGTAATTGGTGGATGCATCATAATCTTTTAGTCTTGTAAAACTTGGCATCAAGTCTCTATGGAAAGATGCATGGCAAAATGGTGCCAGTGCTGTTGCTGCTTCTAAACCACTGGCAAAAAATAGTTAAAGCTAAAATTTATTGCTCCAGATTTAACTTGCAGAACCATACTGTTGTGTACAAACTGTTAATCTCCATAGATGCTCAGACATGATTGTCTCCTTGTGTCTAAACACACAAAATACAAGCTGCTATCTGTACAGTTTACAGTACTGAAACACATATATTTGAAAATGAAGTATAGATATGTACTTTGCAAAGATACATGATTTTACAGCAGGGGTTTACCCAAACTTATTTTTTACAGCCACTTTCAAAATAGACAACAACTTCACTACTATAGCTAAATTACATCAAAGAAAGAATCAGCGTATTGAAAGTAAATAGACTGGCCAATTCTCCAAGCTCTCACATTATTTTTATGTCTTTTTCTTTTCTTTTCCTCTTTTTTTTTTTTTTTGAAGAAAGCCCTATACATAAAATGAAAATAATTTCTGGATATTTTCTTCAGTGGTGGACTAAGCAGTTTCTTAAAACAAGACATTAGTTTGCCCTTCATTTCCAAATGCCTTGAAAATAAGATATACTACTGCTTTAAAAGAACCATCGGAATGCTTCAGCGCTGGGAACAGGTGTTCTCTATAAAAAAAGAGCAAGAAAACAAGTTAAGCTTTCTTTCTATGCCAATATAAAATTAGATTTTTCTCCTTTACACTTCAGCAATATTTTTAGTTACCAATGTACAACATAATGACTTGTATATTTCAACATTTAATAAAAAGAAGAAATGCTCAATCTTAGAACATGACAATAATTAGAATATTGAATTTAATGCTAACTTGCTGAATATACTGATTAAAACACATTGGTTTAAAAATATAGGAAATGCAGCCTGAAACACGTATAGGAAGCAGAATAAAGGTAAAGTTCAACCTCTTAACCAATATGAGGAAGACCAGTCAGCACAGGTACTTAAAATCTATATCTGCCTTGCAGAATGCCTACATCATTTTGAGTGGATCATCTTACCGTCAGGATAACATACACACAGAAGGCACAATCACATAATGAAGAAAGAAAGGATTCACTTTTGCTGGTTAGCTTTCTACATTAGTCCTTTCTCATGATAGATATTTATTTTGTATTTTTGTATTTCTAAAGATACAATCAGCTATGCAGCACATGGTCTTAAACATGAGTGAGACATATAAGCATTCTATGCGGTTAAAATGACTATGATTGAATTACTCTGTCTCTAACCACCCTACCAAAAATGCAATCAAAAACTGAAACTGAAATTTAGGTCACTGTTTTATGTATAGAAATCACAATATATATATATATACATATCCAATTATGTAAAGCTGATGTTCAAAATTCAGTTAAGTAATTTATTCTGCAGATTTTCTGACAGAATAATAACAAATATCAATATTACCTGCAACACTTATCATTAAATTCTAAACACATTTTATAGTCTAGTGAGAACCATACTCATAAAATATATCACTGTTTCAAAGTGAGTTTGTATTTTCAACAAATATATATATAAAGTAAATTGATTACTAACCAATGATATTCAATGAAGCATAACTACCCTATTGAATTGTAAACATACTATAAATGGTTTCTCCAAAGAAGTATCAAGCTAGCACCAAAGTATAAGCAATCATTTTAACAAAAAGCTTATAGTTACTATGAGGTTTTCTTGTTAGGTAAATGGTAGTTAAGCTTGAATTTTCTATGTACATTAACATCTAATAATTCCTCATGCCATATCCTTCCTTAAAATGTATTCTAATGATATACATAAAACAATCACATGAATATACAGTGAAGGTATGCAAGAAACAACAAGCTAAGAATACATTCTCCTGCAAAAGAAAGTTGACTTTATTCCTTAGACTAGCCCAACAAGCCTGTATAAATCGTAAGATGGCTGCTAAGGATAAATAAGTATATAAATTGATGTGTTGAATGTAAGTGCCAATATATTTACTAGGTAAACAAAAACACAAGAGCACATACATACACACACATTACTTGTAATGCATCTTAAAACATTAATAGCACTTGATTTTTGGATTTCAGAAAATAAACACAAAATTCTGCTAAAAACCCTCTAATAATTGAGGTTAGCTCTTATTTACTTTCTCACACGTGTTATTTGGTGGACATTGTCCTATTGTAATTATGTCATCTAATAATAAAAGTATTAATTGATTAGGATGTCAACTAGAAAACAATAAAATAAATATTTTGGAAAGCAAACATGCTTTTCGCTATCTGTACTAAAATAATTTTTTAAAAGACTGTCCTCATCACAAACACAATAAATTTCAAAATGACTGTGTTGAGAACAAATCATTGATAAATGACTATCTTCCTACTCCAAGTCTGCATATAGGTATACAGAACAAAATCTGCCTGAGCAGCGCTTTCTAAAAGCACAAACAAAAAAGTTCACTATTCTCATGGAAATTGTACTGATCTTATTAACCTGTTATAAGATGGTTTCATTGGTTTTCTCCTTTCCAGCTCACTATGCATACCTGAATCTCTATCATTTGATTTAATTGGTGAGAAAAACTTCTTTACTACTTTCTAAAATTAACTTTTGGATAAATGTAATAATTATACACATTGATTACATTAATTTAATCATTATTAAGAAGCTACATGACGTAATAAGAAATAGAACATGCCCATTCTAATATTCATGCTTTATACACACACAAAAGCAATAAATGAAAACTTAAAAGTTTATACCAGATGCTAACTTACTGGCTGATGCCAACTAAGAATAAATTTTATATAAGTATGCACACTTATATAAATGTAGTCACTTCTAACGAGATAAGTTAGATCCAAGCATATTCATGCAATTATAGATC
This sequence comes from Homo sapiens, assembly GCF_000001405.40. Classification (NCBI taxonomy): domain Eukaryota; kingdom Metazoa; phylum Chordata; class Mammalia; order Primates; family Hominidae; genus Homo; species Homo sapiens. The sequence goes on from NC_000004.12 coordinate 104,474,622, forward strand.
TATGGTTACAGATTCACATACGAAAAATAAACATGTGCATATATATTCATATATATTCACATTTATGTGTATATGTATGACACAGAGATGCCAACTTACTCTCAGATGCCAACTGGAAACAAGATTATAAATATATACTTATGTAATCTTGTATCTTGATAAACATATATGTTTACGAAGATAAACAGCAAAAATATATGGAGTACATTTTTTAAATGAGATGAAGTCCTTATGTCTTAGATATACTTTTAAATCTCTTTTCCAATTCTCGCTCTTCCTGTGCCCCTTTCAGCTACTCAATTTTATTTGCAACATTTAGAAAAAGCAAGCTTATAAAATGCCACTTAGTGTCAAAGGTCATTGTTGTGGGAAAAAAAGATAATCACTTCTCAATACCTGTTAGCAGTACAAATTAATTAAACAATGCAAACACGAGAAAAGCAGAAAAAAGGTTTTCTACACTTACTTGATATTACTGTGCATCGTGATTTTACTATGCATACATTGAGACCAGTATGCATCCCCAGATGTAAGAATATGGACAGTTTATTGCAGGAGAAGTGAGAAGGTAAGCAGGGAAGCCTCTTTTAAAAATTATTTCTTCCTTATATTAAGATCCTTGAGGTCAAGAAGCCTAAAAATGATTAGTTGGGAAATCACCAAATAAAATATGTGAGAAAAATTAGGAAAACTACTGGTGCAGTAATTAGAAAATAATCAAGGCACACACCAGAAATTTGTATTTCAGGATTTTAAAAGTGTCAAAACTCTTTAGGGTCCTGTAGCCTACCCAAAATAGATGTATATCTAATCTCCTGCCCAATTTTCATCAGGAACAATGGAAATGTACTTTAGGACTGATTGAGTTTGTTTCAGCCAAGCTGGGTGAAGCAACAATGTTTTAATAGATAAAATATTGAGTTAAACTACAGGTTTCTAACTAAGTTTGTACTAATTTGAGGACACATATTTTTTCATTCTGTCAACTAATGAGGTTATCCTTGTAAGAAGACTTCTTTTTAAATGGTGCGGGGGCTCAGCACACCAATGTGCGGGATTAAATACCCTGACCAGCCACCTTTGGGTTGTATAAATTCAAAGTCCCAGCTAGGGATTCACACTCTTGATGAGATTACAGTGACTTTCTGGATCTCAGTGATGCTTGCAGGGGATCTTTATCCTGAGTGACAGGAAAGCCAGATTCCCCTGAAGAGAAGGGGGTGGGGAGGTAAAGAATAGAATTGAGTTGATCGGCATTGTTTAAGGCAGCCTTCACTGTTCATGCAGGTGCAAACGCTGACAAACAGCCGTCTTGCTCCCAGGAGGCCTGTGGAGAAACCTGCAGCCCCAGTTCTCTTTCTGGTACTGCTGTAAAGCACAGTGTTCCAGAGAATTCACCCCTACACAAACCAGGTACAACACTATCTTCAAGTCTAAAGGAGTCTTCTGTTTCTCCCTAAATTACATTAAAACTAAGGGAATTTCCTTGAATAAAAGAATGATAAAACCTAAGTCCAAGTACATTTTATATTTACTTTTTAAAAAAATTTAAAATTTAATAATGTTCCTGGCAGATATATATATATTTCAGTTTGATTTTCATTAAATCTGCAGTGATGAAATAATTAAACAACCTAAAATAATAAAGAATATGAAAAGCTTTCACCTTAAGGATTTTAGCATGTTTCTCTTCTCATACCTGCGAAGCAGTCACACGGAAAGTGGTATCTTCAGGTGAAGAATGCATCTACATATTCTTGTTAGAAATACGTCAAGTCTAATAAAACATCAGCTCCTAAAAGCTGAAAATGGGGCATCTCTAACTCTGTACATATGAGGATATGTGGATTGGCCATTCATATCTAAGTACAGTGTGTAAAATGTAGCAATATTTACAAAACTGCACTTAAAACTTTTAATAATATTAGACCTGAGGTTTCAAAGAGGAAATTAATGAAAACTTTTGATGCTGAAATTCACCTTAAATACAATTTTAAATTGAGATCATGATTATGATACTAGAAATGTCTATAACTAAAGTTAAACCTATCTTTCCAATATTTATTCATATACTTTCGAATCTAAAAATTTCAGTGACTCACCTAGGCCTTCAAAATTCTACTGTGAAACAAAATGGCTCTCATGATTTCCAACTGAAGGTCACTATTTGGGGATACCATTATTTCTATACTAATCAAAAATAATTTCCTGTTTTCCCATTTATTATTAAAGAAACAAAAGTCATGAAATCATTTTATGATTCCCATATAATCGTGAAGCATGCTTTCTTCCCAACCAAACTTAAGGCAATTTCAGGCTGTAGTTAGCCAATACCACCTACTGTATAACCTTTTGAAATATTGTTTTCACTATGAGGAGTCCCACTGTAAGTTTCTTAGACTCCTCGGCATCTAAGGCCTTGATACTGGAAACCTCCACTGCATTCAAGTCTATCATTTCACACTAGAATGCAAAGATCTTAATGAATCACTGAAAATTTGCAGTAGAAAGTAAGTGAATAAATATGACAAAACATAATAATGGACCCCACTGTTTGCCTTCAGTTATTCAATTATATAGATTTTGTTTGTGGCTACATATAAAACTTTCAAACTTTAGAAATTTCCGGATTAACAAATGCAAGCAGGTTGCTGATGGTGAAAAAAACTACCTTTTTTTTCTGATTTGATTCACGAAGAATGCTAAAACATTGTTATATAGGTTCTTGATTATGTTACTAACAAAATTTCAAAATCTACTTGGAGAAATTGGAAACTGTATTACGTATACAGTATTGTGAATGTGAACAAACTGATTGACACAAATTAATACATAGTAATATGAATCTTTGAATAATTAATAATTATGATATAAAATAATACCTAGCAAAGGTGAACACCTCCCCCACAAGTTTTTAGCAGAAAGATTTTTCTATATTCCTTTTGTAAATGATAGGTTTTAGAAATCATAGTCTAGTAACTATAATAGAGTTATTAGAAAACACTAGTAAAGTATAGGCTAATAATATAAGAGAACTATTAATGATTATCACACAGTCCAATAATTTATTGCTATTATAAACAAAACATTTTATTAATAATATCTAAATTTAAAAATATTTGGAGTAATATAAGTATATACTTGTTTCCATTTTTTAAATTACACCTCACTTTTTTCTTCTGCTCTGTTGTAATAAATCCATATTATGTCTGTAATGTATAGCAGATTAATTTTTCTAATAATCCAGATTCATTTATTACATAACTGTATGTCTTTGGTATAATCACACCTTATTTTGGTCTTTATCCAAATATAAATTAAAAACAACTTTCAACATCATCCACTAACTGGAATATTAGACCCCTATTTAAAAAGGGGAAAGCACCAAATAACTAGGTAATTTTTATGACATAACTTTTGGAGGCTTTAAATATGATTTTAAGAAACATTCCATATTTTGGTTTCCAAATTGACATTTGTGACCAAGATTTCTCCGATTAATGATGGAGAACTAGAGATGGCCTTTTCATTGATAATTGATTCTCCCTTGGCTGTTGCTCCTGTTGCTCTCTTTGCCTTGCACTCCTACACTGCAACCACCACAGTTACCATCACCACTGTGACAGCATGATTTTAGACTGTGACGGTGTGACTTTAGAAGGTAAACCTAGCTAACTTCTGCAAATGGAAAGATGACTTTATACATTATGTTGTAAAGGCACTAAGTCAAGTCCATATGGTGATAAAGCCTGTCATGAAAACAGCTGTCCAAAGGAGAATGTGTGTACACGGTGGGAGTGGGTTGGTGGGAGGTAAAATGACAGATTAACACCACGATTCACACTGGTCCAGAAGTGACCAAAAAATGTACCCATTTTGGCCATAGGTCTAATATAACTACTTTAGTTAAGCAAGTCTCTTGATAATGCTATGCGTATATAATTATATTTCAGTTAAATTTCGTAAAAATACTTCAAACCACACCATTCTAACAAATAAGTAAATTTAGTGTATTATAAGTGGGTATTTTAGTGGTTAAAATGTTCTTACCCATATAAAAATAAAACATAGTACGGTGGTACCATGGTAAGCAGAAAGAGGAAAATCTTTCAATAATTCACAAATTTAAAAGGTATTTATCAAAGCAATGTTATATACTTAACCTTATGTGTAAGAGAGAATGTGAAAGAAAATTAGAAGTAAAATTAAGATTTAAAAAGTAAAAATTGGGTTAATAAAATCAATACTATACTTTCAAGAATGATTGAAATTATTTTATTTATATAGTCATATGTTCATATTTCATTTGCATGTATATATATGTATAAATATATATGGTTATAGACTCTAAATAAATATGTGTGTGTATATATATATGAATATATATGTGTGTATAAAAGTTCAACAATTCAACTTCTTCTCAAGTAATTCCCATTGAATGCAACAGCATAGCATTAGGTGAGTTCATTGGTAATTAGCCATTGAAAAACAATGAGCAGCCTTTCCCAGACCAAGTGGTTGGACAATTTTGAAGTTCTGGTTAATTTTAAAGCAGTCAGTGAAACCGTATTAACTTTATCCCTTTTTTATTGAAGAGAAACATAAATATTCATATAAAATACTAGAAAATGAGAAGTCACTTAAAAAATCTTAAGAGGTGATGTTTAACCTGACTATCAAAACTGTGATTTGAACACCCTCTAATTTATACGAAAATAAAGTAGTTACATTTAGCCTCCATCAGCAAATCAATATGGCATATCTCTTTTATTATTATAGTTCTGAGATCTGATAAATATTTATTTCTTAATTACATAAAAGTGAAAAAAAGTTTAACAGAAAATTTCCTGTTAGGCTAAGTCAAGTAGCATTTTGGATGTAGTCACTGAGCTTCATGTGGCTCAGAATCTGTTATGAACTATCCAACCACTGGGAGAGACTCAGCCTAAAATTCACAGCATGTTTTATGTTTATGAACTACTGAGAGGAATTTAGAAAACATTAATTCTAAATATTTCAGTCAACTAGATGCTATCACCAAAATAATTTACTTTGATTAAAACTATAGTTCTAATAATAAAATGTAGCTTTTGTTGTCCCTCCCTCTCTCCCTCCTTCTTTCTTTTTCCCCTCTCCCTCCCTTCCTTCCTTCCCTCCCTCCCTCCCTCTGTTCCTCCGTCCTTCCGTCCTTCCTTCCTTCCCTCCCTCCCTCTCTCCCTTTATTCCTTCCTTTCAATTGCCATCATACGGAATGCTCAAATTAACAATCACTCTGACTTCGACTTTTGGTCTTTTCTCTTAATTCTCTTTTAAAATAATAAAATTGAAAAGTATACAGTCAATAATTAATTTAATTTTTATCAAGTCTTTATATGTTTCTTAACTGTTTAGAAATACACTTTGGTTCATCTACTTTCATCAAGAAGATAAATACTATTAAGCATTTTCCACTACTATAACATCATGGTAGGCATTTGTTCTTGTCTAGAACAAATTCTCAAGTATTTAGATTCTAATTTCTCCTCAGGAAGTTTTCATGAACTACCTCTTTTTCTATAAGTATCATGTGCTCCATCCAGAGTATATAAACCTATATACTCAGTAGAACATAGCCACATTCAGATAGTCAACTAACTAGCAAAGTAAATTAATAAATTTTCCACCATAGGATTTATAAGATGTAGTGATTGATATCCTTCTCATCATCATTCTTTAGTAGCCTTTTTTATATGCACGATTCTGTATTTTCTCAGAAATTCTCCTCATGATTACTTAAAAAGTACACTGACATTTTGTACCATCAGTTCATTATAGGGGTTGGATAGCCTTGAGCTCCCTCAACACTATCATTAGTTTCGAGCATTGGTTTTCCCATCTTGGCCTTTCTATGTTTCTAATTGCAGATTGCAGACTTAAGAATTACTTTTAAAAATATGTTTTTAAAAAACCATAAACATACTTAGTTTTCCTGAAACTAGTTTTTCCACCATGGTAAATGGAAAAAAAAAAATGCTTAGTGGTTCTAGTGGATCTAAACCCAGACCCATGACACCTTTCCCTAAATTCTGAGACTAACTATTGCTTCCCATTTCTTATTGAAACCAGATCAAGATGACCTTAAGTATGCCATTTCTTTTTGCCAATACGCCCCTTTCTGATTTCCCTTAAACAGTAGCAATTCTGTAACCTTCCTGTATTTCCTTCCTCTCTTCCTTGCCTTTATCTTCCCTCCCTCCCTCCCTCCCTTCCTTCCTTCCTTCCATCCTTTCTTCCTTCCTTCCCTCCTTCCTTCCATCCTTTCTTCCTTCCTTCCCTTCTTACTTTCTTCCAATATAATCTTTTCTCTTATTCAGGTAAAACAAAGGTTTCCAGCAGTCTGTAAAATATGCCTTGAAATAAAACAGAAAATATAATACTACAGAATCACATGAGGTAGCAAGGCAGAGATCATATTAGTCTGTGTTACTTATCTAGATGTGGAGAACTAAACCAAGGATGAGTCAAGGAATCCTAAGGCTTTTAAATAGGTGTGAGATTGATTCCAGAATTTTCTAAAATTTCAATGTTAGTTTAAATGTGGCCATTTGTCCATTTCGTGGGCTGAAAATTAAAAATATAAATAGGGAGGCCGGGTGTTGTGGCTCACGCCTATAATCCCAGCACTGTAGGAGGCTGGGGTGGGCGGATTACATGAGGTCAGGAGTTCTAGACCAGCCTGGCCAACATGGTGAAACCCCATCTCTACTAAAGAAAATACAAAAATTAGCCAGGCATCATGGCGTATGCCTGTAATTGCAGCTGCTTGGGAGGCTGAGGGATGAGAATAGCTTGAATGCAGGAAGTAGAGGTTGCAATGAGCTGAGATCACGCCACTGCACTCCAGACTGGCCAACAGACCAAGACCCTGTCTCAAGGGAAAAAAGAAAAAAAAAAATATGGAACTAAGTACCTTGGATGAAGGACTAAGACCCAGAGCTAGAGAATTACATGCATATTGTAAAAAGAGCAGGAATAAAGAACATTTAGGGTTCTTTAAGCCAGGATTTGTGTGTGTGTATATATGCATGTACATATATATTGGTACATACGTATGTATGTATACATGGAACTTAAGTCTTGGAAGATAACAGTTCCACCTAAACATCTGTTAAATTGAATTGAATTTATCAAGGGTTTACTATGTGCTAATTAATACCATATATTCATGAATAGACAGCAAAGGTATAGACCTGCCTGGAATAAGTAAAAATACGCTATTTGTAAAAACATTTCAATTTTACTCTTTATCTTGTTAACATTGTTCAAATATAATTTCTTTCCTCACTACAGACTTGTTCAATAGTGATATTGCTGTTGCTAGATTAATGTTTTTCAAATTTGACTGCAACTAAAAGTTATAAATACATTTTACACAGCAACTCAGCACATACATACACATACATTTCTTTAAGTGTACATAACTGAAACAGAAGTTGAACAATGCTTGCTATTACTACATGTGATAAACTCATATATTTTTCTGCTCCATTTTATTCTAACCTACTTTCTAAAAAATCTTGATGGTAAGTTAAAACATTGGTTTCATGGACCACCAACATATTGTCACCTGCAGTTTGATAAACACACCTCCATACTGTACAAAAATGAATTCATGTGAAAAGAATCACATGAGGAAAATCTAAAACCACTCCACTTCATAAAGAATTTAACTCTACATATAGCAGCATTACAAAGAAGAGCTAATGTATTTCTCTTTCGATGGAAATAAGCCAAAGTTCTCTCTTCTTTTTCACGGACTAAAGGTAGAGCACACAAAATATTTCATGTTTAATGGAAGACTCCACAACTTTTCACTTCTTATACACCTACATATGACTGTTAATTTTATCCTTTTTTCTTATCTTCACTTAACATTAAGATCACCACTTATCTAATTTAATCTATTTTTAAAAAGCATTGCCAATAGAGAAGTTATTCCCAAGCATAGTTATTTTTCTACCACTGATTCACCAACACTAGTTCTCGCCATTTCCACATGATTAAATTTATATGGTCTTCTGTTCACTTAAAAATGTATTTAATCTTGTTTCATTCTCTAAATTTTGGAGAAAATATATCTATCTTCTGTGGCATTTGCCAGATTTGCTGAAATAGACAGAAATGTCCAAATTTTTCCTAATCTACAAACATATATCCCTTTCTCTTTTCATCCTACTTGATCCCTATCATTATAGTATTATCAATAATCCAGTTGTGGTATGGTGTGGGGTTTTTTGTTCTTGTCTTTTAGTCTTTGGGCAAGAAGCAGCACTTTCAGCACCGTCTTTCCCATAGTCTGACACTTTACTTTCTCAAGAATGTTTTCTAAAATATGAATTTTAATGCAGAAGAGACACAAATGGGATACCATTTTCCACCCATCTTGGAAGTATTCTCTTTTAGTTACACTTTGGAATTATTCTACCAAATGTTTCAAATGCATAAGTAAAAATAATAACATCAGCTATAACACAATCTGTTTTTCCTTATCTCTAATTCATCTGCCACTCCACTCAAGCCTCAGTTCTGACTCTCAAACCAAAAGTATTGAGTCTAGTCATTAAAAAAAAATTATCTTTCTTTTTAAAAAATATTTTCCATCATCTAAAAAGCTTTTATAACAGCTAAAGCAAAGCATACATCCATAATTCCATCTTGTCAAAGTTCTTTCTATACACTGCATTGGATTCTGGCTTAAATATTCCTTTCTCCTTTGTTTCTCATCTTTCTTGGTCAGCATTATAAATCTTTTAGGGCTTATCACTCTTTTTCCCCAGAAAAACACCAGCTATTCCGATTAATGCTTAATAACTGTCTTCATTTTAAAAAATATTCTGTTTTTAGTAAAAAACAGAAAAACTTCATGTAGCTACTTCACTTTTTAGGTAAAAATGCATATCTACCTGTTTTATTTCCTATGTACACTCATATATATATATATTCTCGAATTTTCCAAATTTGTTAAATATGTTCACTTTCTAATATTTGTTACATATGTTTTCCAACTGGAATTCATTTCTTTCTTACAATTATTCTCTTGACCTCACAAATTCACATTTAGAATATCTCTGTGTCTTGGAAAAAAAAGTCAAATAAAAGTATTGGGTTAGTAACGTGAAACATAAACACACACACACATCTATCAAAATATATAAAAATTAATAGTGGTGATATGTCTGTGGTAAGGAAGGAGAAAGAGCACTAAATAATTGAAATTGGCTCACCATATTGACTGACTTCACTGGGTAATATGCTCAGTTTCCTAAGACATTTGACAGTGCAAGTATAGGAACAAGGAAACATGTTTAATTAGATTTATCTCTTTCCAAGTAAACTCAAGTCATATCTTTGCCAACTGGGTAATTAAAACAAATATTCAAAAACCACATACCACTAATAGACATCAGGGCTTTAATGTCTGAAAACTATAAGTAACCTATTGGTTTCTTATCTATAAATACAGTTGCCTTATTCTCCATTTCCATTGAGGTTTTAAAATTGGACTGAGAAATTATATAGCATCTTTCAGTTTGCCAACAACATTAAACTACATATAATGTTAAAACGTTATAAGGTAGGTTGATATTACTTTCATCTTATTGATGAGGAAATAAAGTTCAGAGAAGTTATGCTGATGTACCTAACATTGTTCAACTATTAAGTTACTTGATACTAGTGGCTCTTTTCACAATTTCTTACCTATGTGGCCACATGGACCACATATAATTTTAAATGAAAAGAAATTAAAATGTAGGAGCTTAGTAGTATATTTCCTGAATATAATTTATACCATTTTATATAAACCAAAGAAATACATCTTGAATATGACGTCTTTGAAAAAGTAATTGCTTGCTTTGCCACAATCTCTTTAGTAAAAAACATAGTGGGAAATAAATGGGTTAAAGATTAAGAAAGAGGAAACCAAAAAATTCAGCAGGCTTGATTTCATACCTAGCTATGGATTCTTACGCTCTTAAAATAAATTAAGAGAAAGCCCAGAAGTTTCACAGAGGAAAAAATATTTCTCATAATGTTTTAGAGTAGAAGTTAACAAGCCTGCTGGGATCCTTTTAGCCCCTGCAGAGCTAAGTCTTCAACATTATTAAATGGCTGTCGCATCTGAAGTATGGTACAACATAACTCAATAAACAACAGAAAACATATGATGCTGAATGGAGGGAGGCTTTTCGATTACCCTGCAGAATAATTCAATTTCAGGACAGGTGTTTGCATGTGATGGAACAAGATATGACTCAAGGATAAAATCACCCTTATGCCCCTCCCCCAATATTTTGAAAATCCTAATAATAGCAGCAAAATGCTAGATTTAAAAGTATGTTAAAAATGGTCAGAAACACTGATGCACAAATGAAGGAACAAAATTACACATGCACAAAATTCTCAAAATTTACATGGATTACAAAAAATACATACTTTCTTGAAAAGAAGTTTTTATAAAAGATGATGCTTCCTAGAATGCCCTACTTCCCCAGCTAAGATCATCTGACATTTTGATCAGTGACTAAAAGTCACATTACTAATAAAATTTAGATTTTATTTTCAGTTCATTTTTGCTTTTTTACAAACTAATCTTGGAATATGAGAGAAACTATAAAAGAATTAGTCCTTTCTCCAATTTGTATATTTACATGGGCTTTTAAATAAATCTTGTATTTAACTTATGACTTTAACTAGATATTTCTATATGACAAATGCAAGAGTTTATTTTTGGTATTTTGCATAATGGGAGTAAAATAAATTTAAGAAATTAAAGCATATCCACTCATATTGAATAGTAGGACATTATGTCAAGCTTTTTCAGAGTAAATTGAAGTGAAATGTTTTCTGCATATTCAGACAATCTGACCAGTTGAGGTCCAGCAGTAAATTCTGAGAGCACCAACAACTTTAGAAGACTTTCTTAAAAGCACACTTTCAACCTATGCCTGAGAGATACTCAAATAGTATAATGTTTAACTTTGTATCCAGAAAGATAGTTTGTATTCAGAATATTCCAACAATGTTTCCACCCCACCATGGATCTTCAGCCTGGAACCTGTTAAACAATGTTCCAACTGGAGCAAATATGGATCAAATGCCTGTTCTTTTTGCATGCCTTTCAATTTTCAATCTTACAGGCTATTTTATTAAATTGTTTTGTACTTATCAATCTATAAGTCTGACTATGCAAAACTTAACTATTAATTCAGAAAAGTAGATGACTGAGACTAAACAAAATATAGAGAAATACTTCAGTAATCAATTATTTAAGAACTTGAAAAGCCACACGACTTTTATTTCTTTCATCACTAGATACACTTTTCAGAAACCTAAAGTTTATTTTTTAAATTTGCTCTTATATGCCTTGTGTTTGCTCACTTATATTTTGTTTGATGATGGTTGAATTTCAAACATTCTTATAGCATAATTTACAAATGAATTTTAATTACTTTATTTTATTATTCCTAATTGCCATCTAAAACATGGCTTAGAATTTACATGATGGTTGGATGGGCGAGGGTACTGTTTTCATTTAGGAAGTATTAAAAATGTATGTACGCTTTGTAAGTTTTTAAACTGACAGTTAAAATTACATGTATTTACTGTGGGTACAACATGATATTTTGAAGTATATAAAAAACAACTTTAACTCCCTTGTATTAAATCCAGTGATGGAAAAATAATCTCATTGAACTTGTTTTGCAGTTTGATGCCTTGGCCACAAATTCATTTGTGGCTTTAGTCAAAGATAAAATTTTCCAAGCTTTTTCCTTATTATTTATAAAATTGAGGTGTTTTTTCCTACATTATTTATATGTTACATTCTAATGTTAATATACTATCATTTTGTTTAAATTTTATTGAAAAATTTCCCCTTTCCCTTTCATACTCACTTATATATTTGCACTTTTTGGTTAAAATAAAAATATTTTTCTGTTGGTAAGTTTCTTATTCTTGAGATGAAAAATTGAAAACTCATTTCTTAAAAATTATGACATAAAAAAACTGGTGGATGTTTCCATTTAAGACACAAAACATTTGCATTTTATCCATAGATTTTTTTGTCACCAAACCTCAGAAATGTATATGTTCAATTATTGAATTATTTTATTAACTAAAAGCTCTTAGTTTGAGTGACACACCTATTTTACATCTGGTCTACAAGTTAATTTCCTCAGGAGGCAGGTGCCACCTTCCTGTACTCATTACAGATGGTGCTTTGTCCAGAGTTTTACAATTGCCATTTATGGTTGGGGCTCTTAGAACTTAACAGCGTAAACAATATGTCCCTCCTCCCCTATTACACTCTTCTGAAGTAAGCTATCAAGTTAGAGACAGTATTTGAATTTTTTTCTGCCAACCCCCTTAGAAACTCAACCTAACTTGTGGAAAAATTACTGTTGGCCTGTACATTCGGCAGATAGATTTTTAAGAGATAAAAGAAAGTAAAGAAAAAAAATGGAACCATCCTTCTTCCTGACTTTCCAGTCTCTCAATGTCTTCACTATAACCTGCTCTCTCTAGTTTCTTCTCCAGCTCAAGGAAAGTCTCAGTGGTGGCAGTGTGAAACTTACTGCAAAGAGAGCCAAGAGTGGGGGAAGGGAAACCTCCTGAGGCACTGCTTACTAATGTAATTCCATAAATCAACTAATGGTAGAGAAACCAGATCTGTGTGGTCTCTAATGCTGTCCCACAGAGATCAATCATGTCACCTGAACAATGTTCAGAGACTAAGAGGCTGGGGTTGCCCATGGGACAATTTTATCCCTTGAGCCATATCAGATTGGGATATTTTTAAAAGTTAGAAGTCAGTATCAGAAATGTTACTGTTGTGAATATAAAAACTGAAGGATTATCTTTGCAAGAGACAAAGTGTTATCATGTAACTTATCATAAGGATCTCCTATATGATCACGTTTATTAAAACATCAAGGAACTTAATATTTTTCATTTAGGATAGAAATTTTTAAAACAGTTTTTGTCACACAAGGGGCAGAGAGCATTTGTAATGACTGCTTTGAACAATTAGTGGCTATTTTTTTAACAGAGTAATTGACTTAATGAACAGTGGTTATGCAAATACACAGTGCACAGTATAACAGAAAAACTAAATGTTTTGTGTGCATTATCATATCAAATATGATCAAGGGGTGATTTTATAAACACATTTCTAGGGCATCATAAGATGCTCTTAAGGTGAGACTAAGCAGAAAAATAGAAGGCAGTTTTAAAAGGAACACTAGGGAGGAGGCTTTGAAAAAAATCTGGATGAGAGTCCCAACATATCCATGTGAGTCTGTCTTAATTTCAGTTTTCTCACCCTGAAAAAAAATCTGACTATGTCTCCAGTCTTTGGGATGAGAACAAGTCAAAGGGAAGAGTGGCACATGAGTCTTGAAGTGATAAAGAAGAATATATGTTATTATTATGATCCAGATGTTAATTGGCACCCATAATTCAAAGCCAACAAATATTAGCTATGGAGTTTACATCTGGAACCCACAGGTGATATCCACAATGAGTCCCCAAATCACTGCCCTCAGCCAGGAACCCATCCAATCTCTAAAACATTTTCCCAGATGAGGATGGACCAAATTTAAGAGAGAAACCAGGTCAGCAGGGGGACTTTTCACCTTCCTGCAATTCCTCTTCCAGCTTTGGTTCAGTCATGTAAGCCCTGTCACTCTGACATGTGCTCAGCTGGTTTCCTACAACCATAACTGTGTATTTGCACATAGGTCTAAGGCAGTCATGATGGCATTGTCTTTTTTAATGATCTAGATAGGATCTTATACAATTTTGAAAAAAAGCTTTTTATTTCTTTTAGCCAAATAGTATTCCGCTAATAATCTTAGCCTTGAAACACAGCCCATGCTCTGATAGAAGGGATCTGAAGTTAGAAGATCAGCTTGAGAGTTCAAAGGAAAAAATCAGCTTCTTATTCTACCCATACCCCACCTTGTGAAGAGTAACAGAATTTTTGTGCATGAGAATTTTTTAAAAAGAAGAAAATGTAGTTTTATGGGATTTTGTCATCAAAATGCCTGAGGAATTTAAATATCACAACAAGCTTGTAGGAAAAGCATCAAATTAAAAAATTACACCAGCATAGAAACTTGTGCAGAAAACCTATTGGTACTCATATCAAACCCCTGCAGGGTAATTATTTACTAAATAAATCAGAATTATTCAGTTACTACATATCTTAAATTGGGATGCAAGTAGTGCCACGAGTCTAGCTAAAGATGAGGCCTAACAGCAGAACCAAATTTATAATTCTAGATACTACATTTCAAGAGGAAAAATAAAAGCCATGTTGTCCTTATCAGCTGGGAATAGAGAATTTCAGTATGAACTGAATTTTAATTTCCCATAGTCCTTAGAAGTTACAATAAATTAATCCGGCAAAGAAGATTCAAAAGCTATTTTTTGCCACCTAAGAAAATACATGGACCTGCATTATAGTTGCTATTATATTTGCACAAAGAAAGTTGCCAAAGAAAATGTAATAAACCATCCAGGAGTAAAGTTAAACTTTCCAAAAAGAGCTGATTTATCTTATAAAGAAGAATAAATGCAATATTTTGATGAAACTGATCATACCCAATAATGACATCAACATAATTCTGATATTTTTAGAATCCTAGAGGGCTATCTCATTTGATTTACACAATTAAAGGTTAAAAAAAAAACTGTATCTTCTTTGTGTTCAAACCTGTACCAAAGATCTTTAACCCTTCTCTTTATTCTTTTAAAGACTGCTTCCCAGTTCATAAAGCAAACTCCTCTAAGCAGTACTCACAATTTTTAAAAGAATGTACAGATAACCCTAAGATAACTTGTGAGAGCCACTCTCATCCTGCAACTCACTCCACAGAATATTAAAATGTTAAAGCACAGAATGCTAAACCCACCACCTACAGTCTCATGTATATATGAACATCTAATTATCTACCCTGTAAATTTTATCGAGACTAACTATAAGTACTTGTCCAGATTTCTTTGTTTAATATACCACCAAAGTCATTTACCTGTGATTTTTCATTTTTCCCCATTTTTGTTTTGATCAGGACACAATACAAAATTTTTATCAAAGGTATCAATCTCTGTATTTAGCATAATTCATAACCTAATTTAACAATTACTTTAGTGAGCATCTGTACAATATCTGTTTTAAAGACCTATAGGTAAAAGAAACTATTATTGACCATATAAGGTATCAACCAAAACTGTGCTTGGTGTATACACCAACTTTGTAACCACAAAATGGTTACTTTGTCCAATGCAGAGCCCAGGGGAAATACTTTTTTTGTAACTGAGTTTTAGAAATTATTCATTCTAAAACCACATAAAATAATTTTTAAACAAAATCACTCTTATCTGCCCTGAAATTAACTAATTGTATCCCTTTATTCTAAGTCACATCTCCTCAAAATTTGCAGGTAGAAATCCGCTTCCTACACAGTTTCAGCTTTCTCCAAAAATATCAGATACGCAGAAAATAAAATAGAAAACATTCTGCCTTGATGAGTAGAAAAATGATTCTAGAAAAGGGTAGGAAATCCCCTTCTGAATCCAGGTGTTTCAACTTCATTGAATACTGCTGTGTGGTTTGTTACCGGTTTTTTAATGAGAACAGGCTTGTGTACCACAAACTGTGTCCTCACTGTTATAAATGGGCCACTAACTTAGCCAGTAAACTTGTATAGGATGTGATGTGTCCAGTCCTTTGGGCAAGATGCCCCACCCTTTTTAATGAGGAGGAGGGGGCATTTTAAACCACCAAGGGAAAATATTGAGCATATTGAATGTGAAACTTCTGATTCTTCAATTACATTATTTTTCCCCCAGGGATAAAAAGGAGGGCACTCTCTCTATCAGAAGGGCGGTGTCACGTGAAGTGCAGCTGGTGCGGGTGGTGGAGAGGCCAAGCCTTTCGCAAACCACCTACAACTCTTACCACCTGAATGAAGCTTCTGAGAAGGGGTACTGCATCTTGAAGCCAGACAAGAATCCCTGAAGGGGAGAGGGAGTGAGGAGGGAAGGGGGGAGACTGGGAAACAAGAAATCATCTCCTCTGACCTCTAGTGAAGTGCCAGGTTTTTTCTTTAGCTCTTCACATTTTCTAAATTTGCAGATCTGGTGTCCCGTTTTGCGGTTCCTGCAACTGCTGCAGACGCCACAGTTGATGAGCCTCTTGCAGGGCACGCAGACCCCACACCTTTTCCTCTTCTTCTTGGCTGGGTTGGCTCCGCCAGCTCCCCCTGAGGAGGACGAGGAGGAGGAGGAATGATTCTGCGGGCAGTCTGCCAGATTGGCAATTTGAAACGCACTGTCTGTGACGGCTGCTGAGGCTGCTGCGGGGGAGTGAAGGGCTGTCATGACGATGACCCCTGGAGGTAATGAGATGCCCCCTAAAGCCGGGATAGCGGAAAAAGTCCCCACGCGCTCGGGGAGATTCATTATCTCTGCTTCAGCAGCGCCGCATTTGAGCTTGTTCATGCATTCCCCCGCCAAAGGTCTGCAGTGTTCAGGGGATAAGGTGGAGAGGAAATTAGTATTTGCCATTTGCAACGACGGCTCTGGCGGGCAGCCAGCTTTCCCCAGCCTCTGGGAGTCGTTTCGGTGGTGCATGCTGGTCCTGCTGCCGCCGCCGCCGCCGCCGCCGCCACCGCCGGCGGGGAGGATCGCCGAGGAGGAGGAGGCGGAGGAGGAGGCGGCGGCGGAGGAGGATTTCCTGCCGCCCCCACCACCCCCGCCCCCGCCTCCGCCGCCGCCGCCGCCGCCGCCACCCCCCCCGCCGCCGCCCCCGCCCCCGCCGCTGCCCCAGAGCATGGCGGTGGCGGCGGCGGCGGTGGCCGCGTTGTCGCAGTTCCAGGGGGACATGCCGATGCGCGCGGCGGCCGCGGCGGCGGCGGCGCTGCTGGGGAAGATGGGGGTGGTGATGCGCGCGATCTTGGCCGCCTGTGGGAAGGCGCCCCCGTTGGTCTTGTAGAAGGAGGTGGCAAAGGAGCGGTAGCGCTCCATTTCCGAGTTGTAATCCACAAGGCTGTTCAGAGCCCCCTCGGGCAAGTGGCTTTCCTTGGGCAAGCCCGGGGCCTCCGGGCTCGGCCCGGGCTCCACGCAGACATTGGTGTTCATGGTGCAGGGGGGGAAGAAGGGGTGCAGGGTGGAAGTGGGGACCGCCTGGTCCGACACCTGGGTGGAAAAGGGGGAAAGGTGGGGGGGAGGGAAGGGAGTGATGGTGGTGTTGGGGTGGGGGCCGAGGCGGGTGGGGAAAGTGGGTTCGGGTGGGGAGAGCAAGGTGAGGGCTGCTTTATTCCTCTCTGGGGCTCATTTCCACAGACGGTGAATTCCCAGGCAGCGTCTTCCTTTGCATTATCCTCCAACTGTTACAACTAAAATAAAGAAAGTCATTCCAACGAGCTGCACGAGGAAAAAGATTAAAAATAAACAACCTCCCTCACTAACCCACCGCAGACACCGAAAGCTCCCACATTCTTCCATCAGGTCGTTTGCATAAGAATCATCAAGACGTGACCCCCCCCAGCCCATCCCCCCCAACTCTCCCAACCCCCGCTCCCTCCCTCCCCACAGCAAACCACAGCTCCTCCCCCCTATTCTTATAACCCTCCTGAGAAAATGTATTAATAGCCAGGATACCCAGGGAAAGAAGGAAGACGGGGGTGACAAACGCCTAAGGAAAAGGGCAATTGGAGTGCTAAAGACATGCAAATCATGGGTGGGAGGGCGATACTACCTATAAGCAGAGGGCATTTAAACATTATGAAATGTGTGAACAAGTGCTGCCTGGGCATGCAAATGCTGTAAAGTAGAAAACAGCAATGGCCCTATGAGGAAAATGAACAGGAAATTAGCAAATGAAGTACTGAAAAAGTCTACAATACATCCGAGTATAAACTGTAAGCAAACACAATACAACTGAGAGCTAAGAGACTGCCCACATACAATCTGAACTAAAGAGGCAGGGAAAAAAGAACTACCAGCTGCCACAGTATCCTTCTGTGTCTGCGGTCATTAGTTTGAATCCCAGCACAGCTGGCTCTGTTAGGGTCTTAATTCAATGGACCAAGGACAGGTCTCAATTGTACAAGCCATTTGGTGGTGGGTCTTGGTGGGGGTAAGAGGGTGGTGTTCTACTTGATTTTTTTTAAGGTAGAAAATAAAGATAAGCCAGATAATTACATATATACATATTTATTTATATCAGCAATGTCTCAGGTTTTAAACCAAGTGCCTGCAGCCTCTATAAGAATATTCCTAATCATTCCTAATGGAGATTGCTGTCTCTTCCGAAGACAAGAGGAAAGCATGGGACTTTTTGAAAAGGATATCTCACAATCACTGATTTTTACATTGAGTAAAAGGGGGGGGGGCTTTAACGTGTTCTTTGCCAGAGAAAAATAACAAAATTATTTTTTAATTTTGCTCTTTTTAAGAGGAAAGTTTAATGTTAACTGGGTATTTGCATTAATCTCCTTGCTTACAGGCCATTATTATGCTTTAGGAAGAGGTATTTTAGTTGTTTATTACAGAGGGAGAAGTACATCACAGCCTTTTAAGAAGCAAAGCAAAGGCATAAAGTGTATATTCACTTAAAAAACCAGTTTCTTTGTTTCCAGATTTTTTGGCCAGAATATCTTTTTGTGACATCTTTTGAAGCCCATAGATTGGTCTAGAATGCAGAGTTCAGGGAATTCTACATGGGGGCCCAATAGTCTCCGTCTCAAATATTCAGAGTTCAAAATGGTTATCAATTATAGTAATTATGCTTATAATTAGGTTAATGAACCAGTTATGCCCAAACTCCAAGTGCAAAAACTTCAAGACCTACTGATGAGGTGCTCTAAAAAGAGGGGTTTATGTAAACAAATCCCTATTAGGCAAAGTAAATCAAGATAAGGAACCTCACCCCAGGCTGGATTAGAAGCTTGCAGGCATCTTTCAATCACAGCAAGTCCCTAATCACTCAGGAACCACCTCTGTGGTTTCGCATTAGGGAAAACTGCTGCCTTCTCAGGTCTGAGGGCAATACAAAAGGTGCCCCCAAAATGCTCTTGGCTAAATATTCTTGATGCTTGGAAGGGGTGAGGGAAGACACAGCAAGAATATGCATATAGCTTCAGTTTCTGCGAATCACATTGTAACTGCAAGACCATAATAACTGCTACTCAGTAAAAACTAGTTATGTCAACCATGCATTAGATATCATCACATTGAGTGGAGGGAAAATTTTCAACCTTTTAGTCTTTTGACCTTGTTCCAAATAAATAAATAATTTAACGTCCCTTTTTTAGAGTCTTAGAGTGGTGTTTCCAAACACAAGCTTTCCTTGCTTTTCTGATTGCCATCACCATCCCTCTTCCTACCTCAAGGTTTAATACCACCAGAAACTGTAGAAAATGATTATGCCCAGTATCCAGGTCATTATTGTTTAATCAATGCATCTCTGGAGCATGAAAAAGGTATCTAAGCCACAGCTATTGTTTGGATTTTATTTAAAAACAAAATAAAACACACACAAATAACTATAGTTCTATGCCAAAGCTAAATTAGAGATCCATACTTCATGATCCTGTTTTGCCTTTAAACAATGTGACTTTACATGCCTAATACTGTATGTCTGGTCTACCAGAGACATAGAGATCAAAGGTCATATTTAACATTCAGGAGGAGGGGCGGGTGCAGACTAATTAATAAATTAATACAGCGACGCTTTTTCTTGCTGGAGTCCAGCATTAATAATCTACTTTCACAATCCCAACGGACAGCAAACATTTAAGAGAAAAAAAAGCCAGAGAAAGAGAAAGAACAATCACTTACCAGTCTCTTTTTATTTGGGGAGCCTTAGAATTTGCAGACGCTGCCAGTCTGCCTTTAATTAGTTGCACATCACCCCCTAACACAAAGAAACACAAATCCAGATGTGTCTTGGCAGCTCCCAATTACAACTTTAATACTTGTAAACAAACTGTTGGGGGGGGGGGGGTAAATAAATATGCGGATCAAAAAAAATACCTGTAAATGGCTTTTTTTTCTTGTTGCAGAGAGAAGGAGGAGGAGATGGTGTTAGTGGTGGGGGTGGAAGGAGGAGGAGGTGGGGGGAGAGGAAAGAGTCGAGTGTGAGTGTATGTGTGAGAGCGCGGGTCTGTTGTCGGTGGTCTCTCCTCTCCCAGCGCGTTGCTCTCCGTCCGTCTCCAGTCGCTGTGTGCGAGGGAGGGAGGGAGCCGGGGAGTCTCTCCTCTCTCTCTCCCCTCTCTCTCTCTCTCTCTCTTCCCCTCTCTCTCACCCTCCCCCCTTCTCTCTCTGTTTGTGTGTGTGCGAGTGTGCGGTTGCTGGGGGAGGGGAGCCACAGAGAAAGGCGAGGGAGGAGGTGTGGAGGCTGGGGGCGGGGGCGCGGGGGTGGGGGTGATTGGCGCCGAGGTGAGGAGGACGCAGGGACGTGGACACCTACTGATGATTGGCTGCAAATTACACGGGGAACAAGAGGCGCACGCGGGCCAGCGCTCCTTTTCACAAATCCTCTCCTCGGCAGAGGAGCCACGTTTTCCCTGCTCGCCTGCGGATCGCCCTCCCTCCTCGCGCCCGGCTCTCCGGCTCAGCCCAGCACACAGGGCTGTTGATTATTTTCTTTTGCTCTCGGAGATAATTGTTTGGAAGGGTTGGAAAGAGGGCGTTTCCGCCACTCTGCGTGTGGGGTGTGTGTGTGCGTGCGTGTGCGGGTGTGTGTGTAAATAAACTTGTCTGGGATTTCTGGCTGGGTTGAGAAGAGCAATACAAGAAACAGAGAAAAGGTCATGTTTGTTTGAAGAATGCTCTTAGTTCGTACCCAATGGCATGGTTTTAAATAAATTTCCTGGTGTACCCAGGAAGACTTTAAAAAAAAATACCATTTAGATCTTTAAAGTAAGGGAAAACGGACCGGTGTGGTTCTTCAGACCCTCGAAGTACTATTATGCCAGAATGTAAAAAATCGGTGATATGATGCTTGGCCAATTTCAAAATCCATCTCAATCTCTGTCTCTCTTCTCTACTCTTCTCTCTCTCCTCCCAAAATCCTCTTTTACTATTCCATCTGGTAGTTCCAAAGAATAAATCAGATTTTTAACTCACTGCCCTATTTTTTAATTTCAAACTTTACTTAAACAAAAACTTTTGTCTTTCAGTCTATTTTAGAATAGTATGTAATTAACATTTCACTTCTTGCCACTTGGGAAAACATAGTTTATGAATTGAAACATAAATATTGTACGGCACGTCAAATATAAATAAAACTCGTTCATAAATGCAGCTGTAAATTAACCTCTTCACTGCTGCCTCAAATAAAATATTTGTGGACACATGCTATCCTACTATTAAAGTATACTCTAGTGGAAATAGTTATAAGATACAGAATTATGAATACTTTTGAATAATTTTTTTTCTAAGAGCAAAACAGTGGCTAAGGTAAGTTATAGAGTAGGAAAGAAAAAACTTAAGATTATTTAAATTGGTGTTATCAAGCAGAGTACAAGTTTTGTATTAAAATTAAGTGTTTATTCTAGAGTAATGCAATATTAATTGTTCAGATAAGTGAGGAAAATATAATGTTTTGTTTCTTTAATAAGAAAAAAAAGCTGAAAAGACATTTTAAACCATTTTGTATTTGAATTTTCAAAAGATAGACTTTGACCATATCAAGACATTACCAACTATGGAGGATAAATTGTTGATAACAAGTTTGAAACTGTGGTGTGTGTATGCCTAAATGAAGGTGTTATTTCAAGAGTGGGCTACTATTGCAATAGGAAACAGGTGTATTTTGTGACTCATTGATTAATATACATGTTTTGTAATTTTTTTAAAGCATAAGCTGTTTGATTATTACCGGTTATTTGACATCTATAGACAAAATAACTGGAGGGTTAATAATTATTCAAGTTAATAAGATATTTTTATTCTTGTGCTAATGCATTATAAAAGCAAAAAAGGAAATTTTCCATTTGATTATTTTGTTTTAGCTCAGCTTCATAGGAAATTTATCAGGAAAATGTGGTCACTTTTTAATGAGTGAAAACATGCTAGAAAAATGATAGATTCTTAAACATCTTTTCACAATATTTAAAATATCAGTCCAATGTTAGAAATTTTGAAGTTTATAAATAAGCAATGTTTTTAATCAAATAAAGACATCATGCTTTCTTTTGCCAAATTTTCTTTTCTGGAAATTTTCCTTTTTGGAAATTCCTTTTCTCATGCTTTCCTTTTTGGGACTCTTCAAGCTTACTTTCAAAATGAAATCTTAAACACGTGAGAGAAAATATGTTCTAAATTCCAATGAATTTTACTTTCCAGCTAATGAAGGAAAACTACAGAATTCTTGGTCTTAATAATTAATAATAATAGCCCCTATTAATGACCCATTAGTGTCAGATCCTGCACTAAGTAATTTGCAGATATTCTATTTTGTCCTTGCAATAATCCTGTGAAGTGGCTATTATTTCCATTTTACAAACAAGGAAATTGAGGCCCAGAGAAATGAGGTAACCTAGATTAGGTCACAAAGTTAGTATGTAAAAAGTTTGAAATTTGTACCCAATCTGGTCTATTCCAAAGCCTTATGTTTATAACCTCTACCCTAGTCTCACTGTCAATAATTAATCAATCAATAAACCTTCTCTGGATACTGGAACCTCAGATTTAATTATGATTGTAGGCCCCTAGTTGATATGGGATCAATTAAATTTATAAAAGAAATTATAAACAATATACCTCATGGCTCTGATATAGCATTCTGTTTCCTTTCCACTAGGGAATTGATTGCATACTTAGCCAAATATGATCAAGGGAAATCTTTTTTCTCATCTATCTCATATCCATTAATTTTTTATACTAGTGTAGATACATATATGCACCATGTCTCACATTAGTCTATGTTTGTCTTCTTTAAAATGATATATCAGGGTTTTGATAATAATACCTGAGAACACTCAGTTCTCTGTTAACTCTCTTTAAGTCCACAGTTTTATATGATATACGAAAAAGTGAGATTGTTTTCTCTGCAAAATGCCCATTACAGCTTCCAATTACCTGGAAGTGGTTTGTGCCTTTACCCTGCTTTATGATTTTTTAAAATCTTAGCTAGGAGAGAGTTCAAAGGTTTCATAGCTATCCTGATGGGACTTTTTTTTTAATCCCAACTTGAGCATCACCCAAAAAAAGTATCCCCACTCAGCATAAATTTTATGTACTGCTCTCAAATATCTTTAAAGTACTGCTACTTTCCAACATAATCATGATCATCATTGTTATCCAGAATCTCCAAAAAGGTAGCATATTCTGTTGAAATAAATAGACCTCAAAATTTACCAATGCAAAATCCACAGAAGTATGTGTTTTCTCATGTAACAGTCCAGGGTGGGAATTTCAGATCAGAGACCATTCTTCTCTATGAGTGATCCATAGATTAAGATTCCTTTTATCTTGGGACATTTTATCTCCAAAGGACTGCTCAACTACATCAAGCTGGCAGAAGGGCATGAAGGAGCTATGATGGCTTGTTAAAAGTCTTGGTCTTAAAGTGGAACATAGCACTGTAGCTCACATGCAATTGTCAAAAACTTGTTACATGCCACACCTAGCTGCAAAGATTACTGGGAAGCCAACTCCAAGATGCAGCTTTATTACTATGGGGTAGAGAAACAATTCTGAGGGACAGCTAGCTATCTTCCACGCAGAGTAACACAGAAGGAGAATAATCTGATGAAGTGATTAAGTAGACCACACAGCCCTGAATCTAACCTTGAAATTCCTCTGCTCCCTGGAAGTTATTTTGCTGATTACCACTGAAAACAGTCTTAATGACTTTAGGGAAAGTTTGGCAACTGTGAAAGAACTAAGCTTTCTTAAATACTTGTAGGATAGCCAAGACAAGGTTAGAAGATTTGAACAAGAATTTACTGAAGAATAAAGAAAGCAGAAGTAATACAATCAGAGAAAATAGCATAAATAAAAAATAAACTAACCGAGATAAATCTTGGGGACCTGCAGCTTGTCTGCTGGTGTTTTCAAACCAAGAGGTAATTTTTAACCTCGCACAAATGAGATGTTTCCTATTAGTCATAAGAAAATATACAACATGGAGGTCAGAAAAGGTGTGTGGAGCTTTCTTACCTAATATCCAAGGACTCACATCTCAACTTACATTCATGGGCTCTGAGGACCACCTCTTTTGCCATAGTAATTCACTGTGGATATAGTAAATAACCACATCCTTTATAGAAGGAATATTCCCTTAAAACAAATAGGGAATAATTTCTTTAACTCTTTTGACTGGCCAAAAATCTACCTAGGATTTTTATTTACCTGGCTCCTTTCCCAGAATTTGAGTTGGTTGACATTGGGAATTGTGTCTTATACAGCTTTGTGTCCCACCTCATACCTACTATGCCTACTACATGGCAGGTTCCAAACATTCTGAGTCATGCATATTGAAATAATGTAGTATACACAAAATGTATGGAAGTAAATTCCCCATTGCCTATAGGATAAAAGTGCAAAATTTATAAAATTAATTTTATGAAGCCCTTCTCCAACTGGTTCCATCTTTTGAATCTACTCTACTAGTATTCCTTCCAAGAACCCACTATTCTAGCAGATCCACTTAGCTCAGAAAACTTCATTTGCCTTATGACCAGAGAGGGAGAAAATCTTTAATAATGAACTGTGAGCCAAAATGAAGTACTATTATTTCCATAAAAGAAATCTTTGCATATAAAAAATTATTATAGCATAATGAAATAATATTTTTAAATCCCTTAATTTAACGTTTTCAGAAGTTGTCTTGGTGACTTAACAATTGGGATTTGATGAAGCTACTTCTTAAAATCAATATTCTGCACACCTGTTGTTTTCTTTCACTTCTAATTAAATATTGATACGTTGTTATCACAATGCTGACCTTCATATTCAAAGCTGGTACTTTTAACCTACCAACACAGTAGGTCACATGCTTTGAGCTGTTTTTCCAGCTATCTTTACTCTCTTACCTTGTCTTTCTAATGACTAACAGGAGGCACTTATGGAATGGCTGGCCACTGTTAAGGACAAAAACTGTGACAATTGAGGATAATGAAAATAATGGGTTCACAGGGTTAAACCCATTACGTTGGCCTCATTAACACCATATTCAAATCAACTAAGCTAATCAAGCTTATCACATTCACATATTTTCATATACAGTTTGGACACTAGACAAATATGTACCAAGTATTATTTTGGGCATTAATTTTTAGAATTGTTCTTTGCAAGACCAAATTTGGTCTAGCCCCATTTTAATTTACTCATGATATTTTTTCTCATCATATAAATTCTCATTTCTATAAAACTACAGCTCTAACACTCCATGGAAAGTGCTATTCCCAAACACAGAAATCCAAACTTTCTCTGGTAGGCTAGAAAGGGAAAACTCCAGAAGAATGTTTTTTCTTCTATAGGCTCACTGACATAGCTTGATTTTTATTAGCTATTGTTTTCCTTGTACTTTCCCAAAAATATTTGGTATCCTTTGTTCATTGGATTATTAGAAAATACAAACAATAACATTCCAGATTTTGTCAAAGTATTTACTCATGAAGGAAACAATGGGTCACTTTTGCTACAAAACACCAAGTGATGGTAAATAGCTTCCAGGCACTAACAAATCTAAACTCAGATTTGTAACATGGGCCCCAAGCTGTTCTTTGGGGTCTCCCTTTTCCTTTGCCTGGCAGAATCAAAGCATTCCATGCTGGCCTTTGTCCCAGGAAAATTCTCCTTAATCATGCAACTACCTGTGTGCCTTCTGGAAAGATAAATCTCTTCAGATAGATAAGTAATGGTAAAGTAATATAAAGTGAGGAAATCCTGTGGTGAAATTTGTAGTTAAGAGCTAACCAGGAAACACTTTGTCCACAGTGCTCAGTGTGCCAGTAGTCCGTGTTCCCCTGACAGCAGTCCAGAATGTGGCGGTGTCACTTCCTTCTGCTGTCGGCCATTCTCTTCTGCACACAAGTCTTCTTAGACAGAATTTATAGGACACTGGAAATCAAGTAACATAGTCCCCTATCTCAATTCTTCGAATTCTCTATCAAAACTCCAAACTCAGTAACTTAGGAAACCAATGTTCTATTAATACTTCGCTCAACAGGAAGAAGTGGACCTTTTATTTAAAACAAGCTTACATGCAGACACTGGACATTTTATTAAGAGGCCTCTGAATCTTCAAATTGCTAGACAGGACTTACCCAGTTAGAAAAAAAAATCTTCAATTTTTAATAATAGAGTTACTTCAAGAATGTACCTTGTAAAGACATAAAATTAGGTTTATAAAAGTCATATTGTTAAGCTCTGTGAAACTCCAAAATTAAATCTGTCTTAAACCATTTCCTATTATATAATATCACCATTTTTGAATTTGCCATTTTTAAGTAGAATAAAGAAATTTTTACAAAATGGTTGTGAACACAAAAATTATATTTTTTTCCCTGGAGATTTTAGACTTCCAGTGTAACCTAGATATCTCCATTTGCAAAAGTTCAGGTTTCTTAATATTAGTCTCAATATTTTATTTGAAATCAAAGCCACTCTTCATGCTTGTTTTTTTTTAAGTGTGTTTCCATTTAGTTTATCTTCAATTAACTCCCTTTTTAAAAAAGGAATTCTATTTTTCTTTGTTGAGAGGAAGAATTCAAGATAATATCCCTGAGTTGTTAACGTTCAGTCCAGAAAGGTTTTTTTCCTTCCCAGTGCTGACCTTTGTTATGCCGTAGTTATAGCAACAAGAAGAGTTCCTTCTGTCTGTCTGTTGTGTTCTCTTTCCAAACTAATGACAGTCTTTTATATGCTGTTGTGCAGTATGGGGAATGCTTTACGTGCATTGATTTCTTGATTTACTGATGCATTTAGCTAAACCAGCAATTTGAATGGAAATTTTTTAAATAAATGCAATTAATTGAAATGGAATTTGCACATTATATATGTTATTTATGGAATACAGATCATTCATTTAGGCATTTTTCTAGATTGTCTTTGAGCTTCCCTGACCAACTTGCAGTTTAACTTCTCAGTGATGAAGTTTATTTATCCTATCATTATATCTTCTTAGTCGAAACAGAAAGAAAGCAAAAAGAGAGAGAGAGCCCCTTCTAGGGGAGTAACATGATGTAAGAACACTTAGTTTTTCTGCCAACCTGGGTCATACAATCATTATGACCTTGGGCATTCTACCTCTCATTTTACCGATCTGGAATATCACTTTAATTACAGTAATTACCTATCTCACAGGGTTTGTGAGGTTTAATTAATGTTAGCAAAGTGTTGTAGCTATTTAGTAGAGCAGTACTATAAAAAGCAAACTACCTGAAAATCACAACTATGTTCTCCCCACATAGTACTTAATTTTACACAATCCTTTTCTTTTTCCTTCAGAGTTAATTTAACATTTATTGCTTTTTTTTTTCTGTTCACTCCATATCTACATCTATGGTCTTTGCTACTTGAGACTTACTTTGGATGTAAAACATAGCCTCTGTCCCACTTTTGTTAGATTGCACGATCACCTCCAGGAGCTCAACATTTCTGAATCTAACTGGATTGGGATTAACAGTAGTATCTGAGCAAGTAGCTGTGGCTACACACTTCCTTTAAGTCCAGTTATAAACTGCCAGTTAACAATATGAGTTTGGTTCTCAAATACCTTTTGTTTGGAACCATGGTGTTAAACAAACTCAATTAGACTTCCAGTTTTTTTCATAAGTTGGAAGTTCTGAAAGTATTGTGTCTACATTCCATCCTGGAAATAGTAGCTGTAGCTATTATTAGTGATGGAGTCTCCAGTTTGCCGGCACTTTTAGCATTCCCTGCTGTCTGACACTTGCCCACCTAAGCATTGGAATTTGTAACTCAAGGCATCTAAGTACGCTTGTGCTAGCTGTTCACTGCACAACAATGCCTGGCCAAATGGGCAAGTAGGAGCTGGAATCCAGCCCATTGCTTTGCTTGCCAAGCCATGTTCTGGTGGGTCTAATTAGCAAAAAGGCATTCTAGGGGCTAGAAATGGCCTTATCAGTATCCCCATTATAGGCCAATTAAGTAAAGCAATGAACATTGCAGCCACCTTTATTCATATTAAAAAGTTAGCATCTCATCTTTGAAATTATATCCCACAAGATTATATTTAGATTAATATTAAAATCATATTCAATTTTATCTTTATCCCTTTTTTGTGAACCAATTTCACCTAAAACATATTCCAATATGAACTAATTTTCAAATAGGATGTAAATAATATGAAATTTTCAATTGTATGAACTCATTACCACTGAATCAGGAGTTATGTTTCATTGAATATCAACAAAATGACTAGTAATGTGAGTTGGATCGTCGTAATAACATTGTATTTCTTTCTTTGGGAACAACTACTCTTTAAAAAGAGGGAGACACTGTTCAGACCCCAGTTCTTTCTGTTATCTGCTAACATTTTATAATGGTAGCACTGCTTGAAAGAGCAGTTGTTTTTACCAATTTGTAACTTGGCTCTTTTAAAATGCATGATGATACGATGGCATTTCCTTTAAAATGTTTCTATTTTAAAACATATCCTATTCCTGTAATTCTTGGCTACTTTGTATTAGTGAAAAAGAAACAACTCTGTTACCTAATGGGAACACTGATTGATTTACATACCTTTCTTTAGCAAGTATCAAGAGTCCAAAATTTGAAGAATGTCCAACAAAAGCTAGCCTCTAGATATTTTACTGCATGCTAATCTCCTTGCAGAGGAAATCCAGACAGGTATATTCATTTGTTATAGAAAACAAAATAACTTTATTCTTTAATAAAGAATAGATAGAAAGAAGGTTTTGAGAATTCTGAGTACATGTAAGAGAAAATTACTCAAACTGGCTTAAATGATGAGGTCTCTTGTAGGGCAGACTCCAGGCAAGGAACAACCTGTGTGGCTTATAGATATCACACATAATATAGGCTTCTTCCATCTCTTTGCTCATCATTCCTATTATCTTATTTTTTCCTTCAAGCAGTTCCCTCACAGTTACTGCTCCAACATCATAATCTATGCATAAAAAAGCGTTAGGGAAAAGAAAAGGACTTTCTTTTTTTTATGCGTTTTTGTCTTTAGAGTGAGGAACTTTCCTAGAAGCACCATCACTGACTTCCGCTAAGATCCAATTACCCAAAATTGAGTTACCTGATGACACATAAACCAACCATTTTCAAAGAGAATGAAATTGTCTTATTCTTAATAAGTATCTACCAGCCCTGGAACTAGAGGTGTAATCATTCTGAAACACATGACGGTGTGAAGGATAGGAAATACCTGAACATAGCCATGATTTGTTTAAGAAGGAAGAAGAAGATAGGGGATTGGATGGTTGTTGGTGAGACCAGTATCAGTATCCGTTGTCTTATATAAGTCTATTATCACTTGATTTTTATTGTCTTAGAAAAACTAACCAGCCCTAAATCTCATGAAGCATGCCAGATTACATATAATAAGAGAAAGTCAGTTTATGGATGCCAGCTCTTTATTATGAGTTAATTAATGAATTATAATTACAGCCATGAATGCCTATAAGCAGGATTTATTTTTAGCAACATGGCTTTCCTGGCAAAGTTTTGATTTACTGACCTATCTTTATTGAAACTTATCTCATGTTCATCATTACAGACCTTTTATACTATGTTACATAAATCAGGGAGTATCTGAGCTTGATCTATAAGGTATAGGGCTATAGGATGTGAGGAGAAAGCAAAGAGAATGAGGAAGTTAAAAGAAATTAAGAGAAACAATTTAAAAAATGGCAAGGTACATCTATTTCCATAATTAAGTACATCTGGTATATTTTCATCTTATACCTTCTACTGGCCATTAAAACTATTACCTTAACATATTTGCAAGTAATCAGAAGCAAAGTAAATAGCCAGTCCTTAAAATTTCAAGTTGATCCCCAAACTGACTCAAATTTGCAAAAATCTGGCATAATTTAAAAGTAAATAAATAGAAGCAACACTTAGCAGAAGGTTCCTAACATAAACAAAGCTGTGCACGTTTTGTTTATTTATGGGATCTATGCAAAGTGTCATATTCATTTAAAAATATTCAGCACGAGAGTGATTGATTTTAAAAATTGAATAGAATTAAGAAACATAGGCATTCTTTAAAATTTAAAGTTCTGTAAAAGAAAGAATGGCTATTTTTTCTAGTATTATACTTGGGAAAACATTTTTCTCCTTTATGTCTGTTCAGATTTTTTTAAACATTGACTGTGAGAAAAATAGCCAGCATTTTATTCAAAAGTGCATTTTAATTGGGATGTAGCAAACCCCAATATTCATGTAATACCTGTATGTTGCTCCAGATTAAGTGTTAAATATTAAGTATGAAATCTCCTAAATTAATCTTTTTTATTCAATATATTTTTATAGCATTCTTAAAAGACAAAACATGTTAAAATCCCTATCCTTATAGAACTTATATTCTACTGTCATCTTAATTCAACTAATAGCCATTTACTCTTTCTTTCCAGCCTGGATTATTCTTTATCATATTTTAATTGAATAAGTATTTTTTGAACACGTTATATGCATGACATAATGTCAAGTACTGAAGGAATGAGAAATTTCCTTGAAAAACTAATAATTTAATAGAGGGTACTCAGACAGGAAACACACACAGTTCTAATATTACATTTATCTCACCTCTTCTATAAAAAGAAGAATTTAAGTAAGTAGAGTGTAATAAAAACCAGATCCTGAAAATTTCTATATTGTAAGTATCAATGTAGTGCATTAAAAGCAACGAGGAAGGACTGGATAATTTGGAGGTCTGGGATGCTCCTGAGGAAAACCTCACAAAAGAAGTATTTGAAGTGGAATGACTAACGGAGAAGGGGAGAAAGAATATTTGGCATAAAGGACAGGGTGTAAGCAAAAGCTGGGGGAACACAAGTGCATAGCAGAGCCCAGAAGTGGTACATTGTTGATTGTGGCTGCAGTAATGATACATCAAAAAGAGACAAGTGATGGGAAATGAGACCCAGAAAGAATACTGTTAAATTGCATATAGCCTTTAAGGTTATGCTGAGGAAAAAGACTTGCTTAGGGGTAAAAAGAGGCCAATAAATGTTGTTTATGTCAGGAGGTCTATGCTCACTTGTGTTTTTTTGTTTATTTTTGTTTTCAAGTATCCTTCTGACTTACACTGGGGAAGATGGTTTAGAGGAGGTGAAACATTTTGTCCTTTAGCAGCGTTTTAGATAAAGATCCCAGCAACAGGATGGAATAGGAGGGAGACAATATAGACAATTTGAGGAAAACCTAGAGTTTATTTGAAGGAAAGATGAACTTCAGAGGACAAGAAGGGTGATTCACAAAAAGTCATCTGGAAGGGAGATGTTAACCAAAAAAAAAAAAAAAAAAAATCCCAAAAGCAAGGATATTCCTAAATTGAGTGAACCATTGATGCTGAAGGATCTACAAAGGCTTGAAAGAAGCTTCTAGGGGCAATTCTAGAGTTGTGCTAAGAGCAGTTTTTAACCACTAGTTGGTTTGGGAAGAGATGGGAAACTCCTATTTCTACTGTTGCTTGGAGTACAACGTCAAGGGGATTGGCTTCTGCTCATTTGTGTGCCAAAACTATGGTTATTTCATGATTTATTTTATGGGAAATTATTATTTATTTTATGTCAAAAAACAGAAAAACTAGAGGCTTTTGCTACATATTTGAGCTTGCCCCAGATTGAAACCAATAAATGTGGCAATAAGAAAAACTTGTCAGTAAACAGTTTCAAAGACCTAATGGTTACATGGATAACTGTGCAGTCAAGATCATCCCTTTTCTGATCTTCACACTGTCATCAGGATGATTTATGGGAGAAGAGAATCCCATAAATTCTAACCTTTGCATACTCCCCAACACTTACCTCCTCCAATACTGGCCAAAGACCATTAGGACTCATCTCTTTATATACTTTTTCACTATTGTGTCAGTCACAGCCATAAACCCTGGCTTCCTAGAGCATTGTTGATTTTCACATTCCAGTTTCTATATATAGCTCCGTATATCCACCTTTTAGTAGCCATCTCCTGACACCGTTGATTCTTGAGAATGAGTGTCTGCCATCAGCAAAGCCCCCGTGTTCTCAATAACTTCTCTGAAAATTCCCTTCATCTTGCTCTTGTTGAAATGTGGTTCTTTGGGAAGCACTTGCATGCTCTGTAGTGCTCTCAAATGGTGATCATGGGGAAGGTTCCTTCTTGCTCTTCATTGTCATTTCCAGACTGTTCCATGCTATTCAAGCCCCATTCTCCACTGCTGTAACAGTAATGCCATAAGACTATGCTCCCTACTTCTGTTCCTTGTTTAAATCATCTAAAGGATTGAAGGGCTCTCCTCAGTCTATGAAAACTTTAGCTGTAACTCTTGGCTCACACCACCACAACTCTTTCCTTGATTCTGAGTGTTTTCAGTATTTAGCCATATAATTCTTCAAGTCCTCTTGCCTCCTTGATCACCTCCCTTTGATTCTTTTTTTCTCCCGCCTCCCTTCTGTCATTAAACTCTGTGGTCACACTCTAGACCCACTGTCTACTCATCACTTCCTATATTTCTAGATCACTTCCTCAAATCCTTGGCTCTCAAATATCCTTCAATTGTCCCTCCCACTGAACCTACAATCCATTGATCCTGCTACTGTTACCCTCATCTTCCCATGCCTCTGTTTCCCTACATACTCCTCAGCTTGGTCAATCATTATAAACATTCCCTTTCAAACACTCTAAATTTCCCATGATCAATCATTTTGAACACTCCCTTTCCTATACTTCAATTCATTTAGCTATCTCTTGGCTAAACCCTTACTTTGGGATTTGTAAGCTGTGTTTAACCAAAGTAAACACAGTAAAGGAATGCCTGCTCCATTACCTTACCTGAATAGCCACATATGGCTGGAAAAACATTTACAAATCTAAGTCTTATGTTAGCTTCATGGTAGTTACTCAAGTGGGCCTTTAATGTTGCAGAGCAATTATATTACATTTACTCTTCCTTTTTCTTTCTGTTTTATATCTTCTTTTTTCAAACCTCTAACACATCTCCCTGTTCTTTATGCAAGTTTCTACTTCACTGTGTTCATAGAAACTACTAGAATAGCAGTTTCCATGAGCTCCTGCTATCATATCTACTTACCTTCTAGTATCTGTATACAGACATTCTTCCTTTCCTCCCACTGGAATATATTCTGCATGTTTCTATTTAAAGACACCCTCTCCCATTCTCACTGGATCACACATAGAGTCTCACTCCAGCAATTCTCCCCTCTTTGTCATCATCAAACTATTCCTCTCAACTGTAGTATTACCATTAGAATACGTTTTTTAAACCATTTAAACCACATTTTTCCCTCTATCAATCACCCCATTCACTCCTTAGACAGTTAAATTTCTTAAAAGAATGGTATATACCAATGTCATAATTTGCCTTTTTCCCTTATCTGTTGAATTGGCATTAGTCCATCTCTTTTCAAGATTTCCAGTGACTGTACCTTGTTAAATTCAAAGATGAACTTCAGTCTTCCTCTTATTTTACCCATTAGCAACATTTGATGTTCTCTTTCCAGGGCTTTTAGAAAACCAGTCCCCTGATTTATCTCCTACCTTGCTATCCTCCTAACACTGAAGTGACCCAGAGTTTAGACTTTAGACTTCTTTTCTTATCTGTTTACACTCACTATCTTTCTGATCTCATCCAATCTCATGGCTTTAAATTTCATCTGTGCCCTAGACACTCCAAAATGTAAATCTCCAGTCAATACTTTTATATCTAATTACTTTAAAATTCCAGTTAAATTATCTAAAATTGAACACCTCTCTCCCTTAACTACCCTAAAACGTGCTCTCAGTTAATGGCAACTCCATCATTCTAGTTGCTCAGATCAAAAATCTTGGGGTCATTCTTATTACTCTTTATCTCTGTGATGGTTAATTTTATGTGTCGGAATGACTGAGCTAATAGATAGCTGGTAAAACATTATATCTGGGTGTGTCTTTGAGAGTGTTTCTGGAAGAGATTCGCATTTGAATCAGTAAGCTGAGTAAAGATCGCTCTCACCAGTGCAAGAAGGTATCATCCAATCCACTGCTGAATTGAACAAAAAAGCGGCAGAAGGGAGAATTCTGTCTCTTTCTTCTTGAACTGGGACCTGGGACATACACTTTCTCCTGCCCTCAGACATCTGTGCTCCTGGTTCTTGGTTTTCTGGACTTGGACTGGGACTTACATCATTGGCTTTCCTAGTTCTCAGACTTTGGGGCCTGGACTGGAACAATACCATCAGCTTTCCTGGCCTCCAGCTTGCAGATGGCAGATCATGGGACTTCTCAGCCTCCATAATCTCAAGAGACAATTTCCCATAATAAATCTTTCTCTCTCCTCTCTCTCCAAAAAGGGAACAAAAAGGGAATCTAAAGCAGCAGAGAGAAAATGAGGGAATAAAAAGGCAAATTCTGAGGTGGAGGGATGAAAAACAGACTTCAATTCTGATTACTTGTATTGTTTCATTGAAGCAAGAGGTGAGGAGTATCTGGTAAAAGTGAGGGCAGATTCAATGCATAAAATCAGTGGTAAATATCTGAAACATTAGCTTTGGAAAGCAAGGAGGGAAGTCTAGGAGTTAATATAATATATGTAATGTATTAAATGCTCATTGAGTATGTGTTGGCTTGAATTCAATTAAGTAGGCAAGAGAAAGGGTAAGCTGGTTGAAAGCAATATTAATAGTTCAATCTGAAAGAAATGAATGTACACCTTTGCAGTGGATTTTTAGCCGCTCAGGAGCAGAATGCTAAGAAATGTGTTCCTGGATTCATGCAGAGTAGATGATAGGCATTGTGAGTGTGGTCAAACTTCATGAAGATGATAGAATTAGTATATGTTAATCTGCTGCTAACAGTAACAGCAAATGCTTAGTGAGCTCTTGGGCAAAGATTTCATCTGTACCCATCTCTTCATGTTCACAATGGCCTTACTTGATGCATACCTTAACAACCCCCATTTTCCAGATAAGGAAAATAAGATTAAATAACTCCCTCAAGTGTAGCTGAGACTCTCTAGTGTTTTAAACTCTGTTGACATTTGGTGTGCTTTTCTGGTTCTGAACTTCAAGGAGATGAATCAAAATTCCCTTTATTCATGTTAGCTATAGGCTTTGGGTTCAAATTCTTAAATTTCTTTGGTGGTAATTTGGGCATTTAAAATATAACTTATTTAATTTTCACAACATATATTTTTTAACATTTTGAAGTTTTATAAATATAAAATGAATTATGTTCCATAATAATCTGTTATTATCTTTTAAGAAAATTTTACAAAGAATGTATTTGAAAATATATATAAGCCAGGATGTGGCTGGTAGCTCAGAAGAACGGGGTAGAGTAGGGCCAAAATTGATGACAAAAAAGACGAAGTTTAATTACACAAATTATCACTAGGCTTAGCACAGTCTACATATAAATAATTCTTGGTCAGCCAGGATATCTTATTTCACTCATCTAATAATGTATAATGTTCATGTCTGTTTCTAGCACCCGTATTGATTTTTCTCCTTTTTGTTATGAAATATAACATGTATATTAAAAATAATAGGGAGTAATATAATTAATACCATATAATCTTTACATAGATTTTAAAACATCAATTTTTTTTCCATTTCTTCAGAATTTTCAAAAGTAAGTGAAACAAAAGCTACAGGTAGATTTGAAAGCCTATTTATACTCACACACTATCTGGTTGGGTACATAATTCTGTACATATTCTTTACATATATGTAGCAATACTATTATATGGTGACCATAATTCTGCAACTTGCGGTTTTAGGGTTTTTCCATCTTCAAATTTTCCAACACACTTAACAGGTTCCTTTCTTGAGATTTACATTGGTTATTCCCTTTTCCAGGAGCATATTTCCTTCAGGTTTCAACATGGCTAACTTCAAGTCTTTTCTCAGATGTTATTTTTTCAATGAGACCTACATTTTACCACTCTTTATTGAAAGTCCAACCCACCACTTCTCCTCTTCTCACCCTAGTTCAGGCATTGTGATCCTCCGCACATAATTATTTTTCCCTATAGATTTTATCGACATTTCAGTTAAAATGTGCTGCACTGCCTAGATTTTTCCTTTACTCTCGTAGAGTCACTCATTCCCCTATTGCTGGTGGTGACTTATAAAGCTAAACTGAGTTCCCCTCCAACAATTGCCCTAAGAGAGCAGCCTCACTGAAGGTTATGTCCCTCCTAAAGGGCAGCCCGCATACAATGATTAGCCTTTGCAAGAGGCTAGATGGTCTGTCCCCCATGCCTAACGTTGGAATAATTGTAATGGGCCAGCCAAACTCTAGAACTTCCTGTAGGATCAGCTGAATCTTCTGTTGCAACTGCATCACTGTTCAGCTTCTCCTTCTGACCAGTTCTTCTCCTCTCATACCTCACAATTGTTTCTGAGATCTCTATCCAGTATTCCTTGTGTACACACCTTTTTTGTTATCAGAGTTCTATGAAGATTGACCTTTGACGTTTATACTAGAGCTAATCCTAGAAAGCAGAGTCTAAAATGGGATGTTTGTAGGTTCATGATTTTATTTGGCCAGCTGTCAAGAAAAACTCCTTCAATGGGGGTAGATGGAACATTGTTAGGTCCAGATATTTGGTTGCAGTGAAATTATTAAAATTTTCAGTGATGTGGAACTGGGAACAGATAGGCATTAAGGGGAATTCACTGGCAGGTAAGCTATCCCAGGAGTTTGAATTTTTCAGGGATGATAGTAATTTTAAGAAATTTGGAATTAGATGGCTATTTCTTCAGGGCAATGATACATGGAGAATGGCAAGAAAAGTGTGAATGTTATTAACAACTAATATAAAAAGAGTCTGCTGTGGCCAGTGGAGAGCAAAAGCTAGAGATTCAACATTTAATTAAAGAGCAGCACACTCTTTAAAAAGTGGAATCCTCAACTTCAGGATCTGCTATGCCAAGATTAGGTCCCTGATTTGAAAAGAGTAGAACTTTGAAAACTGGGATGTGGATATCTGGATTGAAGCACTTCCAAACTTTGAATCTCCAGATTCTCTTGAACTCTTTTAGACTGTCACAGTGATACACTCCTCTTTGCTAATTAATGGGCTGGCCTACCTCTGCTTGAGATGTCTTCCTTGCGAGACCAGTTGTGCTCTCTTTAGGATATACCACCACTCTCCATCCCCCATGCCCCAAACAGTAAACCAATAACTGGGTTAAGTCACAACCTAACCCATCAGGGGACATGCTGAAGTAGCAAAGGGATTGTAACCTGAAGCAAAAACTAGCCAGTGTATAGTGGCAGCATCCAGGAGAGTATACATGGGACTGGATTCTGAGGATGCTGGATAAAAGAGAGTTTATTGATGTGAGAACACTCTCCAGGTTACACGATTTAAAACCTATGCAAGGTCTCTGGGATGTGGAGCAAACAAGGTACTAGGATGACTCCTAGAAGCTTAGAGAAAGTAATGGACTACACTCTGTGAGGTTGAAGTGCCAGAACTACTTTATCTTACAGTTGTAGAGGGATCAAAGGGCTCACAGAAGTGGGCATGCTAGAGTGGATACACTAACTAGGTCAGAAAACCTACCAGACCACTATGATCCATGAGAGGAAATTTCATTTACCAAAGGAAAAAGGCATATGCTGGTGAGAAGGGCATGGGCATTACTGAGAAGCTCAGTGGTGGCTGTCTTCTATCAGCCAGGGATGAGGGTAAGAGATGCTGTTAATAACTGGGCTCACTGATAGCAATGGGACTCATAGGATCCCTAATTAATAGAGACCAGGTGGCAGTGCTGAACTGTCAGACACCAGTTGGGGCAATTATTATAATGAGCAGCAACATCAGAGTGGCAGCCAGGAGAGAGAACCTGTGGAGAGCTATAGAGGTGGTTAGCAGAATACAGCATGTCTAGGTACAGTAAGACATATGTGCAGCCAACAAAGGCACAATGTATACAACCAAAATAAAGGATGGAAGATGAGGAGGCTGAGGGAAGTCATCCAAATAAAATGTTTCAATCCCTTTTCCAGATTCCAAGTCTGAGCCAGTTTTGCAGACCTCGAAATTGCTGCTTGTAGGCTAGACTTTTGCCTCAGAAGGAAGAAACCTGCCACACCACAGAAAGTACACAGTAATGATTCTCCCAGTCCCTCCCAATCAGACCTTGCCATTTACTTGGGTAATTGTACAGTGAAGTAAGAGAGAAAGAAAAACATACTTCAAGACTTGCTAGACACAAGGTCCAAGCTGACATAGATACCTGGGAGGCCGAAAGCAGCAACACTCTCCTGCTTGGGAGAGGATGGTACTTATTAAATGGAGTCAAGCCCCAGGTGTGGCTCACGGTGGATTCACTGGGACCACTGGGTTTGCAGACTCACTTGGTCTCTGAATGAACAATTGAAATAGACATAATTAGATTTTGAAAATACCCCACATGTGTTCTTTGGCCACGGGCTAAGAGCTATCATGGTGGGAAAGACAAAAAGTCAAAGTCACTGGAACTTGCCCCTCACAGTGGTCATGGATGAATTGCTATTGAAACCAGGGGAGAGTAAGCAAATTATTGCCACTGTTAAAGACATAATAGATTCAAAATTAGTGACTTGCATTATATTTCCATTTAATTTTCCAAACAGGTCTCTAGAAAACTCAGATGGATCCTGGGTTTACGGCTTACTGTAACTCAATTAAAAGGAAACCCCAGGTGCAGTTGCTTTGCTAGATAAGCTATTCCTGCTGGAACCAGTTAATGCTTCCAGTCCATGGTATGTAATAAGTGATCTAGCCAGGGTATTCTCTTCCACCTCTTCAGACAGGAGGGCAAGAAACCATCTGTATTCACTCTGAATGGACAACAGTATACTTTTCAGTTTTCATACAGCACTACCTTAACTCTCCTGTCCTGAATCAAGAATTAGTCTGAAAGTATCCAAATGCAGATTCTATCTGTCTACTTCTCCTATTCTCAGAGGGAGAAAACTTGCAACAGGCAGCACAAGGAGCATCTCTTAGTCATTAAACTTAGTCATTAAGCTATCATTTTGGGCTACTTGTACCTATTTCCTTCTGTTCTCTTAGTTGTTCTTCCCAAGAGCATCCTCCAAAACACTCCTGAATGCGAATCACCGAGTCTGACAGCCTGTTTTCTCAGGAACTGGGCTTCACCAACTTTTAACCTACTGTAGTATTTAACTCATTAATTGCTCTTATTTTTTTAATTTTTTTTATTATACTTTAAGTTCTAGGGTACATGTGCACAAAATGCAGGTTTGTTACATATGTATACATGTGCCATGTTGGTGTGCTGCACCCATTAACTCGTCATTTACATTAGGTACATCTCCTAATGCTATCCCTCCCCCCTCCCCCCACCCCACAACAGGCCGCAGTGTGTGATGTTTCCCTACCTGTGTCCAAGTGTTCTCATTGTTCAATTCCCACCTATGAGTGAGAACATGCGGTGTTTGGTTTTCTGTCTTTGCGATAGTTTGCTGAGAATGATGGTTTCCAGCTTCATCCATGTCTCTACAAAGGACATGAACTCATCATTTTTTATGGCTGCATAGTATTCCATGGTGTATATGTGCCACATTTTCTTAATCCAGTCTATCATTGTTGGACATTTGGCTTGGTTCCAAGTCTTTGCTATTGTGAATAGTGCCGCAATAAACATATGTGTGCATGTGTCTTTATAGCAGCATGTTTTGTAATCCTTTGGGTATATACCCAGTAATGGGATGGCTGGGTCAAATGGTATTTCTAGTTCTAGATCCCTGAGGAATCGCCACACTGACTTCCACAATGGCTGAACTAGTTTACAGTCCCACCAACAGTGTAAAAGTGTTCCTATTTTTCTACATCCTCTCCAGCACCTGTTGTTTCCTGACTTTTTAATGGTCGCTATTCTAACTGGTGTGAGATGATATCTCATTGTGGTTTTGATTTGCATTTCTCTGATGGCCAGTGATGGTGAGCATTTTTTCCTGTGTCTGTTGGCTGCATAAATGTCTTCTTTTGAGAAGTGTCTGTTCATATCCTTCACCCACTTTTTACTGGGGTTGTTTGTTTTTTTCTTGTAAATTTGTATGAGTTCTTTGTAGATTCTGGATATTAGCACTTTATCAGATGAGTAGACTGCAAAAATTTTCTCCCATTCTGTAGGTTGCCTGTTCACTCTGATGGTAGTTCCCTTTGCTGTGCAGAAGCTCTTTAGTTTAATTAGATCCCATTTGTCAATTTTGGCTTTTGTTGCCATTGCTTTTGGTGTTTTAGACATGAAGTCCTTGCCCATGCCTATGTCCTGAATGGTAATGCCTAGGTCTTCTTCTGGGGTTTTTATGGTTTTAGGTCTCATATTTAAGTCTTTAATCCATCTTGAATTAATTTTTGTATAAGGTGTAAGGAAGGGATCCAGTTTCAGCTTTCTACATATGGCTAGCCAGTTTTCCCAGCACCATTTGTTAAATAGGGTATCCTTTCCCCATTTCTTGTTTTTGTCAGGTTTGTCAAAGATCAGATAGTTGTAGATGTGTGGTATTATTTCTGAGGGCTCTGTTCTGTTCCATTGGTCGATATCTCTGTTTTGGTACCAGTACCATGCTGTTTTGGTTACTGTAGTCTTGTAGTATAGTTTGAAGTCAGGTAGTGTGATGCCTCCAGCTTTGTTCTTTTGGCTTAGGATTGACTCAGCAATGCGAGCTCTTTTTTGGTTCCATATGAACTTTAAAGTAGTTTTTTCCAATTCTGTGAAGAAAGTCATTGGTAGCTTGATGGGGATGGCATTGAATCTATAAATTACCTCTGGCAGTATGGCCATTTTCATGATATTGATTATTCCTATCCATGAGCATGGAATGTTCTTCCGTTTGTTTGTGTCCCCTTTTATTTCATTGAGCAGTGGTTTGTAGTTCTTCTTGAAGAGGTCCTTCACATCCATTGTAAGTTGGATTCCTAGGTATTTTATTCTCTTTGAAGCAATTGTGAATGGGAGGAAGTCAAATTGTCCCTGTTTGCAGATGACATGATTGTATATCTAGAAAACCCCATCGTCGCAGCCCAAAATCTCCTTAAGCTGATAAGCAACTTCAACAAAGTCTTAGGATACAAAATCAATGTGCAAAAATCACAAGCATTCTTATACACCAATAACAGACAAACAGAGAGCCAAATAATGAGTGTTCTTATTGTTTATCTTCTCTTTCCTTCCTGTAGAATGTGAGATCCATGAGGGTGAGAATTTTTGTTTGCTTTCCATCTGGATGTAACCCAACACCTACAACAGATTCCACCACATTAAACACACTCAAGAAACATTTGACTAAATGTATATTTCATAAAAAAGCTTAATTTATTAACATTAACTTTTGGATATTATGACTGGTGTCACAACTCATGCCTCCGAAAACCATTTGTCTTTTAGAGCATCTTCCTACATGATTTAAACCTTTGGAAATCTGCTCTTTGAAAACTGAAGGCTTTGTTTTAATCAAGTGATCATGTCATTTGCTATTAATTTTTAGTTTTGGCTGGGTGTGGTGGCTCACGCCTGTAATCCTAGCACTTTGGGAGGCCAAGAGGTGTAGATTGCCTGAGCTCAGGAGTTTGAGACCAGTCTGGGCAACGTGGTGAAACCCCATCTCTACTGAAAATAGAAAAATTAGCTCAGCGGGTGGCGGACGCCTGTAATCCCAGGTACTCGTGAGTCTGAGGCTGGAGAATAGCTTCAACCCAGAAGGTGGAGGTTGCATTGAGCAGAGATCAAGTGATTGAATGACAGAGTGAGGCTCTGCTTCAAAAAAAAATTAATAGTTTTGTAATTTTTCAAATTATCTAAACAATACATGTTTACTTTTACTCAAAGAACATAGAGACACATAATGGAAAGGTAGTCACAACTTAGAGTTAAATACTATTGGATGCCCATTCCTTAATACTTCTAAGTATTATATTGATGTATTTTAAAGTTTACCTGTATAAAATATTATGGACTCTTGTTATTAATATCTTTCCCTTTTGTTTTGTTTGGTTACTTATACTACCTCCAGCCCAACTGCTTTCCCCATGACCAAGATTATATTCTACTTTTCTCCATGCATATGTAATCATTT
Organism: Homo sapiens; assembly: GCF_000001405.40. NCBI lineage: Eukaryota > Metazoa > Chordata > Mammalia > Primates > Hominidae > Homo > Homo sapiens. Next base: position 104,516,913 of record NC_000004.12, read on the forward strand.
ACAAATATGTTTATACCTTTTGGGTTCTGGCATACTTTGTTTTAGGTATTGTGAGGGACAGAGGCACCACCCAGATTGTTCCTCAATGAAGAACTAAAAGCTTGGGGGTGGGGGTGCTATGAGTAGATGCCTCAGTTCCTTCAGTGATTACTAGCTTCAGAGAACTGCCTCACCCATGGTCACACTATTTCCTGAGCAGCCCACATCAAATGACTAATCTAGTTAAGAGTATGACTTACTGGCCATTTGGACCTGATACAGGGACACTCTGATGGCAATTTTAGCTCTAGACCTCCCCATTGGGTCAGCCAAGATTCTCATCAGGCTTGCTTCACAACTCAATTTCACCCTCTGCCCAATTTTGCTTTTTCTCTCCCCTGTTTGTACATGTTAATTGCAAGACACTTACAGATAAATATCTTAAACTTCATCTCAGATTCTGCTTCCTGGAAAATCTAACCTGTGTAAGGGATCATACTACGTATTCATCTCTGCTTCTTGCTTTTCTCTCTCACTATAATCAGACTCTGACCCAGACGATTGACATAGAACTAAGGCTTTCTTTTGAATGACTATGTAATTTTCCAGCATTTTCATGCACCACAATTTGTTCAACTTTCCATACTAGGGAACATTCTAGTAGTTTCCAAATTTTATTTTTAAACATACAAAAAGTTCTGAAATAAATGTCCCTGTCACAGATCAATTTAAACTCAAAATTACATGATTACTTACTTCCAAAGTTCCTGTTACTTTTTTTTCACTAGTCAGTTCTTTTTTTTTTAAATAAAGTTCACATTACTCCACTTATTACTTTATGCACTTTCTGAGAGTTCCAATATTATCAACACAAGCCAATAATTTTTAAAATCCATGGCTAATATCTATAGAATTAAAGTCTTCCACAATTTTTGGTCATTCCTCTTTTCCTAATTTTGTGAAATATATGAAAAAGGTACTTATCAGTATCCTTTAGCTGGGATAAATCGCTCACACAAAGGTAACGAGGCTGCATTCAATCCTCTCAATCTAATTTACATGCACTGAAAAAAATACTAAAAACTGTAAATTTTTAAATCACAAACACTAGGTTGGAATCCTGGCTATACAAAAAATTACATGTGCAATATCCAACTTACTAACACTCTCTCAATTTCAGTTTTCTCATTTGTAAAATGTGAATGCCTTGCCGGGTTTTAGTGAGAACTAAAGATTTTGTAGGTTCATTGCCTGGGAAAGTGCTTTGCATAGAGAAGGTCGTCTATAAGTCATTATAATTTTTTTTCATATTCTTGGATTTTCACACACGGGTGTGTGTGTGCATGTATGTGTGTATATGTATCAATGCTATACTCACATTTTTTTCTAATAGTTCTTTTTCTTCTTAAAGAAATCCACATTTGTTCTGCTTTATGAAAGTAAAGCATACTTTAGGTACTTAGGTTGGTGCAAAAGTAATTGCATTTTTGGACCGTGAAATTTAAATTCTTATGACTAGGCTCAAACACATCCTTATTAATCAAAATAAAAACTATTATGATCACACATTTTTGCCAATGAGAAATAAGTTTGCTTATTCCTATAGCATAAAAATCCATGCTTCAGGATTTGACAAACTCTTGGAAAGAATTTTCTGCATCCTGCTGGTTGTGGAAGCGTTTTACCTGCAAAAAGTTGTGGAGATGCTTGAAGAAGTGGTAGTCTGTTGATGAGAGGTCAGGTGAATATGAAGGATGAGCCAAAACTTGGTAGCCCAATGCATTGAACTTTTGAAGCATTGGTTGTGCGACGTGTGGTTGGGCGTTGTCATGGAGAAGAATTGGGCCCTTTCTATTGACCAATGCCAGTTGCAGGTGTGGCAGTTTTTGGTGCATCTCATAGATTTGCTGAGCATAGTCCTCAGATATAATGGTTTCACCAGGATTCAGAAAGCTGTAGCGGATCAGACCATCAGCAGACTACCAGTGACCATGACCTTCTTTTTGGTGCAAGTTTGGATTTGGGAAGTGCTTTGGAGCTTCTTCCCGGTCCAGCCACAGAGCTGGTCATCACTGGTTGTCATATAAAACCCACTTTTCGTCACACGTCACAATCCTATCAAGACATGGTCCATCGTTGTTGCATAGAATAAGGGAAGACAACACTTCAAAATGATGATTTTTTTAAATTTTCACTCAGCTCATGAAGCACCCACTTATTGAGCTTTTTCACCTTTCCAATTTGCTTCAAATGCCAAGCGACCCTGGAATGGTCGACGTCAAGCTCTTTGGCAACTTCTTGTGTGGTTGTAAGAGGATCAGCTTCAATAATTGCTCTCAGTTGGCAGTTGTTAACTTCTGATGGCTGGTCACTATGCTCCTCATCTTCAAGGCTCTCGTCTCCTCTGCAAAACTTCTTGAGCTACCACTGTACATTTGTTAGCAGTTCCTTGGCCAAATGCGTTGTTGATATTGCGAGTTGTCTCTGCTGCTTTATGACCCATTTTTAAATTGAATAAGAAAATCACTCGAATTTGCTTTTTGTCTGACACCATTTCCATAGTCTAAAATAAACATAAAATAAACAGCAAGTAATAAGTCATTAGCAAAAAGACATAAAGTGAGAAATGTGCATTAAAATGATGTATAACACAACCACACTTAAGAACTTATTCTAATATCAAAAGGCAAATTTCAACAATGCAAAAACTGCAATTACTTTTGCACCAACCTTGTCTTATCTTTTATCTTATCTTATGTGGGCTTTGTGATACCTAATTAGATGCATTTACCTCCTTATAAAATTTCCCAAGTCAACAGAGTATACAATCCTTCACCTACATGAAAAAGCAGAAGTAGATAGAAAAACCTTGTGAACCTGATAAATTAAGCCAGACTTTCAGTTTCAAAACAGAAAGAAACAAAAACAAAAGCAAAACAAACAAAAACATTACAGTTTTAAGGAGCTAGGTCAGATCTAAATTATAACTGTTGCAGAAATGTCATGTGGAGTTAAGTCATATCATTTCTCATCTCCATTCCCTGGGCCTGAAGCTGGTTTCCTCAACTCCTGGTACCTACAAGTCTTCTTTCTTTCTGTGGAAAGAACCAGAAGCTGCTTTTTGTTTTCAGATGATTCTGATTTACCTTATAGGGAATATGCAACCTGTTATACAGTTCCAGTGGTTCAAATTTTTATTTTCCCCTTGATTTCGCGATGTATTCTTAATTTGGCAACATTTTACTATTCTTTTTTTTAACCCCCTTGATCTCCTAGCTTTCTTTTTGGAATATTTCTTCCACTCTCTCTAGCAACTCTACTAACCCAGGTATATACAAACATTGCTTATGATCTTTCATCTCTTCTCTAGGTGAACAGTGATTCAACTCATCCCAGAATCTCTCACCTGTTGGAGATTAGATCCTTAAACCATGAGTTGGAAAGCAGCAAATAGAGTGGAAGAGCCTCCAAAAGAAAACACAAAAGGGGCAATGTATTATCTTTCAGAGAAATCACTCTAAATTTTTACCCAAAGTATGTGGCAGGAGAGAGTGAACCCAAGATGGGACTAGCACTGAGAAAAAAACCAAACCTCATTTTGATGTTGCCCTTTGTGAAATCTTACAGAGCAGAGCTGTACCAGATTTTAGGTAGTATTTAAAAAGTAGCATTTCAGGATGGGCTTTAGAAGATCTAAGTGTAAAACCAGATCTAAGAGTAAAACAAGGGTTCACTTGGAAAATTTTATTAGTGTGAACTTTATGAAATCTTTTATTTAGTAGTCCACAACCTGGGGTGTTACCTATTCCTCTTTGGAGTATTTAGAAATACGAAGGGACATTTTCGATTACCAGAATGTCTGAGTGGCACTACTTGCATATTGTTGGCAATGACCAAAACTATAAGTGTCTTGTGGGTACTCCTGGAAATCCAGCCAATAAAGAACTGCTTTACACAAAATGTCATTAATACTCCAAGAAACACAGTGACATGGATATAATTATACTGCCAGGCTAATCATAACCACACTATTTTACATGTTACCTAGTATAACTCAGTCTATAATGCAGCAGTTACTCCTGCACCCATCACCTCTGATTCTATGTAAATGAAGTCTACAGTTTTCAAAATGATCTATTCAGTATCAAGGCTAGAAAGTCAAAATGGTCCCTTGCAATGAAAAATCAAAAAAATAAAAATAAAAATGCCTAGCAGAAAGAATCTGCCATTTTTACTGCCTCATCAGCTGAGCATGCTTGTTTTCAACACAATACGTGCAACCGAGAAAACAAACTAGCCAGACTCAGAGAACCAAGCCCCACCTAGGCCAAAAGGTTTTTAAGTATTACACAGATATATCTGTGCATACAAACACACAGATAGCCACATACAACTTGTTATTCAAATCAGCAAGGACTAAGACAGTTACGCTATGCTGTTTATTTAAAAAAACTTCTCTGAGGAGAATTCACAGGAATGTTATTGAACATCCTCAAGATACTGATGGCTAAGAGATGAATTATCATTACCACAGTGTAAACAGAAAGACTAGTGAAAATTTCCCAAGTTGCTAAAAACTTCCCTTTATTCAGTTGAAAATGTTTCTAATTATTTGTAAAAGTGCTAATGTGCTCTTTGATAGTGGGACAGAGGTTTAGACATTTATATCCTCATGTGGAGAAAGTTATACCTGACTGGACTAACCGCTGCAACATAATTTTTCTGATTAGCATTGTGTAGAATATAACAATCTAGGCAAGCAGAATGACCTTATCTTCCTTTTGATGTGCATATTTTATTAAGGGTACAAAAATTTTTCCTTACAATCTTTGATTCAACAGTTCTCTTAAAGATTTAGTTTCAAGATATTTGAAACAAGATGATCAGTGACAAGTTAATTAGAAAATGTCCTTAGTATTTGAATAGTTTTCATCAAGGAAGATTTTGAAGGGCAATACTTATTTTGAAAATTGTGTTAAATAAATAAAAGTGCTTCTTTTGCTTCTAGGATCATATTCTAACCTCTATATGCTAGTTTTTACATGCAAAAACTTCTCAAAAATTCTCCCCTCCCCCTTTTCCCTCTTTGCACTAGCAACTGAAGGAAAACCCTATCATATAGAGGAGATTCCATTCAAAAGTACAAACTACACAGAATTTCTTTAATACAGCTCAAAATACTAAAATTAGATTTACAGCATGTAACCCCACTCTTATTTTTATGCTTTAGATTTTTAGTAATGTTTGAATTCTTTTTTTTTACTATTATTATTGTACTTTAAGTTTTAGGGTACATGTGCACAACGTACAGGTTTGTTACATATGTATACATGTGCCATGTTGGTGTGCTGCACCCATTAACTCCTCATTTACATTAGGTATATCTCCTAATGCTATCCCTCCCCCAGACCCCCACCCCACAACAGTCCTCAGTGTGTGATGTTCCCCTTCCTGTGTCCATGTGTTCTCATTGTCCAATTCCCACCTATGAGTGAGAACATGCAGTGTTTGGTTTTTTTGTCCTTGCAATAGTTTGCTGAGAATGATGGTTTCCAGCTTCATCCATGTTCCTACAAAAGACATGAACTCATCATTTTTTATGGCTGCATAGTATTCCATGGTGTATATGCGCCACATTTTCTTAATCCAGTCTATCATTGTTGGACATTTGGGTTGGTTCCAAGTTTTTGCTATTGTGAATTGTGCCACAATAAACATACATGTGCAGGTGTCTTTATAGCAGCATGATTTATAATCCTTTGGGTATATACCCAGTAATGAGATGGCTGGGTCAAATGGTATTTCTAGTTCTAGATCCCTGAGGAATTGCCACACTGACTTCCACAATGGCTGAACTAGTTTACAGTCCCACCAACAGTGTAAAAGTGTTCCTATTTCTCCATAATCTATCCCATGCCTAAACAAACATCTAATATCTTTGGTCCAGTTTGAGATTCGACTTAAAAAGAATCCAGAAGACACTTTTGCAGAGACACAGAAAGTAACAAAGTACAGATGTCATAGAAATTGTAGTCCAGCAGTACCAGGGGAGATGTACTGGCCCAAAGACTCTAATCCTCTAGACTACCTGTAGAGCAAGATATCTTTCCATTTATATCATCTCCATATGGTAACTAGTACTCTATGATGCATAGGTAAAATCCGAGGTTCCCTAGCTTTGGAATATTAGATACTATTAAAAGAGATGAGATTGGGAACATTAATGTCACAAACTAGTTTGCTCAGGAGTTGGGCAGACCTGCTCTCTAACCTAAGCTGTACCACCTGCTGAGTTAGTCTTCTACCTCTTGATGCCTCATCTTCCTCAATGAGATTCATCAGTTGAAAATGATCACTTCTAACTTGAAATTCTATAATGTTGAAAGTCGTTATTTTCCTGAACTTTCTGTAGAAGTTGCAATGGAAGCCTGGAAAACAAAACAATAGAAAACACTTGTAGTTTTAATAACCTACATAAAATAAAACATTCTCTATGCTACATAAATAGCATGAAATATTTTCTATGCCAAAAATTATGAGCAAAAGTACAAGAGCAACCTCCCAAATGGAAAAAAAAATTATAAGAAACATTCCAGAGCGTAATATCTTCATATATAAAAAATTTACACGAATTCAAAAGAAACACACCATTAAAAAAAAACAGGTAAATAAGACAAAAAAGTGATTTACTAAGGTCAAATTTTAAATCACGAATAAACTTATGAATAAATGCACTAGACTGCCTGAAAAGCCTACCATTTTTCTTTCCCATACTCTACTTCCCCATATCTTGAAACCTTTCTTTTGTAACTTTAATTTCTTCTCATCACAACTGGCCACCCTTTCTTCTGCATACAGTCCAATTCTTAATTATGTCTCTTCATTCTCTATTGAGAAATAGAAATAATCAGGCAAAAATTCTTCCCAAACAGCAGCAAATCTATACATCTACTTGCATTTGTTCCTGTGTTTTCTATCCTCCTATTACACGAGTTAAACTGTAGCTATTGCAAGAGCCAGACAAACCCTGTACTTGTTTTCTGAATCCCACATACCCTTATCTTTTCAAGGGCATCTACAAGATACCCCTTCTCATTCCTGTGTAATCAAGATCTTTCTCTCCAGAATTATTCCAATATCCTAAAAAAAAATAAATAAATAAAACTCACTTATAGTATCACATATCCAAAAAGCAAAGAAAGTCTATTGCCCAAATTTTCTTGCCTTTATTAACCACCAGATGTCATGCACAAATGATCTGCTCTGGCTGTATTCCTTGCTCCTCGCTTGTTTATTCTTCCACTTGCAGCAAGTCAGTGTCTGAACCCACATCTCCACAGAAATTGCTATTGTCAACTCCACTGACCACATGTAGTTCACTATTCTAATAATCACTTCTCTGTCTCATTTTACTAGCTCTCTCAGCAGCGTTCCTCTCAGTGATGAATCCTGAAAAATTTCTTTCTTTTAGATCAGGGATACCCCATTCATCTAGTTTCCAGGCTGCTCACTGTCTGATTAATTTCAGTCTCCTGTTCTGGCTCCTCCTTTTTGAACTTGATCTAAATATCACAGTTTCTCAGAGTTTTGCCCTAGACTTCTCTTCTCTTTTTGGTCTGCTTCTCTAGATGATCTTACATAGTCTCATTCATGGCTTTGAATTTTATCAAAGTGCTGACAACTCCAAGGTCTCTGAATTCATCTATCTACCTGTCAATTCATATCTTTACTTTTATATTCCATAGAACCTCAAAAATAAAAGATTCCGTCCAAACTTCTTATTTTGGTGTCCCTCACTGCCTGTTTCTTCCATAGTTTTCCCATCTCAGTAAATGATATCATCAGCCATCAGACTGTTCAAGACAAAACCTAGGAATGAGTCATCTTTGACATCTTTGCATCCATAACCCCCACAGGAAATCCAAAGTGAGTCACATGCTTTTTTATTCAAAATATTTAAAAAATAGAAGCACCATCATGTCTCATAAGGTGCATAGCTATAGTCTTCTACTTTGTCTCTCTACTGTCACTTGAACCACTCTTTTCTACTCTCAACCCAACAGCCAGAAAGTATAACATTTAAAACTCTCCTAAGTCCTCTAGTTGTACATCTAATAAGATCTGACCACCACACTAAGGCCTGCAAGGCTCCATATGACCCATCCTTTTCTATCATACTAACTTTATGTTACAGTACTTTTTCCTGCTAATTACACTTTGTGTTTCCTAAATATCAACTTTGTTGCTTTCTCAAGACCTTTACTCTTAAGTTCATCTCTGCCTGACAGGCCCCCCATCATAGCATCAAACATGTGGTTCATTCTTTAGACTTTGGATCTAAGTTATTTCCTCAGAAAGTATCTTCTCAGACTACCCATTTAAAATGCCCCGACTCTCAAATCAAGCAGTTGTTTTTCAACATTTTTTTCTTCATTACTATCTGGAATATTTGTTTACAGTGTTCTTTGTTTACTTGTTTGTCATCTCTCCTACTAGATTATAAGCTTCTGATTGGCTACATATTTACTGTTTTATGTATCACTTTATATTAGCTACCAGATAATGCAATACATATTTGTTGAATAAATTAGTGAGTTGAAATCACTTCAGATAGCACAGGAAGAAGCCAATGCGCTACCATTTGAAAGTCTGACATAAAACCTTAAATGTAGCATTACAACATCATATAACTGACTTCTCCCCTGAGCTCCACGTACATACAAACTGCTTCCTCAGTATTTTTACTTGGGAATCTTGTAGACACAAACTCCACATATTCGACACAGAATTTTTTATTTAAATCCCCACCAATACATTTAGTTCCTAATTCCCCCTCTCCCCAAAGATGCTTAAGATAAAACCTAGAAATTAAACACATTTTTGTATATGTATATTATACACACACGCATATGTATATCCCATTATATTAAAGTTACATATGCTGGAATATCTATTTGTGGGTCTGTATTTATATGCAGCTATCTATCTGTATTTTAAATAAAATATACCGAAGTGTTCATGATGACTTTATTTCCTTGGGCAATGTGGGATTCAGAGTAATTTTGTATACTTCAGAGTATAAAAAATATGTGTTTATACTGTTTTTTTTCCCTAGGATTTTGTTTCGTTTCTATGGTCTCTTATTTTTTAAAAAGTTTATTTATTTATTTATTTATTTACTTGATACAGGGTCTCTCTCTGTCCCCTAGGCTGGAGTACAGTGCCCAATCATAGCTCACCACAGCCTTGAACTCTTGGGCTCAAGCGATCCTCCCACCTCAGCCTCCTGAGTAGCTACAACTACAGGTGTGTGCTACCATGCCTGGCTAATTGTCTTATTTTACATTTTTAGAGACAGAGTCTCACTATGTTGCCTAGGCTGATCTTGAACTCCTGGCTTCAAGCTATTCTGCTGCCTTCACCTCCTAAAGCACTGGGATTACAGGCATGACCCACTACACCTGGCCATGTGTCATTTTAATAGAAAAAAGTAAAACCTTAAAAAATGGAGGATTCTATAAATTTATGGACTATGGTACTGAGAAGAGGATTACTAAATTTTTCCAGTTCAATAGTACAGATTTCTATACTATTATATAGATTTAACTGGATCCAGTTAAATCTATGATAGTACAGAAATCTAGAAAAAATGACAATTTTGTATGCCATATTTTGGGATGTCATTGTTATTGTGTATGTAAAGGAAAATGAAAAGTTAACTGTAAGCTGCAAGAGCAGAATTATGATTTTCCTAAAAGATAAAACTCTCTATGTATATGTGTGTGTATATATATATATATATATAATTTCTAAAGTAATATTCAAATTACTTTTGTATCATTACCACCAAATTTGTAGAAAACAAAACAAATAGAGTTCTACCAGGAAATTACATCTTTTAAAACTATTGATTATCATTGTAAAGACAATACGTTAGTTAGTGTAGCCAGCAATCATATTATACTATTTTTGCAAGATGTGGGGTAACTGCCTTGAATGGTCAGGTTGCTGGTGCATTTGCTGGTAGCTTGATCTGCAAGTAGAGAAAAAAGTTTGGATTAAATCAATTATTTTTGGAGAATCCCTGCTTTATTTTCAAATTTATTAAGATATATTTTTAGAATATATCCTACACTTTGTTAGGGATAGTATTTCCTTTTCTCTTTTCTTCAACTTTTATTTTAAGTTCAGGGGTACATGTGCCATGGTAGTTTGCCACACAGATCATCCCATCCCCTAGGTATTAAGCCCAGCATCCATTTGCTATTCTTCCTGATGCTCTCCCCCATCCTGTCTCTGACAAACCCTAGTGTGCGTTCTTCCCCCATGTTTCCATGTGTTCTCATCATTCAGCAACCACTTCTAAGTGAGAATATGCCGTGTTTGGTTTTTCTGTTCCTGTGTTAGTTTCCTAAGTATAATGGCTTCCAACTCCATCCGTGTCCCTGCAACGGACATGATCTTGCTTTTTATGCCTGCGTAGTATTCCATGGTGTTTATGTACCACATTTTCTTTATCTAGTTCATCATTGATGGGCATTTAGGTTGATTCCATGTCTTTGCTATCATGGCTGGTGCTTCAATGAACATACGCGTGCATGTATCTTCATAACAGAATGATTTCTATTCCTTTGGGTATATACTCAGTAATGGGATTGCTAAGTCAAATAGTATTTCTGCCTCTAGGTCACTGAGGAATTGCCACACTGTCTTTCACAAAGGTTGAACTAATTTACACTCCGACCAATAGTGTAAGTGTTCCTTTAACTCCACAACCTCGCCAGCATCTGTTTTTGTTTGTTTGTTTGTTTTTTGACCTTTTAATAATTGCCATTCTGACTGGCATGAGATGGTATCTCATTGACGGATAGTATTTCTATGTGATAAGCATCACATTGCTTGTTAAGAGTGATCATATGGATATATGTAACACTTCAAGTTGGTGGAGACTACCATTTCTAGGGAGAAGAAGCAGAAAATAAAGTAAAGAGCATTGTATAAAGAATCACATGTGCTGCGATGAGGATTTTGGATATTACTCACAAGTCCAGTGGTTTTCAACCTGTGCTCCCATGAGCAATTAGGTGTCTCTCAGGGGGAACATCACTTTAAAGCAGCTCAAAATAGACTAAGCACTTGGTCCTTGTCAGTTCTGGTCCTCTGAGAATCAAATTTCAAGACAAGTTTAGACATAAAGGATGTTCTTGGGGAGCTATGAAGGATGAAGGGAAGGCAGCAGGAGCAGGCAGGTGGAGATATTTAGACCACAATGCTGGTTTGTGAAAAGAGAGAGGAAAGAAGAATTGAATAGGAAGAGCCAAACTGCAAAACTGCAAGAAAGTCTTACCTCACCCATGAAGTGTCTCTTAGCCAAAGTTGCCAAAGAGAGAGACTGCATTTTCACGAATGGGACAGCACTAGTATGCACGCTGTGCTTACTCACTGGCTGTAACTAGACTGGTAGAAAGATGGCCTCGGTACAAATATGGTGGATCTGCAGTCAACCATGCTTCTCCAACAGGTTTTCTAGAAGGAGATCCAAGCAGTACCCACTCCATGGCCGCCAATTCTCACCATGCCCATTTCACAAGAGCTGCTACATTTTTGTTTGGTTTATAATTATGTTTTGACTAAGATTACATTTAACCCAAAGGCTCCATTTTCATTCATCAACAAATGTTTATCAAAATGTACTGCACATTGGTATTAACTAATATCTTAGCTATATTACAAAGATACTGCATCAAAAATAAACAAGAAATTCAGCAGCTTGAAATATTAATTATTATCCCAGTCACAAGTTGGCTGGGACTGTTCTGCTTCATTATGCACACCTACAGAATCACTGGAATAAATTGGTTCCATCATTCCAGTGATGGAATGATGAATGGGCATCAGTTTCCCAGTAGAAACTCTAGACAGAGGGAGGGTAAGAACACCAGAGGGGAGGGTAGAGCACATAGAACCTCTTATGACTGGGTTTGGTGCTGTATTCCTGTCATTCTGCCCACATTGCATTGGCCAAAGCAAGTCATGCGGCCAAGGCCAACATCAATGTGTTAGGAAAGCATATTGCCTCTAAAGGAGGGAATATAAAACCACTTGGTAAATGGATACAGCAAGGAGCAAAGAATTGAAAACAGAAATGCAGTCTACCACAGTTAGGCGGTTCAAAGGATTGAACAAGAAAGACAAGGTTTTTGCTCCTTATAGAAATCAGTCTAGTAGGGAGATTAAAACTATAAGTAGAGTGGTGTGGGCTTATAGCACATATTAGATTTGAGAATTATAAGGACTCTGTAGAAACCTAAAGCTACTTTTGAAGATGAGTTCTAAAAGAGACAATAAAAATAAAGAAAGAAAAGATCCAAGGACAGAATCACGGATTTAAGAGATGGTAAAGAATTAGGATCTCCTGAAAGAGATGGTAAGGAAAGGGCCAGATAGATAAAAATAAAACCATAAACATGAAAGAAATAATTGAAATCAAGAAAGAAGTGATTTTCCAAAAGTCGAGTAATATACCAAAATCCTCCAAACAGTTCAAGAAGATTGTGGGCTGTCAAGGGTCCACCTGATGTGGCTATTAAGAAGTTGTTAGTGATGTCGATGATAACATCAATGGAGTGATGGGACTAGAAACTAGACTGAAGTTGGTTGAGAAAAATAGAAACAGTGAATATGGTCTCCTAAGTTCATAAACTTAGTTACAGAGGGAATGAAAGTGACCAGAAAGTTGAAAAGGCTTAAATAGATTAGTATAGAGGAAGGGATATAAGGTAAAACATAAGATCCTCTATGAACAAACCATTTTTTTTCCCTCAATTTTTATATCCTGTTTGTTCTCCCCTTCAAACTGCTTAATCACTTAGAGTTCCTCAAATACGCCATACAGTTATACTTGGACAAGCTATTTTCTGTGTTTTTCCCTGCTTGAAGGGACTTTTCGCAGTAAGGTATGTTCTTGTTTTCCTACATATCTTTACAGGAACAAGTACAAATATTTATGAATACCTACTATGCACTAACCACTGTGTTAGAGACATAAAAACAATTGTCTTAATGAACCATCACATAAACTCTGTATTGTAGGCATAATTATCCCCATTTTAGAGGTAAAAAACTGGACTTGGAAAGATATAATGACTTGTCCAGATACACATCTCGTACCTGGTGGGTTAGAAATTTGAATGTATTACTCTCTCCAAAGTTTGTGTTCTAGTCTCAATTTCATTAAACATATACCACTTTGTAAAAGATCTCCTGTCTGAGGGTGTGATCCCTCCTATAAGCAGTGGGGCAGATGGAGGAGGTTTTGCATTAAAATTGATTAGTGTTGATCTTGCCATCCTTTGAAACACAGACATATCTCGCATATGTCAACTACAGCACTTATTACACTGTTTTGTAACATTAAAAAGTATATGAAGTACTCTTGCCGGCAATAAAGAGGCATATAAGTATTGAAGTAGGGGTGAGAAAGCAAAAGCACTTGTGTTAATGGGGAGGGTGCATTCGAAAGGAAGAGACTAGAAGCAGAGAGATAACTAATAATTTATAAATCCAAATGAGATAAATGAGGGCCTACCTAAAGCTGTCATAGAGAGCCCGGAAACAAGAGGAAATAATCGAAGGAGGTTTAAGAAACAGAATCACTAGGACTTGGCCAGTTGGCTGGGAGGAGAGTGATGACACACAGTTTTCTAGCTGAATGGATTGAATGGATTGATGTATCTCAATGAAAATGGAAATATGGGAGAGAGAACAGATTTGAGAAGGAAGTGTGGAGCCAACTATGAAATATGTGTGAGATATGGAGGAGGGGGAAAGAGACCACAACAAAGAGATCCTGAGTCAGTATATTTACAACCAAGTCTGAGAAGTTTTTTATCCAATACTCATTTAATCTACAAAGGACTTTTAGTTCCTAACTGTTATCTGTGGATTTTGACTCAGAAGAAGCTGGCAACCAAATAAATTTATATATAAGATTTATCAAAAGAACACTATTTCTCAAGGTTTCCATGGCAAAATTAAGATATATTCTTCAAAAATATTTCATTTTAGTTAGAAAATAAACTTTTTAATTTCTATTGTATTTTAGTTTTGTGTTGCTGAAATGTTATATATTTAATGCTCACCAGCATCACCTCTACCCAATGGTTTCATGGTTCTTCGATAATAATGACATAACAATCTGGGTGTTGCTTTCTGGATTCCTTTCGCATCTAAAAACTAGGACAGCCCTTTAGGATTGACTACAAGCCTCAGGGAACACACAATTGCCATTTGGTAAAGGACAGAGCATAGCATAATTCTAGATGACATTGTGCCAGAATTTGAGCAGTGAAATGATGTCACATTCCACACAGTCATATTTATCACTTTCCCTCTTGGTACTGACATTGTTTGTAACTTTGAAATATTTTGTGCTATGTTGAAGTTTAAAATAAAAAGACAGGTCATACTAATGAGTTTGCAATCTACCTCTATTTTTTTTGTTGTTGTTGTTAAATACTGTCATGACACAAAACACTGAAGCCATTCTCTATTAAAGATTCTGTATTCATCACCATATATATTATTAGATCTTTAGGGAAGTTAATTGAAGTGGTGAAAATGTATTGAGGAGATTTATAAAAAGTGAAATTGTCCCTGCCAAAGTTTCAGCAGGAAGAGTTTGGTCATTAGTGCTCTCTAGTGGAGCAGGGATTTTGTGCTTAACTTTTCAGACATGTTTCAGAAAGCTGTTTTTCCAGCAAATCTCTTCTACTGCTCAGCATGGCCTGAAGCTCAGGGTCTTTATATGCTGTACTGAACGTGGGGTCATAAGGTGTTGGCAATGAGTTTTTGAGCATTCTGGACTTTAAAGCTGCCACTCTATTTATCCTATCTGTTTTGGAAGTGAGTGATGTTTCATCCTGTTACTTTGTTGAGGACCATGAATATGCACATTTATCTTTCATGCTCTAGGAAATACTGGGACAAGATAACTTCAGCACCAGACCTAATTGTTGTAGCATACTGCATGCTTTTATTTTATTACTCATAAGTTATAGGTAATTATTATTCTAAATTTATTAAATTTTAAACATTTATTACTCAAATTAAAAATAAGCAAAAATTATAGCAGGGAAGAATAACTTCTGAGTCCAAAGCAAATTACTTTGATAAAACTATGTTTCTTAGATTAATCTGAGTCTGAACTGAGAAAAAAAATTGTAAATCCTTTCTGGCAAATGAACACAGGGAAAACTATCTGGAAGAATACTGCTGGTACTAATTTAACAAAGCACTCAGATTTTTCCAAGTTGACTTTAATTGGAGTACTGCATAATTTAGCACATTAGTGAAAAACTTAAATGAATGATGTGGAAACAAATGTTTAAAGGTGCCTTTTGAAAAAAATTTAATGTGGAAGAATCCTGGCAGGGTAACTTATATTTTGGATACTTTAGGTCATTTGCACATTATAAAACTAAGTGGCGAATTTGCATTTGTAAAACAAATTTTGGTGCTTAAATTTCCAAATCAGTAGTTTTTTTTTCTCTCTCTCCCTCCCTACACACACACACACACACACACACACTTTTGAACTAGTTCAGAGTTTCTTACACTCTTATTCATTACATTTATTTCCTATAATTCTATTGCTTTAGAGCTTCCATTAATAGTTCTTACCTCATCATGCATCAGTGCAACAGTGCAGCTTCACTTCTTTTTTCACCAGTGCTTTTCTTCCCATCACTAAGACGCTACTTTAGTCTTTGCTTTTAGGCAAAGAAATTTATTCTATAGAACAAAATTTGTCAAATAGAAAGCAATGGTGTGCAGTGAATTTGAAAGACAAGACAGAGGTTTAGTAAGAATAAAAAAAAAGTTGATGGTTGGATGGCTAAGATAAAGAGGAAGAGGTGGAGGTGAGGCTTGAGTTGGACCTTTCAAAAGACAGGAGCCAGCACAGGGCAAAGGAGGGCAAGGGAATGGAATGTAGCCTGAATGCAGGGGAGCAGGCGAGAGCTGTTTCAAGGAATACCGCATACCAAAGAAATATATCACTTTAAAAAATTACTTTCCCTCTACATCAGCTGACAGAGACCAAGCATCCTGGACCTTGGGCCTCTGGTGATTTCTATTTTTCAACAACCCTCATGTCAAAGTATTTCTGCTGTCTGAATAGCAATCTCCATATAAAGGCCAGCTTCACTATATAAATAGCATGCAAGAACAGTTCTTATGGTGTTGTATTTTATACTGGCAGTATGGTTAGGCTACTTTGCCAACTACCATGGTTTTATTTTATCAACACAGTCTATACCTCTACTCAAAATATTCCTTTCTATTGTTTCTATGATTTTTCATTCCATGTAATTCACCCTACCCACATCTGCAATTCTATAAATAATTACCTAGAGGAACATGGTTCAGATCAACCCTCAGATCACACTAAAGACTATGAAAGCCGTGATTAATAGGAGTTGAACCCCTGGAGACCTTTTCTTAGTGAGAAATTTTCTTGTGTCTCCTCTAGCTTACTCAGCCATATTAAAAACTCTGGTGACAGAAAATTATTAATTCTGTGGCTTTCACCTACAACTCCTAGCATCTGAAAAGACTTGCTCAGTGCTCTAAGCAGGACCAGGAAGGATCCTGACTCCATAGGGAACTCTTTGCCCAACACCTATGAGCACCAAACATTTCCATGGATAGAGTGTCCTGAATGAAAAATGTTTTTCATCCTTTCCAAAAAGAATTTGACAAAGTTTCATAAACGCCAGAAGTATGATTTATGGCAGCTAATGCTGGGACAGATTCCTCTAGAGCCTAGTGAAATAGGGGGTGCACTTATCTAACATATGGGCGTGAGACCTGGCTGCAGTGCTAGGCACCATCTCTGACTCAGTGTTTACCTCCAGCACTGCTTTCTAATGACCAAGGGAGAGAGAAGTAAGTCTTAGAAGCAGAGTTGCACCTTTAAAAATCCGTATGTGGTGCCTTTTAAAAAAAAGTTCTATATAGTGTGGAACATCAAAAATGTGCTAGGGTGAGAAGAATGATATGTAGAACCTAGCTTCTAATAATTACTTTTTCTTCATCCACTGATCTCGCTTTCTCGCTTCCCTCTTATATTAAGTGGTATGGGGAAATTGCTTGAAAAGGATCCTTGCAGCCTCTTCTTTCTGCCTACTCTTTAGTCTCCTTCTGTTTCATGAATTGAGCTCTTTTGTCCATGGCTTATCTGAATATTATGTTGCATGTCCCAGATTTCTGCTTCTGTCCTATTCCTATATCATGGAATATTTAAGAGTCCAAACATGGAATTTTTGTAGAGAGTCTCTGGCAATTTAAAATAGATTGTTTGGAAAGATAAATGATGGCAAGCACGATTGAATAAAATAATACATGTTAACTATTAAAGTATATAATTGGATGATAAAAACTGTAGTTTCTTATGTTATTAAAAATGCACTGGTGAATTTTTTGGTGTTATGAAGATTGTATGTTTTTTTCCACATTGAAAGCAGGAATAAAAATATGTGTAATTATGGCATAAGTACAAACAGAATTGTTAAAGTAGTAGCTATAATGGGCATGGTGGTACATGCCTGTAATCCCAGATACTCAGGAGGCTGAAGAAAGAGAATCACTTGAGCCTGGGAGGCAGAGGCTGCAGTGAGATGAGATCACACCACTGCAGTCCAGCCTGGGTGACAGAATGAGACTCTGTCTCAAAAAAAAAGTAGCAATTTAGTATGTCATCAGAAGTTTGATAACAAACAAGCATATTATTATTTTTATTAATATATCAGATATTCTGCTCTTGGTGAAGCCGAAGCCATCTTGACCAAAAAAGTAAACAAAGCTGGAGGAATCACACTACCAGATTTCAAAATATGTTACAAATTTATAGTAATCTAAACAACATGGCAGTGGCTTAAAAGCAGTCACATCGACAAGAGCAATAGGATAGAAAGCCCATAAATAAACACATCTATGGTCAATTGATTTTTGAAAAAGGGGCCAAGAACACACAATGGGGAAAGGACAGTTCCTTCAATAAATGCTATTGGAAAACTAGATATTCACATGCAGCATAAAAAGAATATTTACAATTCTGTCTTCTAGCTATTAATATACAGTACATTATTATTAGCTATAGTTAAACTACTGCCTAATAGAACACAATAACTTATTCATCCTAACTGTAGCTTTGTACCTGCTGACTAACCTCTCCCAATCCCTCCATCTCTTCTACACTCTCCAGCCTCTGGTAACTACTATTCTACTCTCTACTTCAATGAGATAAACTTTTTTAGATTCCACACGAGTGAGATAATGCAGTATTGGTCCTGTGCTTGGCTTATTTCACTTAATATAGTGTCCTCTACATCCATCCAGATTGTCACAAATAACAGGATTCCATTCTTTTAATGGTTAAATAGTATTCTATTGGGTATATATACCACATTTTAAAATTCATTCATCTGCTGATGGACACTTAGGTTGATACTATGTCTTGGCTATTGTGAATAGTGCTGCAATGAACATGGGCTGCATATATCTCTTAGACATAATTGATTTCATTTTCTTTGGATATATTCCCAGTAGTGGGATTGTTGGATCATATAGTAGTTCTATTTTTAATTTTTTAAGGAACATCCATACTGTTGTTCATAATGGCTCTACCAATTTACATTTCCACAAACAGTTTATATGAGCTCTCCTTTCTTCACATTCTTGCCAACATTTGTAATTTTTTTGTCTTTCTGACAATAGCCATTCTAACTGGGGTGAAGTGATATCTCATTGTGGTTTTTAAATTTCTATTTCCCTGATACTTAGTGATATTGGCATTTTTCATATATTTATTGATCACTTGTATGTCTATTTTTGAGAAATGTCTATTCAAATCTTTTGCTCATTTTAAAATTGGCTTATTTGTTATTTTTTGCCCATTTTAAAACTGGCTTATGGAATACTTTCTTCCATTATGTAGGTTGTCTTTTCACTCTATTAATTGTTTGCTGAGCAGAAGCTTTCTAGTTTGCTATAGTTACATGTGTCTATTTTTGCTTTTATTGTTTGTGCTTTTAAGGTCTTATCCAAAAAATTATTGCCCAGTACATTTTCGTGAAGCATTTCCCTAATGTTTTCTTCTAATAGTTTTATAGTTTCAGGTCTTACATTGAATTTCTTAATCCATTTAGAGTTGATTTTTTAATATGGTGAGAGATTAGTCTAGTTTTATTTTTCTGCATGTGGAAATAAAGCTTTCCTAGCATCAATATTCCTTTCCCCAATATGTGTTAGTGGTGCCTTTGTCAAAAAACAGTAGGCTATAAATGCTTGGATTTATTTATTGGTTCTCTATTCTGTTCCACTGGCCTGTGTGTCTGTTTTTATGCCAGTATCATGCTGTTTTGGTTATTATAGCTTTGTATCATATTTTAAAGTCAGATAGTGTGATGCCTCCAGCTTTTTTCTTTTGTTCAAGATTGCTTTGACTGTCTGGGAACTTTTATATTTCTATACAAAATTTAAGATTGTTTCATCTATTTCTGTGAAGAATTTCAAGTGCTGTTTGATAAAAATTATGTTGAATCAACAGATTGCTTTGGGTTATATGGACATTTTAACAATATTAATTATTCTAGTCCATGAACATGGGATACATTTTCATTTCTTTGTATACTTGTCAATTTCATTCATCAATTTTTTTTGGACTTTTCACTGTAAAGATCTTTCACCTCCTTATTTAAGTATATTCCTAGGTATCTTTTTTTTTTCTTTTTTCTTTTTTCTTTTTTTTTTTTTTTTTTGAGACGGAGTCTTGCTCTGTCACTCAGGGTAGAGTGCAGTGGCGTGATCTCAGCTCACTGCAACCTCCACCTCCCGGGTTCAAGCGATTCTCCTGCCTCAGCCTCCCGAGTAGCTGGGACTACAGGTGCCCACCACCACACCGGGCTAATTTTTGTATTTTTAGTAGAGATGGGTTTCGCCATGTTGGTCAATCTGGTCTTGAACTCCTGACCTCAGGTGATCCACCCACCTTGGCCTCCCAAAGCACTGGGATTACATCTATTTTTTTTTTTTGGTAGCTATTATAAATGCAACTGCGTTTCTGATTTGTTTTTTCAGGAAGTTTGCTATTGTCATTTATAAATCCTACTTATTTTTGGATGTTTATTTTGTATTCTGCAACTTTACTAAATTTATTTTTTAGTTTTTAAAGTTTTCCCACTAAAGCCTCTTTTTAAAAATAGCATTTCTAATGCATGCATGATTCTCCATGCCATGGATACAGAAAATTTGTCTGTTTTATTTCCTCTATTTTTGTAAAATTAGGTTTCCCCCGTACCAATTTTTGCACTTAGGAAAATTACTATTATAAAATTATATACATAAACAATTCTATGTATTTACAACTACCACTTTAAAAAAATCCATATGACTACCAGAACTTAAATTACTGGACCAAAAAGCTAGAAGCTTTCTTTTAAAATTTAGTACATATTTTTAAATTGCTTTGGGGAAAATACGAGTTTCCAGCTTATACAGCCCTAGTTTTAAAATTGTTATGTTAAATTTAAAATTCAATGTTATTATATTTATTAGTTTATTTTAACATCTAATTATTGAGTTTAATACAATTTAACATTAACTTTTAAATTTATTATTATTTCATTGTTAATTTGAAAGATCTTAATGTGTCAATTTGTATTTCTTAAATTAATAGAAATTAGCATCTTCTCTAAATTTATAAGCTTTTTATGATCTTCATGTCTTATCTGTTCAGTCACTTTATAATTTCATGGTACCAACATTAATTCCTTGCAGCTCTCCTTGTGCCAAGTAACATTTACTCTGTCATTTTTTGCTTTATTATTTGTATAAATTTATGGGGTACAAGTGTAATTTTATTATATGGATGTAGAGTATAGGGATGAAGTTAAGGCTTTTAGTGTATCCATCATCAGAATAATGCACATGTGCTTGTTTTAAAATTGCATTTGTAATATTTAGGCCTTCTAAGTTTTAAATTTTTATGTGATCTAATCTACCTGTTGTCTTTGTGATTTTCCCTTCATTGCCTATAAATTCAATAATTTTGAGTTTAGAAAATTATTGCCTAGACCCAGAGTCAAAACATATGCATTTCTATTTTCTTATGGTTTTTCAAAACTTTGATTAAGAAAAAAAAAGTTTAACTATTTAAAGCTAAAACTTATTATGGTATGAAATATAATTTCTAAAGTACTTTTTATATACCCCATTTATTCATTCATTTTATAAATAATTATTTAGTGTTATACTCTACATTAAGCTGTTAGGAAGTCAGTGAACAAAGCAGAAAAAGTGGCCTTAAGAACTTAAATTCTAGCTAGAGGGAGACAGAGATGCTGTTAGGTAGATAGATGTAAACACACACACTGCACCACCCCTCCACCCACACACACGTTTCTTTTTATATATGTGTGTGTGTGTGTGTGTGTGTGTGTGTGTGTGTGTGTGTGTATATTCTCAATGAAGTAGGAAGCAAAATCAACTACTACTAGATGGGAGAGGAGAAGGTATAAATTGTCATGTAGGAGGGTGGCAGAATAGAGGTACTAGGAAAATACAGTATGATTTCCTGGCAGCCTGGAGTTCCCACTTGAACTTAGTGATCATTAATTATTCAGCATGATTGTATATTTTTCTCCAGCTCCATTCAGCTGCAAAGCTTTAAGTATGAAGTGGGCAGAGAGTTGAATTTACTCAGGTTTGTGTATTTTCCAAGTGAGCATCAGTAAGCCAGAGAGAAGCGAGGGAGTAGAGGGTGTATATACAAGGGAATGATTATGATGATGGACCATGGAATTAAAGATGGTAACAAAGAGTGTGAAAGTATCAAAGGGGTAAGGGACAATTAAGTGTATAGGAATAATCCATTGGTGTAAGTGAAGAATTATTGGAGTAGGAGTACTAGAAGAATTTAGCTGAAAAGTTGGGACATTGAGGTTATCATGGGGTTGCAGTTTTTCGTAATGACAAGACACTGGCATGCTTCTGAGAGTGAATACCTCCTTAAACTTCATACTTGCCTCTTCCTAGTTCTAACCCCACTGTCTACATGAATATTGAAATGGTCCAAGATAAGAAGGCAGTATTATCGGATAGAATAACAACGAACTAGGAGATAAACTTGTTGAAATATGAGAAAGAATGTCTTGGAGAACAGCAGATGACAGAAAAATGAGAGAAAGAAGATGATATTCTGTGATGAAATGAGACTCTTTAGGAAGGAGAAAGGGAAATTTGCCGGCAAGCAGCAATGATCACAAACTCCACCCCCAGGCTCAGTGGAATAATCCCCAATAAAGGAAGCACAAACCACAGAAAACAGAAAAGTAGTAATGATGCTAAATGTTCATGAGACTGGAACCTGGCCCTTGAGCTCCCATAACTCCATCTGTCTCAGCCTGATCTCTTTTTGTCTCAGCAATCTGCTGCCTGCTCTAGATTTCCCAGTTTGGCAAACCAACCGTTCAGTTTCTCTGGCTCTTTACTGTTTCTCTTCATCCCCCATATGATGGCTTAATTTTCCCTCTGGCCTAGCACTTGTTTTGGAAAATGCTTCTGGTAACTGACCTCTTTGTCTTGACTAAGAGATTTGTTTCTTGTGCATGGCTCGGTAGTTAGTCCAGTAAGGTGTGTACAGGAATCATGGAACATACATTCTACCTTATTTGACTAAACACTTATAGCAAGAAAGCACACTAATGGGCTGATTAAAAAAAAACTGATCTTGATTTCAATCACAGTAGAAAGTTATATAACTTGATCTCTACTGCCCATTTCATTTTCATGGAAATTTATAGTGAGATTGAAAGTAGCAAAAAACTAAATTTCTATACCAAATTCTCAGAAATAAAAATCACCAAGGGCACTGATTCTCAATCGTTCTCTTTTTTTTTTTTTTAATTACACTTTAAGTTTTGGGATACATGTGCAGAACATGCAGGTTTATTACATAGGTATACACGTGCCATGGTGGTTTGCCTCACCCATCAACCTATCATCTACATTAGATATTTCTTCTAATGCTATCCTTCCCCTATCCCCCAACCCTCCAACAGGCCCCGGTATGTGATGTTCCCCTCCCTGTGTCTCTGTGTTCTCACTGTTAAACTCCCACTTATGAGTGAGAATATGCAGTGTTTGGTTTTCTATTCCTGTGTTAGTTTGCTGAGAATGATGGTTTCCAGCTTGATCCATGTCCCTGCAAATGACATAAACTCATCCCTTTTTATGGCTGCATAGTATTCCATGGTGTGTATGTGCTACATTTTCTTTAGCCAGTCTATCATTGATGGGCATTTCAGCTGGTTCCAAGTTTTTACTATTGTGAATAGTGCTGCAATAAACATACATGAGCACCTGTCATTATAGTAGAATGAGTTATAATCCTTTGGGTATATGCCCAGTAATGGGATTGCTGGGTCAAATGGTATTACTGGTTCTAGATCCTTTAGGAATTGCCACACTGTCTTCCACAATGGTTGAACTAATTTACACTCCCACCAACAGTGTAAAAGCATTCCTATTTCTCCACATCCTCTCCAGCATCTGTTTCCTGACTTTTTAATGATTGCCATTCTAACTGGTGTGAGATGATATCTCATTGTGGTTTTGATTTGCATTTCTCTAATGACCAGTGATGATGGGCTTTTTTTCCTATGTATGTTGGCCACATAAATGTCTTCTTTTGAGAAGTATCTGTTTATATCCTTTGCCCACTTTTTCATGTTTTTTTTTTTTTTTTTTGTAAATTTGTTTAAGTTCTTTGTAGATTCTGGATATTAGCCCTTTGTCAGATGGGAAGATTGCAAAAATTTTCTCCCATTCTGTAGGTTGCCTGATCATTCTAATGATAGTTTCTTTTGCTGTGCAGAAGCTCTTTAGTTTAATTAGATCCCATTTATCAATTTTGGCTTTTGTGGCCATTGCTTTTGGTGTTTTAGTCAGGAAGTCTTTGCCGATGCCTATGTCCTGAATGGTGTTGCCTAAATTTTCTTCTAGAGTATTTATGGTTTTAGGTCTTAAGTTTAAGTCTTTATTCATCTTGAGTTAATTTTTGTATGAGGTGTAAGGAAAGGGTACAGTTTCAGTTTTCTGCATATAGCTAGCCAGCTTTCCCAACACCATTTATTAAATAGGGAATCCTTTCCCCATTGCTTGTTTTTGTCAGGTTTGCAAAGATCAGATGGTTGTAGATGTGTGGTGTTATTTCTGAGGCCTCTGTTTTGTCCCATTGATCTATATATCTGTTTTGGTACCAGTACCATGCTGATTTGGTTATGGTAGCTTTGTAGTATAGTTTAAAGTCAGGTAGTGTGATGCCTCCAGCTTTGTTCTTTTTGCTTAGGCTTGTCTTGCCTATACGGGCTCTTTTTTTGGTTCATATGAAATTTAAAATAGTTTTTTCCTAATTCTGTGAAGAAAGTCAATGGTAGCTTGATGGGGATACCATTGAATCTATAAATTACTTTGGGCAGTATGGCCATTTTCACGATATTGACTCTTCCCATCCATGAGCATGGGATGTTTTTCCATTTGTTTGTGTCCTCTTTCATTTCCTTGAGTGATGGTTTGTAGTTCTCCTTGAAGAGGTCCTTCACATCCCTCATAAGTTGTATTCCTAGGTATTTTATTCTAGCAATTGTGAATGGGACTTCACTCATGATTTGGCTCTCTGTCTGTTACTGGTGTATAGGAATGCTTGTGATTTTTGACATTGATTTTGTATCCTGAGAATTTGCTGAAGTTGCCTATCAGCTTAAGGAGTTTTGGGGCTGAGATAGTGGGGTTTTCTAAATATAGAATCATGTCATCTGCAAACAGAGACAATTTGACTTCCTCTCTTCCTATTTGAATGCACTTTATTTCTTTCTCTTTCCTGATTTCCCTGGTCAGAATTTCCAATACTATGTTGAATAGGAGTGATGACAGAGGGCATACTTGTCTTGTGCCAGTTTTCAAAGGGAATGCTTCCAGCTTTTGTCCATTCAGTATGATATTGGCTGTGGGCTTGTCATAAATAGCTCTTATTATTTTAAGCTATGTTCCATCAATACATAGTTTATTGAGTTTTCTTTTTAGCAGAAAGGGGTGTTGAATTTTATCAAAGGCCTTTTCTGCAACTATTGAGATAATCATGTGGTTTTTTTCATTGGTACTGTTCATGTGATGGACTACGTTTATTAATTTGCATATGTTGTACTAGCCTTGCATCCCGGGTATGAAGCCATCTTTATCGTGGTGGATAAGCTTTTTGATTTGCTGCTGGATTCAGTTTGCCAATGCAAAAGGCTGAAAATTCCAAACACCAGAATGCCTCTTCTCCTCCAAGGATCACCACTCCTCTCCAGCAAGGGAACAAAACAGGACAACGAATGAGTTTGATTAATTGACAAAAGTAGGCTTCAGAAAGTGGGTAATAACAAATTCCTCCTAGCTAAAGGAGCATGTTCTAACCCAATGCAAGGAAGCTAAGAACCTTGATAAAAGGTTACAGGATCTGCTAACTAGAGGAACCAGTTGAGAGAACATAAATGATGTGATGGGGAGAATGGAACCAAGATGGAAAACACTCTTCAGGATATTATCCAGGAGAACTTCCCTAATCTAGCAAGACAGGCCAACATTCAACTTCAGGAAATACAGAGAAAACGCCACAAAGATACTTCTCGAGAAGAGCAACCCCAAAACACATAACCATCAGATTCACCAAGGTTGAACTAAAGGAAAAAATGTTAAGTGCAGCCAGAGAGAAAGGTCAGGTTGCCCACAAAGGGAAGCCCATCAGACTAACAGTGGATCTCTCTGAAGAAACCCTACAAGCCAGAAGAGAATTGGGGCCAATATTCAACATTCTTAAAGAAAAGAATTTTCAACCCAGAATTTCATATCCAGCCAAACTAAGCTTCATAAGTGTGGAAGGAGAAATAAAATCCTTTAGAGACAAGCAAATGCTGAGAGATTTTATCACCACCAGGCCTGCCTTACAAGAGCTCCTGAAGTAAGCACTAAATATGGAAAGGAAAAACCGGTACTAGCCACTGCCAAAACATACCGAATTGTAAAGACCATTGACACTATGAAGAAACTGCACCAACTAATGGGCAAAATAACCAGCTAGCATCATAAGGACAGGATCCAATTCACACATAATTATATTAATCTTAAATGTAAATGGGCTAAATACCCTATTAAAAAGACACAGACTGGCAAATTGGATAAGGAGTCAAGACCCATCGGTGTGCTGTATTCTGGAGACCCATCTCACTTGCAAAGACACACATAGGCTCAAAATAAAGGGATGGAGGAATATTTACCAAGAAAATGGAAAGCAAAAAAAAGCAGGGGTTGCAATCCTAGTCTCTGATAAAACAGACTTTAAACCAACTAAGATAAAAAAAGACCAAGAAGGGCATTACATAATGGTAAAGGGATCAACGCAACATGAAGAGCTAACTATCCTAAACATATATGCACTCAATTGTTCTCTTTAAAGATTACTGCTGAAATTATACCTCTTCAACCTCCAGCCAAAGAAAGGATTCAAAATTCCATTTGTTGTTAAATAGATATTTATTTATATAAATTTACATATTTTTATAAATAATATTTCAATATCTGGTTAATGTGGTTCCAGTTTTTTAAAATCACTTGACACTTTGAAATGTCTGACACTGTATATCACTAAGGTATATAATTTACAGTCTGTTATAATGATGTTCTTTTAACTGTTGGATCTTTGATAAGAAATATTTCTTCTTTGTCATATACATTGCAATGTATAGTTTCTTTTTAGAATTAGGAATTTGATCAATTGTTTGTTCACTTCAGTAAAAATATGACTTTCACAGTAGAATGTCAACCCACCTCCACTTACTCAACCCACTGGTAATCAAGATTCCATTCCTCTAAAACACATTAAATAATGCTGTCACCCAGTATTGTCAGCTGGCTAGTCACCCTTCTGTAGTCTTCAGTCTATAGCCTGTGCTCACTGGTTAAATTATAGGTTTACCAAGAAGCAGTTGGATTTGCCCTCAAAGTTGTTTCATTCACTTCACTTGTTGTCATTTTAAATTTAAATAAATATTCTATAAATTATTAAGTATGCATGAAAGAAAAAAGAAAACAAATTTGTTTCTAGGAAAATTAAACTGAATGCTCGGAAATGTCTTGATAAAGTTAAATCATAAATCGAAGTTGAATTAGGTGCAGAAAAAAATCTAAAAATTTAAGAAATGTTTTTTTCTTCTAAGGGCTTTAAATTTTAACTCCACTTTTACAGAATTCACTATTGAAAATTGTAACTGATGTATTGTGATTGTAATTTATTCAAAAAGGAGAGCAAGTAACTAAGTAAAAGGCCTTGCCTATGAGAATTTGATGAAGAAATGTGCCTTTATATTCTTTCAGTTAAAATAACCTTTAAAAATATGTTATATTTTATGATTCCCTTTAAATCTATATTTTAGATTAACAGATTAACAAAAGTTTGTAATCTTGGATAGAATGGCACTACCGTATAATTAAATGCTGATTCATCTGACTCCAAATCCTTTGCTTTTTACCACTATAGTAACATTCAATTCTTGCCTAATTTTTCATACCTTAAAACAAACAAACAAAGGACAACAACAACAAAAACCTTTTTTTTTATATTACCTTCTAGACAAACCCTAATTTTTCTTCTTTTCAAAGTTAAGTTCCTCAAAATAATCTACTATGATTTCTTCCTCCATTCACTCTATAAGTTGCAGCAGCCAAAGTTCTGACAAATAAGTAACTCTGGCCAAGGCCTGGAACTGCTGTTGAAAAGTCCACCCATGAGCCTTTCAATTAGACTTTTCTAATGGGTTCTATTCATCCCCATCTTGTTCGATTTCAGTAGTATTTTAGATGGTTGGCTGTTTTCTTCCTCTTCAAAATGTCTCCTTTCTTGGTAATTCCTTCTACAGCACTGCGTTTTTTTGTTTTTTTTTGTTTTCCTCAGTCTCTTGCAGGACTTCTCTTCGTATTTACTTATTTGTCTCAGGATTTGTCAATGGCTCTTTTATGTCCCTTTCTTTCATTCATTTTTCTGATTATAAAAGTAAAATATGGCCATTATAGAATATTAGAAATTAAATATTATCTTGAAATCAACACAAAACTTAAAATTATGTATAATCATGCCACCTATCAATTACTACTGTCACATACTGATTATTTTCTCTGCCTTTTTATGCCTAACAGTGCTTAACAGAAAGGAAATGATACTCATATTTAGTTTTGTTTTCTACTTTTTTCACTAAATATTATTTTATAAAATTTCCAACATTATTAAATATTTCTTGAAAATGTGATTTTTATAGCTGAATAACATTTTATAAATTTGTGATGGTTTAAGCATTCTGCCTTCCTTACTGACATTTAACTTGCTTCCATATGTATTTATTTTTAACTCAAAATAAAAATTTTACTTTTTTAACAGTAGAGTTTAATTCACATTTATTGTCATAACCAATGTAACTTCCTTCTCTTTTCAATAAAGGTAAGAGAGTGTTTTTTCCAAACACACACCAGAGAATGTATTTCTGTTTTTCTTCTCACAAATAGTTAACTCTTGGCTTGGCACGGAATTCTTAAGTCATATTTTTGCCCTATGAAAACTTGATATTTCAGATTATGTTCTGAAATTTAGCATTGTGAAGCAGAAATATCTAGTCACCATGTTTTTATTTATACAGGAATATTTTTTCTTCCCATCTGTTTGCTTATAAAAACTTTTATTCACCTATGAACTTAACAATATTTACTAGGCTATGTCTGGATTGATTATCCAAAATTAACCCTGGTAGAGTAACTTCATCAAGAGCCAACAGTGAAGAGTCATCAGCATTGACATCTTTTTCTAAAGTCATAAAACCAGGATGTTCTTAATGCAGAACTGGCTGACTACCAAATAACAGTATTATTAAATATATAGATGCTGACAAGCATTCTTCAGATTTATGTAGCAATTTATACTTACAGAGAACTTGACAAATATGAAGATACATACATAATTCAACTCTGACCCAAGAATTATTTATTTGTTCATTTTTATGTTTCCTAGTTATAATATGTTTATATATAACTTAATGATTTACAGGAACCTGCAAGAACATCATTTAATTTGATTCTCATCACAACTATGAGAGGGAAGTTTGGCTATTGCTTCCCTATTTTATGGATAAGAGAAATGATCCCCAAAGCAATTCAGTTACTTTCCCAACTTTGTCCAACTACTAAGTCTTGGAGTAAGATTTGCAACCAGGTATTTTGTTTCCAAACAGTTTGTTATTCCCATTATTTTGGATTTTTTTACATAATTTATATAATTATGAGCCCAAAAGACAGAAAAGGAGCCCCTGTGGACTGTAGCAAGAATGGGTGTGATTCTCAGTATGT